>NC_000012.12:93085128-93710128 GCF_000001405.40 Homo sapiens | reverse complement strand
ATGCTAGCAGACACCACCACATGGAACAGAAAACCACTCAGCTGAACCCAGCCAACACACCAAATTGTGAGAAATAATAAACTGTGGTTTTAAGTCACTATATTTTGGAACATTCATGTGGAATTTCAACAGGTCAATACAAAAAGCTGGATATTCCAGACAGAAATATGAGCAGGAGAAAAGACAAAGAAATGGTATAGTACAGAATATTTTTCAAGAAAGGCAAGTTCTCCAATAACTGCCACCAGTCATGAACCAGCTATTCTAGTTAAAATGAACCACTTGTGGAAAGTACTATGGCTCAAAGACCTAAAAGCAGAACTACCATTCGACCCAGCAATCCCATTACTGGGTATATAGCCAGACGAATATAAATCATCCAACCATAAAGACACACACACATGAATGTTCACCGAAGCACTATTCACAACAGCAAAGACATGGAATCAACTTAAACGCCCATCAATGACAAACTGGATTTAAAAAATGTGGTACATATGCACCATGGAATACTACACAGCCATAAAAAAGAATAAGATCATGTCTTTTGTGGGAATATGGATAGAGCTGAAGGCTAATTACCCTTAGCAGACTAACTCAGGAACAGAAAACCAAATACTGCATGTTCTCACTTTTTAGTGGGAGCTGAATGGTAAGAACATATGAATACAAAGAAGGAAACAATAGATACTCGGGTCTACTTGAGGGGAGAGGGTAGGAAGAGGGAGAGGAGCAGAAAAGATAACTACTGGGTACTGGGCTTAATACCTGGGTGATGAAATAATCTGTACAACAAACCTCTGTGACACATGTTTACCTACCTAACAAACCTTCATATGTATTGCCAAACCTATAATAAAAGTTAAAAATAAAGAAAAAAATAAATCACTTCCTGTGCAAGCCCTATTACAATGCTTACATATTCGCAAAATGGTTTGCAGGACTCAGAGTTGTAAAATAAGGACCCCTGGTGTCAGAGAGCTGATGCACATGATCTATGAATATATTATGTAACTTTCTGCTTCTCTTTCACTCTGCCTTGCAGGCATCCAGCAATATCATCTATTCTCCACTTTGCTAAATCTTACCTTTGGCAGAGCCTTCATGAACAAGATTGGTACCCATATAAAAGAAGCCCGAGAGAGCTATCTTGACCCTCCTACCATGTGAAGACACAACAAGGTACCGTCTATGAACCAGGAAATGGGCCCTCACCAGACACCTAATCTGCTGGTGCCTTGATCTTGGACTTCCCAGCTTCTAGAACTGTGGGAATTAAATTTCTATTGTTTATAAGCTACCCAGTTTACACTACTTTGTTCTATCAGCCCAAAAAGCACACCCTGTTTCAAGATTCTGCATTCATTTACTCATTCATACATTCAACCATATTTTGTTGGGCACCAATGATGCCAGGCACTACTCTAGGTGCTCAGGATACAATAATTAATAAGGCAGACAATGCCCTGGCTTCATGGAGATAAATGTGTTGATGAACAGGAAGTAGATAGAGTGGTCAGAGAAGGCTGGTGGAGAGCACAGTTGACCAGAGATCTGATGGAAGTGAGAAAGCAAACTATGGGAATATCTGGAAAAAGAGCATTCCAGGCAGAGGAATGAGCAAGTGGCAAAGATCCTCAAATGCCTATACTTCCATGGAAGAAGGCCAGTGAGTGAGGAAAAGAGAGGTAGCAAAGGGGATCAGAGAGGATACAGGGATCCAGATCTCAAAGGGACTTGTAGGTAATGGCCACCACTTTGGACTTCATGTTTTCGGAGTGACGGAAAGTCCCTACAGCCTTTCCCAGCCCCTAGCTAAGCCTCTATTGATTACTTCTCCTTCTTGTGCTCTTATCACCTGTACTTTTATTTACCAGTTAGTCTATATTCCATGGATTTCTATTCATCTCTTGTGTATCAATTCTATGTCCTCAACTATGTCTCAACGGCAAGAATCAGTCATATTCTCTTCTGTATTCCCAGGGCCTGGCACCTAACAGATGCTCAATAAATCTTTCCAGAAGGTGATAATGATGATGTAATCTCTTAGAATCTTTTCTAGCTGTTAAGATCCATGATGCCTTTGAACTCTCTCAACAAACTAGTTTGCACAATGACTCAGAGGACTGACATCTTTCTAGATATTTTGAGATTATATTCATGCCACTTTTAGAGTCTCCATCCATCAAATGACTAGAATGAATTACATCAGAGTTTTGTCTAAATGAAGGCTGTGCCACTTGGAATGGGATTCCCTTACATGGAACTACCTACTAATATTTGCACTTTAAGCCACCTGAACCTCAGGAGAGTAATAAATTGCTATTAAATAAATGCTATTCTGATGTGATCTCATCACTAGCCATTAATGATGGCCTCAAATCCTTTGTTTCTTCTCCCAATGAAAAGTGAAGGATAATGCTACTCCCCTCCCTGACCCCCTCCTGACCCCAAGTCTGGGTTGAATTTAGTGACTTACTTGACCAATAAGCAGGAGAACTGGTGTTCTGGGACTTATGAGTCTACATCCTGAGAAACCTTCAGCCTTGAAGCTTCCATCCTCACATTTTGGGAAACCCAGCTCCCATGCTGAAAGAAACCTAAGCCACATGGAGAGACCACATGCTGGGCCCCAGCTAAGCCCCCTGCCCAGAGCCACGCACCCCAGTCAAGGCACCAGACATCTGAGTCTGAGATCTCAAAAGTGGATCCCCTATCCCCAGATTCCTCAGCTGACACCATGTGGATCAGAGACAAACTGCCCAGCTGAGCCCTTTCTTAATTCCTAACCCACAAAATCATGACCAAGGTAAAATGGTTATTTTAAGGCACCAAGTTTTGGAGTGGTTTATTATGTAGCAGTAGATTTAAAAAAGCAAAAAACAGAAACAGAATTATATCACTACTGATCCAGAACTCACAAGAGTGCCTTCCTCCCAATCATTTATAAAATTGACAGACGGACACAGTCTGAGGTTTAACCAAGGTTCAATGACTGCTTTGCCCAGAGATTTGATCCATGACAAATGACACAGACAAATGAGATGACTTTGAATGGGTATCCTGAATCAATCATACTAATAGAATTTCAGGCCAATTAAAGTCATTTGAAATGTAACCAAAGTAAAAGCCACGGCATCCATTTGGATTGTAGAGGTCACAGAATTAGGCTATTGGCCAAATTATACATATTTTTTCACTCAAGTCACCCTGCTGGCAAGAAAATAATTTATTACACTACTTAAATACATGGATAGGACTTAAAACAGAAATGAAATGCACAATTCTATCATAAAGTTAAAAAGATCTAGCTACTAAACAATGATTGCATGCAATACTAAGAATTTCTGAAATGATTTTCAATCGGATGCTGCCAGAATAGAAAACACTCAATTGCAAATAGTCCTCTCCTTTAGAACATCCTTTATTTGTACAAACAATTTTTATTATGAAAACAAAAGCTCCCCAAAATGAGTAGGCAGTTTTACCCCCATCAGTATGAATATCACTTCTCCCAACAGCTATCACTTCAGGCCCTGTGAATAAGTGGCTTCTGATAAAACAGCACACTCATTTCATGTTGCTCCTCCTCCCTCTCCCCGACTACCTTCAAGACATATTTGGCTCTCCAAAAAAATACAGAACCATTAAGTGGACCCAGGGAGAAGAGTAAAGGTAACACACACACAAAAAAACAAATTTTGGTAGCAAATGCTTTAGAGCATCAATTTTTCATATAAACTATTATCTTGAACTATGTCTAATCATAGTCTATCACCCACATTTTTCATACTATGAATTCACACTCACCATTGGTACATTTTAAAGAATCAACAAAAGAAAATAATGACTCAAGAAAACACCCTGAAAGCTAAGGGCATGGCAATGTGAAAATGGTAAAATGCTTTTAAGAGAAAATATCATCTTCCAACTTCATATTTGCACATATTTGCTTGAAAGTACATATTTGCTTCAAAAATCATTCATTAGCAATAACAACAATAAAACCATAACAAAAGAAACCAAAATGTCAACACTTGTCTCATTGGCAGCTATACGAGTACATGTATTTTTTATAAGACAAGTCCAGAATAAGAGAAGAAAAACATATTAACTTCTGATGAGAATATTTAATGAAAAAAATAACCATTGCCTTCACACAGAAACTACTCCTTCAGCAGCAGTGAATCATTAACTCCGAATAATACATGTTTAAAAACATGTACTCATGTTCCTATACTACATCACATTTCCAAAACTGCTTAAAAAGCAAAAGTAGATGGTAATGCCGCGAAAGCAAATTTAGTGACATTCTGGTTATGTGGCTCTGACAATCAAATGAAAGTTCAACAAGAATTTAAGAAATGAAGCTGAGGATATAAATCATGTTTTTTTTCGTTTAAGTGAGAACATCAACAGCTCCATCTGTTCCAGCTCTAGGAGCCATTACTGACACATTAAATTCCAAAGAAGAGGAAGGCCTTTAGGTTAACAAGGAAAGCAAGTCTGATTAAATGTCAAACCACATGATACTAAGCTTCTTGCACCTTCTGTATCACCAAGAAAGTCAAACCCTGCTCAATGCTAATGCAAAAGCACTGCTGATGAGGGAAAGGAATGTATTTCCAATGCATCTCTTCCGATCATTAAGGTCATCTGTCTAATGTGTTCAAGGCAGACAGGAGACTGTCCCTAGAGCACAGAAAACTTATCTTTCCCATCTGAAATGGTCCTGCCTCAGGAAAAGAACTTTTACTAAAACATGACTACACAATAGGCAACCTGTAGTACACAGAAATTTAATCATAAAAGTTCCCTTCAGAATCCCAAAAAATTAATTTTAAACATTTCATTTAATTAAGTAATTTTTTCAATTTCAAAATCCTCTGTGATGATCTGGTCCATAAATGCATCTGCTCAACACATAATTATTGATGGGACAGGCACTGTCCTGGGGTCTGGGGATGCAGGATAAACCAGGCAGTTAAAGCTGCCCTACTTCTGAAAGAGCTTACAGTCTAGAGAAGGGAAATTCGCTTGTCAAGTAACAAGTCCAATCAAGTGCGGAGGATAATTCCAGATAGTGTTAAATGCTGTGCAAGAAACAAAACAGGATAATGTTGCAGAAAGTGACTTGGGAGGTGGCTAATTTGATCAGGCAGGCCTCATCAAGGAGGCCTGACACCTAAATTACCAGAGGGAGCCACTTATTAGAGCAAAACTGGGAGCAGGGCACACCAGGCACAGAGAACGGCTAGGCTGGAACAAAGGCCTCGAGGTGGGCACTGACTTGGCCGACTGGAGTGACAGAGGAGGCCTGTGCTGGGCTACAGGGAGAAGGCAGGGAATGGTAGATGTGACTGAAGAAGCCAGCAGGAGTCCCCAGGTCACGGTGTCCCTTTTGGGCCCTGGTGAGGAGCTCTGATTCTCAGTGCAATGTAAAGTCCTAGGAGGAGGTTTTAAGCAGAGGAATAACAAAGTCTGATTTCTATTTTTAAAAGATGGCTCTGATTGCCATGTGGAAAACGTTTTACGGGAAAGTACATGTGGAGGCTACTGCAGTAATCCAGGCAAGGGATGGACTCAAGTAGACAGATTTGGGGAATGTTGTAGAAGACTTGCTAATGGAATATACAGAAGGAAAGAGGGTAGGTACAGCAAAGAAGGAAACAAGGATGATGCCTAAGTTTTTGGCTAGAACAATGTGGTAAAATACAGATGGTGCCTTTTAAAATACAGTACACAGAAGGATGTTTAGAGAAGGGAAAGTGGAAATCAAGATTTGTTTCATTTAGCTCACTCATTTCAGAGATGAGTACATGATGTACCAAATATGTAAATGACTTAACCAAAGAAGTTTAACTGCCTAGTTGAAGAGCTGGAATTAGAACCTGACTTTCTACTTTCTAATCCAGTAGTCTTTTTGTTAAGAGTATTAAATTGAGATTTCCAGATTAAATAATTTCCAGTTTTGCTATTATTAATTATTCACACAAAGGCTCCAAATAGGCCAGGTGTGGTGGCTCACACCTGTAATTCCAGCACTTTGGGAGGCCAAGGCAGGCAGATCCCTTGAGCTCAGGAGTTCAAGACCAGCCTGGGTAACATGGTGGAACCCCCATCTCTACAAAAAAAAAAAAAAAAAAAAAAGAAAGGCTCCAAATAATTTGACGGTAAGTGAGCATTAAAAATCAAAAGCATGTATGAATCTACAAAGGTAATAAAATTTCACAGAACTACACACACTAAAAACAGATTGCATGTAAAACCTATTCCAATAAGGTCTGTTCTTGAATTACTAGTATTGCACCAATGTCAATTTCCTGCTTTTAACAATGTGCTATGATCATGTAAGATATTATCATTGGGGGAAGCTGAGTGAAAGGTACCTGGGATCTCTCAGTACTATTTTTGCAACTTCTTGTCTTAAATTATTTCAAAGTAAAAAATTATTTTTTAAAAAAAGAGGCTGGGTATGGTGGTTCCTGCCTGTAATCCCAGCACTTTGGGAGGCTGAGGTGGGCAGATCGCTTGAGCTCAGAAGTTCTACACCAGCCTGGACAACATGGTAAAACCTCGTCTCTACAAAAAAATACAAAAATTAGCCAGGTGTGGTGGCATGCGCCTGTAGTCCCAGCTAACTGGGAGGTTGAAGTGGGAGGGTTGCTTGAGCAATGCTTGAGGCAGAGGTTGCAGTGAGCCAAGATCACGCTGCTGCACTCAAGCCTGGGCAACAGAACCAGACCCTGTCTCAAAAAAAAAAAAAAAAGAAAAAGAAAAAGAAAGTAAACTTGCCCAAGAACACAGAACCAAGGGAGACTGCCAAAATTTGAGACTTCATCAACTGATTTGTGGTTGACTATACCATAATTTTTATTCAAATATTGTTTAAATTAAAAGGACTTTTTAAAAAAAATCAACACCTAATGGCACCTACTTTCTTTCTTAGATAAAGAGAAACTTCTTTTGTGACCTTTGGAAGGTAATCAGTCTTTGGCTGGATCTGTTTTCTTCCACACTCAAGAACACAGTCAGCATGCAGTCAGCGATCTAGGAGCCAAAATCTGCATTTGGCTGGCTTTGGGAGTCTATATTAGGTGTAAAATGCTGTTCTAAAACAATTAAAATGGCAATGCTTTCATTTCCTGACTGGATTGAACAAAACAACATAAATGATTTAAGCCATTTGTGAAATGAATCGGAAGGGAATTTACCAAAAAGGTGATTCTGTCCAATTTAACCAAGGCCACAGCTCTCAAGAGCCTCCAGAGAACTCTTGATATTGCTAAAAGGCTGGCAACTACATCCTCAGTTACGGGACCACCAGAGCACCTGTATGGTGCACTTGCCTGAAAAGAATTGTGTTTTGGTGGGGGCTGGGAGGGTAGAGAGAATGGAGGTAAAGATTGGGGGTGGTGGAACAGTGTGATCAGTGTTCTAAGAAGCCTGGAGCCAAGAAAACCCAGAAAAGGAGTCAAAGAACAGGTTGAATTGTTTCCGTCTTACAAGAGAAATTGCAGAGTTTAGAGCATTATATCTCGTAATGCCACATTCAGATACCACCTAGCATTTGGGATTCTCAGTTCCTCCCAAAGCCTATCACCATAAAGCCTAGCAGCAGCACCAACTGAAGCTAACTCAGGATGGATTTTCTTAAGGTGAGAAACAGAATGAATGTCTCTATGTCAACTAAGATCTGGGGAAATCTGGTGGATGTGGGGCAGTTAATGATGTCAACACCCTGGAAGACAGGAGTTGAAGTGATGGTTTTTTTTCTCTCCCTAGGCCAGCTCCCTTATATTCAGGGCTCATGCACCTACCCTGCCAAGCCCAGATTCAAAGCCTAGATATCAAGATCATCCAACAACTCGTCCCTTTTCTCTTTACCTGTCTTCTAAACACATCAATTCTTTATTTGAGCCAAAAAGTCTATTTGCTTTCCTTCCCTCACAGCATGCACTCATTTAAGATTTAAGAACCTACTTTTTTAAAGGTTCTGTGATGGCTGCAGCAGATGTGAACAAGGCATAGTCCCTGACTTAACTCAAGGGGATGGCATTCGATGGTGAGAGGGAGCTAGGGAAGCGTTAGATAAGTTTACCGGTATCTATGTTAAAACATGGAGAAAGATCATCACAAAAATCTGTGGAGGTTCAAAGAAAAAAAAAAATCCCAGATGAGGAGAATGTGGAAAAGCTTCTGGGAAAAGAAAGGAATTAGGCTCTGAAGAATAGATAAGATTTTGAGAAGCAGAGATTAGAGAAAGTGGGGTGGGGGGAAATTATAGTCCAAAAAAAAGAGCTCAGGCAAATGCCTACTGAAAAGACATTACAACATCATTGTATCAGTGGGGGAGAGATAACAGCTCCTCTCTCATCCTCCAAAGATAGGTCCAGATCCAGGTAATTTCCTCCTTTGCCAGCATAGAGAATGTTACTCACTAACTGAATCATATTCTCAGGAATTTGGAATCTTCAAAGCAGTAAAAAGTTGTGGTCTCCTAGAAACTCTTTTCTTCCCAGAAGTTCAAAGAACTAGCATTTGACGAAAATGTCTTTTTCATGTTAGCTTCCTTTTTGTCTTCCTCTCTCTGAGTCTCCCTTCTACTCTGCTA
Organism: Homo sapiens; assembly: GCF_000001405.40. Lineage (NCBI taxonomy): Eukaryota > Metazoa > Chordata > Mammalia > Primates > Hominidae > Homo > Homo sapiens. Next base: position 93,701,514 of record NC_000012.12, on the reverse strand, counting down.
GCACTATTCCCACAAGGGACAAGATGGCCTGGGGCTCCAGCAGCCAGTTAGGACCATGAGGGAATCTTGAGAGTGGAAATCACGTGCCAAGGATGGCAAAGCATAAAGAGAGAAGAAGCCTTGGCCTCTGGTAACTGTGGAGCAGTCACACCAGCCCACAGCCCTGGAGACTACTTACAGATTGTGTGTGTGTGTGTGTGTGTGTGTGTGTGTGTGTGTCACAGAGAGAGAGAGAGAAGGATATGGAGGAGAAACAGGAGGAAGAGGAGGAGAAGGGAAAAATAAACCTTCCATCTTGTTAAAATCACTGTCATTTGGGTTTTCTGTTAAATGTTGCCAAATCTAATTCAATAATTAATATAGATAAGGTCGGGCCATATTACAGAAGGTCTGAAATGAATTTAAAAATGTCTGAAATTAATTTTGTAGACAATGAGGAAAATTTAAATATATTTTAAGAAAAAAACAACATCTTTTATTTGAGCACTTGCCATTTGTCCAATAGCACTAGGTCCCTGCCCTCTGGAAGTTACAACCTATTATAGAGAAGCACACCAAATAGGAGGTGCAAGATGCTCAGAAGCGCATGAGAGAGGACTTAATCCAACATAGAAGGTATGGGAAGGCTTCCTGAAAAAACACCTAAGCTAAAGCCCAAAGGAGGAACTGGAGTTAACGTGGCAAAGAGAGAAGTAAAAACATTCACACTATAGGCAAAGACACTCAGGCAAAACAAAAATCAAACAAACAAAACCCAACAGCACAGCACATTAAAAAACAAACTGGACCGGATGCGGTGGCTCACACCTGTAATCCAAGCACTTTGGGAGACCAAGGCGGGCAGATCACGAGGTCAGGAGATCGAGACCAGCCTGGCTAACAAGGTGAAACCCCGTCTCTACTAAAAATACAAAAAATTAGCCGGGCATGGTGGTGGGCGCCTGTCGTTCCAGCTACTCGGGAGGCTGAGGCAGGAGAATGGCGTGAACCCAGGAGGCAGAGCTTGTACTGAGCAGAGATCAAGCCACTGCACTCCAGCCTGGGTGACAGAGCCAGACTCCATCTCAAAAGAAAAAAAAAATTACTGAAGGAAGACAAATTTGGCTAGTATGCAGAAGAGCAGCTCTCCAGAGAATGGCACAATGGATGCTGGAATGGTGTGCAGGGGTCACAGTGATAGGAAGAAAGCTTTGGAAGACAAATCTGGCAGCTTCTCTGTACAGGCAAACCAGTTACAAAGTAGTTTGGAGAAGCAATAAAAGCCTAAAGTAAGTGGCAGGTGCATAACTCAGAAAACCATGACATTGACGGAAATACTGAGGGCAGGAGCAGGACCTAGATTTAGTGAGAAAAACTCATTCCATCTGCAACATGCTGGGTTTAATGTTCTAGCAAGGCATCCTGAGATGTCAGGGAAGTACTTGGCGTCTCCTCCATCTGGACTGGCTTCTTCCCCTGGAACCAATGACTCTACCTTCCATAAAACCCAGATTCACCTTCGAAGCACTCCCTACTTTATTCCCTTCCCCGCTGAGATCGCTCCTTCATGCTGCATGCTCTGCTGAAATTCCATTCACTTTGTAGGCTGCTAGTACATGTTCAGAATTCGTATGCATGTTACCCCTCTCTTACCATACAGACTTCAAACTCCTTGAAGGACAAGGGCTCTCTAGCTTCTATTTCTGATGGAATGCTTTTGATACCTTTTAGAGCCCACAGCACTCTACGAGCACTTAAAATGTTATATTCCTTAGGGGATTGAGAACCTAATACAGGCTACACTTCTAAACAACAGACAGAAATATTAATAGTACAATGGCTATCTCAGGGAATGGGAAGAAATTCATACCCTGGCGTAGCATTACTCATCAGAACGTTTGAGTCTCAATGACAAAAGATTTCCTTCAAAGGAGGTGAAAACAAAGACAAGGTGGGGGGATGTAAAAAATACATTAAATACCTAATGGATGGGAACAAAAGGCAAATGCTTCATGACTGCAGACCTTGCTTAATGCTTTCTGTGGTTAGTATTCAAATGCTAACATTATCTCATCATGCCAATACTTAAAAATCTTGAGACTAAACCATGAGTAAATACACAGGATAAGCTGAAACTAAATCCTCGTGTGAATGTGCAGAGCACAAAAGGGTTTTATCTGTTTGGTTTATCTAATTCTTTTTCTCTTATGTACAATTTTAGAAATGAAAGAAAAGCTTCAATGGCCCTGGTATGACAAATCTCTTCTGGCAAAATCTAACTCAAAAAATGGCAAAGATAATGATATATATTCATAGGAAAAGTTTACCCTGAAGAAAGGCCTCCCCAGTTTTGACTCTCAAAACAATTTTAGAACTAAGCATTTGCTTTAATCCAGCACTCAGTTAGGCACCAAGTAAAGAAAGGCAAATAAAGCTGATTCCGGTCATAAGAAAAAAACCAAAGCTTTTTTGGGAAAAGCCACAGGTTTTTTTTCTGGTTTCTGGCCTTTCTCACTCTATACCAGGGGTGGTAGGCTTTTTCTGTAAAGGGCCAGATAGTAAACATTTTAGGTTTTGTGGACCATAAGGTCTCTGTTGCAGCTACCTGACTCTGCCCTGCTGGTGTATTGTGAAAGCAGCCAGAGACAACGTGTTAACAAATAAGCATGGCTGTGTTCCAATAAAACTTTATTTATAGACACTGAAATTTGCATTTCATGTGATTTTCAAACATCATGTAATCTTCTTTTCTTTTTCAACCATTTAAAAGTGCACAAACTATTTTTAGCATCTGAAGGATATAAATATATTTTAAAATGACACTGGCAGAAGCTTACTCAGAGTCCAACAATTTGGGGAAAAACAATGAAGAGAAAAGATTTAGAAACTTAAAAGCATACAAACAGAAGACACTGAAAAAAATCAGGTTATAATCTAGTGAAACACTTTGAAACAGTATACTCATAGAAAGACAAACAAAATACTTTAAACAGCAGAGTGAAAAATGCTCTTCCTAGTTCCTGAAGAGTCATTTAGAGAAGGTCTTTTAAGTCCGGTGCTATCTCTCTAATAGTTGAAATAGCAGCATGCCTTGATAACAATTTGAAAAGACTACTTCAAGTTGATTCAGAGGTTTTACTCTCTGAAGAAAAAAGTATATATACTTTGTTAAACACACACATACTCGTAATCTTCTAAATTTTCTCCTTTTTTTGGCATCACATAAGAAATTCCAGATTTCAGCAGCAGTGTCCAGTTCTAGAAGTAACTGGAGTTTAGCAAAGAGTGGGCTTCTGAAACGGAATTTCCAACAGTAATGATGGGATTCAAGACACACTGGCCCAAGATATGGCACTTGGAATCTGAGAAGACAGCATAAGCAGGCAGGTCACTCTGACCTCCCCTCAGCTCCCACAATTCTCCCGATTCTCCCTTAAAGCAGGTTGTAAACCCTAGAAAGGATTTTCTGACCTTCCCCTGAAACAGGTAAGGTGACTCTCATGTGCAATGCCTTCCCTATCCCCAGAGGAAAGGAGCATCCTTATTTCGGAAGATGCAGATCACAGAGAGAACAGGAACACCTAGCCCTAGCAAAGTTTACCCTAGTTCATTATCATTAGAGCTCATATTCTTTTTCCAATCCCATTTCCCCACAACCATCCACATGCCATCAAACCTAGCATAAAAATACACAAGTTTAACCATCTCTTTGGGTCTTCACTCCCTTATAAAAGTTCCTGTGTCATGTAAAATTTATATTAAATAAATTTCTATGCTTGCTCTTGTTTATCTGTCCTTTGGTATAAGGGCCTCAGTCATGAACCTAGAATGAATGAGGAAAAGAGATTTTTCCTCCCCTACAGCAAAAACTCAAATGTTAAGATGATTCATTTATTATAAACACTGGCTATCTCTTTTTTAAATTAACTTATTTAACTTATTATTTTAACTGACAAATAAAAATTGTACACGTTTATCGTGTATAACATGATGTTTTGAAATACGAAAACTGGCAGTCCATTTTTGCTGCTATAACAAAATATCACAGATTGGGTAATTTATAAACAATAGAAATTTACTTCTCACAGTTCTGGAGGCTGGAAGTCCAAGATAAAGGTGCAAGATCAAGCATTTGGTGTCTGGTGAGGGCAGTCTTGCTGCATCTTCACGTGGCAGAAGAGGTTAACACTGTGTCCTCCCGCAGCAGAATGCCAAAGGGCAACAAGAGCCTAAGCGAGTTCCCTCCAGCCCTTTAGTCAGGCACTAATCTATTCATGAGGGTAAAGCCCCTATGACTTAATTACTTCACCCCTTAATACCACCCCCTATTACCACCCCTTAATACCACCACAATGGGGATTAAGTTGAATTCTGGGAGACATTGGGACCATAGCAGGATGGTCATTGCAGGATGGCTAAATAGAGATGATTAAAATATGCATTATCTCATACACTTATCACTTTTTGTGAAGAAAACATGTCAGATTTACTCAGGTGATTTTCAAGAATGCAATACAGTCTACAGTCATTTGTCAGTATCTGCAGGGGGACTACAGGCCCCCACTACCACCCAAGATACCAAAATCCATGGATGCTCAAGTCCCTGATATAAAATGATAATAATATTTCCATATAACCTGCATACATCCTCCCATATATTTTAAATAATCTCTAGATTACTTATAATACCTAATACAAGGTAAGTGCTATGTAAATGGTTGTCCTACTATATTTTCACTTGTATTCTTTTTTATTGCTGAATTGTTATTTTTTATTGTGGTTTTTTTTTTCAAATATTTTCTATTTGTGGTTGGTTGAATCCATAGATACAAAGGGCCAACTGTAGGTTGTTAATTATCTATAGTCATCATGTTGCACAATAGATCTCTTGAACTTATTTCTCCTGTCTAACTAACCTTTGCATTCTGTGACCAACATCTCCCCAATCACATCTCCTCCAGCCTCTGGTATCTACCATTCTACTCTCTGCTTCCATGAGTTCAACTTTTTTAGATTCTACATATAAGTGAGATTATATGGTATCTGTCCTTTTGTGCCTTGTTTCACTTCACTTTGCATAATATCACCTAGGTTCATCCATGTTGTCACAAATGACGGTATTTCTTTTTAAAAACTGAATAGTATTTCATTATGTATATATGCTATATTTTCTTTATCCATTCATCTGTTGATGGACACTCAGGTTGATTCTGTATCTTGGCTATTGTAAATAATGCTGCAGTGAACATGAAAGTGTAGCTATCTCTTTGATATACTGACTCCACTTCTTCTGGATATATACCCAGTAGTGGGATTGCTAAGACACAGAGTTCTATTTTAAATTTTTTGAGGAACCTCCATACTGTTTTCCATAATGACTATACTGATTCACATTCTCACCAAGTATGCAAAGGTTCCACTTTCTCCACATCCATGCCAGTACTTGTTACCTTTCATATTTTTAATAAGCACCTAGAATTCTAATAGGTATGAGGTTATATCTCATTATAATTTTAATTTCCATTTCCCTGGTGATTTGCGATGTTGATCATTTTTTCATATACCTGTTGGCCATTTGTATGTCTTTTGAGAAATGTCTGTTCCCATCCTTTGCCCATTTATTTATTTATTTTGAGACGGAGTTTTGCTCTTGTTACCAAGGCTGGAGTGCAGTGGCACAATCTCAATCTTGGCTCACTGCAACTTCCGCCTCCTGGTTTCAAGTGATTCTCCTGCCTCAGCCTCCCAAGTAGCTGGGAATACAGGCGAGTGCCACCACTAATTTTTGTATTATTAGTAGAGACAGGGTTTCACCATGTTGGCCAGGCTGCTCTTGAACTCTTGACCTCAGACAAGCCACCCACCTCGGCCTCCCAAAGTGCTGGGATTACACGCATGAACCACTGCGCTGGCCGCCCATTTTTTAATTGGGTTGTTTTCTTGCTATTGAGTTTTTACAGTTCCTGGTGTATTTTGGACATTAATTCCTTATCATATATATGGTTTGCAAATAATTTCTCCCATTCCATAGGTTACTTCTTTACTCTGTTGTTTCCTGTGCAGAAGCTTTTGTTTATCCCATTTGTCTATTGTATTTGTTGCTTGTGCTTTTGGGGTCATATCCAAAAAATCCATTGCCCAGACCAATGTCATAGAGCATTTCCCCTAGGTTTTCTTCTAGTAGTTTCATAATTTTGGTCTTATGTTTAAGTCTTTAATCCATTTTGAGTTTATTTTTATACATGGTGTGAGATGAGGGTCTAAATTCTTCTGCATATCCAGTTGTTCCAACACCATTTATTGAAAAGACTGTCCTTTCTCCAGTGTGTCTTATTGGCACCTTTGTTGAAAATCAACTGACCATAAATGTGTGAATTCATTTCTGGACTATCTATTCTGTTCCATTGGTCTATGTGTCTGTTTTTATGCCAACACCATGCTGTTCTGACTAGTATAGCTTTGTAGCACATTTTGAAGTCAGAGAAGGTAGTATGATGCCTCCAGTTCTGTTCTTCTTTGCTCAAGACTGCTTTGGCAATTCAGGGTCTTTTGTGGTTCCATATAAATTTCAGAATTGTTTTTTCTATTTCTATAAAATATGTCACTAGAATTTTGATAGTGATTGCACTGAATCTATAAATCACTTTGGGTAGTATGGACATTTTAACAGTATTAATTCTTTCAATCCATGAACATGAGGTTTCCTCCCATTTATTTGTGTCTTCTTCAGTTTCTTTCATCAATGTTTTAACAGTTTTCATTATACAGGTTTTTCACATCCTTGGTTAAGTATTCCTAAGTATTTTTCTTTTGGTAGCTATTGAAAATGGGATTGTTTCCTTGATCTCTTTTTCAAATAGTTTGCTGTTTGTGTACAGAAACACTACTGATTTTTATGTTAATTTTGTATACTGCAACTTTACTAAATTTATTAGTTCTAATAGTTTTTTGGTAGAGTCTTTAGGGTTTCCTATATTTAAGATCATGTCACCTGCAAACAGGGATAATTTAACTTCTTTCTTTCTAATCTAGATACCTTTTATTTCTTTATCTTGCCTAATTATTCTGGCTAGAACCTCCAGTATTATGTTGAGTAAGAGTGGTGAGAGTGGGCATCCTTCTCTTGTTCCTGATCTTAAAAGAAAAAGCTTTCAGTTTTCCACTGTTGAGTATGAAGTTAGCTACGAGTCTGTCCCATATAACCTTTTTTGTGTTGAAGTATATTCCTTCTATACCTAATTTGTTGAGAGATTTTATAATGAAGGGATGTTGACATTTGTCGAAAGCTTTTTCTGCAACTATTGAGATGATCATATAGTTTTTGTCCTTCATTCTGTTAATGTGGTATGTCATATTTATTGATTTGTGTATGTTAAACCATCCTTGCATCCTTTGATCACAGTGAATGATTCTTTTACTGTGCTGTTAAATTCAGTTTGCTAGTATTTTGTTGACAATTTTTGCACCTATGTTGATCAAGAATAGAATATTGGTCTGTAATTTTCTATTCTTGTATCCTTATCTAGCTTTGATATCAAAGTAAATTCTGGCCTTACAAAATAAGCTTGGAAGTATTTCCTCTTCTTCAATTTTGTAGAAGAGTTTGAGAAAGATTGGTATTTGTTCTTTGAATGTTTGGCAGAATTCAGCAATGAAGCCATCAGGTTCTGGGCTTTTCATTAATGGGAGAATTTGTATTACTGACTCAATATCCTTATACATTACTAAGCTAATCAAAATATGTATTCTTGATACCATTGGATGGAATGTTCTGTAAATGTCTGTTAGGTCCATTTGGTCTAAAGTGTAGTCTAAATCCACTGTTTCTTTATTACTTTTTTTATCTGGGTAACCTGTCCATTACTGAAAGTGGGGTATTAAAGTTCTCTACTATTACTATATTCTAGTCTGTCTCCCCCTTCAGATCTATTAATATTTGATTTATATATTTAGGTGCTCCAGTGATTGGTGCATATATATTTATGGCTATTATACCTTCTTAATGAATTGACCCCCTTATTATTACATAATGACCCTCTTTGTCTCTTTTGACAATTTTTGACTTAAAATCTACTTGGTCTGACATAAGTATAGCCACTCCTACTCTCTTTTGGTTTCCATTTGCATGGAAAATATTTTTCTACCCGTTAATTTTCACTCTATATGTGTTCTTAAAAAGGAAGTGAATCTTTTGTGGATGGCATATAGTTGGGTCTTGTGCTTTTTATAAAACCCATTCAGACACCCTGTCTTTTAACTGGAGAATTTAATCCATTTACATTCAAGGTAATTAATGATAAGGTCTTGCTTCTGCCATTTCGTTAACTGTTTCCTGGTTGCTTTGTAGATGCTTTGTTCTTTCCTTCCTCTGGCTGTCTTCCAGTGTGATTAGGTAATTTTCTCTAGTGATATCCTTTGGTCCCTTACCTTTTATTTTTTGTGTATATACCATAGGTTTTTGTTTTATGGTTACCATGAAGCTTACAAAAACATTTTATAAACAGCCAGTTATTTTAAGCTGATAACAACTCAATTTTGATCACATACAAAAATTCTACACTTTACTCCACCATCACCCCCATATTTTAGTTTTTGATGGCACAATTTATGTCTTTTTGTTTTGTATATACTTTATAAGTTGTTATATCCATTTTAATAGTTTCATCTTTTAACCTTCAAACTAAAGATGTAAATGATTTACATACAACCATTACAGTATTGGAGATTCCAAATTTGACTATGTAAGTTTTATACTTTCGTACGTTTCCATGTTATTATTAACCTTCCATTTCTTTCCACTTGAAGACTCCACTAGCCTTTCTTGTAAAAACAGGTGTGGTGGTGATAAACTTTCTCAGCTTTATCTGGGAAAGTATCATTCTCTCCTTCACTTCTAAAGAACGGTTTTGCCGGCTACACTATTCATTGTTAGCAATTTTTTTTTTCCATCAACATTTTGAACATATCATCCTACTCTCTCCTGGCCTATAAAGTTTCTGCTGAGAAATGTACTACTAGGCTTATTGAAATTGTCTTATATGTTATTTGCTTCTTTTCTCTTGCTGCTGTCAGGGTCTTCTCTTTGTCTTTGTTTTTTGACAGTTTAATTATAATAAGGCTTAGTGTAGTCTTGTTTGGATTGAATCTAATTAGAGACTTTGACCTTCCTGTACCTGGATATTATATCTTTCCCCAGATTTGGAAAGTTTTCTGCTAATATTTCTTTAAAACAGCTTTCTACCACTTTATCTCTCTTCCTCTGCCTTAACTCCTATTATTCAAATGTTTGTTCTTTTGATGCTGTCTCATAAATCCCATGAGCTTTCTTCATTCCTTTTCATTCTTTTTCTCCTCCAACTGTAATTTTAAATAATGTCTTCAAGTTTACAGATTCTTTCTTCTGCTTGATTAATTCTGCTGTTGATACTCTCTATTGCATTTTTCAGTCCATTAATTTTTATTTCGGCTCCAGAATTTAATTTTAATTTTTACTTTAAGTCCTGGACTACATGTGCAGGATATACAGGTTTGTTACATAGGTAAATGTGTGCCATGATGGTTTGCTGCACCTATCAACCCATCACCTAGGTATTAAGCCCACATGCATTAGTTATTTTTCCTAATTCAGCTCCAGAATTTCTATTTGATTTTTTTAAATAATTTCAAAATTTCTCATTTTGGTCATTTATTACTTTTCTGACTTCATGCAATTATTTCTCTGGATTTTCTTGAAGTTAGCTACCAGGTAGGCTGCTCTTACAGACCAGCTAGTGTGACAGTCACTTCAACTCCACCGAAGTCTGAATCTCAGCCTTAGAGGTGGGGAGGGCCCTCTTCCACATTCTTAGTGACTGTATCCTGCACTACCTTTCAACCTCAGAAAAAGTAGCTTCTGCCATTCCTGTATTACTTAGAGACCTCTTTTACCCCATTTAGTGGTTAACCATGGTTTGCTTTTCACCAGTTAAAAATTCTTTATATTGGCCAGGCACGGTGGCTCATGCCTGTAATCCCAGCACTTTGGGAGGCCAAGGCGGGCAGATCACCTGAGGTCAGGAGTTCGAGACCAGCCTGGCCAACATGGTGAAACCCTGTCTCTACTAACAATACAAAAATTAGCCAGGCATGGTGGCGGGCACCTGTAATCCCAGCTACTCGGAAGGCTGAGGCAGGAGAATTGCTTGAACCCGGGAGGCGGAGGTTGCAGTGAGCCAGGATCGCGCCATTGCACCCCAGCCTGGGCGACGAGAGTAAAACTCTGTCTCAAAAAAAAAAAAAAAGAAAACAAAAGAAAATTCTTTATATTAAGTTTTCCCTATTTAAATTACTGTGTGGTTTCTGTCTCCTGAATGAATTGTGACTGGCACATGATGGAATAAAAGGGCTCAAACAAATATGAAAGGCCTGAAAAGTCACATTTGCCCGTAGCACATAACTAATTAATAATAAAGAGATTGAAAGGGAAGAGATATGTTTAAAAACTAAATGAACAAAAATGTCCACATCAATCACATTCAAAACCTTTATTTTACCTAATCATATTTCTTAGAAAACATCTTTCATTTTCTTTTGTATTTTTTAAAATTTGGTAACTGTTAAAAAAGAGACTGACATACACATAATGAAAATGCCGGCTATGTGTGAGACCTGAGGCAAGCAAGGGTCAGAAAATAAAGAAGCTGCAGCTAGCCCAGGTCAGGTCATCTAAGCCATGTGACTCCAATCAGATCTAAGAACTGGTAGTAGACCGATAGAGACAGGACCCTAGTGATTAGAAGCACAGACTGTGAGCCAGACTGTCAGTGTTTGAACCTCAGCTCTGCTACTGCCAAACTGTGTGACCTTGAGCAATTTATCTAACACCTTAGTCTCCTCATCTGTGAAATGCAAATGATAACAGTAGTGCCTACCTCAAAGGGCTATTATGATAATAAAGTGAGTTTATATATCTAAAGCCCTTAGGCCAGTACCCAATTCAAATTCTCTTTCTAAACCTCCTCTTTACATCTACATTCTCAATCCATTTTTCTCCCCCAATACATTCTGATTTTGGAAAAGTTTAAGGAGACCTATGCTGCTCCAAAACTGCTCTCCAGCGTTTTATCTACCACCTTTGGCCCTCAACCTGGGCCTTGCTGTATGAAGAAGAGGTAAAGCAACCTCCTCCCTTAAAGGGCTATCATTTGTTTTCCAGGCCCATGGGCGTGAGACCTATTCAATCCAAAAAGAAGAAGGATGGCACAGTAGACAACTCTTGCTTCAATCAGCTTTCACTCTTTCTTTTGGAACTTCCTTTCCCCACTTCAGGTGATTCTGGTGTCCTAGAGGAAGGGCTCAGGACCCAAGTTTGGCCAATAGTCTGAATCTGGAAGGAAGGTACAGTGTAGAAACTTGATTGAAGATGACCATCTGATGGCCTGAGATCCCCCACTGTTGCCTCATTCCTGCCCTTATTAAGCCCTGAAACCTTTATCATTCCTTCAAAGTTGTGAACTACCCAATATATTTCAGAGAAATTCCTATTTTTATGTTACATGAAGTTCTACTATTTGAACAGAAGAACCCATATGCATGCTGTTAGACTTGGATATCCCTTCGTTTCCTCATCTATAAAGTGTTTCTAAGATCCCTTCCAACTCTAACCTTCTATAGTTCTAGCAACAGGACAAGTCACTGCAGATACGCTCTACTTGATCTATAATTCTCCACAGCAACTTCACCATTACTACTCAGCACCCACAGACCTTATCAACAAATGGTAGAATTGGGAGATGCTTTTAAAGTCTTGTATTTAGGTTATAAAACCAGAAGCCTCTCATTTGTCACTTAGTACATCTCGGCGGTATTATTTTGGTAATGGTATTGCCACCCTGTCTGCTATGGTGCTGAGCATAAATAGAACATGAACATTTCCAGGAATTGTCAACTTGGCACTTCTTAGAAGGAGTTAAAGTTTCTTTCATAACATTAACAAAATAAAGCCTAGGAGTAAAACCTGCCCCAAACTTCTTCTAGAAACTACATTCCTTTTCAATTAAAATTTACTGTTGGAAAAAACACAACATACCTTTTTTTCTTTTTTTTAGTCTGGGGGAAATGCCCTCAAAGAATCATATGTATACACTCCTTACTGCTTAAACTGAGGAACAAGCATAAACACAGCTGCCTATTAACATTATGTAAAGCAAACATTCCCACAGCTAGCTATAACAGCAGCCTACAAGTTTGAACTACACCCATAAAAAGAGAACACTACCTTGCTAAGCATTTGGTGAAACTCTGAAGCTGCACCACCAGAAAAGCTGGTTATTGGAACTGAGGGCTTTAGATAGCAAGATTTAAGAGCTGCAAAAGTGGGACTGGATTCCAGTATCAGGGGAGCCAACACACTATCTCCTGATCACAGCCAAGGAGATTTAGTCTTTTTTTTACTCTCAAAGTAGCAAGTTGAAATGGGAGAGATTCAGGGGCTCTGTTCCATGACCCCTCCCCACCGTATGGTCTTCCATTAGACCCTAGCCTTCCCCCAACCAAAAAAGTATAAAATGAGAGATACGAGAGAGATACCAACCAGGAATCAGCCTTAGGACAAGAGGCAAGAAAGAGAAAGCCTCCTGAGGCTGTGTGTCTGGAAGAAACTGGAAGTAGGGGAGTTTCTGAAGAAGAATTAGGGTGATGGGCTCTGGAGCAGCCACAGGTTATCAGAATTAGGAAGAGGAGAAAACTGAATGCCGAGAAAGTGGTTTTATAAGATATGAATCAGTAGGCCTTGAAGTGAAATTTGACTTTATGTTGTGTGACTTTAAGTAAGTTATTTAACATCTATCTCTGTGCTTACATTTTCGCATCTGTTCAAAAGGGTAATAATACCACCTCCCTCATCAAGTTATTGTCAGGATTAAATGAATTAATAAACACAAAGGACTTAGAATATAGCTGGCAGACAGTAAGTCCCCACTAGCTATTATGATTATTTTACTGATGTTATCTGAAGTTCTTTGTGAGACACAAAAGACTGCTTTTGCTTTTTTTTTTTTTTTTGAGACAGGGTCTCACTCTGTCACCCAGGATGGAGTGTGCTCTCGACTCATTGCAACCTCTGCCTCCTGGGTTCAAGTGATTCTTGTGCCTCAGCCACCCAAGAAGCTGGGATGACAGGTGTGTGCCACCATGCCCAGCTACTTTTTGTATTTTTAGTAGAAACGGGGTTTTGCCATGTTGCCCAGGCTGGTCTTGAACTCCTGACCTCATGTGATCCTCCCACCTTGGTCTCCCAAACTGTTGGAATTAACAGGCGTGAGCCAATGCACCTGGCCTGAAATTCATTTTTAATTATGAATAAAGACCATGAGCAGACAGACAGCCAGTCTGACAGACTAAGCCAGTCCCACTCTTCCCAACTAGCCATTTGTCTCTCCTTCTCTCTTCCATCCTCGAGCCATCTTCAGCTCACTTTTTAACTGAGAGGAGCATCCAACTCGTTCTTCAGCAGGAGACTCTGTCTCCATTTGGACATAACCTGATCTACAGAGCACAAGGTACTGCATGTAGTTTGTAATGACTGTACCAAACAATGTGAATAGCAATAAAAATAATTCCCAAATTCAAATTCACTAGCAATTCAAACTCCTCCAATTGTTGCCTCATGTGTGTAGCCTATATATCCCCATAGAGCCCTAATGGATTTTAATGTTGGTAGCAGCATCACCCCCTGTATGGGGTCTGAGATTCTGGAACATTCTTGAGCAACAATGCTCAGGAAATTCAAGGAATAAAAGGATTTGCAAACTAATATCCCTCTACACCCTGATTCCTACCACCCTTCCATCTGGTGCTACCTGAAAATAAGAACAATGCTTCAAGCAAGTACACAGCTTTGGGAAGCCACGACTTGGAAGCAGTGAGTGAGGAAGGAGGCACGCTCCTAACCAGCTGGTCAGAGCTCAAGGTTCTCAACCCCGGCTGCAATTTAAGATGACCTCACGAAGCATTTGTACGTGTGCCTGACTTACACATGGGCATGCCCGTGTGTGCCTTTAACATCCCATTGCCCAGAACCCACCCTCCAGAGATTGTGTAATGGATTCACCTGGAGTAGAGCCTGGGCATCAGTAGTTTTGTAAAAGCTCCCCAGGTGATTCCAAAGCATAGCCACAGCTGAGCAACAATGAGTTAAATCAACCCTGATGTTCAATACAGTGTCTGATGCAGCCGAACGGTCTATACATCCACAGAAGGGAGAAAAAAAGGCATAGCCAGAATTTCTAAGTGAAAAGAATACCAAATCCATGTTTTAAAGTGAAATGGAGGCATCTCCGCTGGGGCAAGACCTGTCACATGTTTGCTATTCCTAGAAAGACCTGCAATTAGCTGCCAACAGATGCATTATTTCATCAGTCCCATAAATACTCGATGAAAGTCTTCCGCTTTTCCTTTATGTCAGCCTTGCAGAGGTAGGAAGAAAAAAATCTTGTGACAAAATGCAGTACTGAACGATCATCATTTCCTTTTAAATGATTAAAATTAGCATTCATAAAAATAAAATATTTTAGTGAAATCTCATTCCAGCATACCTCTAAAGGCCCTTGGAAATTCTCCTCTTAAAATGAAAAAAAAAAAAATGCATTAGTACAATTTTTAAAAAGCCTCTTTCAATTATTAACACTGCAGCATAATACAATTCCATTTCAAACTCAGTGGGAAGCCAAGATTGCGCAGCAGAAAAAGTCCTAAATCAAGAGTTGCAAAGCCTGGATTCTAGTCCCAGTAATAAATTACATTAACTAGCTGTGTGATCATGGGCAAGTTGACTTAATCTCCCTAGGCCTCTGTTTTCTCAGAGAAAAATTAGATGACCTGTGAGTCCCACCCAGTTCTAAAATTCATAATACCAGGATATGGCTCCATCTTGCTGACTTTGTTTCACTAGCAAGTAAATGTGTTTAAAATTTAGAGAACTTACGAATTTTGAAATTCTAGTTAATTTAACTAATTCCTATCACTGGGCATAAATTGAAAGAGCAAAACTGTGAAGCATCATGAAAACAGCTCTATCTACTATCTATACTAGAACTGGAGCCTTCCTGCTTTAACTATGCCAGCCAGGTGATGGCTCCTCCCCCAAATGCCTGTCTTTCTTTTTAAATTAAAAAAATATATGATGAAAAGCAACTTTTGGCCACATCCTCACACCATTATTATTTTCTTTTCTTTTTTTTTTTTTTTTTTTTTGGGGGGGATGGAGTCTCACTCTGTTGCCCAGGCTGGAGTGCAGTGGCACAATCTCGGCTCACTGCAACCTCCACCTCCTGAGTTCAAGCAATTCTCCTGCCTCAGCCTCCTGACTAGCTAGGATTACAGGTGCCTGCCACCACACCCGGTTAATTTTTTGTATTTTTAGTAAAAATGGGGTTTCACCATGTTGGCCAGGCTGGTCTCAAACTCCTGACCTCAAGTGATTCACCCGCCTCAGCCTCCCAAAGTGTAGGGATTACAGGCATGAGCCACTACACCCAACCATTATTTCCGTTGGTTTTGTTTTTTAGACGAAGTTTCGCTCTTGTCCCCCAGGCTGGAGTGCAATGGCGCGATCTCAGCTCACTACAACCTCCACCTGCCAGGTTCAAGCGATTCTCCTGCCTCAGCCTCCCAAGTAGCTGGGATTCCAGGCGCCTGCCACCACGCCTGGCTAATTTTTGTATTTTAAGTAGAGATGGGGGTTTCACCATGTTGGCCAGGCTGGTCTCAAACTCCTGACCTCAGGTGATCTGCCCGCCTCGGCCTCCCAAAATGCTGGGATCACAGGAGTGAGCCACTGTGCCTGGCCTATTTTTTTATAGTCTCCTTTATGTTGACACATTTCTACTTAAATGTAAGTAATGGTTTTTTCCTAAATAATTTGGTATACTTTCAATCTTATTTCCTATTCAATATTCCTATGAACATTTTTCTTTTTATTTTTGGTTGATACATAAAAATTGTATATATTTATGGGATACAGGGTAACATTTCAATACATGCATACAATGTGTAATGATCAAATAAGGGCAATCAGTATATCCATCATGTCAAACATTTATTCTTTCTTTGTGCTGGGAATATTCAAAATCCTCTCTTCTAGCATTTTGAAAACACATAATAAATTCCTGTTAACCATATTCACCCTACAGTGCTAGGACATTAGAACTTATTCCACCCATCTAGCTGTAATTTTGTATCCATTAACCAACCTCCCCATCCCTGCCTCCCTCATACCCTTCCCAGTCCCTAATAACCACAATTCTAGTCTCTAAAAGTCATGTATTTTTAAAAGGAACTTCGTAAATAGAAAAGTTTTGCTTGCCATAAATGGAAGGAACCCATTAAGTTGACACAAAAAAAGCAATACAACTAGATTCTAGCTAAATACTGTTGCCCACAGAAGGCTTTAAGCATGAGGACCTCCTATCATTCTTACCGAACTGAAACAGAAATAGAAAGGAAATAACTTTCTCATCATGTAATTCAATATTACTTAATCCCACATCCACGTATCAACTAAAGTCATGCTACGAGCCACACAAGATCACGGCTGCACACACATCTCACATGTTGAGAGCAAAACAAAAGGTAGCCACTGAGCCTCTGCTGATGTGGAATGTGATTCATCCCAGGGAGGAAGGTGTCTTATTAGCCACATTGTCACCTGTGGCTCCCACTTGACTTCCTGTGTATTTGTGGTCCCCTCTATCTGAAAGCTCTCCTCCCTGTATCAACTCTGCAGCCAAACTCAGTTCTCTGCTCAGTGTCCCCTCATCAGAGAGGCTTTCCCTGACCACCCCCACCACCACACATACCGCTTCTCTTCATAGCGCTCTTCACCACCAAATGTTATTTATTCATTTGCTTATTATCTGTCCCTGCCCTTATCCCCTCCCTCTACTAGAATACATTGAACTCCATGAAAATAAGGGCTTTGTTTTGTTTACTGTTATATCTCCAGCACCTACTGTCTTGCACAGGGGTCCCCAACTCCCATACCGGTCCGTGGCCTATTAGGAACCGGATCGCAGAGCAGGAGGTAAGTGGCAGGCAAGCGAGGATTACCACCTGAGCTCCTCCTCCTATTGGATCAGCAGTGGCATTAGACTCTCATAGGAGCATGAACCTATTGTGAACTGCACATGCCAGAGATCGAGGTCGCGCACTCCTTATGAGAATCTAATGCCTGGTAATAATCTAAGGTGGAACAGTTTCATCCCGAAACCATCATTCCCCCCAACTCTCCCGTTGGTTGAAAAATTGTCTTCCACAAAACCAGTCTCTGACGCCAAAAAGGCTGGGGACCTCTGGTTTAGCACATGGTCAAGACTCAGCAAATATTTGCTGGATGAACGCATGAATGCCCTCAACTGATCTGGAGATCCTCCATTTGTCTTTATATACCCAGTACCTGGCATTCAGTAGGTCCTTAGGAAGTATATGAAAATCGGGCTGGGTATACACAGAAACCTGGGCCCTCTGCAGACTCTCCCTTTACCGAGGGAAGGGTCTTGCTATGGATACTGACCCACTGTTCTCACTCTAGCACACAGGACGCCACTAGGCAAACACTACTCAGTCACAGTGGAAGCACATGGATAGACTGCAAGCTAGATACACTGAGACCAACACTGAACTTACATGCAGAGCAAGGTCAATTACGTGGTATGATTGGAGGAACCTATGAAAAGAATCCCAAGCTAGAAACCTCTCTAATAAACCCATCACAATATCTAAAATATCTGCCATTAAGAGCTCAGTGACTTTAGATGCATCCAAGTATGCAACTCAGAGCTAGAATGTATCTCAGGAGGGCGGCAGGTGTGGTTCTGTGTTGTCACTCAAGGCTGGCGCCACAAGGGGCAGGCAGAGCCCTTGAGCCCACAGGTAGAGGGGAAATGGACTAGCCAGTCCTGCGCACTGCTGTTGTAAGAGCAGCCAGGGAGTCCAGGGCACAGAGTCTATGGGGAGGACAAGATCAAGCCCAGAGAAGGTTGAAGCAAGTGTCAGCTTAGGGACAGCCATTCCAACAGGCTCAAGAGTTGAGACATCCAATGCTGATGCCGGAGGCACCGAGCTGTGTTCCCAGAGCTCTGTTCTTCACTCTCGCCATGGCTAAGAATACATAAAGCATGAATCAAACCAACGGAGGAGAGAAAAACAAAAACACTCCCAAGCTTAAAGGAAGACTGGGGCAAAAGGCAGAGAATCATGGCAGACACCCAGACCCACAGCCAGGGCCAACACAGTGGAACAGGGAGGGGGTCCTGTGGCCCAGGAGTCACTCCCACCGTGATTTACGCTGAGTCCCACCAGATGGGGAGGCTGGGCTGCCATCAACCTCCTTTCCAGATCCAGATTAGCTCAGGCACTGGAGGGAGCCTGTCAGTGCCGACAGGCCCCATGAGCAGTGAGAAGCCAGGCAGGCAGGCACAGGCTGCCTTCACCCAGACACGGCACTGTCCCTATCTCCTAAATGACCTGACAGGAGCCCAGAGAGGATTTCCAGCTGATCTAATGTCTAGTATGTGACCTTGGCCAGAGAGACAAACCATGAAGTGTTCTCTCCACGGTGCCAAGGTGGATTAAGTCATTTTATCACCAGAATTCCTCTTTTAAAAGGTAAGAGTCCTTACAGGGTGAGAAAAACACAAAACCAATGATCCATTAACAACTTTAACAACTTAAACCTTTTTTTTTTTCCTAACAGAGATTGGGAGACTAGTCACAGAGGCAGATTCTGAGAGAATCAAAAGGTTTAGGGTGTTTTTGTATGTTTTGAGATTTGATGGGGGTGGCGTTCAGAAGAGTAGAGAAGAACAAGATACAGCTCAATTCTCTAAACAAATTACATCCAGCACATAAGTAAAAAGCAACTAACCAGGAACAATCACCAAAATAAAGCCTCTGAGACAGCTCAAAATTTACAAGTGAAACAACGAAAATTAAAACAACAAACCAATAAAGGGGAAACCAAGCATCTCTGGGAAGACCAACACAAGAAAACCTTAATAAGATAAAATCAGTTCATTCTTAGAGAAGGATCAACGTCTTGGCTAAAAAAGAAGGCCATTCCTTCCCATTTGTTCTCAAGGCCTCCCAAGAGACTACTGAATCCATACAAATTAATTAATAAGTATGATCAAAATGAGGAAAAGGTAGGAAGAGTTTAATGTGTACATACATTAAGAGGTTAATGTGTACACACATTCTCCTATAGTCTAGATCCTCAAAACTCAAAGATATCTTTACAAAAATTTAAGTGGACTATTTTAAATCTTACTAAAATTACTCAATTACAACACTGGAGAAGCACCGAGGTCTTAGGCAGTAGGTTCTGGATTTCTTTTTTATAGGGACGTTAAATTGAAGGGATTTCAACTCTGATACTCTTCCCAGGATTTACAAAATAACAAAACCTAGGTTTCCAATTCAGTAAATCCCAATTTAATTTTAGAATTAAAATATTGCCACCAATTAAATTACTTTAAACATGTAAAAAATATTTTAAGTTCTGAAACAAGAGAAGGTGTTAACTATCAAGTTTAAATGCATAATTTCTTCCATTACTTCCACCCTTTCCTTCCCACACACACAAAAAACATATATATCTCTCTCTATATACATATATACATATACACACACACACACCTCTAGAACTTACGGTATACAGGATTTTCAAAAACATATGAAGATTTTAAAAGTGATTTTTAGGAGATAGGAAACTATAAAGTGAAGAAGTGAATGAATGATAAACCCCCAATTCAGGGCTTTTCACTGCGTGGGGGTTGGGAATGAGACAAGATTGGGAAGGAGTGCCCGGGGTTTTTAAAGGCAATCGTAATATTATTTTTCTTAAACTGAGTGATGAGGAGACGGGTGTTCGCTGTACCATTATTCTCCATATCTTACTTATATTTTGTAATATTATTTAAAATAGTCAATATTTAATAAATACAAGTCTTTTTTAAAAGAGTTTATGTGATTGTCACCGTGGAAGGTATTCAAAGACATATATAAATCAAACCCTCACTTCAGAATGTTTTTTTCAATAGCAGTGTTACTCAGTAAAAAGTAAAACAATTAAGATGACTGTACGAATTTGTTCCAGAGCCAACCTTCTACAGAATTAACAAATCTTGAGAAAAACCTTATTTTTCTAAACTTCTACACAGATATGCTCAATTTTTTTCCCATTATGTACTGCTTCATTCTGTTTGCTTTTTTAAAAAGCTATTTTTCCTCAGCTTCTCTGTAACTCTCATCATTTTGTAAAAAATGCCTTAATTCTTTCTAACTCTCTGAATGAATCTGAAGAAATAATGGGGTTATGGCCGAGCATGGTGGCTCACGCCTGTAATCCCAGCACTTTGGGAGGCCGAGGTGGGCGGATCACCTGAGGTCGGGAGTTTAAGACCAGCCTGACCAACATGGAGAAACCCCATCTCTACTAAAAATACAAAATTAGCCGAGCATGGTGGCACATGCCTGTAATCCCAGCTACTCGGGAGGCTGAGGCAGAAGAATTGCTTAAACCCGGGAGGCAGAGGTTGCAGAGAGCCGAGATCGCGCCATTGCACTCCAGCCTGGGCAACAAGAGTGAAACTCCGTCTCAAAAAAAAAAAAATGGTATTATACCTCTACGAATGACATACAACAGCATGATCTGTATCACCCAAAATGACCATAAAATTAAATTCAGTATTTTGATAGTGAAAGGCTTTCAGTTCACCTGTTTTGTTGTTTCCAACTATATGATGCCAGCAGAAACCTCTAAGTCAAATATCAGGAAAACACCAATAATTTTTTAACATTTCTCCAACTCTATGTTATCTATTCTGCTTTCAATAAAGTCATAAAAACATCTAGATACATTTTGTTCAGACATGTGGAGTATTTAATTTTGTAAGGACAATCCAAGCAGTGAATTCCAGTGGTCCTCAAAAGCCAGCTATGTCTAATATTTCAAAAAGCCTAAAGATACATTTAACTGTAACGAGCCCAGACTAGGAATGAAAATACTTTTGCTTTTTCCACTGGGATCTTACCAGGTCTTCCTAAAGTTAGCTGGCTATGTCATGCTGATCAGGTATTCAGACATATGTCAAAATATGAGGTCCATGGAGCAAAAATAGTAAAAGTGGTCTTATTATCAGTATTCATTTTTTTTAACCAGTATTTAAAAAATAGCAACCACGAAGTCTGGGGCCCACTGAACCGGAATAGTTCTATCACTCTTATCAGAAACCCCAGAGAACCTTGATTCTCTAACTTTGTTAAAAATTTGCAAGCCAACTTTCAATTACTTTTTTTTTTCAATTTTTAATTTTTGCCAGTTCAGTTCTCTGCCCCTCTATCTTTGTGAAACAGAGTCAAGGGAGGTTAAGAAAAAGCAAGTGTTTCCATATCACATCTTCTTCCTGCTACAAGCCAGGCTAACAGAACCAGAACTGTTTCTCTCTTCTCCAGCTTCCAATTCTCCTTCAAATTAAACTGAGACCCTCCCCAAACTATTGCTCTTTGCAAAATTAAATACTCCAGTGTCTGAACAAAGCTAAACTAAAAAGGACACTTTAAACGAATAACCTTTAAAAACAAACTAAGTCAGCCTTCAAAATAATCCCCTTTGGCCACACAGGACAGCCCAGGGGACAGGTGCAGGGCATGCCTTCCTAGAGGCTGTCTCCTCCTCCATGAATCTGACCTTTTCCAGCTGGTAGCTCTGGCACCTCACAAATCAGTTGTCAGTAGGCCGAATGCCTGCTTTCCCATCTGCACTTTCCAAATGGCTCCTGATGCCAACGGCTGAGATATGACCTGGCTCTCTGATGAGAACATGCTTCCCAAGTGACATGCCAGGTTTCCTGGAAGCATTTCTAAATGCATTCTCTGAGCTCCCTCCCTCACCTCCCAGTCACGGTTCATTCTTCCTTCCCTGCACTTCCTAATGCCACCTCCTGATCCTATTCCTCCAACGTCATGTCCCTTCAGTCCCAAATCCTTACCCACTTTCATCAACCATTGACCCTTGTCCTGCCTTACATCCCAACTTCAAATCCAAAGGGCATAGTTCTGGCTAGGTGTGGTGGCTCACGTCTGTAATCCCAGCACTTTGGGAGGCGGAGGTGGGTGGATCACCTGAGGTACGGAGTTCGAGACCAGCCTGGCCAACATGATGAAACCCCATCTCTACTAAAAATACAAAACTTAGCAGGGCATGGTGGCAAATGCCTGTATTCCCAGCAACTCGGGAGGCTGAAGCAAGTGAATTGCTTGAACCCAGGAAGCAGAGGTTGCAGTGAGCCGAGATCACACCATTGCACTCCAGCCTGGGCAACAGAGCAAGACTCTGTCTCAAAAACAAACAAACAAATAAACAAAAAAGCAAAGAGCATAGTTACAACATTTTGGAGCTGGTTCAAAGTGATCTTTCTGAGGCCTACCTGCAGGCAGGTCGGTCATGGCCTCTTCCCTTGCCTTCTTCAGCTTCTCCCTGACCCAGGGAAACTCCTGTAGGGAATCTAGGAATGTATCAAATGCTTTAGGGCCCCTGGAAGGTAGGATATCCAGCAGGAGCATTGTTTTCCGGAGGCCTGTGGTTTGAGCATTGATTTCTTGAATATGGTTTTCCGTCAAGATTCCTTCCTGGTAGAGGTACTGAAGAACCAGTCCCTCCACCAATACCTCTGCACCCAGCTCCAGGCGAAGTGAGCGGAGTACTTGTTTGTCTCTGGCCTCCATTTCTCCCTGGAAAGAGCCAAAATCACAGCTCAAATTACAGACATGTTGATGTGGCCCTAAAGACAGTGTCACTGCAATGTAAGTTCCTTCAGGTCAAGCACATCTTTAAACCATAGCAGACTGCCAGGTCATGGTATTTAATTCACTGATTAAGCCAAGCCAGGTTAATTTTGAATGTTTCCTAACATAATGAACAACAATGAAGATGAATCATCTTTTCTGTTTCTGCTTTTCACACAATGGGGTCCCAGCTCAATTCCTCGTTCAATAAAGAAATTTGGAAAAAGAAAAAAAAAAAGTGGGTCAGAGACCCTTCTGAACAAGCAATTTTTATCTGAAGATTACAGAGCAGCACTAATTTTAACACGCTGGAGAAGAAATGGTGGTTTTATTTTCACATTGCCCTCATCAGACCTGCACCACCACCACCAAGGCAGAAACTGCCAAGGTGGACGCAGGTCCCCTTTTTTTGATCACAAGTATTTGCAAAACCTGATCAGTAATAGGAGTGCAGGACAGAAATCAGCAGGTTCAGAATTTAAGGCTCTTTTCGCTAAAAGTCCTCTACACGATCACCTTTAAGAAAATTGTTGTTTGTGCCCAGTCTACAATAAACTTTACACAATATACAGTCACAGACTCCATTCCTTCCCACTAAGAATTCCGAATCTCCAGCACAACACTGTCGTGGCCGCACATGCATGGGACATTTTATGGGATTTTTTTCTTTCAAAAAAAGCACACACCCCAGCACTGGTCAGTAGCCAGGCACGATTTGAAGGTGCAGTTCCACCACCCCTGCACCAGTGTGCTGTGGCTTGGTTGTGTGTAAGGCAGTGAAGGTTAAGTGACCGGGAAGGCAGGCAGGGATGACAGATGGGGCTTCAGACACACCCGGGCAGTACGACCACGGCTAGGCGACACCCGATCCCACACTCCCCCTCGCAACCCTGTAAAGTTCAGGAGGTGACAGGTGAGGAGGGGAGGTGTTCACGTTTGGCCGTGAGCGCCCATTGGGAACTATTTAAAAAGGCTCTGCTTCGGCCGCTGAAACCCTTGTATCAAACAGGAAGACTACGGGCGGTTTCTGCGGCAACTTGACCCGCTAAAGAGGGAGTGCTGGGAATGAACTAAAGAGCGGACCAAGGGGAGAGCGGGCCTCCGGCACTGCCGCAGCCACCCAGCCTTGGCCCGGATCGGAAATGCGGAGCAAGTTAGCGGGGCGGGGAAGCCCCCGCAGGGCCCAGGTCGCAGACGCTACAATGCAGGACTTTCAAAGAAAGATGGATTCCTGTTACTTACGTCTGCAACCACGTATCTTTGGGGCGGGGGAGAAAAACTGCAACCGGAATCCTGACTGTTAGGGAACCTGCCCCATAAGCACCATCTTTGTTAATGGCGAAAACCCTAAACAGGAAGTGTTGACACCATCTTTGTTGAGGGCAAGTACAGGAAGTGCTGTCGCCATTTTTATTGAGCGTTCAAGGGTCGGATCGAAGCTCTTCCCGCCATGCTTACTGTGGGTAAACAATTCAATAGCGGGGAGATGGACAACCGTAGTGTCACTTAAAGGGTATCTAAGTAATGGAGTAATTGAATCATTGCATTTTAACACAGTAACTCCATCAGGGCCTCGCACACAATTGACCTAACAGAGAGGCAGGTCAAAAGCCACCCTAGTAGAGAAGCCTTCTCTGACCTATCTGATTAAAACGGCAAGACAGCTGCGCTCATTTCCTGCACTCCCCATTAACCAGCTTTATTTTTTACGCATCACCATCTTATTAAAACTTTTCACTTATTCATTTGTTTATCCTTCTGCTTCCCTCCATTAAAATGCAAGGTCATTTATTTATATCAAGGGTTCCTGCCCGCAAAGAGTTTACAAATCTGTCAGTCAGGATTTCATTGCAGCACTCAGCTAGTTACTCCTAGTCAGAAAGGGATTCGTTAGGGGGAATTGGGGACATTCGAAATCATTGGAAAGGCTGGAGAAGGGCTGAGCTGAACATCCATGGATGACTACCTAGATAAGATTGCTGATTGTGGCTGCTGCCCACAATCAGGAAGATGGCGTCAGGAAGTTGCCATGCCTGGTCCCCAACCTCCTCTCAACACCGACAGAACAATTAACAGGACACTGGAACAGTGCTGCAAAAAACGGTGGTCTCCACGGCTGCATTTGCCAGCAGCAAGAAAACAGCACCTGCAAATCTTGCTTTGCTGCGTGCCATTGGTGAGACCAATCTGACATGCAGAATATTAGCAGCAAGGATGTCTAGAGCATGTAGTTGGTAGCTTTCCAGCTTGTGAAACACAAAAAGGTATAGTAAATGAGGGAAGGCCTGACACTTAAAGCCAATCTACTGCATCCACCACATTTTCAATGTGGAAAGCAAGAAAAAATGCATGACCCAAATACAGAGAAACACAGCAATGCCAAATTGGGTGTCCTTCCTCACATTCCTTTGTGAAGCGAGGCAGGCGATCAATAAATACATTCATTGATTCATTTTTAAATCAATTGGATGATACATACAGAAAGTCATATGCTTACTAAAAATCAGTTGACAGTACAGGGGGAAAAAACTCCTAAAATATTATTTCTGCAAAGGTTTTCACAGCCAAACCCTTTGGTGGAAAATGAAAATATCTTTGTTAAGCAAATCAATGGAGAACAGTTCTGAACCTCCCTCCTCAAAACCTTCTAAAAATTGTATTCAATTTACAGCATTACTATGCCAGTTACCATTTTACTACACCGTTAATGACAGTATTTTTACCTATGTGGCAAGTATTATTATTATTACAGTCATGCATTGCATAACAATATTTGGGTCAATGACAGACTGCATATATGATGGTGGTCAGAGCAATAGGCTATGCTATATGGCCTAAGTATGTAGTAGGCTATACCATCTAGGTTTGCATAAGTACATCCTATTTTGTTTGCACAATGACACATTTTTCACAATGTATCTCCACTGTTACAACTGTTTTAGCATTTGCATGTATAAAGACTGTGGAATCAGAATGGTCAATTGTCTTAGGCAAAATCTCACAGCTAATATAGAGCAAAACTTGAAGTCTAATGAAGTTTCTCTGATTTCATGCTCTTTCCAATACACCATACAACCTTGTATAGTGAAGAGTTTATTGTTCTAATGATAGCCAAATATTATTTGCAAATCATCCTGTTGCCACCTCCCATTCTTGATACTCTTGAGTTCCAGGTGCTCTCTTTTCTCTCTCCCTTTTCCCCTTTTGCTTGAGAATCATTGTCCTTTCCTCAGCAAGATTTCCCATCTGTTCATAGACAAATGTTAGCACCATTCTTTGTCTTCATCCAGATAAAGTGCAGACCACTTGCAACACTGCCAAGCGTTGAAGTTTACAGGTTAAACATCCCTAATACAAAAATTTGAAATCCAGAATCCTCCAAAACCTGCCTGAGAGTGGTGGCTGACACCTGTAATCTCAGCATTTTGGGAAGCCAAGGCAGGCAGATCGTTTGAGCCCAGGAGTTCAGGGCCAGCCTGGGCAACATAGGGAAATCCCATCTCTACAAAAAATACAAAAAATTAGCCAGCCATGCTTGTGTACGCCTGTAGTCCCAGCTTCTCAGGAGGCTGAGGTGGAGAATCAATTGAACCCGGGAGGTGGAGTTTGCAGTGAAACAAGATCATGCCACTGCACTCCGGCCTGGGCGACAGAGAGAGACCCTGTCTCAGAAAAAAAAAAAAAAAGAAAGAAAAAGAAATGCTCCAAAACCTGAAGCTTTTTGGGTGTCAACATGACGCCACAAGTGGAAAATTCCACACCTGACCTTATGTGATGGGTCTCAGTCAAAACACAAACCTTTGTTTCATGTGCAAAATTATTTAAAATATTGTATAAAGTTACTTTCAGGCTATGTGTATAAAAAGTATATATGAAACATAAGTTTTGTGCTTAAACTTGGGTCCCATCCCCAAGTTACCTCATTATGTATATGCAAATATTCCAAAATCCCAAAAAATCCAAAATCCAAAACACTTCTGGTCCCAAGCATGTTGGGTAAGGGATCATCAACCTATACTAACTTTTTTAGAGAGGAAAAGCAAGTGGATTTTTTTCTAACTGTGAACTTCGATAAATTTCAAACATATAGGAAAGTTGAAACAAATAGCGCAATAAACGCCCATATAAAGTTTCATATTTCTTGATGACTCATCATATTTGGAAAGGCTTGAGATCTCCTAGAAGCTAGAAGGTGAGCCTTGATGATGATGCCCAGGAGGAGGTGGGGAACCAACAATAGGATCCGTGAGGGTTCACAGAAGAGAAGCAGCCAGAGACAGCAGGAGAGTGTCAGGGCAGCAGCCGAGGGGCATGGCGTCCTATGGTAAACAACCTGAAAGGGTGGCCATTAAAGATCTGACTTAAATCTGCAGCGTGAAGTCTTTAATCATCGAATGCCTCTTCCCATGGCAAATACAGATGAGGATCCATGCTGTCTCTTAAGCAACTAGGCTGAACGACTAGCCCACTGCCATCAGCCACCCCACCTCAGCATACAGCGATACTTCATGGCAGTACACCAAAGACCCAACTTTACTTAGACAGATTAGCTAAGGCCAGAGGGCTTCTAAGGAATGGAACACAGATCAGAATCATTATCACAGGTGGTTACTCCTCCGCTCTGGCCAGACCCTCTGTAATCTGAAATTGTGCCCCCACGGAGGATTAAGCACCTGTTACCCAGTGGTAACGAATCCACAGGAAGGACAGATATTTTCATTTTTCTCTCTCCCCTAGTATGTTTACTTGTGTCAAGATATCCCTATTGTGAGTTTGCAAAATAAAGAGTCAAAAAGAACAAATGCAGTATTTTTCTCTTTCGGTTTGGTCTTTGGTTTTGCAGCCTTCAAAAAATAAATAAAAGGAATTGGATGTTTTGGTTCTTCCTGTTTCATTGATGTAGAAATTAAGTCATGGGGAAAACCAGAGTCTTTTCAAGCATACTTGAAACATTTATTAAAATAGATCATAAATCAGGTCACAAAGAAGCATTAATAAATTCCTGAAAATCACTAGCATACAAACTATGTACTCTATAATTATACAATAAAATTAGATATTTTGACAAAAGGATAGCTTCCATAAATCCCATAAATTTGGAAACTAAATAAAACAATTCTTAAACCCTTGGGTTTAAAAAAAAGTCACACCTGTATAACTAATAAAACATAGAAAGAAAGAAAGAAAAAGAAAAACGTGATAGTAGAGAAACCTGGCAAACATCGCCTTAACCAAGTGATCAAGGTTAAACCTCCCCAGTAATTAGTCATGGAGATATCATGTGCTCCAATACGATGTGACAAGAAAGGCATATCTCCTTTGCAATATTCTCCTTTAAAATTCAGAACCTCAGTGTTTTTGTAAGAAAACATCAGACAAACTCAAACTGAGAGATATTCTGTTAGGTTGTTGCAAAACTAATTGTGGTTTTTGCCACTACAAAATATCTGACAAGTACTTTCAAAAGTGTCAAGGTCATGAAAGACTGAGAAATTGTTACAGATTGAAGAAGACAAGGAGGTGTGACAACTTGAGGCAGGGAAGGAGCAAGAGAGGGAGGATCAGAAGAGAAAGAAGGAGAAAAGGAACTCCATAAAGGACTTGCTCATAGTCAGGGAGAAATGAAAACTTCTGGGACCAAATTCCTAGTCCCCATTTTATCTTAGCTATTTTCTTGACATGCAGCATAGAATTTCATATGGTCTCTATTTCCTGGACCAACGCTCCCCAAAAAGAGATGAAATAAGAATTTGTCAAAAGAAATACAGACATCTATCCCTGTAACTGTAAATCCTTAAAAAAAAAAAAAACTCACTTGAAATATGCAAGTGTTGCCTCTTTCTGTATAACTTTTGATTAAGATATGCTGTAGATAATATCATCTGCACTAATAAATTATTATTTTACTAAGTTATGAATTCCAATGATTCATTCAATTCTTTGCTATCTAATTTTCATCTTAATTACTGTTTGTTGTAAAAATCCTGAGACTATTTACAAAAACCTTTTAAAAGAGCCAAATACATTATTATGCAGAGTATCATGTACTAATTTAATACTCCAACAATTCTAGAAATTTGAAGCATTACACCATAAGACTTTAGTGGTGGTAATACTAGGACTATTATAATTTATTAATAATTGACAACAAGAAGTTTCTATTGAGCATTGATTACATGCTATGGTCAGCTAGGGATAACCCACTGAAAGACAGAGATGGTCTTAGTCTTCATGGAACTTAGAATCCCGTGGAGAAAACAAACTTTAACAAGGAAACAAAACAAAAGTAATAATTACAAATTACTATAAGTGCAATGAAGGAAAGGTGCTTTAATAAGATAAACTGGTTCAGGGGCTGGGAGATGGGAGCTGATTCTAATTCAGTCTTCGGAGAAAGCCTCTCTGAGGAGATGACCTTTCTCCTAGTTTTCTTCCAAAGACTTGGCAGGAGTTATAAAACTGTACTACACACGTTTAAAAGATGTCCGGGCATAGTGGCTTACGCCTGTAATCCCAGCACTTTGGGAGGCCGAGGCAGGCAAATCAGTTGAGGTCAGGAGTTTGAGACCAGCCATGGCCAACATAGCCAAATCCCGTCTCTACTAAAAATACAAAAATTACCCCACCATGATGGCACGCGATTGTAATCCCAGCTACTCGGGAGGCTGAGGCAGGAGAATCACTTCAACCTGGGAGGTGGAGGTTGCAATGAGCTGAGAGCATGCCACTGGACTCCAGCCTGGGCAACAGAGAGAAACTCTGTCTCAAATAAGTAAATAAATAAATAAATAAATAACAGCTGGATTAAAAAAAAAACAAAAATCAAGAATTTAAGGTATTAGGACACAAAAAGGTATGAGGACATGTTAAAATAACTTCTTAGTTTCCTGGCACTCACAGTAAAAAGACAACATCATTCATATTACTGTAGAGTTCTCATCTCTCAAAGAAAGAAAATATACTGAGTCACCTAAAGGGACTAATATTTCTCTGGCACTGGTTTCAAGCAGCAATTTATCATATGATTCTTTCTATAAGGAATATCAGATAAGTTAATAAACTGCCATTTTCTCGTGTTATTTTGCATAAGATACTAAAATGTTCTTCAAATGACATTTCTGATCGTAACCCAATATAAACCACAAGATAATGCAGTCCAGGTAGTGACTTTCTGGTGATATAACTACATGCAGGGACTGAAAGAAACTAGTAAATGAATGCCACTTAGATTCTCTCAGGTACTAAGTAACAACCCTGAACTTCAGTATTCTGAATAGCAAAATTTAATAGCTAAAAATCTCTGCTGAATATCTACTGGGCTGACATTGCATATCATTGATGGAAGAGAAATACATACGGTTCAGATAGCAGACATGAAGGGGACTGATTTAACATTTTGTGGCAAACAATTTAATAGCTAACCTTCCATTCTCGTTCAAGCAAATTGACATAGAAGCAGGCTGCACTGGTACCAGGGAAGAGGGCCAAGATGTTTCTCAATGTACAACAAAAAGAGTTTGAACCTGTTTCAGAAGATGGCCAAGTATTTGGAGATCACAGAACTTGACATCACCAAGCATAAAGAAGTTATTTTGACATCCTCCCCCCAAAAAAATCCCTGAGTATTTTATTTGGCCATATTGACCACAAAAGAACTTCACCGTGGACCCTACTGAGAATTTCTTTCCAATCAGAATTACCTCACCATTGGTCTGCCAGGATGATTTATCAGTAAATGTCCCAAGTAGTTGAAGGAAGAAAGCTTTTATCTGGGGTTACTTAATAAATTTCATTTAAAAACTAAATGACTGCTAAATGTAATGATTTTTGTTTCCACATAATTAATGCTGGCTGTTCTTTCTGACAATAAGCCATCAAAAGCCTCTGCTGTATCTCTTTTTTTTTTTTTTTTTTTTTTGAGATGGAGTTTCACTCTTGTTGCCCAGGCTAGAGTGCAATGGCATGATCTCAGCTCACTGCAACCTCTGCCTCCCGGGTTCAAGAAATTCTCCTGTCTCAGCCTCCCAAGTGGCTGGGATTACAGATGCATGCCACTACGCCCGGCTAATTTTTGTATTTTTAATAGAGACGGAGTTTCATCATATTGGTCAGGCTGGTCTCGAACTCCTGACCTCAGGTGATCTGCCCACCTCGGCCTCCCAAAGTGCTGGGATTACAGGCGTGAGCTACTGCACCTGGCCTCTGCTGCATCTTAATGAGGCAAATACAACCATTGGCCTAGAAAAGGGTTCTTCCCTTCCCTCCCATTTTTGCTGATAAGTGGGCATGCATCCAATCTACATACTAGCTAGACAGGAAGCGTAGCATGTTGAACAAATAGTGGATTTTTTTTTTCTTTTCTTTTCTTAGAGACAGGGTCTCACCTTGAACTCCTGGGCTCAAGCGATCCTCCCACCTTCGCCTCCCAAAGTGCTAGGATTACAGATGTGAGTCACCACATCCGGCCCAAATAGTGGATATTAATGTGAAAGTGGAGACTGTGTTTAATTTAACAGGCAAAAAAAATCAACCCATTAAAAATGTCAATGTACCTTCTTCTCTAATAATGGGAATATGAATGCTGGGTTGCCTAGAGTACTAGTTGGCTAGCAATAAAATATGGGCTGAAATACACTTCTCTTTACTCAGAGAAGCCCACCCATTGTCAAGAAGTGGAAGGGAGGGGAAAAGACAGAAGGAGTTATGGACTGTGGCCTACCTCACCAAATCCATTCGGCACAAACGGGTTTCTCCTAGTGGCCTAAGAACATCAGATATGTGGAAGGAAACATACTGCCTGATATGGCTTAGATCTGTGTCCCTGCCCAAATCTCATGTCAAACTGTAATACCCAGTGTTGGAGGTGGGGCCTGTTGGGAAGTGATTGGATCATGGGGGTGGAATTCCCCCATGCTGCTGTTCTCATGATAGTGAGTGAGTTATCACGAGATTTGGTTGTTTAAAAGTGTGTGGCACCTACCCCACACCCCTTGCTTCTGCTCAGGCCACATAAGATGTGCCTCTTTCCCCTTCGCCTTCTGCCATGATTGTAAGTTTCCTGAGGCCTCCCCAGAAGCTGAGCAGATGCCAGCATCATGCTTCCTTAGCAGCCTGTGCAACTGTGAGCCAATTAAACCTCTTTTCTTTATGCGTTACCCAGTCTCAGGTGTTTCTTTATAGCAGTGCAAGAACTCCTAGTGGCCTAAGAACATCAGATATGTGGAAGGAAAAGGAAACATACTCTTCTTTAAACTTTTGAGTGGTTTGTACTCCATCCCTAATTTAGACCGCTTTTTCTTGGGGCAGAAAATTAATTTTCCATTTTTTAGTCTCTACCCGACTCATCTGGTACTATGCACACAGCATGTGCTCAGTAAATGTTTGACCAACAACATGACTGTGCTATTGATTTCCTTTTACATACAGTGCCTAGCAGTAGGCAGTCAAAAATGTGGGTCAAAGAATGACTAGTGTATTACAATCCGACTTATTTCTGATTCCCATTCATGTATACTAAAGAATGTGAAAAGGCCAGAATTTCCTATCAATTTATTTCCATGTGGGTAATTCTATGAGGACTGTATTTTATTACTGTAAGCTTTTGTTATGAGTCATAGATACCTGAAAATGTAAGAATATACCAGGAACCTCTTCTCTTTTTTAACTCCCATTGTCGAGAAGTGAGAGTGTGCTCTTTCCCCTAACCATTCTCATCCCGCCCACTCCATTAAATATTATCTAAAGGCAAAAATCCCCCAAATGTTTCGCTATGACCTTGTGTATCCAGTTGTCTACTTGACACCTCCACTGGAGTTCAATAGGCACTTCAAACTTAATCTTTCCCAAACCAGACTCCTGATCCTCTCACTCCCAATTTACTCTACTCAGCCTGCTCCACTTCTGTAAATGGTACCACCATCCACTCAAGTCAAAGACTTCAGGGCTCCTCCTTAATTCCTCTCTGTCCCTCACACCTACTGTCCGACCCATCAATAAGTACTATTGCTCTTCCTCTACATCATCCCCTAACCCATTCGCCTCTCTCCATCCTAACCACCTCTACTCTCTTCTACATCATATCTTGCTTGGACCCCGGAACTTTGCTTCATCTTTTCATCCATAGAGAGGCCTTCCTTGAACACCCAATCTAAAATTGCTCCCCAGAGTCTATCACATTGCCTAATTTCATGTTTTTCTTAGCATTTATCATTACCAGTTAATTTTCTTATTTGTTTGTTTTTTTATTGGGAAGGAGGATATTTTCTGTCACTCCCCATTAAAATGCACGTCCATAAGAGTAGGGACTCTTAATGTCTTGTTTGCTTCTGCATTTCCAGTGTTTATTTATAATAGAGTTTGACACATAATAGGTGCTCAATAAATAGTCATTGAATTAAGAAATTAATGAATCAATTAGTGAATAAGCCTAATGTGTATTTGAACGTGAAAGATGAGCAGAATGCAGAACAACACAGTTTTTATGTAAGTAATAGATTCATTGAGACTAAATTTAAATTATCCAATTTCCTTTGACAGCTCCCACCCTAATATTTTTTAGTTAACAATCATTGAACATTTATTACATGCCAGAAACTGGACATTTTTTCACATATTAGCTCACTGAATTTAATTCCATCCTTGTACAGCCTTATAAAGTAACTATAACTAGTTAAGTGGCAAAGCCAGGATTCAAATAAAAGTCAGGCTTATTCCAGAGTCCCAAGCTTTTTATTACCATATTAATATGAATGTTCCTTTCAGATTGGCCAGATTCCCTAGAACACTCATCCAGCAAAGTAAGGTCAGGGCAGCTTAGCCTCAATGTAGAGCCCCATGGCTCTCCCCTAAAAGGCTGCAGCATTTGTGTGGTTTCCTTTGAGAGCACATGGACATCAAAGCTTGGCTATACAAGAGCATTCTTCCCATGACGCATATGCTGTGAGCACAGCAAGACATTAGCCAAAACAGCATTTCTTCAGTTAGTTAATTAATAAATATCTGAGTGTCCTGCTGAACCTGTACAATGATTATTACACATTTTCTAAGATTCAGGCCTCCAAAGTTGATACTTGACAAAATTTTCTTTTTACATACAGAAGGATTGGGTTCTTGTAAGGATCAAGTGAGCTAGTATATATGATATCTCTTTGAAAAAAATACAAACTATTACATAGAATGTGCACCATAATATAATCACAGAATTCTGGAAATGGAAAAGAACTAAGAAATGGCACCTAATTTTATGAAAGGGAACAGTGAGGCACAGAGAGGTAAAGTGACTTGTGGTTGAGGGGCTAGTAGCCTATAGAATGAAATTACATTGTTTACCAAATTCAATTTTCTTTCTTTTTTTTTTTTTGTTTGAGACGGATTCTTGCTCTGTTGCCCAGGCTGGAATGCAATGGCACAATCTCAGCTCACTGAAACCTCCGCCTCCCTGGTTGAAGCAATTCTCCCACCTCAGCCTCCCAAGTAGCTGGGACTACAGGTATGCACCACCACGCCTGGCTGATTTTTTTTTTTTTTTTTTTTTTAGTAGAGACCGGGTTTCACCACGTTGGCCAGACTGCTCTCGAACTCCTGACCTCAAGTGATCCACCCGTCTTGGCCTCCCAAAGTGCTGGGATTACAGGCGTGAGCCACCGCATCCGGCCCTAAATTTAGTTTTCAATCTGAATCTCAGCAGTGGTCCTTACAATCATCTTAACTGAGTTAACACACCTGATCTCAAACTTTCAAAATGATGCCAAGTTTATGATATTGATGTGGACATATTTTTTCTGGACCTTATATTTTATAAAACATTTTTCGAAGAGACCAGTCGCCCATATAATGAGCAGTAGGCATCGTTTCACCTTAATGTCTCCAGGAAAAACAAAACAAGACAAAATTACTATACATTTATGATCAATGATCTCTTCAAAAATTGTCACAGGTGGAACTGTAACATATGGCGCATTTGAACAGTAAAAGTCCTGCAGATGGACACTGTCAATGGGTGCTTTTTTCCCTAGTGACTCTCAACAGGAAGTGCCGACATTTGGAAATGTATGAAGATTTTTTGGGGGGTTGTCATAATGATTAGAGAAATCTCCTGGCATTTGGTGTCTAGTGGACAAGAATGTTAGTATAAATGGCCTGTAATCCAAGGGATAGTTCTATATAAAGAGCCATGTCACCCAGAATTCCAACAGCTACCCCAGACAACAGAAAAATGACTGCAAGCATCTGCCTGCTTGAGATAACTCCTTTTAATTATATATAAAGCATTTATTTTAATTTGGAGCTATCTTAGTTCATTTGGACAGCTATAACAAAATATCATGAACTTGATGACTTGTAAATAACAAAAATTTAATTTCACACATGTCTAGAGGCTGAGAAGTTCAAGATTAAGGCACTGGCAGATTTGGTGTCTGGGGAAGGCCTGCTGTCTGGCTCAGAGATGTCACCTTCTTACTGTGTCTTTACATGGTAGAGGGGATGAACTAGTTCTCTGGGACTTCTTTTATAAGGACACTAATCCCCTCCATGAGGGCTCCGCCCTCATGACCTAATCACCTCCCAAAGGCTCCACCTCCTAATACCATCACATTGGGGATTCAATTTCAACATAGGAATTTTGATGGAACACAAATATTCAAACGATAGCAGAAACTTTTACAAATAAAGAAGAAATTTATCAAAATGACCAAAAGCCTGGAAAAACATAATAGAGTTTACTAAATGCTTAATACTATAAAAAATAGTTTCAACATCTCTGGCAACATGGTGGATAAGAGATCCTGCAACCTAATGCTACACAATGTTAAAAATGCAAGATAAAATATAAAAGTTACTCTTTTATGAATGCATAAGCCTACAAAAAATAAGAAAATTGCTCTGAGGCCATGACCAGAGTGGGTGCATGAGTCCAGGGAGGTGGCTGAGCCTTGTACACCTGATACTCACCTACAAATTATAGGGCTAAAAATTTAGCAGCAGTGGGTGAAGTGGGTAGCAGAGTGGGAGTAGGGGGAGAGGAAGGCTGGAAGTAAAGCCCTGGACTCATGGAGGTTGGGAAGCTGAATTGGAGACCATCTTGTATAGAGCTAGGATAGGCAATGAACTATACCTTCAGGAAAAAAAAGAGAGAAAAAAAAGGTTGATGAGGAAAACAAAAGTCAGAAGAAAACAGATACAAAATGAACAACAACAAAAGGCTAGAAGAGATTCAGGGTATAACAGCTAGGCTTCTCTCTCTTCCTTGGCTCTCCAATATTTTGCTGTTGCCTCCTCTTGGCTGAACCCAACTGGAAATCAGACAACACACAGCCCAGGAAACTCGGCATGCAGAGCAAGTCAGGGGAAAGACAAGGCATACATTCAAGGTCAAGCAGACCTAGAACCTGCATAGCCAGGTATTCTGATAAAGCACTTGTATGCAGATTATCTGATTTAATCTTCACAACAGACAGGTACTACTACATGCCCTAGAGTAAATTGGATCTTAGCATGGTCAAGTTTCTCTTCTAAGCATGCAGCCAGTAATGGTGGCACTGGGCTCTAACGCCAAGTTGGCCTGACTGCATACCCTGCACTCTTAACAATTTTGCTGTATAGTTGTAAAAATAGTGTGATTCTGATGTTGACTTCTTGTGTCTTCTCACTGGGTTTTGGGAGACACCCTAACTCAGGAGTGGCCTGTTCTAATCTGGTCCTCATCTGCATTGTCCTGGTTTTGCTTTTCTTTCTTACACTTTGTAGTTCTACATGAGTCCATGTCTGACGGCTTTACTCATGTTAGGTCATTTTCCATCTCTGTCAGCAATGGTTTAAAGTGCAGGGCTATCCATTGCTTCATAACAAACTGCCCCAGAATTTAGTGGCTTCAAACAACAACAAAGTTACTATATTTCACAACTTTGCAGGTTGGAAATGTGGTCAGGGTTTGGCTGGGTGACTCTTCTGCTCGATATGGTGTTGACTGGTGTTACTTGGTGGTAGTCATCTGATGGTTCATCTGGCTTCATTCCCAAGCTTGGCTTTTTGGCAAGGACAATGAAAGGCTGAGCTCAGCAAGACTCCTCTCATTATCCATGTAGTCTCAGGGCACTTCACCTGCCCTCTCCAGCAGGGTAGTTGACATGGTTTGACTGTGTCCCCACCCAAATCTCATCTTGAATTGTAGCTCCCATAATTCCATCTGTTGTGGGAGGGATGCAGTGGGAGATAACTGAATCATAGGGGAAGGTTCCCCCATATTGTTCTCGTGGTAGTGAATAAGTCTCACGAGATCTGATGGTTTTATAAGCGGTTTCCCCGTTTGCTTGGCTCTCATTCTCTCTTGTCTGCCACCATGTAAGATGCGCCTTTCGCCTTCCACCATGATTGTGAAGTCTCCCCAGCCACATGGAACTGTGAGTCCATTAAACCTCTTTTTCTTTATAAATCACCTAGTCTCGGGTATGTCTTTATCAGCAGTGTGAGAACAGACTAATACAGTAGTCTAATGCCTTACTTGGCAGCTCAGGGCTCCAAGGGAACAAGGAAGAAGCTGCTGGTATTCTTGCAAGCCTAGGCCTGAAACTGTCATACTCTACTTGTTAAAGAAGTCACAGCTCAGGTCCAAGGAGGCGGGAAATATATCCCACCTCTCAATGCAGGAATTATTTGACATCAAAGAATTTGTGGCCATCTTTAATCTGGCCACAGGAATAGAAACTTCACTAACTATATTTCTATATCTTTAGCTGTTTATATTCCTATTCACTATTCCTTTAATCTGTATAATTTCCAGTTTTCAAGAAATATCCCTCTTCTTCAACTCTGCATAAGCATATTACCGCTGACTCGGCAAAACACTATATATTTATTACAAACAATTGTTTGTAATGCCTACCGTGATGCCTGGCCCATAGGAGTTACCCAGTAAATACTCGACAGACAAATGACCATTTAAAATAGTGCCCTTTTTTAATTGTTTGGAGACAATTGGGAGGTGCATTAGGGTTCTCTAGAGAAACACAACTAATAAGAGATATAGATATATGACAGAGGATTTATTAGGGAAATTGGCTCTGCAATTATGAAGGCTAAGAAGTCCCATGACAGGCCATTCACAAACTGGAGACCTGAGATGTTGACAGCATGGCTCAGTCCAAGTCCAAAGGCCTTAGAACCAGGGAAGCCAATTGTGTAACTCTCAGTCCAAGGCCAAATGCCTGAAAGCCTGGCGGGGCTGCTGATGTAAGTCCTGAAATCCAAAGGCCAGGGAGCCCAGAGTTGTTGTCCAAGGCCAGGAGAGGAAGAGTGTACCCCAGCCCCAGCAGAGAGATGGACATGTTCTTCTTTTCTCTGTTTTTGTTCTCTCCAGGGCCCTAGTAGAGTAGATGGTGCCCACCCACATTGAGGGCAGATCTTCCCCACTTAGTCTATTCAGACACACATGCTAATCTCCTCTGGAAATGTGCTCAGACACACCCAAAAATAATGCTTTACCCAGTTTCTAGGTATTCCTTCAGCTAGTCAAGTCAACACCTAAAATTAACCATCCCAGACAGTGTTTACAGACAGATCCAATTTCAGCAGGAAGTGAAGGCTACTGTGAAGCATCTCCATTTCATATGCTATTTTCTGCATGCTGTCTGAGTTACCACTACAGATTTCTTCCCCAGTTCCAAATGGCTCGGGAGTTCCACTGATTCCCAGGGCTCACTAGTACCAAACAGGACCTAACTCGTTACTCTCTGCTTCTTCGTGTCTCACACAGTGATCCCAATCCCTTAACTCAGTGGTTCTCAAACTCTGAACTATAGAGGAATGACCTGGAGAGCCCCAGAAAGCACCAAGCACTGAACCCGTCTTCAGAGTGTTTGATTCAGTAGGCCAAGGATGGGGCTCGATAATCTGCATTTCTTTCTTTTTTTTTTTTTTGAGACTGAGTTTTGCTCTTGTTGGTCAGGGTGGAGTGCAATGGCATGGTCTTAGTTTACTGCAACCTCCATCTCCCAGGTTCAAGTGATTCTTCTGCCTCAGCCTCCCAAGTAGCTGGGATTACAGGCACCAGGCATGACATCCGGCTAATTTTTGTATTTTTGTAGAGAAGGGGTTTCACTATGTTGACCGGGCTGGTCTTCAACTCCTGACCTCAAGTGATCCGCCCACCTCAGCCTCCTAAAATGCTGGGATTACAGGTGTGAGCCACCATGCCCTGCCAATAATCTGCAGTTCTAACAGGTTCCCAGATGCTGCTCATTTCAAGTTATGCCAACAAACAACATAGTTTCATCAACATTAACGGGTATTGACATTACTTGAGATGGATTTTTATAATCCTGAATTTAAACTAAAACACAGGGACAGGTGACTTCTAATCCATACATTAGATCCATGCCTTTTATAAAATTGATGATCTGAAACCTTCTTGTTGAAGTGTTTCATTTAGAAAACAAAACAGTGAGCTACTGTCAGAGACTCCCATGAAAGTTAGATATCAACTGCTGATTAGTACTTTAGAAAATCATAAGGAGTATTGTTGCTGCTAGAAATCTATTAAGCATTTTCCATTTAAAAATTCTTCATTATACTGAACAAAGAAGAATTTTTGCTCCTGTGCAGTCTAGACCTGGTTCTGTTGCTTAGCAATGGGCTCTGCCGTACCATTACAGCCCTGTGTTTTCCTCTTCAAAAAAGAACAGTGTGCCACAGGTGCTTTTTAACTTTACCACCGTGCTCCCATGAAGAAGAATTCATAATCATTTTGTATTTAATCTAGCAGACTGAAAATTCTCAAGGTGAGAGCTTTCTCTTAGGATGTTGAAAATGCACTGTGCTCTTTCTTCAAAGTGAAAGTCTCTGATTCCCAATCATTGAAAAAAGTTCTGGAGGGATTCGCCTTTGTGACAAAGAGCCATCAATCAGTTAATACGGACTGTAGTGTGCCTCGTCCATGTTCAGCTGTGGGCCGAGCAAGTGGAGGAATCAAAAGATATGTAAAAGAATATCTGTGCACACATTGCATACACTGTAAAGCAGCGGGTTTAGATCTTACAGTATCTCCTTCATAAGTTCTACGAGGCATAAGAAAGATAAGATTAACTTAGGAGAAACAATAGCAAACTGTATAAGACAGTATGCAATCAGCTACTAAATTATGAGGCTCTCAATGAAAAGCCTCTTAAGAATTCAAAGAGGGTAGAAACTAATAAGAGGAAGGGCTGGCATTTATCAAGTGCCTTCTATATGCTAGGCACTTCGAATGCATGATCTGTTTCAGTAGTCACAACAGTCCTGTGAAGTCAGAATTATCATCATCCTCATTTTCAGATGAGGATTGCAAGTCTTAAAGGCTAATTAGCTTGCTTGTAAACAAACAAGGTCTGGATTAAGTAAAGGAGAAAATCGAGGAGTGTGGATAGACAGAGATCCTCCCACCATGCTGCTCTTTCCCTAGCATCTCTTTGCATTATTCATAAATGCAGGGCCAAATTCCAGTTCTCATGGCCCTCAGGGAAAAAACCCAAGCTTTAATTCGTGCTGATAAACCTCTGTGAAGACCTATTCTTTTAGCCAACAGAATGTCCCCTGGGACAAAGGTGAAGGAAGGAGGATTTCTTTTCATATTATTTTTGAACAATGAGTTCTGTAGAGTGATACATGATTTGCATAGAAGTGTGTTGATCTATAAAAGCGCACCCCCTATTTTCATAACAGCGGAATCACGTCAACCTTCCAGACTTGAATTGTTTAGCATTTCTCTCCAAACAATCTTTCTCCTTGATTGCATTCATAATACTCTGCACCTCTTCTGATTAATCTGTTTTTGATTCAACTATTCCTTGAATTTTATCCCCAGTCTTGTCTTAAAGTGCTTCAGACCCTCCAAATAACAGTACTTATATCCTGTATATGATTTCACCCGATACTTTGCCGCAAGTCCTCATATGCACATAGGAAAACACAAGATAAGAAGTCATGTTTTCCTGGAGGTTTTTGAGACAAAAGATAAGACTGGCTAGGTCCCCTCTACTGCCAGACTTGGGGTAGGGGTTATTTTTATTCTTTTATGAGATTGCCTTTCAGGGGCACCCCCAAGAGGTGACATAGGAGAGGCTCAGGAAAATGAAGTTTATGACCTGGCACAGTGGCTCATACCTGTAATCCCAGCACTTTGGGAGGCAAAGGCAGGTGGATCGCTTGAGCCTGGGAGTTTGAGACCAGCCTGGACAACATGGCGAAACCCCATCTCTAAAAAAATCCAAAAAATAAAAAGTAAAATAGCCGTGGTGGCCCACACCTATAGTTCCAGCTGCTCAGGAGGCTGAGGTGGGAGGAGGATCACCTGCACACAGGAGGTCGAGGCTGCAGTGAGCCATCATCGCGCCACTACACTCCAGCCTGGGTAACAGAGTGGGACCCTGTCTCAAAAAAAAAAAAAAAGTTAATTATACTCACAAGTCCTCGAGACACAGCATGCCACACAGAGCCAGGTGGGAAAGGCGCCAGGGTAGGCAGGAGGCAAAAGACAAGAGCTAGAGGAGAACATTAGGCCACTGCCTTTATTGGAGTTTCTGCAAGAAAGGCAAGATAGGGCAGGGTGAATGGTTTAGGATTGGCTAGTTTGTATAATTTCAGTGGGCTCTTAAACTCTAAGAGAGTGGTCTTTAGCTGCCTGGCACCTGGCCCTGGGAGGACTGAGAGAGAGGAATATTGTCTGCTGGGTTGTGCATCCTAATGGAGAAGGCATGGCTCTGCACTGATTAGTTTGCCTACCAAAGCCATGCTCCTATCTTGGCTCTTTGCTATCTGTAAGAATTGGCTAGCACCGGGAGGGGCAGTCTCTCCTCACCTAGAAAGGGTTCTTAAGATATCAAAACATCAAAATACACAGAACATTTACAATATATACAATACAGGGTAGGTTGTCAGGGCACAACCCAAATCCCAGGCCTACAACTTTGGCAACTACCATAGAATGTTTCTGAAAATTTTGTGGAAGGTAGCGGGAAAAGAGCATGATAGTTTAATATTTGAATCAACTGCTGAGCCCTAGGCTGGAAATGAGTCCTGGGTTCTAGAACTGTTTCTGCCCAAGTCTCAAGGCTATAAAACGTGAAGGTCAAGAATGAAAAAAGAAATAGGTATTATTTAGCACTGTCAAGGATGCAGTGAAATGAGAACTTTCGTACTCAGCCAGTGGACATGCACATTGCTACAATCTTTTTGGAGAGCAATTTGGCACACAGCAAGTACTGTCCTAGAGAAACTCTCTCATATGTGCACTAGAACTCCCACACAAAAATGTTCGTTGCAGGTCAGGCTCAGTGGCTCATACCTGTAACTCTAGCACTTTGGGAGCTCAGGTGGAAGGATCACTTGAGGCCAGGAGTTTGAGACCAGCCTGGGCAACATAGCAAGACGTCATCTACACACACACACACACACACACACATATACACAAAATTAGCCCGGTGTAGTGGTGCACACTTATAGTCCCACCTATTGGAGGCTGAGGCACAAGGATCCCTTGAGTCCAGGAGGTTGAGGCTGCTTGCAGTGAGCTATGATTGCACCACTGCCCTCCAGGCTAAGCAACAGAATGAGACCCTGTCTCAAAGAAAAAAAAAAAAAAAGAAAGTTCATTGCAGCATTGTTTATAATAGTGAACAACTGGAAACAACTACATGTCCACCAGGCTAAGCGGGTAAATAAAATGTGGCATATTCATAAAATGCACTATAACCATTTCATAGGAATAAACTAATCCTACATATTAAGATAGGTAGATCTTAAAAATATAATGTTGCATGAGAATAAAAGCAAGTTACAGAACAATTTGTACTAGAAGATGCCACTGTATGTAACTTAAAAGAAAAGAAACAAACTTACATTCAAAAATATCTGTCTTGTTTATGGATACTGTATATTCAAGTAAAGCATTATAGTATTTAAGTGACCTGGAAAAATATACACCAAATTCATGGTAGTGGCTGCCTCTGGTGAAGGAACTGTGGAATCTGATTAGGGGTGGAAGATGAAGGAGGCTTCAGTTTTACCTAAAATGTCTCAGTTCTATTATTTAAATAAAAAAGGGCCAGGCACGGTGGCTCACACCTGTAATCCCAGCACTTTGGGAGGCTGAAGTGGGCAAATCACTAGAGATCAGGAGTTTGAGACCAGCCTGGCCAACATGGCAAAACCCCGTCTCTACGAAAAATACAAAAATTAGCCAGGTGTGGTGCCACGCACTTGCAGTCCCAGCTACTCAAGAGGTTGAGGCAGGAGAATCGCTTGAACCCAGGAGGCAGAGGCTGCAGTGAGCCAAGATCGCACCACTGCACTCCAGCTCAGGTGACAGAGAGAGACTCCAACTCAAAAAAAAAAAAAAAAAAAAAAAAGAACTATGAAGAAAAGAAGCAAAATGTTAACAATGATTGGTTCTGGAGTGAAATGATGTTTATTACAGTATT
The DNA here is from genome assembly GCF_000001405.40 of Homo sapiens. Classification (NCBI taxonomy): domain Eukaryota; kingdom Metazoa; phylum Chordata; class Mammalia; order Primates; family Hominidae; genus Homo; species Homo sapiens. The sequence continues at coordinate 93,658,264 of NC_000012.12, read as the reverse complement.
TTATGTGTTTTCCTAGGTTTCAAAATGTAGGTTTCGTTACAAAAAAATACCCACAAACAAACCCATAGCTAAATAATGCCCTTTTCAGCTCTGAATTTTAGAATTGTGTAATTAGGAATGTCATGCATTTCAGTTAGAGGCTCAAGGCTCACCTAATTCTGATCTGGCTTGGGCATTCCCACCAAAATGAAAGGTTGAGCTCCAGTGAAATCTTTTCGGTCCCCTTTGGCAGGACTGGCTTCATGGGCCCCAGGCTAGAAAGGGCTTCCTGCTTGGTGTAATGCTCTGCTGTCACCATCTTGAAATTCTGAATAACTTTACCTTTGAACTTGAGTTTTGTAATTGAAATCCGATGGGACAATGGAGTGTGAGTGTGAGCAGAGGAGATATGCATAATATATTAATATGTGCCCACAGTTTCTCGCCATCCATTCACACAGAATTTCAAACCCACGATCTGTCGGAAGTCAGCAAGACTCAAAGTGAGTACAAGATAGTGAATTATGGAAGCCACCAGCTTCCACAGTGTTGGTAAAAGTATGCACAGCGGCCAGGCGCAGTGGCTCACACCTGTAATCCCAGCACTTTGGGAGGCCAAGGTGGGCGGATCACCTGAGGTCAGGAGTTCAAGACCAGCATTACCAACATGGTGAAACCCCATCTCTACAAAAATACAAAAATTAGCCGGGCATGATGGCGGGTGCCTGTAATCCCAGCTACTTGGGAGGCTGAGGTGGAAGAATTGTTTGAACCCAGGAAGTGGAGGTTGCAGTGAGCTGAGATCGCGCCATTGCACTCCAGCCTGGGCAACAGAGTGAGACTCCGTCTCAAAAGCAACAACAACAACAACAAAAACAAGTATGCACATCAAGAAGCAAAATAAAAACAGTTGAGTTAGTTTAATTTTGTGCAACAATTCCACTGTTGTAATAAGAACAAGACACATGTGCATGTATGGGCCGCAAAATACAAATTGTGTAATATCTGTGATTCCACATATGAATGAAATGCTCTTATACTAGCATTTACAATTGCACAATAGAAAGAGATTTGGTAAGGTTTTTGCAAGCAATTTAAAGAAAGACAGGAAATGGCCTTATATTTTAATATGTTTATTGGCACTCTTTTCTTACTTTTTGAATAAGGGGACCTACATTTTTATTTTACATTAAGCCCCACAAATAATGTAGTGGACCCAGCCTTTTGGCTTTTACATCTGATGTGCCTAAGAGAAACTGTCATCAAACAACTGGGTGGTTGCCTGGAAAAGTTGTGATGATTAATTTTATGGGTCAACTTGACTAGGCTAAAGGGTACCCAGATAGCTGATAAACATTATGTCTGGGTGTGTCTGGGAGGGTGTTTCTGGATGAGATGAGCATTAGAATCAGTGGACTGAATAAAGAAGATGGTCCTCACCAATGTTGGTGGGCATCATCCAATCCATGGAGGGCCCAAATAGAATAAAAGGATAAAGGAAGCTGAATTTACTCTCTTTTTGAGCCAGAACATCTGTTTTCTCCTGTCCTTGGACATAGGACCTCCTGGTTCTCAGGCCTTCAGACTTGACTGGGAGGCCCATCACTAGCTCTCCTGGTTCTCCTGCTTGCAGGTAGCAGATTATGGGATGTATTGGCCTCCGTAATAGTGTGAGCCAATTCCCATAATCTCTCTCTCTCTCTCTCTCTCTCTCTCTCTCTCTCTCTCTCTCTCTCTCCTATTGGTTCTGTTTCTCTGGAGAACCTTGACTAATATAATAGTCCCTGTACAGCAAAGCCAGGGACAACTGAGAGCCCAAATCTTACCACAGCCTGCTTTTTCTCTTGTTCCCAGGAGCCCAGAGTTATCTGGTAACTTTACAGAAGTGGCTCCTGACCCAGGCGAACATTACTTCAAGACAAACAGGGGTACAGGAACACTTCAGGAATGTGGCTGAGGCACCTTCTTTTGCCCAGAAGACAATGGTGAATAGTCCAGGCTTTGAAGACTGCCTAGATTGGAATCCCTCCTCTACCACTTAAAAACCCTGTGACTGTGGGCAAGTAAAGTAATTATTTAGTGCCTCAGTTTCCTCATCTGTAAAATGAGCTAATAGTGATATGTACCTCATAGGGTTGTGACGATTTAGTGTGCTGTGCCAGCTGTGTAAGAAGCTTTCTCCCTTAGGTCTTCAGTTTCTAAAGGGGAGAGAGTGTAAGGTAATGTAGTTAGATCAGGTTCAAGTCCAGCTCTGTAGGTCCAGGCAGGTTTCTTCACTTGCTGAAAAATGAAGAGAATGTCCATCTTAGCCTGCTTATTGTGAGGCTTTATGGGAGATAACCTATGGGAACTTACCTGTGGATTCTCTTCCCTCAGTTTTCTTTTTGACAAAAGACCCCCCCATATCCTACGTGCCTATCTGTAGTTGTCCTGAAAAGCAGATGGGAAGGTGGGCATTTGAACCTTCTATGTGTCCCTCAGAAGTGTCAGAAGAGCTGACTGCTTACCAAGTGAAAGAAGGATAAGAGAGATGCTCTAAGCTCATGTTCTGTTCCTTCACAGGGCAGGGAAGGGAGAGAAAAACCATTCAGAAGCTGTAGATGGTGGAAAACGAAGCAAACCATGAGGCCCCGGGGCATGCAAAAGAAAAGTAAGGTAGCAGAGAGGGCATCAAGTCAGGATTAAAAGCATATCCCCAGGGTTCAAATGGCCAGAAGATCACCTTCCCATCCCCTAAACTCCCTACTCTGAATGTCAGCCCTCCAGACCCAGTCCAATGGAACCTCAAGCCAAGACAGTCACCATTAACAGCTGACGGCAAGCCCTGAAGACAAGGGTAAAGGAAAATGGAGGCCCCAGTAAGGAAAGAATAAAACTGCCATTCCAAATTGGAACACAGAACCCATTTCCCCAACATTGCTAGGTGTGAAGGTTAACTTCTCTGGAAAGCTTGACTCTAACTCTGGTCACTGTGTTGTCATCATCTTAAGGTCTGCTTCTAGTTTCCAGAGTCTGGAATAGAACCAAGTGCAGAGCAGACATTTAATAATATTTAATGAGGCCGGGCACAGTGGCTCATGACTGTAATTCCAGCACTTTAGGAGGCCGAGGCAGGAGGATTGCTTGAGGCCAGGAGTTTGAGTCCAGCTGGGGCAACATAGCAAGATCCTGTCCCTATAAAAGAATTGAAAAATTAAGGCTGGGCACAGTGGCTCATGCCTGTAATCCCAGCACTTTTGGAGGCCGAGGTGGGAAGATCACCTGAGGTTGGGAGTTTGAGACCAGCCTGACCAACATGGAGAAACCCCGTCTCTACTAAAAATACAAAAATTAGCTGGGCGTGGTGGCACATGCCTATAATCCCAGCTACTTGGGAAGCTGAGGCAGAATCGCTTGAACCCCGGGGGCGGATGTTGCAATGAGCCAAGATGGCACCATTGCACTCCATCCTGGGCAACAAGAGCAAAACTCCGTCTAAAAAAAAAAATTAAAAAATTAGCTGGGCGTGATGGTGATTGTCTGTAGTTCTAGCTACTTGGAGACTGAGGTGGGAAGATCACTTGAGGCCAGGAATTTGGGGTTACAGTGAGCTATGATCACACCACTGCACTCCAGCATGAGCAACAGAGCAAGACCCTGCCTTAATAATTAATGAATGAATAAGTAGGGAAATGGATGGTTGGGCATCTATGAAATGGCACCAGTAATGGTCTTAAGGGAAGATCTCAGTGGTAGGAACAAAGTCCCCAGTGGTGAACTCCAGTGAGTAGGTCTGAGGTATTGTCTTGACCAGCTATATACAGTTCTGCAGATTGTCCACTGAGCAAAGACACCTGACTAAGCAGGTAGGAGGAGGTCAAAATACAGCCTGTGCTCCCCTTGCCAAACTGTGAGCCTGTCCTAGGGCTTTGTCTTAATGGAAGAAGGCAGCCTTTTCCACTGCATGCAAAGACTCTGAATGAACTAGCACTGCCCCTTCCTGGGCCTTACTAGACTCAATATGTTTATGAGCTATTTTTCTTCAGGTAGGCAAAAGTAAAGCATTAGTTGCCAACTGAGGAGGTTTGATGGAAGAGTAAGATAAAGCTAAAAAAGAATGCCAGGGACCTGAAAGCAAACTTCAGCTTAACCATTTGTTGTTGTTGTTGTTGTTTTCTCTGCCATAGTAAAAGTAAGCTTTGCTTAAGAAGTCCAGCTTTGTTTAGGAAAAGCTCATAAAGGCAGAGATCCTCACCTAATGCCAATGGTTAGCTTTCAGAGTAGATAATTAAATAAGAGCATATTCTAATCTCCAGCCAGTGCTTCCTACTAGCAGAATCTAACCAGAGAACAGCTGGGAGTCTGGGAAATGTAGTTTTCAGGGTTCCAGTCCCTTGCAAAACAGAAAAGAACATCAAAGGGCAGGAGTGGAGTAAAGTTAAGGGCATGTATGGAGACGAGTTAAGCGGCTGTTGCAATCATCCTGCTGAGGGGTGCTGATGCTTGGAACAGAGTATAGCAGATAGAAGTATCACTTGTGTATCAAAGACACACTCTCTCCCTCCTCCTCAACGAAAAACCATTGCTCCCTTCTCGGAATTGCCTTGCAACTTCCCTGATGATATTCACCACTTTTTCTATTACAATTATGCATCACTTAATGACAAAGATACATTCTTAGAAAAACATCGTTAGGTGATTTCATCATTAGGTGATACCATCATAGAGTGTATCATACAAGCATAGCCTCCTGCACACCTAGGTTATATGGTATAGCCTATTGCTCCTAGGCTACAAACTGTACAGTATGTTACTGTACTGAATATTGTAGGTAATTGTAGCACGGTAGTAAGTACTTGTGTATCTAAACATATCTAAACATAAAAAAGGTACAGTAAAAATACAGTATAAAAATTTTTAATGGCACATCTGTATAGAGCAGTTCCATTATAATCTTATGCGATCACTGTCATATTTGTGGCATATCATTTACCAAAATGTGCTTATGTGATGTATGACTGTATATTACCGTTATTTGCATATTACTCTCACATCCTCTATTCCACCATAATCTCCTGAGTTGAGTTGCTATCTATCTGATTCATCCTCATGTCAAATAAAATAATTATATGAAAAACTTTTTAAACTGTAAAATGTCATAAGAATAAGGTGAATCCTGTTGCAATTCTTGTATGGGCCAGGAAAATGTTGAATATATCCATGAATGACTATATATGAATATCACACAATTGTATCAATAATTTTTTTAGTTTTATGTTACTGTTTTCCTAATTTCTTTCTCATTTTTATGTTTTATTTTCATTCGTGGTAGCTTAATAAGACTATCATTGAACACTTTTTATTAAAGGTTGAAAGAGTCAATACCTTCACCAAATCATCTGAACTCGTGTTGACCTATTGGTTGGGAAATGACCCAAATGTATTTTTAAAAATCATTGGGGCCAGGTGCAGTGGCTTACACCTGTAATCCTAGCACTTTGGGAGGCTGAGGTAGGCAGATCACTTGAGGCCAGGAATTCAAGACCAGCCTGGCCAACATTGTTAGGAAAATTATTATTGGGTTCAAATCTGGTTGTAACACAATTTCAGATTATCTATTCTTTCTTTCTTTTTTTCTTCTTCTTCTTCTTCTTTCTAGACAGAGTCTTGCTCTGTCACCCAGGCTGGAGTGTAGTGGCAGATCTCAGCTCACTGCAACCTTCGCCTCCCAGGTTCAAGCAATTCTCCTGCCTCAGCCTCCCAAGTAGCTGGGATTACAGGCATGTGCCACCACGCTCACCTAGTTTTTTTTGTTTGTTTTTTGTTTTTTTTTTTTAGTAGAGATGGGGTTTCACCATATTGGCCAGGTTGGTCTCAAACTCCTGACCTCAAGTGATCCACCCACCTCAGCCTCCCAAAGTGCTGGGATTACAGGCATGAGCCACTGTGCCTGACCTAAATATTCTTAATTAAATCTATTTTCATACTACAAAAGCTCATAACTTTTTATTTTCCTAGTTTGTCATTTCTTTTTTCTCAAACTACCTTCTTATGAGTAACTTTTTAATCTTGGCCAGCTGTGGCTTTTATTAGCCCCATAAGAAAACTCTTAGCTGGAAGGAGAGTGATGTTTGATTTGTTTGGTCATGTTGCACATTCACCTTCACACACATAAACTATTACAGTGCTCTGCAAACCATCAACGTTCAAAAAAACACCATCTCAGTCATGATGGCACAGTCTGAGATATTGACAAGAAAGCATTATTTGGAATGGGTTTGAAATGGGGAAGTAGATTCAGTCTCCTTGGTCTCATATCAATGGATGACTTGTGTCTGCTGGAGGTTATGAACACTTAGATTCTGTACGAGTCAAGTGAGAGCTTAGTGTCTGGTCAGAAAGTGGACAGTGAATCTTTAATATTTTATGTTCTATTTTGTTGGTTAAATAAAATAGAGTGGATTGAAATTGCAGTAAACGGAAACTTAATTTACTTCCAGAAAAATATTCCTAACAATGAGTATTGTAAAAAAAAAAAGTACGTAGGAAACTGTATTAGGGTTCTCCAGAGGGACAGAACAAGTAGGGTGTGTGCGTGTGTGTGTGTGTGTATGAGTTTATTAGGGAGAATTGGCTCACATGATTATAAGGTGAAATCTTACAATAGGCTGTCTGTAAGCTGGGGAAGAGAGAAGGTTGTAGTGGCTTATTCCGAGTCCAAAAGCCTCAAAAGCAGCAAAGCCAACAGTGCAGCCTTCAGTCTGTGGCCAAAGGCCCAGGAGCCCTGGCAAACCATGGGTGTAAGTCTAAGAGTCCGAAGACTGAAGAACCTGGAGTCTGATGTCCAAGGGCAGTAGGAGCGGAAGGAAGCATCCAGCACAGGACAAAGAAGGAAGCCAGAACACTCAGCAAGCCAGCTTGTCCCACTGTCTTCCACCTGCTTTGCTCTAGCTGCACTAGCAGCTGATTACCTGGTGCCTAACTACGTTGAGGGTAGGTCTTCCCCTCCCAGTCCACTGACTCAAATGTCAGTCTCCTCTGGCAACACCCTCACAGACACACCCAGAAACAACAATTTGCCAGCCATCTAAGCATCCTTCAATCCAATCAAGTTGACATCTAATATTAACCATCACAGAAACCAACATTTTCTTTTATGGATTGTTTAAAATAGAATGGCTTTACACTTGAAGAGTTTAATAGAAGGGAAAGGCCAATGGACTTAAAACGAAGCAAACAAAAATGAACAAACAAAAAAGCCAGAACTTCAACTCCAAGTCCACCAGTTATTGATTATGTAATTAAGGGCAAGTCATTTACATTCTCTGTTTTCAGTTTTCTACATCTATAAAAATGGACAGTAATTCTTAGGCAAAGATGGTAGTTGTTCCCCAACATCCACTCTCCTTTTCCATCTTTGATAAGGGAACGCCCAAGTTCTGGCTGGGGACATGGCCACTAAGCTAAGATACACTTCCCAGCCTCCTTTGCATCTAGATGTGGTCATATGATTGAGCTCTGGCCAATGGGATGTGAGCAGAAGTCATGTGTGAAACTTCTTAGGTAAATCCATAAAAAAGGGGGGCATGACCTGCATTTCCCTTTTCCCTTTCCAGAAGCTGAAATATGGACCTCCCTGGATCACTACCTTCAGGCTGTCACATGAGAGACAGTTTTATTTTGTTTTAAACCAGATTAAGTTGATCTTTGTTAAAGTGTCTGAACCTACACATTATTACATTTCTACTTGAAAATGCTACTGGGATATTCTTATTAGAAGAAAAACAAATATAGCATCTTATAAATGTTGAATTGTATACTCATTAGCCAGGATTATTATGATGTGTCTGAGTTATTTCTATAACTTTAATTTGTCATTTAATCACAGTTGTTATTTAATTTTTCACATGTGACTGTCTTCTCAGATAAAGTGAAATCCACTTGAAGCCAGCAACTTTTCATTAATTGCCAGCATCGCTAAATATTTTCTTCATATGTACTACTCAATATTTATCATTTGATTTTTTTTTTCATAGCACCCAGTTTGGTACTGTGCAACTAGTAAGCATGAAATAAATGTTTGCAAAAAATGAGAGAGAGAGAGAGAGAAAAGGAGCAGGGTAGCGGGAGGGAGGGAGGGAAGATTGATTGATTTCATTATGCTCATGCCTAAAGATTTGTGGTGATTGATGCTGGGGCCTGAGGGAATGGTTTAGATCAATGGTTCTCAAAGTGTGGTCCTTGGGTCAGCAGCATCAGCTTCACCTGGGAATTTATTAGAAATTAACATTCTTCAGCTGGGCATGGTGGCTCACGCCTGTAATCCCAGGACTTTGGGAGGCCGAGGCAGGCAGATCACGAGGTCAAGAGATCGAGACCATCCTGGCCAATATGGTGAAACTCCGTCCCTACTAAAAATACAAAAATTAGCCAGGTGTGGTGGTGTGTGCTTGTAATCCCAGCTACTCAGGAGGCTGAGGCAGGAGAATCGCTTGAATCTGGGAAGCAGAGGTTGCAGTGAGCCGAGATCGTGTCACTGCACTCCAGCCTGATGACAGAGCGGGACTCTGTCTCAAAAAAAAAAAAAAAAAAAAAAAAGAAAGAAAGAAAAAAGAAAGAAAGAAAAGAAAGAAATATTCTTGAGCTCCACCATAGGCCTACTGAGTCAGAAAGTCTGGGAGTGGGACTCAGCAAAGAAGTTTCAACAATTCTTCCACGTGATAATGATGCACATTGGTGTCTGAGAACCATTGCTTTAGCTGTTCTCAGCCACCCTGCCTATGAGTGTGATGGACTCCTGTCCAACCCAGTAAAATTAGAGGATCAGTGGTACTATCCACATGATTGTGTATTAAATGTACATTTTGCATTAATTCTTGTAATTAACTCATGTAAATTAATTGCATGACCACTTATAACACCACTTGTAACAGTGCCAGGCATATATGAAGCCCCAATAATTAATGATTGTGTTGTTTTATTATTGTTACTGACAAGGTTCCTATTGCAATTTGCATTCAAATGATGAAGCAATTTCCTAGGTAGGAACAACACCTTCTTGAAACAATTAAAATGCAGTCACAGAGTTTCTTTAAAATGGGGTTTAAAAATTCCATTTCTAGGCACCTAGAGAATACTTCTTTAAGAGCACAAGGGATATATATATATAGTAATTAATTAGTGTATATATATGTGTGTGTGTATGTGTGTGTGTATATATATATATGTGTGTGTATATGTCCCTTGTGCTCTTAATTGTGTATGTTTAATTTGTTCATGATTTATGATCTATGACACACATACATACACACATATATACACAAACATATATACAGTAATTAATTACTATATATATATATATAACCCTTGTGCTCTTAAAGAAGCATTCTCTAGGTATAAATGCCCATTACATTACTAATTCATAGCCCTTCCAAAAAAAAGTGAAGGAATAACCTATTTACATGTGAACACATCTCAAAAATGTATGGCTACATGAAAATGCAAGTTTTAGAGGAATACTATCATGTGCATTTACAAAATACATATAATTTACAAAAATTAGACAGGCATGGTGGCGCATGCCTGTAATCCCAGCTACTTGGGAGCCTGAGGCACGAGAATGGCTTGAACCGGCGAGATGTAGGTTGCAGTGAGCTGAGATCATGCCACTGCACTCCAGCCTGGGCAACAGAGCTAGACTCTGCCTCAAAAAAATAAAAATAAAACATATAACAATATTATATATACATATTACTTACCAATACAGTAAGCATTCTAAAATATGTGTAGTGATACCTATCCATTTCAGGATAGTTATTACCTCTGGACAAGGAAAAGATAAAGGGAAGAAAGATGGAACTTCAGCTGTAACTACTGCATTTTATTTCTAAAAATTAAAAAAAAATGAAGGGGAGTGTATTACTCCATCTTGCATTGCTACAAAAGAATACAGGCCGGATAATTAATAAAGAAAAGACGTTTATTTGGCTCACAGTTTTGTAGGCTGTACAAGAAGCATGGTGCCAGCATCTGTTTCTGGGGAAGCCTCAGGAAGCTTCCAATCATGGCAGAAGGCAAAGGGGGAGATGACATGTTACATGGCGAGAGAGGGAGCAAGAGAGGTGCCAGCCTCTTTTAAACAACCAGCTCTTGTAAACTAACAGAGTGAGAACGCATTCATTACCATAGGGAGGGCACCAAGCTATTCATGAGGGATCTGCCCCCATAACCTAGCTTCCACTAGGCCCTAATTCCAACATTGGGGAACAGGTTTCAGCATGAGATTTGGAGGGGAGAAACATTCCAACTATTTCAGGGAGATATCTAAAATAAAGCTTACCTATATTAAATTTGGATACATGAAAGTCTATTAGAGTATTTTCTATATTTTCTGTATGCTTAATTTTTTCATAATTTATGGTCTATAACATTTAAAGTGTTGACATTAACTTTTACATGCAGTTTTATTACTTAGTAAAACTCAAATATCACCTCCCTTGGAAACCTTGCTGGAATCTTCTGGAAATCTCCCTCCTTGGGTTCCCACAGGTCCTGTTCAGTTCAGTACCCTTTTGTGGCCCACATCATTTATTTATTTATGACTCAGGTGTAAAGTGTTAGGATCTCAATTGCAGTGACTGGTGCTCATTCCTCTTTGTATCCTAATCAAAGCTTAAGTCTAGGATGGCTGCATTATTATATGCCTAAAAAATACTTATTCAATAAAGTAATGAAGCCAACTTACATATTCTGTAATTGCTGATGAGGTGTGCTGATGGTTGCTGATAAAAATGAGGAAGGAAATGCATATGAAGAAAGGTACAGTCATGAAACAATACCCCTGATAAACCCAGTTGTTGATCAAATCCTCAGGCTGCCACAACAAAATACCATAGGCTGGGTGGCTTATGGAACAGAATTTTTTTTTTAAGACAATCTCACTCTGTTGCCCAGGCTGGAGTGCAGTGATGCGATCTCAGCTCACTGCATCCTCTGCCTCCCAGGTTCAAGCGATTCTCCTGCCTCTGCCTCCCAAGTAGCTGGAACTACAGGTGTGCATCACCACACCTGGCTAATTTTTGTATTTTTAGTAGATGCAGGGTTTCACCATGTTGGCCAGGCTGGTCTTGAACTCCCAACCTCAGGTGATCTGCCCACCTAGGCCTCCCAAAGTGCTAGGATTAACAGCATGAGCCACTGCATCCAGCTGGAACAGAAATTTATTTCTCACAGTTCATGAGCCTTTGAAGTCCAAGATTGAGGTGTCAGCTGATTCAGTTCCTGGTGGGAGCTCCCTTCCTGGCTTGCAGATGGCTGCGGTCTCTCTGTATCTTCACATGGCACAGAGAGAGCTCTGGTGTCTCTTCCTCTTCTTATGAGGACTCTGATCCCATCATGAGGGCCCTACCCTCATGTTCTAATCTAACCCTAATTACCACCCAAAGGACCCACCTCCAAATACCATCATATTGGAGGTTAAGACTTCAACATATGAATTTGGGGGAGACATGAACATTCAGTCTATAACATCAGTCCAAAGTTAATTCTCTACCTGTGATCATTTTATAGAATGAGCAGGGCAGGGTTTCTGCTCTAGGGGATGCTACCCCTGGTCAGAGACTCGTGTGGATTTGGCAGGGAGGAAACTGGTCAGAATTGTATGGCCTCTTTCTTATCGGCATGTTTCTATAATCTCTTCACATACCTGAATGCCTGAAGAGTAAGTGAATTTCAACACATATGTGCTTTGTAATTCTCATCAGCTTGTCATTGCTATTGATTGCTCTCCCGTCAAGATGATGGAGAATTTTAGCTTTTGCAAACAATTATAGAATCTTCTGATCAATTACACAGTCTTTGAATGGTCTGCATATCCTTCATGCAAAAGTCATTTCAATTTTTAATTATTTTTTTAAAAAAGAAAGTGATTTGATGCATTCATTCTTTAAGGTAAAATAAAACATAAGCATAAGCAGTTAGAATTAGATAAATTATTGTAAAAGTCAATTCAATAATCAATTATTACAAAATCTAAATAACTACTTGCACATGACGGTTGGGTATGTTAGCATAACCAGATAATTGGTTATTGATAGACCGTAGGGTACATAATTATTCATTACCTGGATGCAATGCTGATTTCTCGCTGTGCTGATGTATGTCATTAGCTACATTTTAAAGAAGACCTTATTCACTTGCTTAAGGCTCCATAGAAGGTAGATCTTGTTTTTTTAATCTCTAAACAAAAAAGATTTCTTTTACATTTTTTATCATGACATTTTAAAATTGTGTACTTTCCTCATTTAGAACTTCAAGCTCCTGGGTTTGTAAGACCAACTGCCAAGCCTCCTATTGTCAAAAGAAGTTTCTGGGAGTCCCTCCTGCTTATTCCATCTCCATAAACCTCAGGATTCAAACTGATGACTCACCATATTAGGTTTCTGGCAATAGACTGATGTTTCTCGCCATTGCTCTCTAGAGCACTGTAATTTTAGCCTTAAGATATCATGATAATTTCTCCTACCTGCAAATTCACACTCATTAAACTGGGTGATAATTATGCAAGGACTCACTAACAAAAGGATTACAGCCAGGCAACAATTCCATAATTAATGTCTAGTTTTTGTTATTGTTCTTGTTTTTCCTTTGAGTGATAGATTTTTTTTTCTCCGAACCCAACAAAGATTTTTCAGCTTAAATAAAGATGACATTGTCGTGATCATTGTAAAATTGATTCAAAAGCTAGCCAGTGAAAAAATACATTAGACTAACAGAAAAGAAAGTCGGGTTTTGTTTTATTTTACTTTTGAGACAGGGTCTCACTCTGTCGTCTAGTCTGGAGTGCAGTGGCATGATCACGGCTCATTGCAACCTCAACTTCCCTGGACTCAGGGGATCCCACCGCCTCAGCCTCCCAAGTAGCTGGGACTACAGATGTGCACCACCATGCCTGGCTAATTTTTGTATTTTTTGTAGGGACAGGGTCTTGCCGTGTTGCCCAGGCTGGTCTCGAATTACTGGACTCAAGTGATCCACCCAACTTGGTCTTCTCCAAAGGTGTTGGAATTACAGGTGTGAGCCACTGTGCCTGGCCCAGAAAGCTGAATTTTAGATGTGACTGCCTGATGTCTTATTCTGTTTCAGGACTACCTTAAGTCTGTTCTCCACAACTTTTTAGTCTCTGTAGGCCAATTGCACTAGGAACCACTCTCCCATCTACTATTATTTATAACTACAAAACACACAGCAAACTGTGTGCAAGCACATACATGTTTATTCACCTGATGAGCTTTTACTTTGTGCTAACTATATGGCTGACATAATTTGCTGCTCCGTAGAATTCAAAAATAAAACAGTCACTTTTTAAAGGATGCATAGGTATAATATGACTCAGTAAATCACAGAAGAAATACAATGACCAATACATATTTGAAACACTGTTCACATCTACCAGTAATCAATAAAATATAAACAAAGATGACAAGAAGGAACTGTTACCTATTAACTTAGAACAGATTTTTAAACATTTTATTATTCTGTAGCAAGTATGAAAAGGACTTGGTTCCTGTACCACAGCTACTCCCAAATCTTCCTAATTAACAGAAAAAAAAATTCTGAGGTATTGAATCTTATAGGAAATATCTGGATGGTCTAAACTGATCATAGTCTCACTACCCTTGCTGGTACCTAGTTTCTGCATATGCATGTAATATGGTTTGGCTGTGTCTCCACCCAAATCTCACCTTGAATTATAATAATCCCCATGTGTCAAGTGCAGGGCCAGGTGGAGACAACTGAACCATGGGGGTGGTTTCCCTCATACTGTTCTCATGGTAGTGAATAAGTCTCATGAGCTCTGACGGTTTTATAAATGGGAGTTCCCCTGCACAAGCCCTCTTGCCTGCCGCCATGTAAGACTTGACTTTGCTCCTCATTTGCCTTCTGCCATGATCGTGAGGCCTCCCCAGCCATGTGGAACTGTGAGTCAATTAAACCTTTTTCCTTTACAAATTATCCAGTTTTGGGTATGTTTTTATTAGCAGCGTGAGAACAGACTGATACAGCATGTGATGGAATTCTGTCCATGAGACACAAAGGGAAATCTGCTAGGGAGAGGGGGTACCTAGAAAGATTCTCTTCTTTCTTAGAAAGGGACCCAAGACAGTAATGAATACTCTCTGCTTTCCTGCCTTGTTTATATACCTCTTGATCCAGCAATCTAATCCTAGGTTTTTATCTTGAAGAAATAACTAAGAAAATATGCAAAACTTTACATACAAGTCTATCTAGTTGCAATCAGGCTGTTCTCTTGAATAGGACAGACTTGAATGGAGTTCATTTACTATAATGAAAAATTAGAAACAGTCATAAATGTCCAACAATATGAATTTGGTTAAGAAATTATGAGATTCCATAAGCTACTACATATTCATAAATCATATTGTAAATGAGTGGGAAAATCTTCATGACATACTGTTAAGAGATAAAAGTACAAAAGCAAAAATTTTTAGAAGCATGTTACGTGTGTGTGTGTGTGTGTGTGTGTACGTATACTCCCCTAGAGAGTGGAATAATGAGAGACTCTTATTTTCTTTTTTGAGCTCATTTGGACTTTTCAGTTTGTAGCATTAACATTTTTTCCCTTTGCAACTGAAGGGAAAAAATGTTATTTTTAAAAACTGAATCACATTTGGGTATTATAACAGAGCACAAAGGAGAGGTGGCCTAACCCTAAGTGGGAGTGGGCCATTTCTAGAAGGTGTGCTGGAGCTGAGTCCTGAAGTCAGCCAGGATTATCTGCTGGTGAAGGGAAAAGGGTGTTTCAGGCAGAGGAGAAAGCATACATGGAGAATCAGCTTTGGAGAGAATCGAACTCTAATTTTTGTCCACCACATCTTGCAGCACCACGTCAAGGTCACTTTATGGACTTTGCTGCACCACACTTTAAGTACCAATGCATGGATAATGATTCTTACCCCTTACTTACCTGCATATTTTAGCATGGTTCTTGTGTCCAGTGTGCCCCACAGGCCAGAGCCTGCAGCCCCTAACTCTGTGCTTTCCAACACTGGATGGGCAATATTGTTGCATTCAAGCTATATAATTTGAGAGCAATTGGGAAAAGCTACCCAGCCCCAAAATGTAAATCACTAACTGAACACTGAAAAGACATCCATAGAGATTCATTCTTTTGGGGTATATAAAAAGAAATGTATGTCTTCACTCTCCCCATGTTTCTTTTTAAAAATGTTAACTGCAAGCATGGAGCACAGCGTCAACTACATTTTAGGATGGCTGCCAACCACCATTTTTCTGGGGTATTGTCCTTCCCCTATCCTCATAGACACTACAAGTTGATTGGTTCAGTCAACATCCAATACCAGCTGGACCTAACCCAGTCTTCTCAAAGGAATTTGAAATAAATGAAGTGTTTTTAGTTGCAATCAGCCTGTTTCCCTGAATAGAAGAGAAGTCAACTTGGTTGTTGTTCCTGGAGGCCTTTTTTCCACCATGATGAATAAGAAGGCAGAGAAAGTGGTGTGCAGCAAGATGCAGGGGGCAGGGAGAAGCAGACCTGAGATACAGTGTATGTATTAAGGTAGACTACCCACTATAAGAAACAGCCCCAAATCTCAGTAGCTTAAGACAATACAAGTTTATTTCTTCCTCATGCAAAAATTCGAATCTGATGATGCTGGTTAGATAGCTTTCCTGTGAGCTCTTTCCAAGTGGTGACTCAGGGACCCAGGCTCCTTCTATCTCATGTCTCCATCATCTTATGGCTTCAAGAGCCCCATGATATCATCCCAGCCAGGAGAGGGGAGGAAGAGAGAGAACGTGAAAGATCACAAGAGACATTTTGTGATGTATGCTGGAATAGGCATACCTCACTTCCTTCCACTATCCATTAGCCAGAACTCAATCACATAGTTCTGTAACTGCCCTGGATCAATCTGGTTCAACTCCTATGTAACAAAGTTGTGAGTTATTTTTTAGTCCCATGGACCACCCCCCCACCCCAAGGTTGAAGGTCATGTAATCTGAGCATGCCCAGATGAACCAAGCGTGCAACCACAAGTGGAACCAAAGTGCTTGCACTGAGGGGCAAGGACTGAATCAAGAAGCAGACATCTTGGAACGTCTTGGATTCCTTCATGGTAGGATCCAGAATCTAATCAGATTGAGCCCTGGTGTAACTCCATGGCAGAATCCCAACAGATCATGCCTCCTGGCACCACCGCATTGTAAGATCCAATCAGATCACACCTCACTACACTATGCTTATGAAACCCAACCCAGCCCTCAGCTTGGGGAGTCAGATTTGAGCATTTCCTCCTGTCTCCTTGCCAGTTCACTGGCAATAAGCCTTTTTGCTGCAAAAATGCAGTGCTTCAGTGTTTCGCTTTCCATTGCATGCAGGCAAACGAACCCAGTTTGGTTTGGTAACAGTTCTATCTAGATGCAAAGAAGACTAGAAAATTTAACTTCACTTTGTGCCTACAAAGGTAAAAAGAACCAGATATTTGTGAACCCTGGAAGGATCTGCTACATACGGGAAAGATAATGTCTTGGGTTCCTTCTTGATCTTGTGCTGTATGACACTTAATTGGTCAAATCCAATATCCTTACTCAAGCTAGCACAAGTGAGTTTCTAGTATTTATGGACTAACAAATAATCAAAACACTTTCACAGTCGGTGCCGCATCCCCAGCCCGCCGCCATGGCCGCCTACAAACTGGTGCTGATCCGGCACGGCGAGAGCGCATGGAACCTGGAGAACCGCTTCAGCGGCTGGTACGACGCCGACCTGAGCCCGGCGGGCCACGAGGAGGCGAAGCGCGGCGGGCAGGCGCTACGAGATGCTGGCTATGAGTTTGACATCTGCTTCACCTCAGTGCAGAAGAGAGCGATCCGGACCCTCTGGACAGTGCTAGATGCCATTGATCAGATGTGGCTGCCAGTGGTGAGGACTTGGCGCCTCAATGAGCGGCACTATGGGGGTCTAACCGGTCTCAATAAAGCAGAAACTGCTGCAAAGCATGGTGAGGCCCAGGTGAAGATCTGGAGGCGCTCCTATGATGTCCCACCACCTCCGATGGAGCCCGACCATCCTTTCTACAGCAACATCAGTAAGGATCGTAGGTATGCAGACCTCACAGAAGATCAGCTACCCTCCTGTGAGAGTCTGAAGGATACTATTGCCAGAGCTCTGCCCTTCTGGAATGAAGAAATAGTTCCCCAGATCAAGGAGGGGAAACGTGTACTGATTGCAGCCCATGGCAACAGCCTCCGGGGCATTGTCAAGCATCTGGAGGGTCTCTCTGAAGAGGCTATCATGGAGCTGAACCTGCCGACTGGTATTCCCATTGTCTATGAATTGGACAAGAACTTGAAGCCTATCAAGCCCATGCAGTTTCTGGGGGATGAAGAGACGGTGCGCAAAGCCATGGAAGCTGTGGCTGCCCAGGGCAAGGCCAAGAAGTGAAGGCCGGCGGGGAGGATACTGTCCCCAGGAGCACCCTCCCTGCCCGTCTTGTCCCTCTGCCCCTCCCACCTGCACATGTCACACTGACCACATCTGTAGACATCTTGAGTTGTAGCTGCAGATGGGGACCAGTGGCTCCCATTTTCATTTTAGCCATTTTGTCGCCTGCACCCACTCCCTTCATACAATCTAGTCAGAATAGCAGTTCTAGAGCACAGGTTCTCAGTCTAAGCTATGGAAAAGCTCCCCTTATCCAACAGAGTTTAAAAGTAGTGACTTGGGTTTTTGCGAGTGCTTTGTTTACTAAGGACTTTGGGGAGGAACCATGCTAAGCCATGACCAGTGAGGAGAAGCAACAGAGCCTGTCTGTCCCCATGAGCGGAGTCTGTCCTCTGCTCTTCTGCAGTCAGGCCACTGCCTACTGCCTGGGGGCTCTAGTCATTCCAGTGGAAGACGAATGTAACCTGCGTGGTGATGTGACAACTGTTTCCTCCCTGACCCCAGAGGATCTGGCTCTAGGTTGGGATCAATCCTGAATTTCGTTATGTGTTAATTTACTTTTATTAAAAAAGTATAGTATATATAAATAATACAAAACAATAACCCTTCTGGGGTTTCTTGTGGCGGTTGAAATAGTCCCACATGTGGTCATCAGAAAATAAGCCATTCCTCATACCAATATAGGATCAGCTCCTTGACCTCTGAGGGGCAGGAGTGCTTCCTGGTGTGTGTATTAGAATCCCTTCCTGCCTTGTTTCATGGCAGTGAAATGCCTCTTGGTCCTGTCCAAGTGTATCTTTCACTGATTTCTGAATCATGTTCTAGTTGCTTGACCCTGCCACATGGGTCCAGTGTTCATCTGAGCATAACTGTACTAAATCCTTTTTCCATATCAGTATAATAAAGGAGTGATGTGCAAAAAAAAAAAAAAAAAAACACTTTCAGATGATAAAACATTATGACAATCTCATTTAACTTTTACATCAAACCTGTGAGGTAGATCTTACTATCATTCCCATTTTGCTGAAGGAGAAACAGAGTCCCAGAGAAATGATGTGAATTGTGTAAGTCCTGCAACAGCAAGTAGAGCCATGGCTGGAATTAAATCCTTCAAACTCTAATGCTGGGCTCTCTTTCCACTTCATTGTGTGCAAGAGCCGCTGGGAGAGACAGAATTAAACTCCTAACCTCTTAGTGTGAGTGATTTTATTAGATTACTTACAGTCTGGAGGAAGAGAGAATGACAGCGTGAAGCCACCAGCTCTCAGGAGAAAGGGTACATAGAAATGAAATGAAGGGTGCAAAGAGGAAAGTCCAGGCACACCACACACTTCATCTTCTTCACAATTTTGCAGAGGTTTTGGTTGGAACTCAGAAAGAAATCCAATCAAAGCCAAAAGAGTAGGACTCCTCTCTCTATGGAGGGCTGCATTTTGTGTTTGACATTGGAAGACACTCCAGTGTCTGACACGAATAACTTACAGAAAGCCCTGAAGAAAAGCAAGACAAATGGTGAAGACCTTGAGTCATGGCACCCAGATGAAAGGCACTGGGTTGTCAGAGCCTGGGTGATGAGGACAAGGATGAAGGAGAACAGTAAAGCCACCTTTGCGCACAATAAATTATGAGATAACCCTGGAACGACAGCAAACAGCTGCTCGGTTTCCTCAGAGCTAACAGCAGCCACCTCTGCTGGGCTTTTTCCACCACCAGCTCCTTTGACAACCAGCCTAACAGAATTGATGATCAAAGCTCTCCAGTGTGGCAGCAAAGCCTTTGCCGGGGGAAAGGTCTTTAAATGTTACTGGAGCGAGAAGGGAAAGTGCCAGGTAGGAATAACCTTGACAGAATAAAGTGAACAACAAAGTGCTGGAAGCAAACTGTTAAGAGGGTGTGGATACAGCTCGTGAGGTGGCGGTTCCCAAATATCTTTGTGGAGGTTTTCACTGGTCCCCAACAAAAAAGGACAATGTAGCAAGTTTCCCTTATACCTTTCACTTAAAAGACTGTCCTTTATTCCAAGATTTCTTCTTTCACAGTTTTGATATTAAATCTCCTTTTGTGAAAAGACGATAGAAGATGGTGTTCTTTTTTTTTCCTCTCTCTTATATTCATGGTGAAATAAAATGTTGGCAACACTCCATCAGTCCTCAGCTTTTTTTTTTTCTTTTTCACTGGTCCATGAAATTTAAAAGTCTGGTACACATGCAAATGCCCAGAACTCTTTAAGAATCATTCACAAAGAAAGAAAAAAAGAAGACAACTAAGAAAACACCCAAATATATTAAAAGGATAAACCACACAAATTTCAAGGACGAATCAATGCTCAGAAGTGAAGTAAATAGCAATATCTTTGAGGAAAATCATAGTAGGAAACAAAAAAGGATTAGTCAGTTTCTATCAGCCTTAGGAATCTGAACTGTCTGCCTTTCAAAGACATGTGGAAAAAGGGAATGGATGGCTCAACTAAGCCTTGACCATTACTCACAATTATCTCTAAAACAAGAAACACAGCTGACATGAAAAACTAGGAGCTATTAAACTTTTGAGAATGGATTACAAAATACTAGCCAGGAGCCAGCTGCAAAGATTTTGACAACAGAACAGCTCCCAATGTTCACAAGAGTACTCAGAAAAACTAACAATAGCAGCTGTTTTGCAAAAAGTGCAAAAGAAGGTTGAAAGAATGAGAACAACAAACAGATTGTGAAAATTCGCCACGTTAACTCTTGGAATAGAAGCTGTAAATGTTTCGATACAAAGGGGACTCCTCTACAATTCATCTGCTTATCCTTTAGGACCAGAGTACATGACAAAATGACAGTGTTCAGGAAAGAAAAAGGCTTGGACAAAAGTGCACAGAAATGGGGTGAAAGAGGAAGGCATGTGTGAAGATAGGTTTCCCTTGAATTTCAGAACTCATGAACCCATGTAATTGCAAATTGCATTCCTGACTAGCAATAACGTAAAGAAACACAGCTGAGATATAAATGGAAAAAAAAATGAAATGTAAAGATATTCACATTTGCTGAAAAGTAATAGCATTCATTCTCTTGCCTTATGTTTATAACTTTACGATAGAAAGGAAAATGATGGGGAATATTTTGGGGAAGGATCTAGAATTTATTAAACATCTATTGAGGACCAGGCACAGTGCTTGAAACTCATAGCCTCTCTATTAGTATTCCATAAACTTCTAACAACAACATTCTAAGGTGAGTATTATGACCCCAGTTTCCAGGTGAGAACACTGAGGATCATAAATAAGATGCTTATTCAGAGGGTTGTAGCTATCAAGTGTCAGAGTCAAGTAAGCATTTTCACCACTCTTCTCAATATCCAGTTATCCTCTCTGCCAAGATGCAGAATGAATGATTATAGAAACTGAGGGATTCTCTGAGAATCCTTCCTCCCAAGGTTGCCCCCTACATCACCTGAGGTGCCAATTCCAAACTCCTAGGTCTGCTGTTCCTTGTGCTGAACGCTCTTATGAGCTCACATTAAAATTGATTTACTTTATGTCCTCTCAGGTAAGTCCAGAAAGTCACTTCTGAGTGTCAAAGTAGAAGAGAGTTTATCTGATCAAATAATACGTAGTTATGTACTAATGGAAGAGGACAAAAGAACAATTCTCCTTCCAGGTAGAGATAACGGCCCAATCTTTATTAACAACCTGGGGTTGGGGGGTTGTAGCCCCACTCCCTTCCAGGACCTGACTGCACCACAACCCTGGTGTACTGATCACTCCCCAGTGCACATTGCCAACTATAGAAGCTGATGTTCCCAGGGGCATCGAAGCCCAAAGAGAAAAAACAAAACAAAAACCCACACACGTGAAGAGCATCACTATAAAAGGAAATAGGACAAAAAGAAAAGCCACAGAATGAATGTAGTAGGTAAATAACAAATGCTAAATAAGCATAAAAATCTTCAAACAAATAAGAGACAATATTGGCAAAATGAAATAAGAACTAACAGAATAAGGAAGAACCAAGTGGAAAACCTGATTACAAAAGACATGATAGTTGAAATAAAATAACTCAGTAATTAAGATAAATATCTCAAGGAATACACCTGAGAAACAAATTACTGAGCTGGGAGTCTGCCATATCATACCCGGAACAATAAAATAATAGGCCGAGCACGGCGGCTCACGCCTGTAATCCCAGCACTTTGGGAGACCGAGTCGGGTGGATCACGAGGTCAGGAATTCGAGACCAGCCTGACCAACATGGTGAAACCCCGTCACTACTAAAAATACAAAAAATTATCCGGGCATGGCGGCGTGCACCTGTAGTCCCAGCTACTCGGGAGGCTGAGGCAGGAGAATTGCTTGAACCCAGGAGGCGGAGGTTGCAGTGAGCCGAGATTGCGCCACTGCACTCCAGCCTAGGTGACAGAGTGAGACTACATCTCAAAAAAGAAACAAAGAAAAAAGGAAAGAAAAAGAGACTAACTTCGATAAAACATAATGACATGAGCATCTCTCCATTAAATAAAGCTGGGAGAACTATGGGAAGAAACAGAAGGTACAATTGTTGAATATTTCACATATTATTTTCAGAAACCAATAGATCATTGGACTGATTCTTGATATCAGAGTTAAAAAAAAAAAGAAACTGATAGATCAAGCAGATAAAAACAAAAACAAATGTATGGATCATTTGAAAAAACAATGAATAAAGTTAAATATAAACCAATTATTTCCAAGCAAATATAGAATTTTCTCATTTTAAAAACCACAAAGTAAACTTTAATAAATATAACATTCTTTCCAACCAAATATAGAACCCTTATAAAAATTAATCCCAAAATAAAATTTAATAATTTTAATAAATTTAATAATTTTATTTTCGAGTTAACATCCAATCATGTTCTAATAAAATTAAAAGTCATTGACAAAAGGATATTAAAATTATTCCTTATGTCTGAAAATCAAAATATATTCTACTAAAGTAACTCTTGGGTTAGAGCAGAAATTCAGCAGCATTAAATGTGCTTAGAATTGAACCACATTGAACATGCTACATGAAAGAAAGTACAACAGAGTGAAATCCTGTCTCAAAAAAAAAAAGACAGTATGAAACACAATTAAAGCAGAACCAAAACAATAGTTTATAGCTTTAAATACATTTGTTAGAAAACAAGAAATCAAAATAAAATAAGCTAAACTCTGAATTTGTGAAACTGGGGAAAAAGTCTAATCCATCTGGTGAAATATGAAGGAAAGAAATAATAAAGATAGCTCCAGAAAATAAATAAAAAATACTAATAAACCAAAAATTGATTATTTGGAAAGATGAACAAAATAGACATAACACTATTAATAGTAAGACTCATCAAGTAAGAAACAGAATGATTTGTGGGATTTTACCATTGAATGTGTATTTTAGGTACATTTTAGAAGGATGCATACATTATTCAAGGATCTAGAGCAAATACACTAAAATGGGTGTCTATAGATCATATAGAATGGGAGTGGGATCAGTGATGGAAGTAAAAAATGTAAGTAAAGAGAAGGGCCTCACATGGATGAAGGAGGACAGAATCCCATGGCATCAGATACAATAGGCAAAGGAAGGGACATTCAGTATTCTGTGTGAGCACAATTTTGGGAATAAAAGTAAAGTTAAATCTTTCTTTACTCTTTACAATTTTTTTTTTCAAGTCTGTTAAAAAGTTTGATGCTAAAAATGAAACCAATAGCTAAGTAAACAGATTATCTTATCAATTTGGGCAAGGATTTTGAAAGCACAAAGATAATAAAAGAAATAAAAAAGGAGAAAAATGACTTTAAAAAGGAAATCTTTAAAAAAATCTTTTTGTCTATCAAAAAGTCACAAAACATGAGATGTAAAAAAGCAATAGGAAAGAATATTTGCAACAAAAACTACAAAAGAAGAAAATACAGTCAATACATGGGTTTATGCAAATAAACAAGAAAACACAAAAATATTAATATTATTAAAAGTTGAACAAGAGAAAAAAGTTTTTAACAGCCCACAGAGAAAATAAAACTGGTTAATAAACATGAAAAAATATTCAATTTCAGTAGTAGTATAACAAATGCAATCAAAACTGAAATTTCCCCTCTACCAAATTAGCAAGCCAGCACTCCCATACACTCCTCTTGGGAATATAAACTGGTTCTACTTCCTGGAAAGCAATTTCATACTACTTGTCAAGAGACTTCTGACTCAGTAATTCCTCATCTAAGCATCTATCCTTGGAGAAAAACCTACGCATTCATCAAAATAAGAATGTTAAATTTGATACGTTCATACTGTGATGAATAGTCGACCTCCATGAGAACATAGTCTCTGAATCCCCAGGACCTGCTACATTAGTAAGGATCAACAAGTATTTGTTAACTGACTCTGGAATTCTATGTGGTAGCTAAAAAATAAAAAGGAGTTCCAATTATGACTTAGAAAGATATCCTAGACCTGTTAAATGAAGAAAACAAGGTGAAAAAGAGGATGTACAAGCTGATCCCATTGATGTAAAACTAAAACCAGAACCAAAACAAACAACAAATATAAAACCTTCTCCCTTGTATTAGCCTGTTCTCACACTGCTGTAAAGAACTGCCAACACTGAGTAATGTATAAAGAACAGAGCTTTAATTAACTCACAGTTCTTCATGGCTGGGGAGGCCACAGGAAACTTATAATCATGGCAGAAGGTGAAGGAGAAGCAGACACCTTCTTCACAAGGCAGCAGGAGAGAGAGAGAAGCCCAGGGGAAACTGCCATTTATAAAACCATCAGATCTCATGAGAACTCCCTCACTATCATGAGAACAGCATGGGGGAAACTACCCCCATGATCTAGTCACCTCCCACTAGGACCCTCCCTCAACACCTGGGTATTTGGGTGGGGACAGAAAAACAAACCATATCATCCCTGTTCCTCTTCATCTCTCTGTGTATGTGTAAATGCATAGACAAACATAAAAAAAGGTGCACACACTAAGCCCATAAGCATGATTATGTTTGGGAAGGAGATGGGGATGTCCAGGAAGAGCAGATTTGGAGGGAAATTTTGTTGTCTGAATGGTTTTACATATAAATATATTCTCAGACTACTTGTTGTATTAGTCTGGTTTTACACTGCTGTAAAGAAGAAGGCACCTTCTTCGCAAGGTGGCAGGAGACAGAGCAAAGGGAGAAGTGCCATTTTTATTTTTATTTGTTTATTTTTTTTAGAAGGAGTTTCACTCTTGTTTCCCAGGCTGGAGTGCAATGGTGCGATCTTGGCTCACCGCAACCTCCACCTCCCGGGTTCAAGCAATTCTCCTGCCTCTGCCTCCTGAGTAGCTGCGACTACAGGCGCCCGCCACCCCGCCCGGCTAATTTTGTGTTTTTAGTAGACACGGGGTTTCTCCATGTTGGCCAGGCTGGTCTCGAACTCCCAACCTCAAGTGATCCGCCTGCCTCAGCCTCCCAAAGTGCTGGGATTACAGGCATTAGCCACTGTGCTCAGCTGGAAGTGCCACTTTTAAAACAATCAGATCTTGTGAGAACTCACTCACTACCATGTGGACAGCATGGGGGAAACCACTTCCATGATTCAATCACCTCCCACCAGGTCCCTCCCTCAACATGTGGGGATTACAATTTGAGATGAGATTTGGGTGAGGACACAGAGCCAAACCATATCATTCTGCCCCTGGCCCCTCCCAAATCTCATGTCCTTTTCACATTTCAAAGCTAATCATGCCTTCCCAACAGTCCCCCAAAGTCTTAACTCATTCCAGCATTAACCCAAAAGTCCAAGTCCAAAGTCTCATCTGAGACAAGGCAAGTCTCTTCCACCTATGAGCCTAAAACAAAAAACAAGTTAGTTACTTCAAAGATACAATGGGGGTACAGGCATTGGGCAAATGTTCCCATTCCAAATGGGAGAAATTGACGAAAACAAAGGGGCCACAGGCCCTATGCAAGTCCAAAACCCAGAGGGCAGTCATTAAATCTTAAAGCTCCAAAATGATCTCCTTTGACTCCATGTCTCACATTCAGGGCACACTGATGCAAGAGGTGGGCTCTCAAGGCCTTGGGCAACTCCGCCCCTGTGGCTCTGCAGGGTACAGCCCCCACAGATGCTTTCAAGGGCAGGTATTGAGTGCCTGTGGCTTTTTCAAGCACATGGTGCTAGCTGTCAGTGGATCTACCATTCTGGGGTCTGAAGGCCAGTGGCCCTCTTCTTACAGCTCCACTAGGCAGTGCCCCAGTAGGGACTCTGTATGGGGTCTCCAACCCCACTCCTGGTACCAATTTTGTATATTAGTCCATTTTCACACTGCTATAAAGAGCTGCTGAAACTGGGTAATTTAGTAACAAAAGAGGTTTAATTGCATCACAGTTCTGCATGGCTAGGGAGGCCTTAGGAAACTTACAATCATGGCAGAAGGTGAAGAGGAAGCAGACACCTTCTTCACAACGTGGCAGGAGAGAGATAGCAAAGGGGGAAATGCCACTTTTAAAACCATCAGATCTCATGAGAACTCACTTACTATCATGAGAACAGCACGGGGCAAACTGCCCCCCATGATCCAATCACCTCCCACCAGGTGCCGCCCTCGACACGTGAGGATTACAATTAGAGATGAGATTTGGGTGGGGATACAGAGCCAAACCATATCACTTGTATACTTTTAAAAAGTTTTATAAAGGATGTATATGCAAAGATGTTTATGATAGCATCATTTGCAGTGATTAAAGGTTAAAAACAACCCCTTAGGAGAATAGTTACATACATGCTGGTCACAGCATTTCACGTAGACATAGTAAGTTGTGCTTTGAATGAAGAATTGACAGGAAATGACAGGGTGGATTGTTATGTGAAACACACAAAGATTCAATGCAAAAAATATAGGCACACTCTACCAGAAACATTAAGGAAAGTTGTTTTCACTAAAAGCAAGTGATCCCAGAGAATACTTTGATTCTACACAGAAAAACCGAAGAGCATCAATAAAGGTAATTATGTAGGTGATTATAAGAGAAAATTGAAACACATATTTCTTTCCCTTTCTTCTTTTTTATAAAAGCAATTGTATAAAATAATATATATATATAATTGTATTGTTAGGCCCACAACATAAAGTAATGTAATATATTTGGCAATAACAACACAAAGGAAGTAGATGGTAGCAAAATCATATTGGAGTAAGTAAGTAACACCAGAGAGTAGCTCATATCTAAAGGAGTAAATGAAGAGAACCAGAAAAGGTAAATAAGGTTAGTATAACAGACTCTATAAATATCTACTTGCTTTCTTTTCTTCTCTTCTTTAAAAGACATAAAATGATATGAAGTAATAATTATAATAACATACTGTTGGATTTCTATTATATACACATATTATATATGTAACAACAATGGCACCAAAAAAAGGAAGGAGAAAATAGGGCTATGTAGGAATAAAGTTTCTATATGTTACTATAATTAATTTAGTATAAATCTGAAGTTAATTCCGATAAGCTAAGATATATATGGGAACACCTACAGCAACCACTAAGAAAACACCTCAAAAATGCACTGCAAAAAAAATCATTCAAGGAATTAAAATGTTACGCTAGGAAATAATCACTTAATGCAACAGAAAGCAGCAAAGGAGAATAGAGGAACAAAGACAAGAGGCAGAAAACACAAAAACCAAAATGGCAGATATAAATGCAATTACATCAATAATGACAGTAAATGTGAATGAATTAAACAAGGTAGTCAAAAGGCAAAAATTGCCACTATGCTAAAAACAGGATTACATGCTGTCTATAAGAGACACACTTTAGATTTAAATATTCAAATAGGTTGAAAGTTAAAGGGTAGAAAAAGATATACCATGCAAACAGCAGTCATAAGAAAGCTGAAGTGGCAATACTAATTTCAGACAACATAGATTTTTAAGAAATGGTTCTAGAAATAAAGAGGGACATTTTACAATGATAACAAGGTCAATCAATCAGGGAGATATAACAATTATAAACATATCTCTGCACTTAACAATGGAGTTCCAAAACATATCATGTGAAAAATAACAGAACTAAATGAAGAAATAGACAATTCAACAATAATAGCTAGAGACTTCAATATCCTACTTTCAATAATTAATAGAATTAGGCAGAAGATCAACAACAAAAAAGGAAGACTTGAACAACACTATAAACCAACTAGACTTAACAGATACCTATAAAACATTTTACTAAACAACAGCAGAATACATATTGTTTTCTAATGTGCAGAGAACATTTTCCAGGATGCATGATGTGGTATTAGCCCTATTCTTTTTCTTTTTTTGTTGTTGTTGAGACAGGGTCTCACTCTGTCACCCAGGTTGGAGTGCAGTGGCACAATCTCAGCTCACTGCAACTTCTGCCTCCCGGGTTCAAGCAATTCTCCTGCCACAGCCTTCCATGTAGCTGAGACTACAGGCAAGTGCCACCACACCTGGCTGATTTTTGTATTTTTAGTAGAGACGGGGTTTCACCATGTTGCCCAGGCTGGTCTTGAACTCTTGGCCTCAAGTAATCCATCCGCCTCAGCCTCCCAAAGTTCTGGGAACATAAGCGTAAGCCAACTTGCCCGGCCAGCCCTACTCATCTCAATAAATTCTAAAAAGATTGAAAATTTTTTTCAACTTTTATTTTTTAGATTCAGAGGATTCATGTGCAGGTTTGTTACATGGGTATATTACATGATGCTGAGGTTTGGGATCTGACTAATCCCATCACCCAGGTAGTGAGCATAGTATCCAATAGGTAGTTTTTCAACTGATGCCCCATTCCTCTCCTCCCTCTCCCATCTAGTAGCCCCCTCATGTCTATTGTTCACGTCTTTATGTCCATGTGTACTCAATGTTTAGCCCTCACTTATAAATGAGAGCATGCAGCATTTGGTTTTCTGTTTCTGGGTGAATTTGCTTAAGATAATGGCTTCGGCTGGGCATGGTGGCTCATGCCTGTAATCCCAGCACTTTGGGAGGCCCAGGTGGGCAGATCACAAGGTCAAGAGTTCAAGACCAGCCTGACCAACAGGGTGAAACCCCATCTCTACTAAAAATATAAAAATTAGCCAGGAGTAGTGGTGCGTGCCTATAATCCCAGCTTCTCAGGAGGCTGAGGCAGGAGAACCACTTGAACCCGGGAGGTAGAGGTTGCAGAGCAGAGATGGCGCCATTGCACTCCAGCCTGGGTGACAGAGTGAGACTCCATCTCAAAAAAAAAGATAATCGCCTCCAGTTGCATTCATGCTGCAACAAAGGGCATGATTTCATTCTCTTTTTAATGGCTCTGTAGTATTCCATGGTGTATATATACCGTATTTGCTTTATCCAATAAAAGGTTTGAAATTATGCAAAGAATATTCTCTGACCACAATGGTATTAAATTAGAAATCCACAAATATGTGGAAATTAAACAACAGATTTTTAAATAACAAATGAATCAGAGAAAAAATCACAAAGGAAATTAGAAAATGTTTTGAGGCAAATGAAAATGAAAGCCCAACGTACAAAAGAAACTGAAAATGACCTAAATAAATGGAAATTGATTAAAAACTTAATATTGTTAGGCTAGCAATACTCCCCAGATTGATCCACAAATTCAATGTCATTCCTTTCAAAATCACAGCTGGCCTTTTTGCAGAAGTTGACAAGCTAATCTCAAAATTCATATGAAAATTCAACAGTCCCAAAAATAATCCAATCTTGAAATAGAAGAATGAAGTTGAGGATTCATACTTGCCAACTACAAAACTCACAAGAAAGCTACAATAATCAAGATAGTGTGGTATTGGCTCCAGGATAGACATATAGATCAACAGCATGTAATTCAGAGTTAGAAGTAAACCATACTTACAGTCAATTGATTTTTGACAAGAGTGTCAAAACAATTCAGTTGGGGGAGAATAATTTATCCAACAGATGGTACTGGAACAATTGGATAGCCTACTGAATAAAGTAGGACCCCTATCTCACACCATCTACAAAAATTAAATCAAACTAGATCAAAGACATCTTAAATGTATGAGCTAAAACTATAAAACTCTTAGAAGAAAAGATAGGTGAAACTCTCAGAAAAGATAGGTGAAATCTTTCTGACTTTCAGTTAAGCAATGGCTTCTTAGATCTAACATGAAAAGCACAGCAACAAAAGGAAAAATAGATACACTGAACTTCACCAAAATTAAAAACTTCTGTGCTTCAAAGTACACCATCAAGAAAGTGGAAAGACAGCCAGCCCGCAGAATAAGAGATAATATTTACAAATCACATATCTTATAAAGGAATTGTAACTACAATGTATAAAGAATGCCTACAACTCAATAATTTAAAAGACTAATAACCCAACTAAAAATTGCCAAGGACTTGAATGATCTTCCCAGGAAGATACATAAATGGCCAATAAATACATGGAAAGATACTTAACATAATTGTCTATCAAGAAAATGCAAATCAAAGCCACAATGAGATGCCACATAAAAAAGATAGCTAATAATAAGTGCGGACAAGGATGTGGAGAATCTAGAATAACACTGGTACACTGTTAATGGGAATGTAAAATGGTGCAGCATCTTTGAAAGAAAAAAGTCTAGAAGTTTCCCCAAAAGGTTAAACATAGAGTTACCATTTGACCCAGAAATTCTATTCCTAGGCATGTACTTAAGAGAAAAACAAACACATATGTCCATATAAAAACTTGTACACAAATCTTCATAGCAGCATTATACACAATAGCCAAAAAGGTAGAAACAACCCAAATGTCCATCAACTGATGACCATATAAATAAAATGTGGTATATTAATGCCATGGAATACTATTGGCCATAAAAAGGAATGAAGTGCTAACTAATACATCCTATAATATGAATGAAACTTGAAAATATTATTCTAAGTGAAAGAAGCCAGATACGAAAGGCTGTGTATTGTATGGTTTCATTTATTATGAAATGTCCAGAATAGGCAAATCTTTAGAGGCAAAAATAGGTAAGTGATTGCCTAGGGATGGGAGGAGGTTAGAGTTAGAGGGAAATCGAATGACTCCTAATGGATATGAGGTTACTTCTTGGGGTGATGAAAATGTTATAAAACTTATTATTATGGTTATACAAGTCTATGAAATACTAAAAATCATTGAATTGTATACTTTAAATGGGTGACTTGTATGGTATGTAAAGTATATCTCAATAAAGCTGTTATTTTAAAAATATAGAAAAAAATCTACAGAGAAAATTATTGAATAATAATTAACTTTGGTTAATTACCATTAACCAGAGATTACAGATGGTTTTTAGTTCTTCTTTGTATAGTTCTGCATTTCCTAAATTCTCTATTACCATATAATGTTATGTTATCAGAGAGTTATAAATATTTCAAAATAATTATTTACTCATTCAACAAATACTTTGTAAACACTTTCCAGGAGATAAGCACTGAGATTCAGAAAATAATGTAAGTCCCTCCTTGTGTTAGGCCATTCTCGCATTACTATAAAGGAATACCTGAGACTGGGTAATTTATAAAGAAATGAGGTTTAGTTGGCTCACAGTTCTGCAGGCTGTACAGGAATCATAGTGCCAGCATCAGCTTCAGGGGAGGCCTCAAGAAGCCTACAATCATGGTGGAAAGCAAAGGGGAATAGGCATCTCACAAGGCGGGAGGAGGAGCAAGACTGGGGAGGTGCCACACATTTATAAATGACCTGATCTTGTGAGAACTCACTATCACCAGTGCAGCCGCAAACCATGAGGGATCCACCCCATGACCCAAACACCTCCCACCAGACCTCATCTCCAACATTGGAGATTACCATTCAACATGAGATTTGGTGGGGACATATATTCAAACTATATCAACAAGCATGGCACCAACATCTGCTCAGCTTCTAGTGAGGGCCTCAGGAAGCTTACAGTCATGATGGAAGGTCAAGTGGGAGCAAGGTGAGGGTGTTGTGCCACACTTTTTTAAACAACCAGACCCTGTGTGAACTCAGAATAAGAACTTACTTATCACCAAGAAGATGTGCTAACCGCTTAATGAAGGATACGCCCTCATGATCCAATTGCCTCCCATCAGGCCCCACCTCCAACATTGGGAATCACATTTCAACATGAGATTTGGAGGGGATAAACATCCAAACCATATCACTCCTCTCATAAACCTCAAAAAGTAAGGCAGATGACATGAAGGTTTAGAGAGTGCTGTAACACAGTTGCATACAAGGTACAGTGGTGGATGAAAAGTTCTGGTGCTATTTGGAAAGGTAAGAAGGCTGTAGGGGGGTTAAAACAAAAAAAGCTTGAGTTGAGTCTTGAAGGATACGTAGGGGTTCTCCAGGTGGATGAGGTGGAGAAGGGCATTCTGGGAAGAGAACAGTATGTTCAGAGGCTCTGATGTAAAGTATCCTGACCTGCTTGGTAATTGTGTGATTCGTTAGGTATGTCTGGATTTTAAAGCCTGTTGGGAGGTTGCAGTGGGGGTAGAGGGAGGCCAGCAAGATAAGGCTAGTAGGGTGAGCTGTGCTAAGGGGGGAGGACTGAGCACATTCAGCAAAGGTAGCGTTCTATTGCATTTATGGCTGCATTCAGCAGAGACCAGACATTACCTTAAGAAGCCTTCAAGGAGTACATTGTTAAGAGAGAACGGCATCTGTGGGATAAATAGAAAGAGGCTCATTTTACTTTAACTACACCCCAGAAAGATCTAAGCAATGATCTCAGGCTGGAAAGAACCAAACCTTTGGCAGAACCGTCTAAAACCCAGGCGCTGAGGATTTGCCGTGGTGTCCACCTTGGGTCCCAATTGCTTCTGTTGTTGCTTTTATCAGGCCTTTTTCTCATGGTTACTGAGCACCCAGTATTTGCAGGCCTGCTTTAAAATAACAAGATAGAGTATCACCACTACCTCAGTTAGTCTCATTATTGAGGGATTTCAGATACAGGGTTCTGACGCAGAGCAACTGAAGGTAGCAAAGCAAACAACACAATGTGCTAAGAGAGCAGTTTCCCTTTTACAAAATAGTAATGATATGGAATTATTTTCACCAAGTAATTCTCTTTTTTTTTTTTTTTTTTTTTGAGATGGTCTCACCCTGTTGCCCAGGCTGGAGTGCAGTGGCGTGATCTCAGCTCATTGCAACCTCCGCCTCCCAGGTTCAAGCAATTCTCCTGCCTCAGCCTCCCGAGTAGCTAAGATTACAGGCACGTGCCACCACACCCAGCTAATTTTTGTGTTTTTAGTAGAGACTGGGTTTCACCATGTTGGCCAGGCTGGTCTCAAACTCCTGACCTCTGGTGATCCACTCGCCTGGGCCTCCCAAAGTGCTGAGATTACAAATGTGAGCCACCGCGCCCGGCCCTCAATAAATTCGTAAGCTTTGAAGGGCTGAATCCTGAGTTTGACAATTTTGGCTAAACCTGGGACTTGGTTAAAGACTAAGTAACTGTACCTTTATTTCAATTGCATGAACTAGAAAACTACAAAACAAGTGAAGACATGCACTGAGAAAGTGGAGTATACTATGACGGTAAATAGAAACTTTTTTTAGCATTTTAATGACAGAGAGAGATTGTGTGTGTATGACACATCAACAACAAATAAATAAAAGAACTGGTGAGGATAGATGAGTCACTGAGAATGTTTAAAACTATTTGGCTCCCCCAGGAGATGACCAGATAGTCAGTGAATGATTCAGCATGGGAAATAACCAGTAAGAGCAAATGCGAATGCTAAAGGGATATGAAAGAAATCTCAGAGATGGGGAAAACACTGGGGTCTTCACTTGCCACTGAGAGTTTTAAAAAGATTATCTCAGGGGATTAGTAAAAGGCAGGGCTTCAACCTGCTTGTTCTAAAGGTAGCTCATAAGGTATAGTCGAGAAAGAACAGGAAGAAGCATTAGTCACTATATTTAGCTATTAACCCAAGAAGATTGTTTCCACAAAGAAACCTCTTGTTAGGTCTTGTTTTAGGGTTCTATCTTTAGTATGAAATCAGAAACAACTTTGCCCACACAGTGGCATACTGTGTACTTCTACTTATTTTACCCTGCCCCCAACTTAATGGGAGCAACTTAATGGGTTCCAGCAATTTCTGATGCCTGCAGCATTCATGTATCACACTCTGTTCTGCTCTTATAAAACAGTGCCTTCCAGAGTGACTTGGGTGATGAGTATTGTCTTAGTCTGTTTGTGCTGCTATAACAAAACACCTAAGAACTGGTAATTAACACATAATAGATTTTTTTTTTTTTTTAGATGGAGTCTCTCTCTGTTGCCAGGCTGAGTGCAGTGGTGCAATCTCGGCTCACTACAACCTCCGCCTCCCGGATTCAAGTGATTCTCCTGCCTCAGCCTCCCTAGTAGCTGGGACTACAGGTGCCTGCCACCACACCTGGCTAATTTTTTGTATTTTAAGTAGAGACAAGGTTTCACCATGTTGGTCAGGATGATCTCAATCTCTTGACCTCGTGATCCACCCGCCTTGGCCTCCCAGAGTGCTGGGATTACAGGCGTGAGCCACTGCGCTTGGCCAGAAATGTATTTTTCATAGTTCTGGAAGCTGGGAAGTCCAAAGTCAAAGCGCTGGCAGGTTTCGTGTCTGGTGAGGGCCTAGTCTTTGCTTTCAAGATGGCACCTTGACCTCTGTGTCCTCATGTGGTGGAAGGGATGGAAGGATAACAAGGGACAAACACTAGTTTCCTCCAGACCTTTTACAAGGCGGCTAATCCCATTCATGAGGCTTTCACTCTCATGACTTAATTACCTCCTAAAGACCCCACCTATTAATATTCGTGATTAAGACCAGGCGCAGTGGCTCAGGCTGGGTGGGGTGGCTCACACCTGTAATCCCAGCACTTTGGGAGGCTGACGTGGGTGATCACCTGAGGTCAGGAGTTCAAGACCAGCCGGGCCAACAAGACAAAACCCTGTCTTTACTAAAAATACAAAAATTAGCTGGACATGGTGGTGTGTGCCTGTAATCCCAGCTATTTGGGAGGCTGAGGCAGGAGAATCGCTTGAGCTCGGGAGGCGGAGGTTGCAGTGAGCTGAGATCGCGATTGCACTCCTGCGTGGGCAGCAGAGCGAGACCCTGTCTCAAAAAAAAAAAAATTCATGATTAAATGTCAACTTGTGAATTTTAGAGGATGCATTTAGACCACAGCTAGTACCTAGAGGGTAGTGCCCATGTCTCTATACAGCATTTTAAATGGCATCTTACATGTTCACCCAGAGACACCATAAATATTGGTTGGTGCTTGTGTAAGTCCGTTTTCACACTGCTATAAAGAACTTCCCGGTGCAGCACACCAGCATGGCACATGTATACATATGTAACTAACCTGCACATTGTGCACATGTACCCTAAAACGTAAAGTATAATAATAATAAATTAAAAAATAATGATAATAAATAAATAAATAAAAAGAACTTCCCTGAGACTGGGTAATTTATAAAGGAAAGAGGTTTAATTGATTCACAGTTCCACATGGCTAGGGAGGCCTCAGGAAACTTATAATCATGGCTGCAGGTGAAGGGGAAGCAAGGCACGTCTTACATGGCAGCAGGAGAAAGGAGTGAGTGAGAGGAGGAAAACTTCTTGGCACTTAAACCATCAGATCTCGTGAGAACTCCCTCACTATCACGAGACCAGCCTGGGAGAAGCTGCCCCCATGATCCAATTGCTTCCCACCAGGCCCTTCCCTGACATTTGGGGGTTACAATTCGAGATGAGACTTGGGTGGGGACAAAGAGCCAAATGCTATCAGTGCTGCAGGTTATCCAGGCAAGAGTAAATATCCTTGTTGAATTTCAAACTCTAAACAGCAAAGTTATCATGCTACTTTGAACCTAAAATGGATTCCTTTTTTAAGAACTGAAAGTGATTTTTTTATTTTAAAAAATCCACCTAAACTAGTCATGGCTCAAACCTTCCATAAGTTTATAGGGCTGAATCCTGAACTTGACATACAGATTCCATTATCCAGTTGCCCTCAGTTAGGTAAATAGGTGGAGGAAGCTGGGTGTGTGTGCTTGAGCGATTTCTGAGTGAGATGTGCCTGGCAGTCTTGGCCTGTTCACTACCCCTTGCCTCATCCCTCTTATAGGCACATCCTGCCTTCCCACTTAAGGGCAGGAAGTGTGAGACCAGCTTTCCTAGGCTTTCTTCCAACCAGAGTATTGGCATAGAAGCCAGTCTTGGCCAATTGTGAGCTCAGGAGACACTCAGCTAGGGTTTTTTTGTTTTGTTTTAAAGGTTTCCTTTATAAGGAAAAGAGACCAGTAAAAAGACATCTCTTCTTCACTGGTCGTGTATCTGCATGTGACATGTGTGAGCCTTTGGAGGCATCAGTAGGTATGAGTGCAGCATCATAGCTGACATGCCAATGATGTCAGAGAGGACAGGTGGAAGACATTAACAGTAAAGGAGCAAGAGTCTCCGACAACACTTTTGTGCCTCTGTATGAAACCTGGAACTACCCTACCTCAGACCTCTTAATTGAGATATAAATTCTTAGTTGAAGCGACTATTAGTTGGGTCTTCTATCACTCACCACTGACATCATCCCCACAGAATCAGGGCACACTACCAAGGTGCATTCCTTATCTAAAGAAATCAGCAGCCCTCAGCTCCTGTGGGTTGCTGTCAGATAAGGATTTTACAAGAAGAGCCAGAAATCAAGATTTTTGTATAAAACTCCAGAGTTTTAAATGTTGGCTCAAACTAAAGAAAATTGTGCAGGCCAAACAAAACATATCTGCAGGCCAAGTTCAACCTACAGGCTGACAATTTTCAGCCTCAATCTAAGTAAGAGTTGTTGTAAGAACTAAATTAAATGAGTTTAAAATAAGATCAGTAATAATAATAGCAAGTACTCACATCACACTTAATATGTGTCAGGCACTATTCTGCTCGCTTCACCACTTTGGTGTTCATATGTTAACTGATTTAAGTCTCAGAACAACCTTATGAGGGAGGTGTAATTACTACCTCTATGTTACAGATAAAGAAAGTAAGGATAAGAGGTGTTAAGTAGGCTGGGCATGGCAGCTCATGCTTATAGTCCTAGCACTCACTTTGGAAGGCCAAGGTGGGAGGATTGCTTGAGGCCAGGGGTTCAAGACCAGCCTGAACAGCATAGTGAGACTCCATCTCTACAAAAAAAAAATTTTTTTTTAATTAGCTGGGCATGATGGTGTGTGCTTGTGGTCCCAGGTACTGGGGAGACTAAGGCAGGAGGATCTCTTAAGCCTGACCGTTCGAGGCTGCAGTGAGCTATGATTGTTCCACTGTGCCTGGGTGATAGAGTGAGACTCTGTCTCAAAAAAAGGAGAGAGAGAAGTTAAGTAACCTTGTTCTGGTCATACAGTCATGAAGAAGTGGGGCAGGGATTTGAACCTAGACCCAGGCAATCTGGATTCAGATTTCACCTCTCTTAATCAATGCATTATGCTTGCAGTACAAGCTTCTGATCCATGATAGACAGTCTGTGTAATTTCCCTTCCCAACATCCCCTCAGGTGCTTTGAGGCAACTTCAGAAACAGAACTGGGGATTTTCTGATGCTAAAGAAAGACAGTTTGGTATTTTAAATACTAACAAAAGTTGTCATTTCAATTAGGTATCTCAAAAACTACTGTGATGTCTAGATAGGTGATCAGTATAATGATACATGGAATCTATATAGTCTTGACTAGGAGTTGGAACAGTCACGAGGACGTATATGCTCAGCTCTTGGTCGCCAAAGGACAAGAGTTGCACTGAAGATGGTGAAATGTTACATCTTCAGAGAAGACCACCAACCTCCCATCATGACTGCAGCTCTCCTCACCTGGGCTCCCAAGTAGTGCAGACTTGGATAGATGGATATGGCTGGACGAATGGATAGATGAATGAGTGGGCTTCCCAAAGGTATCCATCTATCTGCATATACCAGGAGACACTGTTATTTTGACTCTTCCATTACAAGATGAATTACAAAATAGAGTGTCAAAGTTAAACTTATCTGGTGTAGTTAACAATTGTAGTGTTTAATCAAATCTTCACTAAGCATTCCCTAAAAAAGAGCTTAGTGAAGGAAATTGATTCCATAGGAATAAATGTCGCTCCAGGCCAGGCATGGTGGCTCATGCCTGTAATCCCAGCACTTTGGGAGACTGAGGCGGGTGGATCACCTGAGGTCAGGAGTTTGAGACCAGCCTGGCCAACATGGCAAAACCCTGACTCTACTAAAATACAAAAATTAGCCAGGCATGGTGGTGCATGCCTGTAATCCCAGCTACTGGGGGGCTGAGGCAGGAGGATTGCTTGAACCTGGCAGGTGGAGGTTGCAGTGAGTCGAGATCGTGCCACTGCACTCCAGCCTGGGGCAACACAGCAAGACTCCATCTCAAAAAAAAAAGAGAAAAAAAGAAAAGAAATGTAGCTCCAAACTCTTCAGGACAACATTGATATTGAGGCGATGGGGGATGCCATCCACCCGAATGTCCACAATAGAAAATGATTTAAATTTTGGTACAGCCATAGAATTGACTATTAGACTACCATCAAAACATTGTTTACAAATTATGTGTAATAAAAAATACTTATGATCCAATATTAAATGAGAAAATGATACAAGTTGTTTATACAGTATATGTAAAAATGTATCATTTAAGTGATTTTTTTTCTTAAACAAAAAAAGACATTGAAAATGAGTTATATAAGACAGGTAAGTAAACCAGCAAATATTTATTGATTACCTGCAATAAGGATACAAAGTAATAGACAAAAGAAAACACAAAAATTTCCAATTCCAAGATATTTCAATATAGTTGAGGAGATGAGAAGCTCTCAAATAATTAGATTATGAAGAAATAGATGGCAATTGAAACGTGAAGATATATAACAGTTGCTATAATATCCAGAAGAGAGAAAGATTACCTTTGGCTGTGGTGATCCAGGGCAGGCTGTGAAGAGGAGGAGCATGAGCTGAACCAGAAGTTAACTGGGATTTAGGCAGGCTATAGAGCATTCCAGGCAGGAATGGGAGGGATGCAGGTTCCAGGCTGATGCAAGTATGGAAACATGCAATATATGTTTAGTGTAATGCAAGGGAAAAACACTTGGAACCTCAGTTGGAATCCTGGCTCCATGATTTCTCTTTAATAGGGTATGGTAACCTCTAAGGTCTCAGGATCATCAGCCATATACAGGGACAGTAAGGTATCTCATAGGATTCCTGTGTGGATTAAACAAGATTATTTATATATGATGCCCACATGGCACCCACTAGGAGCTTCCTAAATGTTAATTCCTGTGGATATCCCTTTGTCTTTCTCTTCAGCTTTCTTTGTTGTTCATTTATTCATTCATTCGATCAACCATTCATTTAATCAGCATGTGGGAGCACCTATGTAGCAAGCAATGTAGGGTTGGCTAGGCTCTGTTTGCTCCGATCCTGCCCTGTGCCCCACCCTTCCTGCCCTGTTCTGGGGCCCCAGAGTCTGACCCCTATGGACTGTGTAAGGCTCTCTTGCTCTCTGGCTTCCAGTTGGGCTTGGCCAGGAAATAATGGCAGGAAATCTGAAGGTGGGAGGAGGAAGAAGCGGGGCAACTTACCCAGTCACCGCTTGTCCCCTGCGTTGCCATGGCTGTGGTGGGTAGCTCCTCTCCCATAGCCTCCGCTCTTACCATCTCCAAACACAGCTCTGCACTCTTGCCCCTTCAGTTCTACCGGTGGGGATAGCTTTCCACAGTGGTAGGCCCTGGGTGCCGCATCATGTGTTCTCTTAACCCTGCCCACGTTTCTGTACCTGGTTCCTTTCTCAAATTCCCTTCAGTTAAACTCCTTTAAGAATGCCATCTCACTGGGTGTGCTGGTGTGTGCCTGCAGGCCCAGCTACTCTAGAGGCTGAGTGGGAGGATCACTTTAGCCCAGGAGTTCAAGTACAACCTGGGCAACATAGTGAGACGCCTTGCTGGTACCCTGACTGATACAAACCATAAACAAGGTAGACAACATCCTTGCCCTTATGGGGCTTATGTTCTGGTAAA
Organism: Homo sapiens; assembly: GCF_000001405.40. Taxonomy (NCBI): domain Eukaryota; kingdom Metazoa; phylum Chordata; class Mammalia; order Primates; family Hominidae; genus Homo; species Homo sapiens. The sequence continues at coordinate 93,618,788 of NC_000012.12, read as the reverse complement.
CAACCATATTAACATAATAGCTTTGGATACAGTGAAGAAAATAAAGTAAAGTAGTGAGACAATGACATAGAATGGCTGAGAGGGGCTACTCGAGGGAATGATATTTGAGCTGGGACCTAAGGAATCAGAGGGAGCCAGCAATCCAAAGATCTGGGAGACTTCTATTTTAGGCAGTAGAGGCATACATGTAAAAGCCCTAAGGCTAGGACAGGCATGTGGTGTTGGGAGAATGAAAAGAGGCCAGTGGGGCTGAGACTGGTGAGCTGGGGAAGGGTGGTGGGCAGCTGGTCAGAGAGGCAGGTGGGGACTGGTCAAGGATGGACACAGTGAGCCATGGAGAAGGATTTGGACTTTAAGAGTGTCAGGAAGTCTTCGAAGGGCTTGGGTGGGAGGCCTGGGGGAAAGGAGAGTAATTTGAGCCATATTTAAAAACTATCATCTTCTGATTTTCTACTGGGTTGGTGTCTTAGTGCATTCTCACACTGCTATAAAGAAAAATACCTGAGACTGGGTAATTTATAAAGAAAAGAGGTTTCATTGGCTCACAGTCCTGCAGGCTGTACAGGAAGCATGGTGGCATCAGCTTCTGGGGAGGCCTCAGGAAACTTACAATCATGGCGGAAGGCAAAGGGTAAGCAGGCACATCTTACATGGCCAGAGCAGGCGGAAGAGAGAGTGGGAGGTGCCACACACTTTGAACAACCAGATCTCATGAGAACTCTATCACAACATCAGCACTAGGGGGTTAGTGCTAAATCATTCATGAGAAACTGCCCCCATGATCCAATCATCTTCCACCAGATCCCATTTCCAACACTGGGGATTATAATTTGACGTGAGATTTGGGTGGGGACACAGATCCAGACCATATCAGTAGACAAAGGATTACACATCAGGCAAGAGTGGAGGGTACTGCTCCTGTCCAGGCCGGAGTTACTAGTGGCATGATCTAGAGTGATGGCAGTGGAAGTGGAGAGATGTAAATGGATTTGAGGTCAACTTGCACTGTGATTCTGAACTATAACAATACTTCAGTCTTTCCCAACCAGTATCCTAGGCTCCTGGAAGATTGTGAAAACTCTATTTTTTTTTTTTACATTTATATGTTCATTTTGATTATTACATATTTTGAAGTAAATATAAATATGTGGAGTATCTGTATGGCCACTTTAGAGTGGAAGAGTATTATCACATAATTTCAGTGGCCCCATTTAATTTTATTTCTAAGACCTCCACAGTGCCAAATAATTGCCTACAATAACAGCATTTAACATACTGTGGTGTTTTTATTCAGACATAATATACTTAGAGGAAATACAACATTCATAGGTGCATAGTTCAATAAATTTTCACAAACTGAACATCTCCATAGAAGCAGCACAGTTTAGGAACTCAACATCACCAAGACTCCAGGAACCCCTCTCCTGTCCTCTCCAAGTCACTACTCCCACACCCTAGTTTAGTTTAGCTGGTTGTTGAAATTTATCAGTACCTGAGAAGAGGGGGAAATCAGGAGAAAGCAGATTGCTAAAAATCCCACCCTGGGATGTGGTTAGTATGGGATTCCCACCAGGAACAGGCCCACAATTTCTGTTCCTGCTTATTGCACCTGGTAATGAAGAACTGATCTCAGAGGCTTGCAACCAGGTTATCCCCAAAGCATAAGACAGTCTGCTTAGCATATCACAGTGATATAATTGTTTGCCTGATCCCCATCAATGGACACGGCCCAGCACAGCCACCTCGGTAGTACTGGGTTTGCATAATGTTTGTTGATTAAGGCTGTGACTCTTCTGTAGCCTTGTATATTCCCATGCCTTAGGTGAGTCATGAGAGGTTAACAATAAAACAGTGATGCCTTGACTTTTGGTTTTGCCAGGTCCAGACCAAAAGGTTTTTTCATTAATCGAGAAGAAACATCCAGCTGAATCAGCTTCTAGTCACATGTACTTCCCCATCTCCTGCCCGCCAATTCTTATTCATTAGACTGCCAGGGTTAAAACAGGGAAGCAGCCAAAGTTTGTTTTGATGTAACCCTTTCATTACCCCATGGCCTCATGCCTCCCACTTGTCCCCGGAGCACGTCACTGGATGCACACATACCCCCGCCCATTGAAATGCAGCCCATTGTCTCCCATTCCTGCCTAATTCTGCTCTCTGTTATGTGACAGTGGGTGGTATTGGGTTAATCAGAGGAATGCCCGATGTGGTTTGGTGGAAAGAGGACAGCATTTGAAAGTTAAGAAGCCTGCTTCTAGGTCTAATGTTGAATTCTTTAGGCTAACTAGTGGAAAGTGACAGAAACTTGACTGAGCAAGAAATAAACAGAAACCCCAGTAATTAATTAGCTCCTACAGAGATCAGAGGTCAGGCATGGTTGTATCAGGGTCTCCAATGATGTCATTATGAGAGACCTCAGTGCCAAACCAAGAAAACTGGATTTCATTCTCTCCATCTCTTGGTACTGCTTCCCTTGGCTGTCTGCCTCTGGTGACAAGATGGCTGTCTACAGTCTCAAGCTTGAATCTCATCCTCTCAGCAACCCCAATGGAGCACATAAACTTCTCTTTCCAATGTCCTGAAATCATGTCTCACTGGCTTTGATTGGCCTTCTGGGAACATAAGTCCTGGTGCTCTGATTGAAGAGGCCTAGTTCTCATGCTCATCCTGGATTTGGGAGTAAAGTCAGCACCAGCCAAAATGCTAGGACCAAGAGTGGGAAGGGCTGATTCCCCACAGGGCCTGAGGCAGGCTAAAGCAATGGATATCTTCCTTAGCCATGAATTAATCATGAGAGCTTGGACAAATCTTTCCACCTCTGAGCCTGGTTTATCTGTAAAATAAGAGGGATGGATCCTGTAACCTCTAAGGTCCTTTCTACTTTCACACTCTAGGCCAGGCTCAGTGGCTTACACCTGTAATCCCAACACTTTGGGAGGCCGAGGCGGGAGGATCACTTGAAGGCAGGAGTTTGAGACCAGCCTGGTCAACATGGTGAAACCCTGTCTCTACTAAAAATACAAAAATTAGCTGAACATGGTGGCTCATGCCTGTAATTCCAGCTACTTCAGAGGTTGAGGCATAAGAATCGCTTGAACCCAGGAGGTGGAGGTTGTAGTGAGATGACATGGTGCCACTGCACTCCAGCCTGGGTGACAGATCGAGACTCTGTCTCAAACAAAACAGAACAAATACTTTCACACTTTATAACTCCACCTAATATCCCTTGTAAATTATATGCTGTTTTCACTTCTCAGAGGAGAATACCTTAATCCAATTAAAATGAGGATCTGTAGTGACATAACTGCCTGTACAAGCCAATTGGGAGGGACAAGTTCCATGATAGACACAGGCCTTTTCTATCTACTCTGCAGGATCCCTGCCCAGGAATGTCACAGGAAAACAAGCCAGAGAGATTGGTGCCAGTGGAGAGAAACGGATGGAATCTGAAGCATCTATTCATTGATAAACTCAACCAACAATTATGATGTAATTCTTACATCTCAAGAGCTGTACTAGACTCTGGGAATGAACAATGAACCAAAAAAAGTCCTTGCTCTCTAAAACAACAGTCTTGAGGTGGGTGCAGACAAGTAGATCACTGATGAACAATTCAGAATGTCAAGCAAGGGCAGAGGCAGGATGATAAGGCAGCTCAGAAAAGGGGCACCTATCCCAGTGGGGGAGAGGGTTAAGGCATGAGGAGATAAGGAGAGATTCAGAGAAGTCATCCCAAAGAAGGAGATCCCAAACAGGGCCTGGAAAATTAAGTGGCAATGACAATTTCTCCCTAGGATCCTTTGCCGGCTGCTCAATGACCCTTATCAGTCTGTCTTTTTTTTTTTTTTTTAAATAGAAAATTGCTACATACAAGGCGCCGGGCGCTGTGGCTCATGCCTGTAATCCCAACACTTTGGGAGGCCGAGGCGGATGGATCACCTGAGGTCGGGAGTTCAAGACCAGCCTAGCCAACATGGTGAAACCCCATCCCTACTAAAATAGAAAGATTTGCCAGGCATGGTGGCAGGCGCCTGTAATGCCAGCTGCTCGGGGTCTGAGGCAGGAGAATCGCTTGAACCCAGGAGGCAGAGGTAGCAGTGGGCTGAGATCACACCACTGCACTCCAGCCTGGGCATTAGAGCCAGACTCCATCAAAAGAAAGAAAGAAAGAAAGAAAGAAAGAAAGAAAGAAAGAAAGAAAGAAAGAAAGAAAGAAAGAAAGAAAGAAAGAAAGAAAGAAAGAAAGAAGGAAGGAAGGAAGGAAGGAAGGAAGGAAGGAAGGAAGGAAGGAAGGAAGGAAGGAAGGAAAGGAAGGAAGGAAGGAAGGAAGGAAGGAAGGAAGGAAGGAAGGAAGGAAGGGAAAGAAAGGAAGAAAGAAAGAAAGAAAGAAAGAAAGAAAGAAAGAAAGAAAGAAAGAAAGAAAGAAGGAAAATTGCTATATACAAAGGAAATCTTGAATCCCTATACACCCAGAGTTGAGGGTAGGAGATTATTCCTAATGGTGTAAATTCTCAGAGCATCGTGTGTTTGGAGGAAAAACAAGGATATGTTTGAACACCAGGGCTGCCTTAGGCAGATGAGAAATAAGAAGTATTCATTGAGCTGTGACAATAACATCTACTTGATCAACCCAAAACCCTGGTTGAGAGAGCGAGTGGCTTCCAAGTCTGTCATGTATCAATGAATCAATGAAAAAAAAAAAATGGCTGGTTAACCTAGAAGTTTGACATTCTCAGTCCATTCCAAGTAAAGTGGATTCCTAATCATGTGGGCTAACAAGGACCTTTGCCAAACATCATGCAAAATGAGGAATAATTAAAAAACCTTTTATACTTGGCTTTGAAGTGTGTTCTATTCTTTTTTGGGAGGGTACCAGCTTTAAATTTCTTTTTATTTTTTTATTGCCTATTGACACGCTATAGTAGTATATGTTGATGGGGTACAAAGTGGTGTTATGATTTTGACTACAGTGTGGAGTGATTAAATTAAGCTAATTAATATATTATTGCCACCAATATTTAACATTTTTGTGATGAGAACATTAGAAAGTTACTTTCTTAACCAATATTGAAAGCCAGAGTACTCAATTGTTAACTATATTCAGCATGCTGTTCCGTTTCACTAAAAATTAAGTGGCAATGACAATTTCTCTTTAGAGTGTCACAATTCTTAAAGCTTGTTCACATCCGTTGTTTCATTTGAGCTTCTCAGTAGCCCGTCTCTGTGAGCTGGTTAACAAATGCCCACCTTCAGATAAAGAACTAAGGCTCGGAGACAGTATGCAGCTACTAAAGTGGTAGAACTAGGTCTCAAACTCAAGTCTTCTAGCTTGAATCTGTTTTTTTGCTTGTTTGTTTGTTTTTGTTTTTGGTTTTTTTTTCTGGGAGGGGCGGAAGGAGCAAAAAGAAAAAGAAAAAAAGGACCATAAAAACAAAAAACAGGGCTGCAGAAATAAAGCATTGACCGCAGTAGGCTGTACATGAGGATGAGAAATTACTAACGAAGAGGCTATTTTTCATATGGACTGAAAATGTGAGTTCTCCCTTTTTTCTATTTATACAGAAGCTTTGTTGTTTTAAAAGGCTCTTTATTCTCATTCAAAAGGAGAAAATACCTTCGGAAAGCCATGCAATGAGCAGAGCCTTCAGATATTGGCTTCCTCTGTTCCTTGGCATTGCCCTTTCTTGCAGGGCTCCACACAGGCTCTGATAGAAAGAAGTGCCGGAGTTCCTGAATTGGCCTCTAAACTAATTTAGCTGTTTTCCGTCTTTGTCTCTCAGCCACTTTCCTTGGGCTTCCTCCTCACTCCTTAGCTACAGCTAAGAGCTATTGCTAGGCAGAGATTTTACAAAAGGGAGGGGTAGGAGAAAAAGGGGCTGTAAAAGGGAAAAGGGAAGGAAATGAAGAGGAGTAAAATAGATCCCTGGGCAGAAACCCAAGAAATTCCCGTGTAGGGGTTACATTGCCTTTAAAGAAAGGAGAAGGGTGGGGCATAAAACAGAAATTACCAATGATACTACCACCATTGATTCATTGATTCATTTGTTCATTCATTTCACAGCTATCTGCTGACATCCTCCTGGTGCCAGGGACTATGATAGACTGAGAATATACACAATTGGAAAAAAACAATACAATTCCTCCCTATGTTGGGAGTACCATGGCACAAGTTGGGTTCCCTAGGAAGATGATTCTGAGACAGAGATTAGAATGCATAGTTTGCTTTAGGGAGTACACTTAGGATTAACACCATGGAAAGAAGTGAAGATAGCAGGATTGAGCAGGGGACAATGCCAAAATATGAAACTGGTTCAAAGGAAGCCTGGGCCAGCCTCACAAGGAGTTGTAAATATGGAATGACCTTTCAGTGTTGTCCTCAGTGTAGAGGAGGAAGACAGCCATGAAGTAATCACAGAAAAAAAAAAAGTACAATGGCACTGTGATTGGTGCTCCAAAGGACAGGTGCATGATACCATGGAAAAGTACCATGGAGGAATCAACCTAGACTGCAGGAGAGGTTGAATTTCAGGCAGGGGGAGTATTCATGGAAAGGCAGTGGGTTGGGAGGAAGTGTGAAGGGAAATGGACAGATCAGAGAAATTTTTTTAGTGCAAAATGGGCAGGTCTCATGTTTAGCAGTTTAGATACATCCTTTTATTTTGCTTCCAACCCCATGAAGTAGGTGTTGCTCACAGGGTCGTTCTAGCATCTCCTGGAATCAAAGAACAACATTCCCTGGAGCTACATGGAAAAGCTCCAATCCCAGAAATGACAAGGCCTGACTGAGAATTCAATCAAAAGTATAACCAGTAGATGGGGGCTGATCAAACAAAAAAAGCAGTTCTCTGAGCAGAGGGAGGAGTTGTAAAGAAAACAGAGAAGCAAACCAACGGAGGCCTCCTTTGTGATAGATGAAAAAAAAAATCAATATAAACTGAATATCAAAGGAAGTCTTACCAAATGTACACATAATAGTACTGATTATTGAAACAATACAATAAAATATTAGATTTTGTTTATTTCTGCAATCATTTAGCAATTCTGCATTTTGGGGACTGCAGAAATTGGATAAATTGTGCTGAAACATAAAATCAGAATAAAATATGACTCCTGGGGCTGCCAATAATTACAGTGTAATGAAAGAGAATTTTTTAAATACATTTTTGGTAAGCAATTAGGTGCTTTGGTTGCTATAGCTGATGGTGTGAAATTTGTTGAAATAATGCCGTCTGCAAAGCAAACATTGCTTCTTGGCCAGACGAGGTGGCTCATGCACATAATTCCAGCACTTTGGGAGGCCGAGGCAGGCGGATCACTTGAGGTCAGGAGTTAGAAACCAGCCTAGCCAACATGGTGAAACCCCGTCTCTACAAAAATACAAAAATTAGCCGGGCGTGGTGGCACACACCTGCAATCCCAGCTACTCAGGAGGCTAAGGCAGGAGAATCGCTTGAACCAAGGAGGTGGAGGTTGCAGTGAGCTGAGATCACACCACTGCACTCCAGCCTGGGTGGCAAAGTGAGACTCCGTCTCCTGTCTCAAAAAGAAAAAAAAATCATTTTTTGACAGTTCCTAATTAGAAAAGGGATATGTAAGCAAAATTTGCTCAGCAGAGGTCCCCACTTGAGTCTCTATGTGTCCACTGCAGATCTATGGTAATAACTGGCCAGAAGTTCATCTCCTGGCCAGTCTAGGCCAGGAAACTAGGGGGACTAGGACACCTCCTTGAAGATTTATAAAATGAGAGTTAAAACACCAGCCTCCTAGGGATGTAAGGAACCCTGTGGAGTTCTAAAAATTGAGCAATTCTCAACTTTTAGAAATAAAACACCAAGTATGGCCATTAGTATGATATTGTGAAAGTGTGTCTTAGTCCATTCCTATTGCTATTAAAAAAACACCTTAGACTGGGTGACTTAGAAACAACAGAAATTCATTGCTCATAGTTTCAGAGGCTGAGAAGTCCAAGATTAAGGATCTAGGAGATTCAGTGTCTGATGAGGGTCCATTCTCTGCTACAAAGATGGCACCTTATGGCCATGTTCTTACATGGTGGAAGGGCAGAAAACGGATGAACACTGTGTCTTCACATGGCAAAAGAGATGGCAGGGCAAAAACGGACTAGGGCACTCCCTTCTACCTCTTCTACGAGAGTACTGAGCCCATTCATGAACTGGAGTGCCCATGACTCAATCACTTTCCAAAAGGCCCTACTTCTTAATATTACCACATTGGGTATTAGGTTTCAACATATGGACTTTGGAGGAACACATGGATTCAAGTCATAGCACAATGTTACTCAAACTGTGGTCTCAGACACCCCTGCAGCACTTGGGAGCTTTGTCAGAAATACAAACTCACAGGCTCCCCTTCAGATCAGACCTGATGAATCAGAATCTCTAAAGGTGGGGGTCCAGGAAGTTGTGTTTGAACAAATCCTCCAGGCAGAGTGACCAACCATCCAGGTTAGCCCGGGACTGAGGGGTGTCCTGGGATGAGGGGCTTTTAGTGCTAAAACTGGAAAGTCCAGGGCAATCTGAGATGACTTGGTTGCCCTAGCTCCACATGATTCTTATGTGTGCTAAAGTCTGAGAACGACTGTTGTAACATATGTGTGGATATTTTACAATTAATATAATATGGTGGGTGCTATAGTTTGAACGTATTCCCTGAAGTTCATATGTTAAAAACTTAATCCTCAGTGCGACTGTGTTGGGAGATGGGACCTTTAAAAGGTGATTAGATCATGAGGGCTCTGCTCTCTTGAATGAATTAATGTCATTACCATGTCAATAGGCTTCTTCTAAAAGCAACTTCAGCCCCTTCTTGCTTTCTTGTTCTCTCTTGCCCTTCCACCTTCCACCATGGGATGATACTGCAAGAAGGCCCTCTCCAGATATCAGCACCTTGACATTGGACTTTCCAGCCTCCTAAACTGTGAGAAATAAATTTCTTTTCTTTATAAATGACCCTAGTTTGTGGTATTCTGTTGTAGCAACACAAAACAAACTAAGACAGTAGGCAACATGTTTGAAGATTCCACTGGAGATTTCCACAGATCCCTAGGGAACAGTCATAAATTACTGCTTTTAAGTAAACCAATATTTACTGATCATCCTTTACAGCTCAAGTGTTTGAATAGATGCTCTCTATTTTATCTCTGATCTTATTTATTCCCATAGTTACAAATTATTATTACCAAATAATAAAGGTAATAAATTAAAGTAAATAATAAGGTAATAAATTAAGATAAATAATTATTATTAAGGTAATATTTAAGTAAATCAATGTAATTAATTTATTATTAAGGTAATAAAAATTAATAAATTAATAAAATACTTTATCTAAATAAGTAAATTTTACAGTCTTTATTTATTTATTTACTTATTTATTTTTGAGATGGAGTTTCACTCTTGTTGCCCAGGCTGGAGTGTGATGGCACAGTCTTGGCTCACCCCAACCTCTGTCTCCCGGGTTCAAGCAATTCTCCTGCCTTAGCCTCCCGAGTAGCTGGGATTACAGGCACACACCACCACGTCCAAATAATGTTTGAATTTTTAGTAGAGACAGGGTTTTGCCATGTTGGTCAGGCAGGTCCCGAACTCCTGAACTCAGGTGATTTGCCTGCCTCGGCCTCCCGAAGTGCTGGGATTACAGGCATGAGCCACCGTACCTGGCCTATTTATTTTTAAATAGAGACAGGGTGTCACCATGTTGCCCAGGCTGGTCTTGAACTCCTGAACTCAAGTTATCTGCCCGCCTCAGCCTCCCAAAGTGCTGGAATTACAGGCATGAGCCAGCATGCTTGGCCTCTTACAGTGTTTATTAAGGTAAATACTTACCCCTGGAAAGTAGGTATTTTTATCCTCATCTAGAAAATTCAAATTTAGAGAACTTAGTGACCTGCTTAAAGGAACACCAATTAAGCTGAGTATTTTGGGGTTCAGGGATATAACTTTCCAGAGCCTGTGGTGGTTCCATTAAACTGATGTTGCACCGAGTGGGATGCATCCCATCAGGGAATGGGAGATGATTTAATGTGATATAGGAGGTGATTTTTAGAAGGTAGAAGGCATAGCAATAAATAAGACATCGCATTGTCAGAAATAATACCAAAAATTGCTAATACTTACATAGTTCAACATTGCTTATGTCATGTCTATATAGTGCTTACATCATGTTCTATAGTGCTGCATGTATATGAAGTATATGTATATGAACTATGTAATATCATCCTCAGTTTTACAGATGAGGAAACTGAGGCCCCAAGGTCACAGAGTTAGTAAGTGATGTCATCCTGAAAATAGAACCTAGATGAGCCATGACTCATCTAGCATGAAGAACAGGCTTCTCAGAGGTCCAGAACAGTGCTCTGTAGAGCCACATTAGAGCCAGGAGCAAAAGAAAAATGTGCCCTCCTATATACATTCATCAAAATATCCTTCTGTATTTTTAGCCAAGTGAGAAAAATTAATAAAAGCTTAACATTGCCAAGTATGGTGGTTCATGCCTGTAATCTCAACAGTTTGGGAGGCCAAGGTGGGAGAATCACTTGAGGACAGGAGTTCGAGACCAGCCTGGCCAATGTAACAAGACCCTGTCATTACCAAAAAAAAAACCAAAAAACAAAAAAAGGGCCAGGCATGTTGGCACATGGAGTTTGAGGAGTTTGAGGCAGGAGGATCACTTGAGCTCAGGAGATCAAGGCTGCAGCGAGTTATGATTGCACCACTGCATTCCAGCCTGGGTGATAAATGATGCCCTGTCTCAAAAAAAAAAAAAAAAAAAGATTTACAGTCAAAATCCATAACTACTAAAAACAAAATTTAGTTGACAGACTAATTTTCTTCCATAAAGTTGAGAATAAATTTTTTAGAAGCCGTAACTGTAATAAAGCCCCACATCATACAGTCTGTTCTCACAATTGTCAATCCTCATAAATCCACACAGTGAGGGGTATTCCAGGGGGCCAGGACCCTCAGGCTGACTGGAAATGACTGTTCCCATCACACGATGATGCAGAATGGTAAAACAAACAAATGACAGCGTATTTTTATTTAAAATATTGATATTTGCTCGTCATGAAGTTTCAACTATTGCATTAAAATAGTATTGATTTTGATTACAAAGGGTTTGGCATCCCTGTGAATTTTGCTTGGCACCCCTGTGAATTTTGCTGTCAGGAGTGAATGCCTCATTTGCCTCACCCTATTCCTTACTCCAGTATTGCACCATGCAATGACTTCAATTTTAACGTTTCCAAAGGCAGAGGGCTACAGCAGGTATCTTGTGTTCTTCTTCCTGGGGTGTATCCTTTTTATCTGGCATGACCTTGAAAAATGTCAAATGTGAACTCTCAGGAACCAGGTTCCCTTTTTAAGTTTTGTTTTCAGCACATGCCATCTCTTGGAAATTGTACTCTGAGTGGAAAAAAGGGATCACTCCCTTATCAAATTGTGTTTCATGGAAGATGCCAGTGGTTGGAGGATGTAGAAAAGCAAAAGCTGGTTTCAATGCTACTTTTTTCTCCTTCAAATAAAACCATTCCTAGAAAATCTGCCATCTTTTATTAATATGTAGGAGATAGTCTATGGTCTCAAGATAGGGCTCAGAAAAAGATGTTATAGAAAAAGAACACATATTTTATTAAAGGATGTCCTTATTTAAAAGATTTTGGGAGCACATATTCTAGCCTAACCAGAAGCCAGGTATAATCTGAATCAAACTATAGAATGATATTTCCCTGGTCTAGGTCCCCAGTTCTGATTAGGCAACACCCAAATGTACTACCCACTGCTAAATAAGTGTCACAGAATTCCTTGAACAAAATTAAATGGGTCGGTTGTGGTAGCTCACGCCTGTAAGGTCAGCATTTTGGGAGGCCAAGGCATGTGGATCACTTGAGGCCAGGAGTTCAAGACCAGCCTGACCAACATGGCAAAGCCCCATTTCTACTAAAAATACAAAAATTAGCTGGGTGTGGTGGTGGGCACCTATAGTCCCAGCTGCTCAGGAGGCTGAGGCAGGAGGATCACTTGAACCTGGGAGGCAGAGGTTGCAGTGAGCCAAGATTGCACCATTGCACTCCAGCCTGGGTGACAGAGCGAGACCCTGTCCCAAAAACAAAAACAATTAAATGTGTGCTTGTTTTCAACTCTAAAGAACACACCACAAAGTGCCTTGCTGGATAATTGTTTTAAAAGGTGTGATGAAATCAAGCAAACACTGATGAGGTATGGTAATCCCAAGGAGGCCAAGAACTCTCAGCCCTGATCCTAGTATTAGAGCTTCTCAGCAAACTAGATGCAAAAGCAAAAAGGAACAAAAATAAAGCCACACCTCAGCAGTTCCACAAAGTATTAACTGTGTGACCTACAGCATTTGACCTAGTCTTTTTCTGATGTGTTGAATGGGGTAACTTGGGCTTGACTCCTAGTGTCAGAAGGATTAATAGAAACTATCCACTTGTGGCACTTCTAGTGGCCCTCAATATCCATCTCTTCTCCTTCTACAGGAATAGAACCCCAATTTTTATGGCTGCCATCCATAGCTGTGCAGAACAAAGACCAAATTTCCCAGCTTTCCTTGCAGCCAGATGCACTCACATGATTAAATTCTGGCCAGTGAAATATAAACAACAACTAGATGTTGTAGTGGAGAGTCAAGAGCCATTTTGGGTCATGAGTAAAAGGGCGATACTCTAGGAAGAGCAGAGCAACAAGATAGGAGGAGCTTGGATCCTTGACCCACGTGGAACCATCATATCAGTCATGGACTACATATGTCCAGACTGTCATGTGAGTGAGAAATAAAATTCTATCTTGTTTAAGCTGCTGTTACTTTGGGTCTCTGTTCAGGCATATGAAACTATACCCTGTCTAATATCTGAAGTAAAGTACTTGGCAATGACAGACACATTATAAAGAACTCAGTAAATATCAATTATGAAGATGATGGTGGAGGTTATGAATTCTGCCTCTACTGCCCCTCAGAAGAGTGTCAGACAGAATAAAATTAGGAAGGACACAATTTGAAGTACATTTCCTTTCCCTGCTCCCTTTCTTTTACATTTGTTTTTTCCCCATTACCTGACTCAAGTGATATTCATACCATAGAAATGCATGCAGGAGGCATCCACTTGTAGTCATTTCACATAATTCCTTTTTGTTAATTACAAATGTGCCTGATTGGCGGAGGAGGTGCATTTCTAAGGGACCAGTTTCTGCTTGAAGAGTCAAACTGTCTCACCATATGCTTTACACTGAAAATCTCCAGGGATCAACAACTATTAACATTTCCCATATTCACCTCAGATGACTTTTTTTAAAAATAAGGCTTCACAGGTATGGTTGAAGCCCCTGGCCTCATCCACCCAATTTCTGACAGGTAATGGCCCTTCAGGAGTGGTTAAGTATTTTCCCCATTGTGTATTTATGTCTTAAGAAGTATAAGTATCCATAAGCAATACATAGTAGACTTTGGGGTAATTTCTTATCTTATATACGTTAGTTATATAGTGTGTGTAACACTCGGCAACTTGCTCGTTTAAGAGAGCGATAAAGACAAGCCGCAACAACTATCCTTGTTAAATGTGGGTGGTGGTGGTGGCATTGGTAATTACTGTGCTCTGTGCTTTTTGTATATTTGAAATACATTATAAACACAATTTTAAATTAAAAGTAAGAAAATGTAAAAGCACTGAGAGCTGCTTTGACATATAACATTACAAGACTACTGGGGCAGGAGTGGGGAGTGGGCATGGCTGCTTATTTCCTAAAAATTTTACCCTATACATGTGAGCAATCAACTTAAAAAAAAAAAAAATCCAGGCCGGCACAGTGGCTGACACCTGTAATCCTAGCACTTTGCGGGGGCCAAGGCAGGAGGATCGCTTGAAACCAGGAGTTTGACACCAGCCTGGGCAACATAGTGGGACCCTGTCTCTACAAAAAAGAAAAAAATATCAGCCAGGTGTGGGGCCGTGCACCTGTATCCCAGCTACGATGGGGGCTGAGGAGGGAGGATCACTAGAGCCCGGGAGGTCAAAGCTACAGTGAGCTGTGATCGCACCACTACACTCCAGCTTGGGCGACAAAACGAAACCCTGTCTCAAAAAAACATAAATAAATAAAAGCAAAGAAAAAGAAAAAACCCAACATGCAAAAATTCTGAACTTGCTCATATGTTAATAGGTGACCAAACACTTTACGAATGTAAGTCTAACTTTCTAAAATACCCACCACAGTTTTTTTTCTTAAAACATTGAGTTTAGGTATATTTGGCAGGCATAACTGTGCCTATAAAATCATTCTTCTGACAAAACTACATTTTTATTGTAGTTTTTGTTGTTAATTTGAACAATAAAACTCAAGCATAAAAATATTAGATTAGGATAAAATGAATCATTTCTGCTTGGTCTGGGGAATAAAAATGCAGATTATTGGGTGTTAATTTTTTTAAATAGGCATTGCCCAATATTTCATTTATATATGGCTTATTCATGTAAGAATGTCGTCTGCTTTTCACATTCTTTCCACATCAGAGGATTAACAGTGAGAAAAACTATTTTTCTTGTTTTTTTTGTTTTGTTTTGTTTGTTTTTTTGAGAATCTATGAGTGCAGAAGAGTAGGAGCAAAGGATGTTTCAAAGCTTTTTTATACCCATATACCCAATGAGGACTCACCAGGAAGAGGCCAACACCGCAACGTTTTCCCTCTGAGAGCTGTCAAAATAGAAACAAGCATGTTGCCTCCATGTGGGTGTTCTGTGTACTTTTATTTGGCAACCAAACTATCATTTGTTGTTTTCCATATGCCATTTACATGAAGTCAATAGATTTAAGTCGGAAATCTTCCAGGTGCAGCTACTCTGATAATACATGCCAATCATCTCAGTAAACACAGGATCCTGAACTTGATTTTTCTGCTAAAGCAATCAGCCCAAGGAGCAGGCGGCCACATTTCTGGTTCCACCCTGGAGCTTGCTCATACTCTGATGGTTTTATTGGCCATTTTCAGACTACATTCCACACAACTGCTGCGTGCCCTTTAAATTGTCAAGCATTACCCCAAATAATACTGCACTGGAAAAATACCGGGTTTCTCTGTAAAAAAGGGAACATGAGGAGGAAGACAAGGTAACTTGTAAATCTAATGGCTTTAAAAAAAATAATAAAGGTAATAATCTCTTGTTTATTTAACTTGATTGAGTCCAGTTTATCAACGAAAGTGCTTTGAGGAAACTGGACCAGATCCATGTAATAAACATCCCACCATGGATGCCATTATGGGATGTGGAAAGGTGGGAAAGAGAAGTGGTCAAAACCGTAGGCTGTAGCCTTAGGCTGTACTAACTTGGACTGGGCTTGGTTCTGCTTCTGAAGGGCTGTGTGACTTGAGGCAGAGGGCCTAACCTTTTTGAGTCTTCTTTTTCCCACCTAAAAAAATAGGGATAATAACAATGACCACTCAGTCTGAGGATTAAACAAAACAATGCATATAGCACAAGGCCCTGCACACAGTGACCCCAGGTAAGTGTTAGTGGTTTTTTTACTGTTGTTGTTAAGATTGTTGTTGCCACAGGACGGTCTGTGAAGCTAAAGGCTGCTGAGACTTAAAGGTCTGGATTTCCAGCTATTTTTTGCAAGCAATTAACTACTAAAAATAGGAGGCAGTGTTTACTCTCATAGCTTCGGGGAACAGCTACGACTTGGTCTCGGACCAAGGTTCGGCAGTGGACTAAATAGTCTGGTAACTTCCTCTTAGTTGAGCCCACATCTTGAATGGACCTCACTCCAGGGAAGTTTGGACAACCCAGTAAAGCAGGCCCAGCAGCGCTCTCTAGGCCAGGCCCTTTGTCAGCTACTTCACCTAGAAAACTACAAAGATGGAAAGGACCCAGATGACAACCTGGCTGTGAGTTGTATGAGTTCACTGACTTCTGTGTTTTCCCTGTCACCACCCTCTCCTCGCAGAGTCAAGGTGAGTATCTTAGTGGATTACAGAATGCAGGGCTCTGAGGCAGGAAAGAGCCCCCTTCTTTCCTGGGAGCTGAGAAGTGAAGGGGAGTTTTGTTACGAAGCACCCTGTGAACTGCCCTGACCATAATCCTAAGTGGTGAGTACTACCCAAATTTGAGCCACTCCTGGTCTGAAAGGCCTGGTGAAGTGGACTCAACTCTGAAATAATATCTCCCAAAGTCTCTTGTAGACCTGTCATATACCTTTGAATCTTAATTGGAAACTGGTTCCATTTCCTGGAGTACATGTGAACAGGAAGCACGTTCACACATTCTCATGCCGATATGTTGTACAGGTCACATGACTTTATACATACACATACATTCATATGTGTGGTTTTCATGTGTATGTATATGCTACAAATACTGAGGATTGGCCAGTGACAGTGGCTTATGCCTGTAATCCCAGTACCTTGAAAGGCCAAGGCAGGAGGATTGTTTGACCTCAGGAGTTCGAGAACAGCCTGAGCAACATAGTGAGACCTCGTCTCTACTAAAAATAAAAATTTTTAAAAAAGTTAGCCAGGTGGAGTGGCACACACCTGTAGTCTAGGATAAGCTGAGGCAGAAGGATTGCTTGAGCCCTGGAGATGGAGGCTTCAGGCAGCTGTGATCGCGCCACTGCACTCCAGCCTGGCCGACCCAGCAAGCCCTTGTATTTAAAAAAACAAACAAATACTAAGGACTGACATAATTCTCTTTTTCTTGTTTTTTCTTGGCCCCATCTTGCAATCTGTAATATGTCTAGAATGTGTTTGAGTCTATAGTCACACACTGTCAGTAACTGTACATGCTGATGGTCATCAGCAAGTGATATAAGGTTGTTAAATCTCTTAAAGATTTTTACTTTTGCTATATATTTTTAAAATCTTAATCTAAGTTTATGTGAAAATTTTCTAGTAAATTCAATAGAGACAGGAATAGGAAGCAGGAATAAAAAAAAGACAGTTGTATAATGCATCAAGATATTGTGCAATGTACCAAGAATGAGTGGTCATGCTTAATTTTTACCCATATATAGATACAAAAGCACTGAATAGAATCATATATCACAGAGTTTGGAAGAGAGACTTAAAGAGATTATCTAAATGCTCGTTCTTTGAGAAAACTAATAGCTACTTATAAGCAATATGAACAAATACATTTAAAAAATCCAGACTTTGGCCAGGCGCTGTGGCTCTCGCCTGTAATCCCAGCACTTTGGGAGGCTGAGGCGGGCAGATCACTTGAGTTCAGGAGTTCGAGACCAACCTGGCCAACATGGTGAAATCCAGTCTCTACAAAAAATACAACAGCCTGGCCAACATGATGAAACCCAGTCTCTACTGAAAAGCCGGCCATGGTGGTGGGCGCCTGTAATCCCAGCTACTTGGGAGGCTAAGGATGGAAAATCCCTTGAACCCAGGAGGCGGAGGTTGCAGTGAGCCGAGACCACACCGCTGCACTCCAGCTTGGGTGACAGACCAAGACTCAGTCTCAAAAAAGTAATAATAATAAATAAATAAATATGAAATTTTTAAAAACTCCAGACTCTTCAGACAAACTATTAGAATTAGTAAGAATTCAGAAAGGTCGCTGGATACAAATGAATATCCAAAAATCAATAGTGATCCCATATACCAGCACAAAACTAACAGAAGGTATATTTAAAAAAAAAAAAAAGAGAGAGAGAGAGATTCCAGCCAGGCAAGGTGGCTCACACCCATAATCCCAACACTTTCAGGGGTCGAGGCAGGAGAATAACTTGAGCGCAAGAGTTCAAGGCCAGCTTGGGCAATTTAGCAAAACCCTGTCTCTACAAAAAATTTAAAAAAATTAGTCAGGTGTGGTGATGCACAATCGTAGTCCCAGCTACTTGGGAGGCTGAAGCAAAAGGACCCCTTGAGCCCAGGAGGTTAAGTCGTCAGTGAGCCATGATCACGTCACTGCACTCCAGCCCGGGTGACAGATCAAGACCTCATCTCTAAAAAAAAAAAAATGAAAATAATAAATAATAAAATGTTTTATTTAATCAAAATTTTAAAAGATTCCATTAACAATAGTAAAAAAAAAAAACTTTACGTAACTTATAAACAGATTTAACAAAGGAAATACAAGATCATTATGAAGTGAAGCTTGATTGAGGTACATAAAAAAATCTCTATAAATGAAAGGATATTCATGTTCATGTATGGGATGGAAAAGCTCAAAGATGGCAATTGTTTTCAGATTAATCTATAAATTCATTGTAATTACAATTAAAATCTATACATTTTCCCATCACAGCATTTGACAAGTTGATCCTTAAGCTAGTATCAAAGAGTAAAGAATCAAAAATGGCCAAGATAACACAGAAGAATAAACAAAAACCACTCACCACACTAGATAGCAAAGTTATTATAAAGCTATAGTAATTACAAAAGAATGGCACTGGTGTGGAGACGGACAAATAGAAGAGCAGAACAGAATAGTGAGCTCATAAACAGACCCATGCTTATGGAAAACTTGATATATTACAAAGGTAACATTAAAAATCAGTAGGGAAAGGAAAAGACTGTTCAATAAGTGGTACTGGGTTAGTTCATTTTCCATAAAGAAAAGAAAAATAATTTTTTTTAAATCTATACCTTTATCTCCATTTATTAATTTTTTTTTCAGGTGAATTCAACAACTAAAGTGAAAAGCACAACTTGAATATATTTATGACAGGGTAGGAAAACACAAAATGTAAAGAATAAGATTGGTAAATCTGACTACAGTAATATTGTAAATGTAAAGCATTACTTTAAACAGTGAAAAGACAAGCTAAAACTGGAAGACAAAATTATTTCAGTGCATGTCTTAGTCCATTTTGTGTTGCTATAACACAATACCTGAGGCAGGGTAACATATGAAGAATTTTATTTCTCACACTTCTATGGGCTGGGAAATCTAATATCTAGGTGCCAGCATCTGGCAAGGGCCTTCTTGCTACATCATCTTACAGTAGAAGGCAAAAGAGCAAGACAGCATGCATGTGCAAGAGAGCAAGAGAAAGCCAAA
Organism: Homo sapiens; assembly: GCF_000001405.40. Lineage (NCBI taxonomy): Eukaryota > Metazoa > Chordata > Mammalia > Primates > Hominidae > Homo > Homo sapiens. The sequence continues at coordinate 93,599,749 of NC_000012.12, read as the reverse complement.
CTTGCTTTTATAACAAACCCACTCTTGAAATAATAAACTCGCTCTCATTATAACTACATTAATCCATTTAAGAAGGCAGAGCCCTCATGACCTAATCATCTATTAAAGGTCCCACCTCTCCTCAACACTGTTGCACTGGGGATTAACTCTGGGGGATACATTCAAACCACAGTAGTGCATAAAAGCCAACAAAGGTTTTTTCAATGTATATATCAATGCTTAAAATCCAACGAAGGATTGTTTACCTGGAATATGTAAAGAAATCCTATAACTCAAAAAGAATAAACAGCCTGGGCACAGTGGCTCATGCCTGTAATCCTAGCGCTTTGGGAGGCCAAAGTGGGAGGATCACTTGAGGCCAGGAATTCAAGACCAGCCTGGGCAACATTGCAAGACCCCATCTATACAAATAAAAATTAAAATTAAAAACTAGCCAGGAGTGGTGGTGCATGCCTGTAGTTCCAGCCACTTGGGAGGCTGGGGCAGGAGGATTGCTTGAGCCTGAGTTTGAAGTTACCGTAAGCACTTCACCCTGGACCACAAAGTGAGACCCTGTCTCAAAAAAAAAAAAAAAAAAAGACAAACAGCACAACAGCAAACTGGACATAGGACAGGAATAGGAATTAGAAAAGAAATCTAAATCTAAATGGTCAAAAAAAATAGTGACTAGTAAGCAGGAAATGCAAATTATAACAATGACATATGATTTTAAATCCATCAGATCAGCAATGGTTAAAAGCTTAACACTAACTGTTGAGGAGGTGAGGAAATGGAAATTCTCATAAACAGCTAGGCACTAGGGACAATAATTGGTACAACCTCTTTGGAGAGCAATTTTGAACTATCTGACAAAGTTGACAATGAGCATATCAAAAAGACCCCAGCAATTCTATTGCTAGATATACACTCCAGAGAAACTCTAGTATCCTATCCACAAACCTCTCTATGTAAGGATGCTTTGGCAGAATTGTGTACAGGAGTAAAAAAGCTAGAATTTCTTTAACATCTACTAATAAGTAAATTAATAGATAAAGAAAATTTGTTATACTGTACTCATAGATTGGAATATACATAGCAATGAAAATGAGTTAACTTTATCTAAAAGTATCAACATAAGTAAATTTTGAAACAATGTTGAATCCTTCAGGCAAATCCAGACAGATAAATCAATATCAAGTCTTTCTATCTTAATAGAAGGTATCACCATCCCTCTGGTTGAGTTCTTCCCTGGAAAATGGAAACAGCGTCCTAACTCTTCTCACTTGAATGCCTTTTATGCCATCCCCTATATCATAACTATGGCATGACCCTGCTTATACCTTTCAATGGCTTCCCACTGCAGCCTTAATAAAACCCAAACTCCTCGGTGCCATCTCTTTGGTCCTTCCTAATCTCCCCCTCTCCTCCCACCTTCACCTTCTACCCCTCTGAGCTCATCTCCTACTTCCTCCCTGGAGTCTACACTGTTCCAGCCACATTGTGCTTGTTGCCCTTCCTTGTACAAACCAAACTCATCCTTACGTTAAGGCATCAACACTTGCTCTTCCTTCTCATCAATCAGGTTTTGATCGAAAACACAGTATCGTCAGCAACGTGTTTCCTCGGTGCCCTGCCAATCCCCTCACTTCCCCACTTTCCCTGCCAGTCTGATATCCTATATTATCATTTTCACACAGTTACAGATGCCTGCAATTATCTCATGTATTCAAATGTTTACATATTTAGAACAAAAGATTTGCCTTGTTCACTACCATATTCCTGAGGTCTAGCACACAGTAGGCACTCAATATATATTTGTTGACTTATGTGAATTTTTAAAACCTACAAAGCTAAACTACATAGTGTTTGTAGACACCTAGTTATGCAGTGAAACAGAAAAAACATGGACAGGAAGGATATACAATAACTTTTGGGTAGAGTTTATCTCTAGGGAGGGTAGGAGGTCAGTAGGGTCAAAAAGTAGGACAAAGATGCCTTAAAATAAATCAGCAAAGGAAGTACAACAATATTTATTAAATCTGGCTATCTGTTATGGCTGAGTGGTGATTACATAAGTATTGTTACAATATTCCCTGTACTTTTCTGATGAGCTATTTCATAATACAAAAAATTATTTTTTAAAAGCGAGATTTGAGTTCGGGCATGGCGGCTCACACCTGTAATCTCAGCACTTTGGGAGTCTGAGGTGGGTGGATCGCTTGAGGTCACGAGTTTGAGACCAGCCTGGCCAACATGGCAAAGCCCCATCTCTACTGAAAATACAGAAATTAGGCGGGTGTGGTGGCGCACAACTGTAGTCCAAGCTACTCAGGAGGCTGAGGCAGGAGAATTGCTTGAACCCAGGAGAAGGAGGTTTTGCAGTGAGCTGAGATCATGCCTGGGCAACAGAGCAAGACTGTGTCTCAAAAAAAAAAGGGATTTGAAATGATAAAATTATAGTGATAGGTAACAAATCAGCAGCTGCAAAGGGTTAGGAATGTGGGAGTCACTATAAATGGGTAGCACAAAGGAGATCTTTGTAATGATAGTTCTGTATCCTGATTTCAGTGGTGGTTACGCCAATCTACAGGTAATAAAATGGCACAGAACTACACAAACACTTTATACCAAGATCAGTTTTCTGGTTTACTTGTGCTATAGTTACAAAAGATGTAGCCAACCACTGGGGGGAAACTGGGTGACAGGTACACAGGCCTTCTCTGTACTATCTCCACAACTTCCTTTGAGATCTATAATTCTTTTGAAATTTTTAAAAATGTGTTCTTTTAAAGGAGAGATATAGACCACATGAAATAATACTTCTATTTTACAGATGAGACAAGTGAGGCCCCCAAGAAGAAAGACAATTTGTAGTAGGTGGTGGAGGGTGCAGGGCAGAAAGGCCTGCAGAACCTGCAGCTTTGTTGTTGTTGTTGTTTGTTTGAGACAGGGTCTTGCTCCGTCTCCCAGTCTAGAGTGCAGTGGTGTAATCTTGGCTCACTGCAACCTCCAGCTCCCAGGTTCAAGCAATTCTCATGCCTCAGCCTCTCAAGTAGCTGAGATTACAGGCGCAGGCCAACACGCCCAGCTAATTTTTGTATTTTTAGTAGAGACGGAGTTTTGCCATATTAGCCAGGCTGGTCTCAAACTCCTGGCTTCATGTGATCTGCCCGCCTCAGCCTCCCAAAGTGCTGGGATTACAGGTGTGAGTCACTGTGCCCAGCCCCTGCAGTTTCCTTTGAACATTCAAGAGATCAAATGCATGGGCCTGGGTCTCTTGGTAGTCTTATCTTAGGAATCTGATATAACCATGACTTCCCAGTTAGTAACTCAGGCTGCATGGCATAGCTTAAGATCCCAAATATTAAATATTAAATCAGGTATTAAAATCAGATAAGCTGATTCAAATCTCGGCTCTGCCACTTAGTAAAGGGATGCCTTTCTACTTTAACCTTCTTTGAGCCTCAGTTTCTTCATCTGCAAAATGTAAACAGACTATGTGGTTTCATGCCAAGCATGGTGTTATGGGGATTAAATCAAATAATGTATGTAAAGTGCATGGCATAAAATTTGGCAAGAGTAAGCACTCAACTAAAAGTCAAGAAACACAGCCTAATACCTGTGAAATAAACCCAAATATGTCTATTATTGATCCCAAGGATTCTCCTACACACTGTCCTATCCAACCATTTAACAATCAGGTTTCCATGCTAGGTGAAATGTGAAAGTTCTGAGAAGTATTAAATTGTGAGTAAGTAGGAACAGGGGCAAACACAGGGGTGAGGCAAATTCAATAAAATTATGACTGTTTTTGCCCTCTATTTGCTACTGGAAAGTAGCTGGAAGAATCACATAAAAAAAAATTAAAAACAAATTAATAAATTTAAAAATAAATTACAAAACAAAAAGACCAGAAAAGAAAGTAAAGTAAAATAAAATAAAACAGCTCATTTTGTTGATGTGACTCTGTAGACTACAATAAGGGATAATCACAAATTAAATGCCTCCCAAAAATGTAGACTCTATTAGATTAACCAAACACAAAGTCAAAAATAGCTATATAACTTGAAGCTCTCAAAAACTACAGGAAGACTATAGATGGTGGTTGTTTAAAATTAAAAAGAAAAAGGAGAGCACGTCTTTTCTTTTGGTCATGAACTAACTGAATTTAACACGAATGAAAGCAGATTTAATCTGTGAGAGGAGAAGGAGCAGGCTCTACTTTCAGTTGGCCGAAGAAAAGCATTCCAGCTCTAGGGGCACAAACACATGCAAGAAATGTGAGACTCAATTTATTTCTCAAAAGGTACATTAAAGTTGACAACAAACTGGCCTGGAATTCTGAAATCAGAACAACAAAGAAGGGTAGAAAGATTGGTCTTTCAACTGAATTTATAGTGACTGGATCTGCAATTTATCTTCAGAAACACGTAAGTCAGGTATCTAAAAGGGGGAAAAAATTCTAAAATGTACCTCCTTTTTAAAAATTAAATCATAAAATTAGTTAAAATATGTGAAGCATTTCCTAAAGTTAACTATCAGTGTGGAACTCAGTAAAATAAATGTCTACTAGAAAAAGAAAAAGCTGAGCATATTTTATTTTCAGTAACGAGTAAGACTCCAAAAGCAAAATCACCCCCCGTCCCCTCACAAATGCTTTTAAGTCGGCAATACTTATGACAAAAAGAGATTGTTTCATTTTGGCAAGATTTTAAGTACCCTAATAAATCTAAGTGTAATACCCATCACATAGTTTACAAACGTAAGGAAGTCAAGGCAATAAAAGAACTCTCAATAAATCCCTACTTTCAAAGTATTGCTGACAAGAGGAATTGGTACCCTATGTTTTGAATTGGATTATTCAATTCGATGTATTAACAAAATGTAGTAAAAACTAGTTCATGTACTGGTTATGTAACCATAAAATTCTTGGTTAATTCTTATTTAAAACACAAAGATCAATGACCTACAAATTCATTTCTTTCCCTGAACTCCCAGTGTTCGAGAGCTGATATTCCCTGACAAACTCCCTTACATAACATTCTTTCTAGTAATGTGGGTCAAACATATATTTATATTATCAGCTGTCAGAACAGAGTTCTCTACAATAAATAAATTCTATACTAATTATCCAGGAAAAACAAGAATTATATCTAAAGAAACAAAGTGAAAATAATAAAAGGAACATGGAGATTTCTTGATTTGGAAAACAAAAATGGAAAAATCCTATCAAGGCCATTAGCAAATTGTTAATTAAATGACACATTTGAGAAAGAATATCTTCTAAAGTCTTAATGGACTCAAAAAATTAAAAGAGTTAGGCAATAGAAATTTAATAGTTAAGAAACATCTTCATTTCACTTTTTAAAAGCTTTTTTACAGAATATGTAAAGAGCTGTAAAAATGAAAGTACTATAATATTGAAGGTCAACTTGAGTCAAAATAAGAAAAGGAGCCTCAGAGTTCAGCTCAACTGTTCTATTGCAATTTTCTATTTTGACATTCTCTGCATTATCCTTAAATTTAAATACATTATTAACTTGAATTCATTGTCTTCTGAATTGGGATTATAAAAATGGATGTGTGTGAAGTGTTAAAAACAACCTGAACTGAGAAACCGATTTGTTCTTCCCTTTTTATTTCAAAAAACAATTTATTTTTGAATTTCTAAAGCAAATAATCATAATCCCCCAGGTGCTTCCTGTCAGTTGTGAACATTCTATTTGGGGACATCATGGAACTGCACATTTTGCCTCCCCTCTCTTCCTGCTGGCTTGTAATGTGTTATGGAAACACTGATTTGAAATTAAGAGTTTTGATTAAACAGGTTTTCTACGCTCTTGATTTATTTCCTTTATTTTAAGGCAGATGCCTCTGTATGGTAACAGTAGCTTACAAAGCCAAAGGGATTCAGACTTTAAATGGGAAATTTATTTTATTTTATTTTAGCGTGGTTCGGTTTGATTTTTGTTTGTTTGTTTTCCTTTTTGCTGACACCCAGATCTTATTCTGACTTGACTTGGCTTCATTTAAGATGAGTTTTCAGGATGAGTGGGCTTGGTCTTACTAGGGTTATTTTCCAGATAAGCAGGTAATTTGGGAAATAAAATACTTGTAAAAGTCCTGTAATTCCCAAAAAGTTGGCTATAATCTAAAAGGTAATTGGGATGCTACTATGATCATTTATAAACAATTTAATAGCAATGTGAACCACATGTTTTTTGAAACATATCTTGGTATCTGGCTTCATCTGTAATAGGTCTTACCTATACAAATCTAAATTAAAATTTGATTTTAATTTAATTCTAATATCTAATTTATTTCTGTTCCTTGTATATGTAAATCAAGGTCAAGTTGCTTCCAGTATCTCAGGCTGAGCCCTATTTGTTTGCTTTTCTTAAACCTCCTTCTCTAACCATAAAAGCTCTCTCTTCTGGAGCTTTAAAGAAGATGCTGTGTTTCTGAGTAGGCGGAGAGCTTTAGGCATTTGGGAGTCATAGCAGATCAGCTATCCCACTGGAGGCAGGATCTAGATATAGAGTCGGGTCAGCGTGATAATAATCTTAGGCAAAGCTAATTCCCTCTCCAGAACCACCTTCCAGTTGTAGGAAATCAGTTTCATTGTTCCTAGAACTGGCCACCCAATCTGGTGTCAGGAGTGGGTGCAGAGGATAACTGGTATGAAAAGAAACAAACACAAAAGGGGAGAGAGAAGGCAGGAAACCAGGATAAGGGGACAGAGAGTAGGGAACTGGAGAAACTTTTACTATAGTTGTGCTTAATCGATGTCCTTTGAACAGAACTAATTGAAGATGATATTATTACACATACCAAAAAAAAAAAAAAAAAAAAAGCTTTCTCAGTCCTACCCTAGGGTTTTTAAAGACAGCTGTCTATGAAGCCACAGTCAAGGCATAGAGCCATGTGCCTGTCCCATAGCTGTGAATGTCTCTGATCAAGGCTGGGACGAAGTTGTTGAGGCCTTTCCACTAGGTTTCTCAGACATCTTTTCTAGAATAGAGATTTAACTTCAAGGGCAATTAATTAGCAAATAAACAAGTTTATTCGATCTCAATGGAAAATATGCTGTTTAAAAATGAACAGTATTTTAAGGAAAACCCTCAGCTATGTGTACAACTTGAAAGACAGAATTTATTTCCATCTGAAATATGCATGGGAACAACCTTTTGGGAATGTGATTTGAAAGTAAATATCTATTAAAATGTTAAGTGCCATGTACCCTTGGGCCCCAAAGTTCCACTTCTAAGAATGTACTCAACATATATGTTCCCATAAGCACACAGCAACAATTAGCACACAGATTTGTACCGCACCGTTGTTTGTAATAGCACGAAACTGGGAACAACCTGTATATCCACTAGCAGGAGACTGATTCAATCAGTAATGGTACATTCATATCATGGAATATTGTGCAGCTGTTGAAAAGAATGAGGCAAAGCCTTATGTTGCCATGAAGATATAAATAGATATATAGAGAGAAAGGTAGACATAGAGAGTCCAAATATTAAATTTTAAAAGCAAATTGCAGAGCAGAAAGTATAGTACAATAATATTTGTGTGTGCTTTAAAACATGATTTAAATAGAGGCTTCGACTGCATTAAAAAAATTCTGGAACAATAAAAAGGAAACTTTTAATAATAGTTACCTCTGGGGAGTGGGACGGGAGTTGGACAATTTTTTCATTTTGTGCACTTCTGAACTGACTAAATTTTGAACCATGAGCATGTTATCACTTTTAGAATAATTGAAAAACTAGCTCCTAAGAAGAGGTTGTATTTACCCTGCATTAACAAAAACAAAAGGGATGCTCTTATCTGGGACAATCTATAGAAGCCACATCCCTGGCCACATTCTCATATACGGTCTAGTGAGACCCTTAAGACTACGTGAAAAGATTAAAATAACCCATGAGATATGCGGCAAAAACATTGCACCCAGCCGTCTGCTCTCAATACCACACTCATCTGGTGCGCTTCCAAAGTGAAACGCCTTGACGTTGGTCAGCCTGTGACCGGCTCCTTGCTGCCGACGCTGGGTTACATAAGGTCCTGGGAGACCCGAGCGGCGCCCCGGACGCGTCTGGGAGGAGCCGCCACGCCACAGCTCCGTGGGGCTCCGCACTCTACCCTGGCCACAGACAAAAAGAACTTCTGCTGCATCACCCCGTGGCGCCAGGATCACTTCCCTCTTGAGAGACAGTGTGTGCACATCGTAGACGCTAGAGCCAGCCCCTGCAGGAACTCCGTTTGAAAATTCTTCAAGGAGAAATAACCGAAACTCTGAGATTCCTCTTGCCGCAGACAGACAGACAGACAGCCACACACGAACGCACACACGCTTTCTCCTCGCTCCCATCTTGTTCATTCTCCCTTAACTAGTTCCTAGAAATATCTAGCCGGGCTAATTCATTTCCGTTCCTTGTATATGTAAATCAAGGTCAAGTCGCTTCCAGTATCTCGGGCTGAGCCTTGTTTTTTTTTTTTTGTTTGTTCGTTTGTTTTTTTTTTAAAAAACACCTCCCTTTCTAACCATAAAAGCTCTCTCTTCTGGCGCTTCATTAGCCTAGTGATTAAATGTCAAGTCTCCCGAACAAGCTGGATTTGAAGGTCTGTAACGTAACTACTTCTTCCAAATCGAAAATGTTTACTCTCCTAAAATTTATATTTCAATAAAGCGTTAAAAAAAATTAGTCATTTTGTTCCAAGAGTGTTCGGAGGCTAAACTGCACTGCCAACAAGTAAAAACTTGTTATCCAGACCATTAGTGTTAAGGGAAAAGCCAGTAAGTTTAAAGAAAAAGTAACTCATCATATTACCAGGTAATCACTCTCATTTCTTCACTAACAATACCTAATTTGCTCTTCAAATAATTATAATATAAATGAAGAAAAGGATTGTACTTTTCATGTGTACACTGGGAAGCTAACTTTTTTTTTTTTTTTTTTTTTTTTTTTTTTTTTTTTTTTGAGGCGGAGTCTTGCTCTGTCGCCCAGGCTGGAGTGCAGTGGCGCCATCTCGGCTCTGCCTGCTGGGTTCAAGCGATTCTTTCTGCCTCAGCCTCCGGAGTAGCTGGGATTACAGGCACGTGCCACCACGCCCAGCTAATTTTTGTATTTTTAGTAGAGACAGGTTTCACCATGTTGGCCAGGATGGTCTCGATCTCCTGACCTCGTGATCCGCCCACTTCGGCCTCCCAAAGTGCTGGGATTACAGGCCTGAGCCACCACGCCCATACGGGAAGCTAACTTTTAATAGTTCGTTTCTCCTAAACTCTGCTCTCCTCTCCAAAAAAACTGTTCTTGTTAGAACAGTAAACAGCAATCAGACTCAAATTAATCCCAGAGTAGTCTCTCTGGTTACCAGATTGAGAAATGTTATTGGAAAATAAAAGGGAAAAAGTGCCTTTTTCTAAAATCTTGGGTGCTAGTCTTGCGTCGGTAGCTAAAACTGTATTTTACTGTATCAGTAATGCTTAAAAGTCCAAATACAGTACTTGCTTATTCTTTTTTTTTTTTGAGACTGAGTCTCGCTCTGTCACCCAGTCTGGAGTGCAGTGGCGCGATCTCAGCTTACTACAACCTCCACCTACCGGGTTCAAGCCTCCTGAGTAGCTGAGATTATAGGCGCGCACCACCACACCAGGCCAATTTTTGTATTTTTGGTAGAGATGGAGTTTCATCGTGTTGGTCAGGCTGGTCTCGAACTCCTGACCTCATGATCCGCTCACCTTGGCCTCCCAAAGTGCTGGGATTACAGGCGTGAGCCACCACACCCGGCCTGGAAGGTCCATCTCAACAATCCAGTACTTTGTCAACCATCTCAGCTTTGCCACTAATGGAAGTGCTGTTAACAGCCCTCAAAACTGAAGTTCCTTTATTTCTTCTGCCACTTGAGAAAAAGTTTTGCCACAAAGTTCTAATAACACTAAGTCCCTACAAATCAACTTGGAAACGTCTACATGTGTTTCTCCTGGAAAAAGTGCCAGACATCAGTTTTATCTGGCAATCATCAAAATACATCAGACTGCAAATCTATATGTTCCTGGACCTCATAAGAAGCACAGTGAGGAATTTCAGCAAGCGAACCAAAGTACTAAGCTACACTGCAACATCTGCAGTCTACAACATGGGCAACAATACTGACATCAACCACTGCTGCCAAGAACATGCAACAGCAAACAAAACAAAACAAAAACAAACAAAAAAAGGGAATGGGGACATTTCAAATCCATATTCTCAATTTCTGGCTTAAGATTACAGCATTATTTAACCCACCATCACTAAACTCACTTTAATAAAAACAATCAGGAAGCCCAAGCATATGGATTTTTTTATTTGCACATTTTGTATTATTTTATGAGAAGACAAATGATAGAACCCATGGGAATTTAAAAAAAAAATTCCCAGAATGTCAAGGTTGGTATAATTTCTGTAACTAGAATATGGTGTACATGGTGACCTCAAAACAGGAAATGCCTTTGAAATCTATCAGTCATGTATTCAACATCAACTGTGAAAAATATATGATGGGGTCGCAGACTGCAAGGCACTGCCTGCCCAGAATCTGCAGTCTAGCTGGAGAAGATAACACTAAAAGAGTTGAGAAAGGTGTAGGACTGGCAGGCACAGAGGAGGGAAGCAAAGGATGGATGTTTTCCGTGTTTTAAACCATGCTGTACGGTAAATAATGATAGCACTGGGAAGAAAGGAACACATGTGGCAAGCATAAGCATTCTGCTCCAGCCAGAAAACTGCTGGAGGAAATGGGGTCTATGCGTACCCCTACCCCTGCTTTATGTCCCTGATCTATCAACAAATTCACTCTGTCAGGCCAGGCGCGGTGGCTCACGCCTGTAATCCCAGCACTTTGGGAGGCCGAGGCGGGTGGATCACCTGAGGTCAGGAGTTCAAGACCAGCCTGGCCAACATGGCAAAACCCCTTCTCCACTAAAAATAAAAAAAAAAAATTAGCTAGGCTTGGTGGTGCATGCCTGTAGTCCCAGATACTTGGAAGGCTGAGACAGGAGAATTGCTTGAACCTGGGAGGTGGAGATTGCAGTGAGCCAAGAACATGCCATTGCAGTCTAGTCTCTGGGCAACAGAGCGAGACTCTGGCTCAAAAAAAAAAAAAAAAATTCACTGTCTCCAGAATTTCTCACAAATTCTTCCAACTCCTCTTCCTCCTTCTCCCCATCGCTGCCTTAGGCTACACTGACCTCCTCAACGATCACGTTCCTTTGGTGATGTGAGTTTTGACTCACATCCTCTGGTGTGTTGAGTTTTGACTTTTTTTATGGACCCCTTCTCAGAATACTGTGCTTAAATCATAAAATAAAAACAAAAGATACATTATATTAAAATGTAAATATCAAATTATTTTTTATATTTGTCACACAGTTATATATGTTCTTTATTAATTCATTAAGTAACAATTTATGGCAGTGAGTCTAATATCTATAATAATTTCAGTTTAGTGATAAGTGTAAAAGATATTTTGAAATACCTACAACAACTGTAATATGCTATCAGAGCATTTCTACTGGTGATAAACTCACATCTTCTGTTAATTCTACTGTGATCCGTTGCCTAGATTCTTATTTGAAGGAAATGCTAAATTTCAGTTTAGAGGATAGTGAAAATGACAGTATAACGCTTTTTTCCAATCCAAGTTCACAGATCCCAGACATCTTATCCATGGGTCCCTTGCAAGTCTAGGGATAAAGTTCAGAAGCCCTGATCTCAGGTCACGTCCCTCCAGAGCAGCCTCCATATTGCCACCAAATCTGATGCGGTCACTCTGTTGTTCAAAAGCCTTCGATAGCTCCTTCACTTCCCACATAAAATACAAACTCTTTTGAGAGGCAGGCAAAGCCCTGAGTGCTCAGTTCCCTGCCCACCAACTTAGGGTTATCTCCTAGTTGGTTTCCTCTTTTGCATTTGAAGCTCCACCCACAGTGGTAGAACTTATGGGAACAAACTGTGTTCTCTCACACCTTCGTGTGGTCTGCTCTACTTGGAACTGCCTTGCCTGGCTCTTTGGCCTAGCCAAACTTTTTTTTTTTTTTTTTTTTAGACAGAGTCTCGCTCTGTCACCCAGGCTGCAGTGCAGTGGCACAATCTCAGCTCACTGCAACCTCTGCCTCCCAGGTTCAAGCGATTCTCCTGCCTCAGCCTCCCAAGTAGCTGGGACTACAGGCGCGTGCCACCACGCCCGGCTACTTTTTTGTATTTTTAGTAGAGACGGGGTTTCACTGTGTTAGCCAGGATGGTCTCGATCTCCTGACCTCGTGATCTGCCCACCTCTGCCTCCCAAAGTGCTAGGATTACAGGCGTGAGCCACTGCGCCCAGCCACCAACTGATTTTTTAAGTCTCAGATGAAAAGCTGCCTCCTTTCTGATTTCTTTCTTGACTCCTTCAAACAGATCCAGATAGGTCTTCTCTGCTCAGCTGCTCTTTGCAGAGACCTCCGTTGCAGCCATTATCTTATTGTACCATGTATCATGGCATGCTGGCTTGTGTGTTTCTCTGCTATACAGAATCTCCTTGAGGTCGGGGACTATGTTTTTTGTTTTTGTTTTTTCTTTAAGACAGTCTCACTCTGTCACCCAGGCAGGAGTGCAGTGGTGCCATCTCAGCACACTGCAACCTCTGCCTCCCGGGTTCAAGTGATTCTCGTGCCTCAGCCTCCAGAGTAGCTGAGACTACAGGCACACGCCATCACACCTGGCGAATTTTTGTAATTTTAGTAGAAACAGGGTTTTGCCATGTTGGCCAGGCTGGTCTTGAACTCCTGGCCTCAAGTGATCCACCCGTGTCGGCCTCCCAAAGTGCTGGGATTACAGGTGTGAGCCACTGTGCCCGGCCAGGGACTGTGTTTTTTAACATTCCTCAGAACCTTGCTTCATGACTACAACAAGTAGATGCTCAGTAAATATTTATTGAATGAGTGAGTGAATGAATGATTGAAAAAATGAATAACTAAATGAAGGAAATAAATATAAAGACAGAGAAGTTAAAGATAATGCAAAGTTTCAATCTGGGTTAGAGTAGAAAAACTGAAATGAAAAAAAACTGAACGAAGGAAAAAACTGAATTGTGTTCAGTAGAGTTGTAAATTAAGTACATTTTTCATGAATGTAGTAGAGCATAACTGTCCATTAAAACCCAGCATTTATTCTGGTATTTTCGTTATACAGAAATTTGCTACAGAAAAAGGCCTCATCCTAGAAAGAGGTTGCATTCTAAAGCAGGGTTTGCAAACCAGTTGTCTGGAATTTACAATAGAATTTTCCTCAGAAGTAAATTAAAATTGGTGATTAGGTACCCAATTTATCACACAAAAGTCCATTTACTCTCTAATGTGCCTGAAAAGCTTCAAGTCTGATTAAAAACTGGTAGAAAATAATACCATTTAATATTATTGAAATATAGCCAATTAAGCAAAACAGTAAACAATAGGAGTGAATGTGAACATAATTTATTTATCTTGAATATTGACACTGGAGAAAAGACAGATTTAATTTTAGCAAGTGAGAAAACCCAAGAGATGTTTGTGAAGATCAGAAGAACTTCCGGTCATTCAGAAACTTTTTGAGGTTAGTAGCCCTAACTCTTTAATATGGTCAGTCCTCTGTACCCGTGGGTTTCCCATCCACGGATCCAACCAACCACAGAACGAAAATATTTGGGGGAGGGAAAAAAAAGCAATAAAAAATAACAATACAATACTAATAAATAATACAAACCTTTAAAATATAGTATAACAACTATTTACATAGTATTTACATGTATCAGGTATTATTAAGTAATTTAGAGATGATTTAAGGTATATGTGAGGGTGTATGCCGGTTATATGCAAATACTATACCGTTTCATATAAGAGATTTAAGCATCTTCAGATTTTGGTATCCTTGGCAGGGCTTTTGAGGGGGCAGGGGCGGGAGTCCTGGGATCAATCCCTGAAGATACTGAGGGATGAATTATGTATATTTCACTTCAAGGCTTGAGATCTTTCCTTTTGGCTTACACGAAGGAGAGACACTGTTTTGCAGTACCTGAAAAACTTTTGGAAGACAAAGGCGAAAGAGAAATGGAATTAAAGAGGCTATACATGTTCTATAAAGTTTACGTGAAGTCAGATTTGCCAAGCTAGGCAGAAAAAAAGAAGGAAGCAGGATATATATGGCATGGTATATGTGGTGGTTACACCATGCCGCTCACCAAACATTTCTGTTTCTCTCCTTCTTGGCACAGGGGAGAACTGTGCTTCCTGGCCCCCTTATGGTTGGGTGGCACTATTTTACAGAGTTCTGGCCAATCTGTCAGGAGCAGAAGTGACAGGGCATTTAAACACCACTAAGAGATCCTCTGATTCTCCTTGCCCATCAGCTCAGCACCTCAGACCAGCTGTTTGAGGAGGTGCTGCAGCTGCTTCATCAGCCTGGTTCTGAGTGGCTAAAAGAGCCTCCCTGGTGATTATGACAGATGTGTATAGATGTAGAAATCTTTATTGTTTTAAGCCACCGAGAGTTTGGGGTTGTTTGTTCTGCAACGTAAAATGGCTATTATGATGGACACATCATTTATAAAATTTACCTCCAGAGAAAGGAAAGGAGTGATAGGGAAGAGCTTGTGGGTTATGGTTGCACTGGATAGACACCTAAAGGAGATTAAAAGAAGGGAGGAATGGCCAGGCGTGATGGCTCACACCTGTAATCCCAGCACTTTGGGAGGCCGAGACAGGTGAATCACCTGAGGTCAGGAGTTTGAGACTAGCCTGGCCAACATGGTGAAACGCTGTCTCTACAAAAAATACAAAAATTAGTTGGGCATGGTGGCAGGCACCTGTAATCCCAGCTACTCGGGAGGCTGAGGCGAGAGAATCACTTGAACCTGGGAGGCAGAGGTTGCAGTGAGCTGAGATCATGCCATTGCACTCCAGCCTAGGCAACAAAAGCGAAACTCCGTCTCAAAAAAAAAAGAAGGGAAGAAAAGGTGTAAATTCAGATGTCAGGGACTCTTCCAAGCTGGATAATTAGGATTTAGGCAGATCTTGCATTACTTCTGAAATCAAAGTCCCAATAATAGCATCATTATTAAGATGCATCATTATTAAGAGGTCATAGCCCTCTTAGTATTAACCACATGATGAAATATTACCTACATGTGACTAGCAGACAATATTGAGGTACATGCTGGCTGCAGGCATCAGAGGTTAAAAGCATTTGCAAGCTTATTGAGAAAATGAACAAAAGAGTGAGAAAACCATGGCTTTTGAGTCAGAGTGGCTTGAATTCAAATCTCAAGTTTCCCTCCTGTTAAATAAAAATTATAGAAAGTCATTGTTTTGGACTAAGGTCTTGCACTAGACCCCAAAAATCTAATTTAATCAAAATGGAGTCACTCAAGCTGAGATTTTTACCAAACTGAAAATAGGTTGTTATCTGACCCTCTGAGAAATCGGGAGAGAGGTAACAGCCTAATTTCCCAAGCAGGCTAGTTTCAATCAGCATGATAATTAAGTTCCCTCTACTGTAATCCTTACAAAAAAGTAACCTGGAGTAACCTGATGTTAACCAATCAGTTACTTTTCTATTGTTCTGTCTCCCTGTCCCCACCTTACAAGGAACTTAACTTTGAAAGGACCAATCCACTCTGGGTTCTGTTTTTTGCTTTCTTCTACTCCTCTCTGGCTGTAAAACCAACCTCTTCTGCTTAGCTAATTGGAACACTTACTCTATTTTATGGAATGAAGTGTTACCCAATTCTGGAATTGCAAATAAAGGTAATTAAGATCTTTAAGAGAAATTGTTGTGATTTTGTCTTTCGACACTATTAAATCATTTAATCTGTGTAAGTGTCAATCTCCTTGTCTCTGAAGTGGAGATAAAAGCAGAATCTACTTCAGATGTTTGTGGGGAACTTTCAGTGAGGTTATACTTGTAAAGTGTCAAATGCAACACCTGGCATTAGTAAATGTTCTAGCTTTTTTCAGTCTTCTGGAAGCCCAAGAGTTGGTCTGTTATAGAATGGTTGCCTGTCACGCCTTGGACGTAATAAAACCCATGGCCTGCCCAACGCAGCTTCAAACTGGATATCTGGGGGACTTTCAGCCATTACCCAGGCTCAATGATGCACCTCTGCTTGAGACATCTGATTACCCCAACCCTCCTCCTTGACTATCAAGACCAGAGATGTGCCCCACTTTAAGAGAGATCCAGGAAAACCCAAATGTGCAAGATGGATAGATTAGGGCCGGATCATTCATGCACCAAGATTCTTTTAATTTTACCAAAGAATCTAAGAATTTCCTTAGTATATTATAGCTTTTTTGTTTCCTTTACTTTTTTCTTAATTGCCTGACAGATGAAAATAAAGCTCAATGGCACTCTTATCTATTGAGGATCAATTGGAAATAAGAATAATCTACGTAAATGGGAAAAATGACTTGCAAAAACACACCCTATGCCCATCATCTTCTGGGAACACATCTGTTTGTTAGCTGGGAAGCAGAGCGAAGACAGCCTTCCAGATCCCTTGATAATGAAAATTCATCCAAAGGGTTATGATGATGATGATGATGGCTGGCATACACCAGATTCCTGTTTCTCCATGACAACCAACATCTAAAAACCCAACTCAAAACTCTTCGATCATAGGGTAATGTTCAAAGATCCATAGCTAAAAGAAAACACAAAATTCTTCTAACCAGGATAAAAAACAGCTGGCTGTGAAAAAAAAAAAAAAAAACAAAACCCAGAGTTAAGAAGGAAGTATATTTTCAAAATAAATGAGAATATATTATAGCATAGAGGTAAAATCTGTACTACAATCTACGTAGAAACTGAGACTCCACTGATAGGTGGAGCCTGCCTCTCCTCTGAGCACTCTCACCCCAATGTACTATCACATCTGGGCAGATGGGACCTCCTTGGAAGGGACCAAAAATCCTGAAGGCTCCAGGCTCTTCAATTTACAGATAACAGAGATTCAATGTTTGGCCCAAGGTCAGAGAACCAGAGTGGACCCCAAGTTTTCCAATTCCTAGTTCAGGGTTGTGCCCGCTGCACCGCGACCTCTTGCTTTCCTGAGAAGAGAATCTGTGCCAGTTACCCCAACTTGCCCAAAGTGGAAGCCGCTCCTCAAAGGGAAGCGTGCAATCTGTGTGACTCAAAGCCGCATACTCCAGGGCAAATCTGAGCCTGCAGCCAAGGAAGGAAAGAGTCAACCTCTGACTCTCTCTCCAATCTTCTCACAAGGACTACCTCCCTCCTACCTAACACTTAACCGGTCTCCCTCTCTCCGCCCTTGCTTTGTTCCAAGCCATTTTTCCAAAGGACCTCCAGAGGGATGATATAAAACACAAACTTAGTTCTGTTGTTTTCCCCTCCATTTAAAAAGCTGACATCTGCTCCCTACTGCCCTCAGGATAAATTCCAAGGTTTTCAGCCAGGCCTGCAAGATCTGCCCCAAGTCACCCTCAGACAGCACCTCCCAGAAGCCTCATCTCTACCCTCTTCTTCAACCTTTCAGCCAAAAGATCTTCCCCACTCAGCAGGTCTGAGGACTCCTTCCAGTCTATTAACACTCAGACACAAGATACCTTCCTCTGGGGGCTTGTCTTCATAAACCCTCAAAGCAGGTCAATGGCACCCTGTCCGCAAAGTAACTACACTGCCTTTAACAATGCATTTTACAATAAGTTATTCATGTAATTACAGCTCCTATACAATATGGTATCCTGAGATGCAGAACCTGGGTTTGATTCATGACTTCCCTACTTGACTGGGCAGGATATTTGACCTAAGTTTCTGTTTCATTTGGAATAAATGAGGGTCATACATACCTCATCAGGTTGTTGTGAAGATGAAATGCAATGGCTAAGCAGGGTAATGGGATATATTAGACTGTTTAATAAATGTTAGTCCCCATCCTCTCCATCCTTTCTCATGGTCTGTAAGAGCTCCCTCAATGAAAGAACACTTCCTACTGTTGAGTAATACAGTAGACATTCAATAAACGTTGGCAGAAAGGAGAGAAGGAGGGAGAAAGCAGGTGAGAAGGGAGGGAGGAAGAAAAAAAAAGAGAAAACTAATGAGATAAATGAACGAAGCTAGAAGGAAAAAAGAGGCCCTGATCTATTAGAGCTGAGTTGTTGTAAACAATGATCACATGATGTTGAGATTGCCTAACACCTTCCTACTAAGAAATTGAAAAGGTAGCTACAGATACCCCAGAGTAACTAGAAAAAGACACAGAATCAGGAGATGGCCTGATCCATAGTAGAAGACAATGTAACCCAATATAAGATTGACACACATTAAAAAAAAAAAAAATCATTCCTTGAATTGTTCACTCCTATTCTGCTCTAAGCACTGGGCTTGGTATAAAAGAGGCTACAAATAAACTGATCTTACCCTAATGAGGTCTCAATTATTGAGGAGGACATAATACCTAGATCAGTGCTATGTTGTTAAATCAGCTATCTGGTGGCGGAGAGTCTTAATTTATAGCATCTGCCTATTTCTGTGGTGTAATACTCCCACCATGGCTGATTCAATCTATCAATAATTTATGCATAATGATTGAGCTCACAAAATCTCTCAGTTTTTAGTAATTGACTCTCAGGAGCCTCCACACACTACTGATGCTCCATCTCCCTTACTTTTCTCTCTTGATATTTTTTTAGCCAGTTTGTTGCATATTAACATCCCTATCACATGATGGACAAGGAAAATAAAATGAGAGAACAGAGAAGCAGCTGATTTTTCTGTCAGTGGTTCTAGCAAAGGAGACAGAATGGGGAGGAAGTTGAAACTATTGGCTAGATGTGTTTATGGGCTTCTACTATTCCCCAGTCTCTCTGCCTCTTATTCCTACAGATAATTAAGAGCAGATGCTCTAATCCAATATGCAAAATACAAAGACACTTTCTGACCAAATACAGAATTGATGGCCACAACCTAGAAATAAAAATGAAGAGAAACAAGCTATGCTGGAAACCTAAGATGGGTCAAGTTCATCAAGATGGCAAGGGGGAATGTTAAAATGGGAAGTCAAACAACTTTCTCTGGGTAGAAATAACATGGCCTCTTTTTCTTTTCCTTTTCTTTTTTTTTTTTTTTTTTTTTTGAGACAGTCTCACTCTGTTGCCCAGGCTGGAGTGCAGTGGTAAGATTGCCGCTCACAGCAACCTCTGCATCCCAGGTTCAAGCAATTCTCCTGCCTCAGCCTCCCAAGTAGCTGGGACTATAGGTGTGCGCCACCACACCTGGCTAATTTTTGTATTTTTAGTAGAGATGTGGTTTCGCCATGTTGGCCAGGCTGGCTCGAACTCCTGACCTCAAGTGATCCGTCCACCTTGGCCTCCCAAAGTGCTGGGATTGCAGGCATGAGCCACTGTGCCTGGCTAACATGGATTTTTTCTGAATGTTAAAGATCACAGCAGCATTCTGGACCAAACACTAAACAGGAAAAAGGATACCAAACTAACAGAAGGGAAAAAATGCTTAGCAAAAACAAACAAATTTTTATCTTTAACACTGTAGGAAACCGGAAACTGGGGAGATGTAGGAAAATTTTATGAAGTTGTGTGATGGTTTAACTGGCGAAAAAGTCTCACCCCACCATGGCAAGGGGGCTCCTTGGGTGGCATTTATGCTGAGACAGGAGAAGAAGGCAGCTGGCGATATTTCCTTTTCTCTCACTAGGACTCTGGCAAGCCTTTCTCTAAGAGAGGCAAAGCCACGTGAATAATACATCACAAAATGCACTTCTGATCTAGGGCAAGTCAGAATGCCTATAAGTTAAGGATGTGGGTCAAAGTGAGAGTTGTCTGTAAAAGCAGTTAGTTTTATCTTTACAAATGCATGTTTATTGAAGTAAGTCCTATTCTCTGTGGCACACTTAGCTGATCCAGCCTCCTTTGCTGACAAAGCTCAGGAAGGGGTAGATAGGAAAAGCCAGCTCTGCTCCATGACTTCAGACACTGGGGACTCCAGGACTTTTAGAGGCCACTCTAACAACACTTGTTACCTTTATTACCATAGTAATAGTCACCTGAACTCAAGCCACACAGAGGAAAAGTTAGAAAAATCAAAAATATGTGAAGATGAGAATATAAGAACCATGCATATGAAGAAATGAAACAAAACTCTCACAGAATCGTTCTTACTTACAGACATACAGCAGCAGAAGCAAAGGAATGGAGGGCATTTTTATTCCGTGCAAATGAAGGTTAACTTAACACTGAAAAAGGAGCCTGCCATACTTAAAAAATAAGTAGATTTAAAAAAAAAATGCCCATAACAAAAGTGTGGCATCTGGGGCTGGTTACTTGCTTCACAACCTGAATGGAACCAAAAAGAGATACAAAGAGATTTAATCTTAAGGTAGTCCAAATCATTCAATTACCCAACTCAAGGAGAGTATAATTATCCTCTTTCACTGGAGTATCATGCGGCCAGAAAGGCTGTGTTAGATAAGTCAAGAGGGCAACTTTATGATAGGAAAGGGAGAAAGTAAGGCAGGAATTAACTATCCCTTATGCCCATGAATGGGCAAAAGCAAGAATGGGTCCTGCTGGTAAGGATGGGAGGGCGGGCAGTCGCCCAGGCATTGTGGCTGGGTGTGTGTCACATCTGGTGGAGGTAGAAATGAGATCATCAAACAGCATGGATGGGAGGTTTTGGATTTTAAAACAGCAAACAGATTAGAAATGTTAAGGAGTTAAAATCAACAAAAAACTAATGTGGATCAAGACATCATGAAATCCAGCAGAGGCAGATTTTTCAGAATCGGGTAGAGGAGGCCAAGAACTGTAATTATCCCACAGGGTATTCCACAGGCCTGGCTTCTGAATCCCAGCGGAAGAAATATATGATGTTAAGAGAACTGTAGGACTTGCAGGAAAGCAAAGAAGAGTCTCGGCAATTTTATCAAAGGGTAGGAGCGTGCAACTTTTACAAATAGTAATCCTAAGACTAAAATATCTGCGTTTGAATCCTGACTCTGTCATTGATTGGCTGGGTTGTGTGCCTGTGTGTGTGTGTGTGTGTGTGTGTGTGTGCGAGCATGCAAATCTCCCAGCCCCTCTGGATCTGAAAGTCTTCCATAAAATCCATAATATGTGATCTAAAAAGTGGTTTCAAGCTTTAAAATTCTAAGAAGTTAAAAAAACTGGGAAAGGAGAATACAGAAGACCTCTTAAGTAAATGAAAGGCCTACAAGAACATTGTTTTGCTCTAAAGGATAGAAAGGACGACTTAAAGACGGAGACTTCAGCCCAGCTGTTAGACATAACCACAGCCACTCAAACCCCACCTACCCCGTGCCTAAACTCACAACTGAGAAGGGCATAGCCTGGTCTCAGGACATTCCATCCTTTGGATTACTTGACGAAGATGACGTCTCTGTCTCCTACCCTCCTAACAGGGTACAATTTTCTAAAAGCAGAGAAAATCCTTCCCAAGAAAATAAACACTCCCAAACAACTGTCCCATTCTGTTACCTATTTGGATTACATAATTATTATGAAGTCAAGACTTTCTTACTGACACACCAAAAAAGACCTCTCATCTCATAAGCTGAACTGCCTTTTTCTCCACTATCCAAAGTTCCAAAAAATCTCCAAGTCCCTAAAAAGCAATCACCACTGCTCACTGTAATGGTCATGAAAAACTGCACTGCCTCATCTCTGCCCAGAACAGAAACTGAGGTCAAAATATTTTCAGAGTTTGGGGATATATAAGTCTTGTATACCATATTCTTCAACAACAACAATAATAAATATCCTCACAAATGCCCTAAATTGCCCTACATTGGGAGAAAACACTGGATATTCTTCCAGGCTTTGGTGAGGATAATTTAGACAAGTGTACTTTTTTTCCACCATGTATAAATGGGGCTACCAATAATTGGTAACTGGCATTGATCAGCCACTAAATCAAATAGGAAGCCCCCTCCCCGCCCACCTGCACAGCAGTCATTATGAGCTCCCCTTTCAGGCGTGTTCAGGGGAAAAAAACCACTGGGCCAGGCTGACCAGAATCCCACAGAGCACAGTGCTAATTAAGGTATCTATACTTTTCCAGTTGATCTGGTTGAACAGCAGTAAAAACACCAAGGGTTCTTTTTCAGCCTGCTCTAACTTGTTTGTCTGGATCAATGTAGAAATTTTCAGCAGCAATTTGCTCTTCCCAATTCCTCTCCCGGGGGAAAAAAAAAAAAAAAAGAGCTAGGATATTCCTGGAATGCCTCTTGACTCACAAATCAGGAGGGGAACCTCCTATCATCATTGTACTTTGCTCATTTCGTTCTTGGGAAAATTAAATGAGATAATACAAGTGCTGAGTGAGAACCTGGTTCACAATAAACTCAATAAATAAATGATGTCAGTCATCGTAAAAAAACAAAACAAAACCAAAAATAATTGCCTCCTGATGTTTATCAACCTACTTGCAATATGGAAGATTGAAATATAAGGCAATAGGTTTCATGGCACACTCCAGAGATGTTTGTGCTGTCCTCCAGCCTTCTCATAATTAGTCACTTGCGAGCAGTAACTCAGAACTTTTTCCAATTTCACAGGTACTCATGCCTCACAACTGCCTCCCCACTCCCAGTAACTGAGAAATAGAGTGTTCAAAACAGTGACAATAGAAAGGCAAAAGACCTTTAAAGAAATTCCACAAAGCCCCTTGGCACTGATCATATAGAAGTTTTGCCAGAAAAATCAAACATCCAACACTAAACAGGTGTTGTCAGTGGGAGAAAAACGGTGAATGAAGCACAGATTCTAAGCATCCTCATCAAATGGTTATGGCCCCATCATAGATCCGACCCCAAATGTCTAGCTTTTCTTGAAGTTTTAGGCCACAAGTAAACTCTTCCTGAGGCACACCTAGCAATCTTTTGTGTTTGGCTCTGCTGTTTGGATATACATAGTATGTTTCCTGCCAGGCACAAAACCATTTTTCAACTTCTTCATGAAAATAAGGTAAGATATCCAGTAAGCAGGTTTTATTACAATTTATAACTGAATTTTCTCATTCACACAGGGTCCACCTTTATGGTGACACACCACAGGATTGTAGCTATGCAGGAAAATTTTAAAGCCATAAAATAAATAATGTCTGGACTCTAGAAAAGATGGTACATTTATAACAGTTATGCAGACTAACATAGCAAAAAATAAGTGGCCACAAAACTTTGTATTTTTCTTTAGTATTATGCCTACTCAACTTGTAAAAGACTGGCCATGTCATAATGTTTGTAGTTTCTAAACCATGTTTTTGGAAACACAGAGGACATCAGTGTTATGCCTATTCAAATTATAAAAGACCCGGCCACTTGACAATGCCTGTAGTTTCTAAACCATGCTTTCCAAATTGCAAAGGGGGCAGGTACAGCCCATAACTTTACAGAATGGCAAGTAATGTTCTACCTTTTGTTGAATAATTGGCTTATTTCACTTGACGTAAGTTTTTATGGCAATCCTCTATTACCATGAAAGTGTACGTTCTCTAGAACTCAATAAGTGCAACTTGTAGAAATCAGGTTTTTTTTATTTAATACATTCTAATCAAATAGTAACAGCAGTAAATAAACACTTTGAAAAACAGGCAGGTATCCCCCTGTATCTGGAAGAAAATTAAGTCAAAGTATTCTACACAGTAGAAGGGAGACAACTGTTTATGTCCATGGTTAGACAATTCAAGGACAACTTGGATATTTCTAAAGCCATTTCCAAAAAATCAATGGCAACAGGTTGGGACACAGCTATTTCAAAGGGTAGAATGCCTATACCTACATTGGTTTTTATTAACGGGGATTGAGTTGCACCTGTATAGCATGATATTCTTGTCTTTAGCTTTAAAGGAAAAGAGAAAGTCTTTTCCATTTGCACCAGTTTGAAATATTTCTGAAATAAGGCTCCCATAGAATGGATTACTACAGTACTCATTCACATGAGAGTTCCTACATGTAGTAAAAAGACAAATACAGGACTTCATGGTCACTTTTTTTGGTTGATTTGGTTAATTGCATAAAATGGGATAAATACTCACATACATCATCTGTTTAACAAAACTCCTAGGTACATCAGAATGCAAAATATAAAATGCCCAAGAGACTCTGATCAGCAGGCATATCAAATTGCAGTGAGGCCTGTGTCAGCTTGGTTCCTTCCCACTTCTTCAGTATTCCTATGAGGAGTTCTTTCTCTCCTACTGGAGCCTGGACCTTTGACATAATGGAAAAGAACCTAAGAAGGCAAGGCATTCTGATAAAACGCGACTTCAGCCTTTACATGCGACATTTTATTTTTAATCTAAAAGGATCAACAGGTCTTGGTCAGCCTTAGGAAGGGAAGCATCACTCAGGTAAAAGTATCTGGAGGAACTTTAAACACCTAGCTACCTCTTCAAGCTGTTAAATTTAAATTAGATTAGCTTCAGCTGTTCTTAGAAAGCATTCCATATAGTTATCCAGAGCACTCAAGTTTTGGTTCTCTTTTACATAGCTGCATTCGGAGATACTCTATGTGAGACATGTTTAAAAAAAGAGAAACATTTATACCTGGAATTTATATTCTTCCAAGTAATCTTTTAGTCTTGTTGGTAAAGGCAGTCCCCAGATGGCACCGGTACATTTGTTAATGGTGAGCCTACAGAGATGCTGCAGAGATGGTGCTGACGTGTAGAGCGGTTTGGTCAGATAAAGGTGAACAGTGCCGTTCCGGGGGGCTTCTGGACCTGTCCGCTTATCCTTGCACATCTGAACATAGTAGTCGATCAGATGAACCACACTGTCAAATTGTTTAAGCTTGGATTTGACACATATGATAGAGTCCAATCTGAATTTTCCGTCTTGGTATTCGATTCGAAGATTAGTTGGTCCAGCTGATGTTTTAACAGATATTGTTAGTAGGTAGTCTGAATGCGAGCTATCTCTAATCAAGAAAGTTCCTTCTGGTGCCTCTTTTAATTTCTCTTTGGCTTCATTAACAGTCATACTTCCCCAGTACCATCCTGGGGTTTTTGTTCAAAAAGAAAAAGAAAAGAGGGTAAAACAGTTATTATAAGAATTCTTAGAACAGAGCAAGTAATTGGCAATAATTTTTTTAGCTCTAAAAAAGAAAAAAAAAAAAGGTGGTGTGTGAGCGAAAGTTTACCGGGCCACCACAAATACTTTCAGTAGGAATTTAATAAAAATTTGGGTCCATTTTATGAACACAAACGGCGAGCCAGTTTTCTTTCTTTTTTAAAAAATCAACTTTCTGAAGCTCTTCTTAAGATTTTCTTCTAATGAACCAAAAGAACATCTGCAGCATGACACACTGGCTGATGAAGCATGACACTTTTAACATTATTTAAGTAAAATAAAGATTTAGGTAAATTAGAAAAAAATCAGAAGTTAGAAATAAAAGCCATGCCCTTTAAAAAGTGGAAAACCCAACTCCTGTAATTGAACTACAGTAAAAACAGAAGCAACTTTTTTGGATGGTTGGTGTGCCCCCCACCAAAAAAAAAAAAAAAAAAAAAAAAAGAATCTGCAAAGCCTGCTATGAACAGCCTTCTATGTAGAAAGCACTGCTATGTACTTGTTGTAAAAGCACAGCTCTAGTACAATAGCTTCTGTTCGCTGCTTTATGACTACCTTACCAGTCACTAAGAAATGGGAATTCCCAAGTGATAATTACTACTTCAAGTTTACAATCTTCCCTAAACTCTTTTGAACTTTGCCCTAATCCAAACCCAATCACAACCATCCATCTCCCCTGCATTCTTGATTTCATCTGCCTGCACCATCTCCCCGGCCCACTCTGCTTTCTAAGAAGGCTCAGAGACCGTCCGTATTTAAGAAGTCTGAACATTTGTGCTCCCCCCACCCCCACAATTACCGGGATACTTGCAATCTGCCGGTGCCTCCCCGGGAGGGAAAGCCCGTGGCCCACACGGAAAGACCGGAATCGCAAGCGAGAGAACTTTTCCCTCTCCCTCCCCCTGTTGCTACCAAAATTTCAACTGTGCCACAACTGTAAGCTTTTAGGATACGGATTTGGAAAGCCAGAATGATTTGCCAGATACTTTACTTTTTTTCTTTTTTCTTTTTTCAGATGCCTAGAGACAGCGTGCCGCGCGAATTGCCTGACTGTACTTGAAAGCGGCAGTACCCTGGGCGCGCCGACCATGGAAGCCGCGCTCGGCGGGGGCTTCGCAGCCTACTCTCGACGCCCGGGCAGCCGCCCTCGCGGCAGTGTCAGTCCCTGAACTTGGCCGCCAAGATCCTGGGCTGCAGCCGCAGCTCCGCCCGGGAGCCAGATGCTGCTGGGCCTGCGGGGCCCGCGGCACCGACTTGCTGATTGCACCCCGTGCAAAGGGAGGCGCCCGACGCTTTCCCCGGCCGGGGTTCGAGCCCGGGAGCCTAACCCTGAGCAGCTGCGGAAAACAGTAAATCTTCCAGCGTGCTAAGAAGCTATTTCCAAGAAGCTCTTCCCGCGCTCTGCGCTCCGCCAGGCCTGAGTCCCTGGAGAACCACTTTCCTTACGCATTCCCAAGGACCCAGGACCCTGCGAGCGTGCTCTCCGCGGTCCCTTGGAAGCAAGGGACGTATTTCCATCTTATTCTTTGCTTCCCACCTCGACCCCGCTTCCTAGCTGCTTCCTTGGGGAGGCGCTCCCTCCCGCACGCGTCGCGGCCGATCGGCTCCCTACCTGTCTGACCGAGCTCCCGCAGGGCCTTCGCCAGACGCGCCGCCTGCGGGGATGGCTCCTCCGCCGACCCCGCGGTCCCCCACTGGCTCCGCGTCCCTTCCCCGCCATTCCCGGAGGGCTCAAGGCACCGCAGGGTCATGAGAGAAGGGTCACCGCGGCAAAGACAGGTGGCCGCCCGAGCTGGGGTCAGAGAAGGGTTCGCGTCCTTCCTTGAAGTCAGTGCGAATCCCAAAACGAGTCCCTGCGGGGTGTCCGAAATGGTGGCAGAGAGAGAAGGGATGGGGCTCTTTCTCCCCAGAT
Source organism: Homo sapiens (assembly GCF_000001405.40). NCBI lineage: Eukaryota > Metazoa > Chordata > Mammalia > Primates > Hominidae > Homo > Homo sapiens. Next base: position 93,572,736 of record NC_000012.12, on the reverse strand, counting down.
CCTGGAGGACGGATGACAAAGTCCCTCGCAGCCGCGGTCACCCACTGATCGCCTACAAAGAGAAAGCGGGAGGTTGGGTCAGTCCAAACTGGACCCCTGCGGCTGGGGTGGGGGTGGGGAAATAGACGTGGAAAATCCCAGGGACTCCTCCGCCTCTACGTTCCTGCACCATTTAACCCCAAGCTTCCAGTTAGCGCCCTGGCCCAGCTCTAGAGAAAAGATAAAGAGAGCAGAGATCCAAGATAAAGTTGGCTGAAGAGGTGGGGGGCGGAGGTCAGGAGGAGGGTGAACAGGGTGTCTTCCCGCCCAGGGTCACTAGCTGAAATCAAAGACTGGCGACCTAGGAAGAGCAAATAGTCACCTGCAGATCCAGTGGGAATAGGCCCTTGTCAAGGACAAGTAGAAAAAATTAAAAAGGAAAGAACAGGAGAGATTCCCCAAATTGGCATTCCGGTCTCACACCTGGCGCAGCCCGAGGGCCCCCAGGAAGAAGCACCCACACAAACTTGGTTCTCCGCCCTAAAGCGCTGCGGGGCCCCGAGGCACCAACCCGGGGTGCGGAGGTGCGGGAGCTGCCGCATCTCCGCCCGGGAGGCTCCTCGCTCCCCTCCCCCCGCTTCCTGGTGCCCGCTCTGGCGGGGTTGGGGGTGCCGCGGCGGTCGCTCCCGGACCAGGATGGCTGCGGTGGTTCTCGCCGCCGCGGGCGCTGTCGAGGAATCGGCCCGAGCGCGCAGCCCTCGCGGGGCTCCGAGGCGAGGCCGGGGCCGAGCGGGCGGTCGCGAGCGCTGCGGAAAATGCAAACCACCAACGCCGCGCTCTTACCTCGACCTCGGCCGCGGCCGCCGCCGCCGCCTCCGCACCAGGCAGCCTCCTCAGCGGACATGGGGCGGGGGGGTGGGGGGAAAAGGGGAGGTGGGAGGGGCCCGGGAGAGGAGGGGCGTCTGCCCTTGTTTCCCCCGTTAACGTTTAATTTGGGAACGAGATGCCCGGGGATGCAACCAGCCCCGCGCTCGGAGGCGGCGGTCGGAGTTCCGTGCGCAGAGGGCACACAAAAGCCTCGAGGATCATTGCCTCGACCCCATCCCCCACCGCGCGGCGACGCCCCCTACGGGCTGGGACACCTCCACTCTCGGACTGCTGCCGGGTTTCCCTCCGGCTGCGACCCTGGAGGTGGGAAGGAGAGAGGGAGGGAGGGAGGAAGGAGCGAGGGCGGGAGGCAGGCCGGTGGGGAGGAGCGGGAGATCAGGTTATTAGGAGGATTATTAATTTGAATGGCAGTTTAGGGGAAATAAAAAAAAGAAACTCCAGACACTTCCAGACGCCGAGAAGGGGCTGGAGAAAGCAGGCAGCAACGCTAGGCCGCGGGGCAGAGCCGCGGTTCGGACTCTCTCTTCCCCGGCGCTCCGAGCTGCGGAAGCCCAGGCCGTCCGCCGCTCCCCGGCGCACGCGGCCGCGCCTCGCCGCCCTCCCCGGTAACTCTCCTCGGGGCGGAGCCTTCGGGCTTCCCCCACTACCGGTACCTGCCGCGGGCGCCCGAGCTGCGGGCACGGGGTATCCTGAGGCTGTGCACCCGGGACCCCGGCGCGCACTGTCCGCGGGCCACGCGGTGAGGGTGGCTGCGGGCGAGAGGGCTCATGCTTCAGGGGAAGCCCAAGGCCCGCCAGCCGCGGCGGCTGCGACGAGACTTGGCAAGAGTTAAACGTCGGTCCCAGGAGCAGCGAGTGCGCGCGACTTCCCAGACCGACGCGCCTCCCTTGCTCCCCGCCTCCCTCCCCAGTCAGCGCTCCGCTCGCGCCCCGCCCGGCTGCTGCGGAGGCGGCTTTCCAGGAACTTTCCAGGAATCGGCCTCACGTGACCGCGGGCCCCGCTACTGCTTTAAAGAGGCTCGGTCGCAATACACAGGCTTCAGGGAAGACCGGGTGAGAGCGCTCGGGTGCAGGGCGGGCGGTGTGCACGCCGGGGTCGGCCTGCCTCTGGCCCCACACCCCGGGGTGCTCGGGCGCAAGCTAGAGATCTCCCCGGCCACCGGCTACAGCCAACCCCGTTTCGGCGGCCGGAGCCTGCCCCCTACCCGGGCCAGCTGAGCGCCCGGGTTCAGGGAAGGATAGCGATCCTTGGCCCTTGGCCTGCCACGGGGGTGGGTTCCTCTAAACATCCCGGCGGCGCCCCCTCGATGCGACCCTCCTGGCCGCACTTTTGCGGGGGGTGGGCGTGCAGGAGCGACTGTGGGTCCTCGGAAACCAGACTCTCCGGCTCTAAGACACATCGATGGCGTGGGGACGCCGTGCTCGTCCCGGTGCCCACGGCCGGGGACCGGAGGCGGTCCCCTTGATCAGGTCCTGGAAGGCAGCGAGCGGGAGAGCAGCGCCTCCTTAAGCGGCGCCGGCCGTCCTTAGTCCCCTCCCCCTGGCGCTCCGGCTCCTTGTCACCCGCACCCACCCGGCTCCTCCCTTCCTCCTCCCCTCTGCTCCAACGTCTCCGGTAGACCCGGCGGCCCGCCCGGGTCACCTGCGCCGGCTGCTAAGGGGGCGCCCTTACCTGCGCGCCCGGAAGGGGCTTGGTGACTGGCCTCGGTTCCCTCAGTCCGGAGAGTGTCTCTGCCATTCCCTGCAGGGCTGACGCCCCAGGGCTGGGATTCGGAAGGATCTCGGCACCTCTACCCTACCTGGGATTCTCACCTCCAACCCCGTTGGAGGCCCCCTGGCCTTAGTGGAAACTCATCTCCTTGTCTGCGCACCCGCCCCCGAAATATGACCTACTTGAAATGTGACCTACTTTTTAAAAGAAACCCTTAACAATCACGGGAAAACCGGATCCAAAATTTCGATAAGCATTTTTCTTTGAAATACTATTCTATTGCATCACTGCTCGAAAGCTTGAAAGGTCAATGGCCACTTTTAGTTGAGGCCGCGGCTATGGGAAGTTGGGCGAGGAAGGGGGAGGGGTGGGAGGGAGGCGCGTCTTGCAAACTTTGCCTGGTGCCCCCCCTGCCGGCTCTGGGAGGAAACGGGAACCAGCTCCCAACCTTGGGGTCTGCAGCCGGGGACCAATGGTTTTCTCAATAATTTTCCTGCTTTTGAGTACATAATTCTATGCAGATGATAAGCAGATGAGTCGGGGAGGGGGGCATTTCCCAGCTAACAAAGAGCTTTGTTAACGCTGGAGCCGTGTGCCCTTAATCATGTTTCGTTTTTTAGAAAGAGCCTTTTATAGTGTGGGCGGAGCTAACTGAACCCTAGTTAAAATCCTCTACAAAGTAGTTGAATAATTTTGCACAAGGCACTTACCCTCTTTGGACCTCTGGCCCTTTTTATAACATGAAGGGCTAGATTCGGGTTCTGGGTGAGGGACTGGGATAAAGGAACAAATCAGATTCCATGTGAAGCCTGTGTACAGTCTGAGGCCCCAAGCCTTTTAAGAACCACTATGTCTACTAGGGTTAACTGCCCTCTAAATTGTCCTAATATGGCTTCTTATTCCTTGATGGAGAATCCTAGAGGAAGGGTGTACCCACACTTTAGCTTAAATAAAAAGGTATTTATTCCTAAAACTGACGGAGGGCGGGGAGGGAGCATGACCAAGTCTCCCTCTGTCGCCCAGGCTGGAGTGCAGGGCGTGATCTCAGCTCACTGCAACCTCCGCCTCCCAGGTTCAAGCAATTCTCCTGCCTCAGCCTCCCGAGAAGCTGGGATTACAGGCGCCCACCACCACGCCCGGCTAGTTTTTGTATTTTTAGTAGAGACGGGGTTTCGCCCTGTTGGTCAGGCTGGTCTCGAACTCCTGGGTTCAACCGATCCTCCTGCCTCGGCCTCTCAAAGTGCCGGGTTTACAGGCGTGAGCCACCCCTCCTGGCCCTAACATTTTTATACAGTAAGTTTAATATTTACTTGATAGTGGGTTGAAATGAATCTTCCAGCAACTCCTTTTTTATGTGCTTTCCTGTTGCCTTGGTGCATGCTGTTCCCTCTTCCTAGAATGCTCCAACCCTGATGGCTGCATCATACTTGATTAAAAGAATCCTGGCCGGGCGCGGTGGCTCACGCCTGTAATCCCAGCACTTTGGGAGGTTGAGGCGGGTGGATCACTTGAGGTCAGGAGTTCAAGACCAGCCTGGCCAACATGGTGAAACACCGTCTTTACTAAAAATACAAAAATTAGCCGGGTGTGGTGGTGCATGCCTGTAATCCCAGCTACTAGGGAGACTGAGGCAGGAGAATCGCTTGAACCCGGGAGGTGGAGGTTGCAGTGAGCCGAGACGGTGCCACTGCACTCCAGCCTGTTTACCTCTCTGACCTCATTTCCTCCTGCTCTGTTCTTTGATCACTCTGTTCAAGTTACACTGGACTCCTTGCTAATTCTAGAACTCATTAGCCTTGCCCCTGCTTCAGGGTCTTTGTATTTGCTGTCTCCTCTACCTCTCATGCTCTCCTTTTAGATAGCTGCAAGGTTTACTCCCTCACTTCCTCAAATCTTTATTTAATGCCGCTTTCTTAGTGAGACCTTGCCTGTTGGCTCACTCAGAATTGACCTTCCCCCTGCACATTTCTCTTTCCTCCCTGCTCTAGTTTTTTCCTTAATCATGTTCACCATCTAACCTAGTTTATGTCTTATTTCTCCAGCTTACTTTCTCCCCAACTCTGCTTCATGTATTTGTACTTGCATTGTTCACAGCTGTAGTTCAGCACCTTGAACATAGTTCTTAGCATGTAGTAGGCATCCAATATAATCATTGAATGAATGGATGGATGAATGAATGGATGGATGAATGAATGAATGCATTAGCACCATGGCTTTAAAGTTAAGCTGTCCAGGTATGAATCCTCACTCTGCCACCACTTGCTACATATGTGATCTTTGGCAATTTATTTAGCCTCTTCTGGAGATGATCATGGTCCCTACCTTACAGGGCTGTTGTGAGAATTAATTGAGCTAATCTATGAAAAGTGCTTTGGAACTTAGCAAATACTTAATAACAATTAGCTGTTATTTCAACTGTCATCCTTTTACTCTCGGTGAGTTTGGATTTTTCTGTCTATGGATAAGATTGTCTTACATTTGCCTATGTAAAATTCAATGGTCACCTCCACCCCCACCAAACCTCCCATCCTGTGGCTTCCAGAGAACTTCATGTAGTTGGTTCCCTGGAGCGCCCTTTCGGCTTTAAAATTTACAGGTTTCCAAAGTGATTCCATTTGTTCCTAGATTTTCAGACCATATCTATTCAGTGTGGCAGATTCATGGCTGCAGTGATGAACGGTTATTCTCCATGAGGAGCGAAGGGAGAAGATTTTCACAAAGCTGGAGCATTTCCTCCACTGCCTGCACTGAGGAGTTGCCAAGGCTTGAAAATCTCTTCTGTGTGCCAAACCAGAACTGGACATTTCTGGTTTTGCAATGCAGACGTTCTAGTACTGGAATTAACAAATGCTCCACACTGAGCTACTGCCAAATTGCCAGGAGAGTTTTTCAGTGTTTGTTTGGGGGATAGGGTAACAATAGGATGGCCTTTGGAGATTGTGTCTGACACACCTGTGGGCAGAAGGTAGGCTTTAAGTATCCACCATCTCTTCCTTTTAGAGTTTGCCATCTCCGTACCACCACCACCACCACACACAGCACCCTCAAGACTCCCTGTGATCCTGGGATGCACTCAACGAAGAGTGTGTGGCCCAGGTGAGCCAATGGGAATGACTCGAGCTCTTGGACATAGAGGTTTGTCCAGTATCACAAGTCCAGTAGAACCAACCAGATTATTTTTATTTTCAGGATTTGATGGAAATGCTACAAGAGAAGCAGGCTCTCCCCTTCTGAAATGATGAGTGATAATGACCATACAGGTCAACTTTTCCACCACTTGGAGGGAGCCTGTCAAAGAACAAAGGCAACAGAGAAGAGAGCAGAGCTGAGGTTGGGTGAGAGGGAGAAATTCCTGAGTGCTTGAATCCCACATGCCGGAAGCCGCACCACACTTGGACTTCTCAATACAGGAGCCAGTGAGTTTATTTTTTCCTGACCTGGTTGGATTTGGGCATTCTCAAGAGTTTGGGGGTTGGGTGGGGGGCATTTAGGGGAGAGAGCAGAATGCAGAATTGAGAAGGGGAAGAAGAGAGCTGCCTTCCACTTTAATGAGCATCTCCTACTTTTCCTCTGGTGCTTCTCAGCACTAAGTCCCTTTTACAATATACTGCTTGCTCCATCCCCATAATGGAGGACACTCACTGGTAGACAAAGGAAGAGGGAGAGGAGCAGAGCTGATGCCACTGGCATTAGTGCTCTGGGCCCAGGATGGGGCAGGGAGCAGTGAGGCAGATGGCTTTCTCCTGGACTTCTGGGACCCAAGAACATGGTAAATGTCCATGCCGTCTGTCTTTCCGCCCACAGAATGGAGGGGAAACATGTTCTAGGACAGCAGTCATCAATCTTATTTAAGACATGAATCAATCAGAAATTCCGGTAGAATCTAGAGACCAGAGGTCACAAACCACCTGCCTATCGGGACCATATTTGACTCACTCAGAGTGTTCTGGTTGGTATGCCAGGATTCTCTAAAGAAAATGTGAACTAAATTGAGATTTCATCTCCAAAGAGAACCAGATTTCTGCTTTCTCTTAATCAGCCATAAGGTCTGTCAATACTGGGTCCCATTTCCTCAAGGCAGTGATCAACTGAAGCAGAGGAGTGAGTGCCTGCCTTAGAAGGCATGTGCCCTCCCGTTTGCCCAATCCTCACCCGCCCCAAGGTCTCCCCAACACTGAGCATTGCTTGCCTTTTGTCATCACCCTTGCATTACTGTTTCTTATGGTGGAGAGATATTTATTTGGACCCAAGTCTCTACCAGAAGTGACGAAATAAAAGACAGACCCAGAAGGCTGAATATGTCAGAATAAAAGGGAGAAGGCATATTTCTCTGTGGAAGAAAATAATATTCCTCTGTGTTTAAGAGACTGGGTTCTCACACCTGATGTATTTCATTCTTCTATATTCCCACCTAGCTCTGCAGGCATTTATTGGCAGGCTACACCTAAGACTTTCTCTGCAGAAAAATGTTCTAGATGCACAGATTTGGGGGCTTGATTGACAACCTGACACCTCACTCTAAATCCGCATGGGTCTGTTGACCTCAGGTGAGAACACTTGTTCTAAGGGAGTGGAAGGTCTTTATTAAGATAACCCTGAGAAATAAAAGTCTGCCTTGAGCATTGTATGGGACTCTTTTTTGTTTGTTTGTTTGTTTTTATTTTGAGACACTGTCTCTGTCACCCAGGCTGGGGTGCAGTGGCACAATCTCGGCTCATTGCAACCTCAAACTCCTGGGCTCAAGCAGTTTTCCCACTTCAGCCTCCCTAGTTGCTGGGACCACAGGTGTGCACCACAACACCTGGCTAATTTTTGTACTTTTGTAGAGACAGGATCTCCTTTTATTGCTCAGGTTGGTGTCAAACTCCCCCGCTCAAGTGATCCTCCCACCTCAGCTTCCCAAAGTGTTAGGATTACAAGCGTGAGCCACTGCACCTGGCTGGGACTCTCTTTATTGGAATTGGTTTGTATAGTCAGAGGATCATCAATCAATAAGACTTTGGTGCTGGGAAGGACACTATTTTACTCGTTAGAGCCATGGTGCTCTAACCTTCTGGCTTCCTTATTTCCCAAACACAACAATCCTGCCTCAGGGCCTTTGTACCTGTTGTTCTCTTTGAAATGCTCTTTCCCCAGTAGTCCCATGTCGCTGCTCCCTCACTCCATTCATGTCTTTGCTCTGAGTGGCTTTCCCTCCCCACTTTATGTAAAATAGAAGCCCCACCAGTGACCATTTCTTCCTCCTGCTTTATTTTTTTATCCTAACACTTTACTCTTCTCTGACCATATAATGGTTACTCATTTATTTGTTTACTGCCTTTCTTCCCACTGTGATATAAGCAGGGACTTTGTTATATTCACCCCTCTATCCTCAGTGCCTACAACAGCTTCTGGCCCAATATAAAGTTATTGAATGAATAAATAAATAAATGAATCTAATGCGTCTGTAAGTGAGGGAACCGAAACATTTTTGCCACCTTCTTTCTGCCCTGGATCCACTTTTTTTTATCTTCCCCTACTTGGATGTGCTTCCCAGCTTACTCTTTGGCTTACCCTTCAGACTCTGGTGTGCTACCAAGAAGAGCTTGGCTTTCTTGAAGTTCCTGCTTAATCTCCATGAGCCTGGCCCCAAAACAATAGTACCTAGTAGCATGAGAGAGATTCATCAAGTCAACAAACATGCATGAGTACTTACAATGTTCCAGGCCTCGTAGAACCCACTAGGGGGACTCAGCCTTCCTCTTAAAGAGGTCTAGTTCTAGTGAGAGAGAAACCATCAACAGATAATTCTAACAAAGGGTGAGAAGTCACGGGAGAGTGCACAGAATGGTTTTGCAAACAGCCAGAAGCACCACTGTAATCACCTTGGGATGTCCAGAAAGGCATCACAGTAGAGGGGACCCGGATGGAGCCCCCTAACGTCTCTGAATTTTTGTTTTCCCATCCATGTCATGAGAAATTTGGACTGGATGAGCTATTAAGTTTCCTTCTCATTTGAATCACTTCCAACCTCTTTTCCATGACCTTGCAAAGAGCAGTTGATGGTGTTATTAGACCTAAGCCTGGTCAGCCTCTAGGTATGTTTGACTTTCCAGAGAGGTTCACAAAGGTCAAGGCCTGGTGTGATGATGTGGTAAGCAGAGCAGGCAGAAGAATACCTATCAGTAAAGAACAAACACCACTCCTGGCTTAGTCACGGAATTCTGAGAAGCAGCAGCACCCAGTGAACCAACCTGCAGGCTGGCAATCACGGGTGAGGCTACCTTTAGCCAAGGCTTGTGGCAGAACCACATGAGGGAGGCTCTGCAAATAGTAGCTGCTTCCTCAAACCACAGGACAACTTCTATATACATTCCACCTGGAAAGGCCAGCTGATCACACATATAGGCCTTTTCTGCTATCCTATCGCGTTAAATTTACAATCATAATTATCATGTCCCACCATAAAGGAATGTGATATAATAATATCAGTTTGCCTTTATCACTTTGCCTTTACTTATGGTTTTAATCTCTCTTCACCAACATATTATAGCATATGCCTGATTTTATTCTTGTGGCAACCCTTTGATGATGGTAGAAAAAAATACTTACCTCACATGTAAGTAAATTAAACCAAAGTACATTAAGTAGTTTATTCTGTACTTGTAAACAAATTGTCCTTAGAAAAACAGTATATATAGGGTTTAATATAAATGAAAGTAACATTTTAAGTGAAAAAGTAGCTTGGCAAGTAACTTGCTTTTAAAATAGGTGATTCAAATCACTGTGTACTATTCCAACAAATGTAACTATAATATTCTCAAATGTGATTTACAATATTTAAACATAGGACCGGGATAAAGAATTGAGGAAAATTGGTTTTTTTGTCTGTTTTGTTATCAAAAACTCCCAATCGAAAAAAATGTTACATTTCAGTATGTGCCAACAATTCTAAAATACATACTAAAGTCAAGTCTTGTTTCTTATACAATGCCAAAAAATAATAATAAATAAAAAGAGAGAGAGAGAAAGCATCATGCTAGTAAGTCCTGCCAATTTATCTGGCTTTTCTCTGGCTTTTCCAATGCTTGCAGGGAAGGAGTGTTTTTTTATTACAAGTTTCTCTGAGCCAATTACTCTTTTCTAAATTTTTCTCCCATTTTTAAAACCCATACTAATTAAAAGAGGCAAATTTGACTGACAAAGCCATCAGGCAAATCCTTGTCTTTCTTATATTTTTAGCCCAAGATCTACAATGCCTTCTACTTTGCCACAACCACAAAGTTCCCCCTGCCACATCTTCATTGACAACAGATTATATTGTGATCTATTGATTCCAGCCATTGAATGGACAAAAATAACAATAGCATAAGATGATATGAATAAATACATAGATGATCACTGTAGCACTGGGAAGTCAGAAGATAGTTATATGCCAACATCCCACACAAAGACCACCACAAAATGAAACACAAACTACCAAAGCTTATTCAAGAAGAAGTAGATTGCTGATGTACCTTCAGAATAAATAAATAATCAAACAAACAAACAATAAACAAGTGGCTAATTTTATAGCCCTATTTATATTAATGAAATAAAGTCTCCAGGTTCAGAAGCCTTCATTGATGAATTATACCAAACATTTCATGGAAAAATAATATCCACCCTACATAAACTTAAAAAAAAAATAAATCGGAGATGTGAGAACATTTAACAACTTGTATCAGGAGGCCAACATTATGTAGTCTGTCATACCAAGGACAGGCAAGACAGAAGAGAAAAGTATAAGCCAGCATCTCTCATTTTAAAATTTTTTTTAAATTTTAAGTTCTGGGGTACATGTGCAGGACATGCAGGTTTGTTACATAGGTAAATCTGTGCCATGGTGGCTTGCTGCACCTATCAACCCATCACCTAGGTATTAAGCCCCACATGCATTAGTCATTTTTCCTGATGCTCTTGCTCCCACCTCCCCCATCACCCCTACAGGCCCCAGTGTGTGTTGTCCCCCTCCGTGTGTTCATGTTTTCTCATTGTTCACCTCCCACTTATAAGTGAGAACATGTGGTGTTTGATTTTCTATTCCTGCGTTAGTTTGCTGAGGATAATGGCTTCCAGCTCCATCCATGTCCCTGCAAAAGTCATGATCTCTTTCCTTTTATGGCTGCATAGTATTCCATGGTGTATATATACCACATTTTCTTTATCCAGTCTATCATTGATGGGCATTTGGGTTGGTTCCATGTCTTTGCTATTGTGAATAATGCTGCAGTGAACATATGCATGCATGTATCTTTATGGAATGATTTATATTCCTTTGGGACCCAGTAACGGGATTGCTGGGTCAAATGGTATTTCTGGTTCTAGGTCTTTGAGGAATTGCCATACTGTCTTCCACAATGGTTGAACTAATTTACATTCCCACCAACAGTGTAAAAGCGTTCCTATTTCTCCACAGCCTCGCCAGCATCTGTTGTTTCTTGACTTTTTAATAATCACCATTCTGACTGGCATGAGATGGTATCTCATTGTGGTTTTGATTTGCATTTCTCTAATGATCAGTGATGTTGAGCTTTTTTCCATATGTTTGTTGGCTGCATAAATGTCTTCTTTTGAGAAGCATCTGTTCATGTCCTTTCCTCACTTTTTAATGGAGTTGTTTGGTTTTTTTTCTTGTAAATTTGTTTAAGTTCCTTGTAGATTCTGGATATTAGGCCTTTGTGAGATGGATAGATTGCAAAAATTTTCTCCCATTCTGAAGGTTTTCTCTTCACTCTGAAGATAGTTTCTTTTGCTGTGCAGAAACTCTTTACTTTAATTAGATCCTGTTTGTCAATTTTTGCTTTTGTTGCAATTGCTTTTGATATTTTTGTCATAAAATCTTTGCCCATGCCTATGTCCTGAATGGTATTGTCTAGATTTCTTCTAGAGTTCTTACAGTTTTGGGTTTTACATTTAAGTCTTTAATCCATCTTGAGTTAATTTTGTATAAGGTGTAAGGAAGGAGTTCAGTTTCCATTTTCTGCATATGGCTAGCCAATTCTCCCAGCATCATTTATTAAGTAGGGAGTCCTTTCCCCATTGCTTGTTTTTGTCAGATTCGAAGAAGATCAGGTGCTTGTAGATGTGCAGTCTTATTTCTGAGTTCTCTATTCCATTCCACTGGTCTATGTGTCTGTTTTTGCACCAGTACCATGCTGTTTTGGTTATCATAGCCTTGTAGTATAGTTTGAAGTTGGGTAGCATTATGCTTCCAGCTTTGCTCTTTTTGCTTAGGATTGTCTTGGCTACAGGGGCTCTTTTTTTGGTTCCATATGAATTTTAAAGTAGTTTTTTCTAACTCTGTGAAGAATGTCAATGGTAGTTTAATGGGAATAGCATTGAATCTATAAATTATTTTGGGCATTATGGCCATTTTCATGATATTGATTCTTCCTATCCATGAGTATGGAGTGTTTTTGCATTTGTTTGTGTCCTCTCTGATTTCCTTGAGCAGTGGTTTGTAGTTCTCCTTGAAGAGGTCCTTCACTTTGCTTGTTAGCTGTACTCCTAGGTATTTTATTCTCTTTGTAGCAGTCGTGAATGAGAGTTCATTCATGATTTGGCTCTCTGCTTGTCTATTGTTTGTGTCTAGGAATGCTAGTGATTTTTGCACATTGATTTTGTATCCTGAGACTGCTGAAGTTGCTTATTACCTTTAGAAGCTTTTGGGCTGAGATGATGGGGTTTTCTAGATATAGGATCATGTGATCTGCCAAAAGAGATAGTTTGACTTCCTCTCTTTCAATTTGAATACCTTTTATTTCTTTCTCTTGCCTGATTGCCCTGGCCAGAACTTCTAATACTATGTTGAATAGGAATGGTAAGAGAGGGCATCTTTGTCTTGTGCAGGTTTTCAAGGGGAATGCTTCCAGCTTTTGTACATTCAGTATGATATTGGCTGTGAGTGTGTCATAAATGGCCCTTATTATTTTGAGGTATGTTCCGTCAATACCTAGTTTATTGAGAGTTTTTTAAATGAAGGATGTTGAATTTTATCAAAAGCCTTTTCTGTGTCTGTTGAGATAATCATGTGGTTTTTGCCTTTAGTTCTGTTTATGTGATGAATTATGTTTATTGATTTGCATACGTTGAACCAGCCTTGCATCCTGGGATGAAGCCAACTTGATTGTGGTGGATAAGTTTTTTGATGTGCTGCTGGATTTGGTTTGCCATTATTTTATTGAGGATTTTTGCATCAATGTTCATCAGGGATGTTGGCCTGAAGTTCTCTTTAGTTGTTGCATCTCTGCCAGGTTTTGGTATCAGAATGATGCTGGTCTCATGAAATGAGTTAGGGAGTAGTCCCTCCTTTTCAATTGTTTGGAATAGTTTCAGAAGAAATGCTGCCAGCTCCTCTTTGTACGTCTGGTAGAATTCAGCTGTAAATCCATCTGGTTCTGGGCTTTTTTTGGTTGGTAGGCTATTTATTTATTTTTTTTTTATTTTTTATTTTTTTTATTATTTTTTTTCTTGAGACGGAGTCTCATACTGCTGCCCAGGCTGGAGTGCAGTGGCACCATCTCGGCTCACTGCAAGCTCTGCCTCCCAGGTTCACGCCATTCTCCTGCCTCAGCCTCCCGAGTAGCTGGGACTACAGGCGCCCGCCACCACGCCTGGCTAATTTTTTGTATTTTTATTAGAGACGGGGTTTCACCGTGTTAGCCAGGATGGTCTCGATCTCCTGACCTCGTGATCCGCCCGCCTCGGCCTCCCAAAGTGCTGGGATTACAGGCGTGAGCCACCGCGCCCGGCCTATTTATTAATGCCTCAATTTCAGAACTTGTTAGTCTATTCAGGGATTCAACTTCTTCCTGGTTAGTCTTGGGAGGGTGTATGTGTCCAGGAATTTATCTATTTCTTCTAGATTTTCTAGTTTATTTGCATAGAGGTGTTTATAGTATTCTCTGATGGTTGTTTGTATTTCTGTAAGGTCAGTGGTAACATCCACTTTATCATTTTTTATTGTGTCTATTTGATTCCTCTCTCTTTTCTTCTTTATTAGTCCAGCTGGCAGTCTACCTATTTTATTAATTTTCTCAAAAACCCAGCTCCTGGATTTGTTGAGTTTTTGAAGGGTTTTTCGTGTCTCTGTCTCCTTCAGTTCTGCTCCAATCTTGATTATTTCTTGTCTTCTTCTAGCTTTGGACTTTGTTTGCTCTTAGTTCTCTAGTTCTTTTAGTTGTGATGTTAGGATGTCAATTTCAGATCCTTCTAGCTTTGTGTTGTGGGCATTTAGTGCTATGAATTTCCCTCTTAACACTGCTTTAGCTGCATCCCAGAGATTCTGGGGTGTATGTTGTCTCTTTGTTCTCACTGGTTTCAAAAAACTTCTTGATTTCTGCCTTAATTTCATTATTTATCCAGGAGTCATTCAGGAGCAGGTTGTTCAATTTCCACATAGTTGTGTGGTTTTGAATGGGTTTCTTAATCTTGAGTTCTAATTTGATTGCACTGTGGTCTGAGAGACTGTTTGTTATTATTTCAGTTCTTTTGCATTTGCTGAGAAGTGTTTTACTTCTAATTATGTGATCAGTTTTAGAGTAAGCACCATGTGACACTGAGAAGAATATATATTTGTTATTTTTGGGTGGAGAGTTCTGTAGATATCTATCAGGTCCACTTGCTACAGAGCTAAATTCAAGTTCTGAATATCATTTTAAATTTTCCATCTTGATAATCTGTCTAATATTGACAGTGGGGTGTTAAGGTCTCCCACTATTATTGTGTGGGAGTCTAAGTCTCTTTGTACATCTCTAAGAACTTGTTTTATGAATCTGGTTGCTCCTGTATTGGGTGCATATATATTTAGGATAGTTAGCTCTTCTTATTGAATTGAGCACTTTACCATTATGTAATGCTCTTCTTTGTCTGTTTTCATCTTTGTTGGTTTAAAATCTGTTTTGTCAGAAACTAGGATTGCAACCCCTGCTTTTTTCTGCTTTCCATTTTCTTGGTAAATTTTCCTCCATTCCTTTATTTTGAGCCTAAGTGTGTCTTTGCACATGAGATGGGTCTCTTGAATACAGCATACTGATGGCTCTTGACTCTTTATCCAGCTTGCCATTCTATGTCTTTAATTGGGACATTTAGCCAATTTACATTTAAGGTTAATGTTATTATGTGTGAATTTGATCCTGTCATCATGATGCTAGCAACCAATATCTCTCATGAACATAGTCACAAAATATTAGCAAACTGAATCCAGAAATATTTAAAAAGGACATACTTGGGCATATTCTAGGAAGGCAAGGTTAGTTCAACATTTAAAGTCAATCACTGAAACTCTTGATCTCAATGTACTAAAATAGTACAATTATATAATTATCTCAATACATGCAAAAAAAGTGTTTATAAAATTCAACATACATTCCTCATAAAAAAATTTCAGCAAACTAGGAATAGAAAGAAACTTCCTCAATCTGATAAATCTTATTTATAAACAACCTACAGTTAGCATCATTTTTAATGGTAAAAAATCAAATGCTTCCCCCCTAAGGTTCTAGCCAATGCTAGAAAAATAAAATATGTAAATTTAGTTAGGCTTCAAGATATGAAAACGTCAATATAAAAAATAGTTTTTCTATTTACTAGCAAGAAACAATTGGAAATTTAAAATGTTAAAAACACAATTTATAATAATTTTTAAAACGTGAAATAATTAGTAATGTAAGCCCTCTACATTGAAGTAATGTTTTTAAATACTGAGAGAAATTATGGTAGAATAAATAAAGAGACAGACTATGCTCATGGCTTGGAAGAGTCAACATTGCTAAAATGTCAGTTCTCCCCAAATTAGTCTTAGATTCAACATAACCTAAACAAAACCTCAACAGCCTTTTTTGGGGGTAAAAATTAACAAATTATATAAAAATGCAAAGGACCTAAAGATGATTTTGAAAAAGAATAACAAAGTTGGAAGAGTCATACTATTTGATTTTAAGATTTATTCTAAAGCTACAGGAATCAAGACAGTGCAATACTGGTGTAAGAATAGACATATAGACCAAAGGAACAGACAAGGGAATCCAGAAATAGACCACAAATATAGAGTCAATTTATTTTCAACAAAAGTGCCAAGGTAATTCAATGGAGAAAGGATAGCTCTTCAACAAATGATGCTATAACAATTGGACATTCATACATCAAAACAAATGAACTTTGATCATTACTTCATACCGTATACAAAAATTAACTTGAAATGGATTATAGACCTACATGTAAGTCAAAATTATAAAACTTCTGAGAAAACATAGGATAAAATTATATGATCTTGAATTAGGCAAAGCTTTCTCAGAAAGGACACAAACATCTCAAACCATATAAGAAAAATCTGATACATTGGACCTCATCAAAATTAAAATGTTCTACTCTTCAAAAGATGTCATATGAATGTATCTCAATAAAGCTGCTATAAAAAGATAAACTTTTTTTCTTTTCTTTTCTTTCTTTCTTTTCTTTTCTTTTTTTTTTAAGACAGGGTCTTACTCTGTTGACCAAGCTGGAATGCAATGTCACAATATCCACTCACTGCAACCTTCATCTTCCAAGTTCAAGCAATTCTCTTGCCTCAGCCTCCAGAGTAGCTGGGATTACAGGCATGTGCCACCATACCCAGCTAATTTTTGTATTTTAAGTAGAGAAGGGGTTTTGCCATGTTGGCCATGCTGGTCTCAAACTCCTGACTTCAAGTGATCCACCCACCTCAACCTCCCAAAGTGCTGGGATTACCATGCCTGGGCAAAAAGATAAGAAAAAAATTTAAAGCCACAGACAGAAAAATTTTATAAAATTCTGTATCTGATAACTTGTATCCAGAATATATAAAGAACTTTGACAGCTGAAAAATAAAAATATTTTTTAAATTGAACTAAAAAATGATCAAAATATTTGAACAGACACTTTCACCAACAAATATATATATAAATGGAAAATCTGTTCATTAAAAGATGCTAATTTGAATTTTGGGGAACGTAAATTAAGATATGACAAAGTACCATTGCACACCCACTAGAATGTCTAAAATTACAAGGAGTGACATTATCAAACAATGACAAGCATGTGGAGTAACTGAAACTCTCTTACACTGATGGTGGGAATGAAAAATGATAAAACCACTTTAAAAGAGTTTGGCAGTTTTTATAAAATTAAATACACATTTACTATATAATCCAGCAATACCACTCTCAGGGATTTATGCAAGAGAAATGAATTCATATGTCTACACAAAGGCCTGTATTCACATTACAATTACAATTTTATTCATAATAGCTAAAGACTGGAAACAGCCCAAATGTCCATCAACAGGGAAATGGATAAACAAATTCCACTACACTCAGACCATGGAATAATGGTCAGCAATGAAAAAAAACAAACTACTGATTCATGCAACAATATTAATTATTCTCAAAACCAATATACTATTAGCAACCAGAAACAAAAGACTATATTTTATATGATTTCATTAATGTTACATTCTGGAAAACAGATCAGCTATTGCCAGGAAATGGGGGTGGATGAGGAGATCAACTGCAAAGATGCATGAGAGGATTTCTGGAGTTGATGGAAGTATTCTATATCTTCACAAAGATATATGACTGTAGACAATCAACAATACTTACTGAATTATGTACTGTACAGTGGTAAATTTTATTAAAATTAGTCTCTAATAAACCTGACTCTTAAAAGCAAAAGCAAAAGTAGAAAAGAACCACCTTAGAGAAGAACAAAGAAGGAGGAAAATGCTGAAATCTTACATTATTCAGGCTGAGGTCAGTGTATATGGAGGACTCCATCACGGAATAACCTTCCTTCCTACTAACCAATAATTTAGCATTTATATGGTGCTCACCCTGGGAAAACAAATAAGGACGTTAAGAATTCATATTTACATATTTATTTTTTTTAATCCCTACTACCAGAAGGTCTAGACACACCTTCCAACCTTAATTCAGGTTTTTCAAGAAAGGATAGTTCAGGTTTAGTGAAATGACACATAAGAAAAGATATTGACATATCTTTAATACTAAATATAGGATTAAAAAGAGGTCTCTTAAGTTCCCCAGAGGAGGTAAAGATATTTTACACACATTCATTCTTAGCTCTCAATAGATCTATGGATGCGTAGAAATTCAGACACAGCAAGATGTTGTGGAACTAAATAGTTTTGCCCATGAGAGAGACATGACTGGATTGACATGTTGGAAGTGCTGGAAGACACTCTGGCAGTCACCGTGTGGAAAGGGAATTTGATCAGGGCAAATCCAGATAGATAGACCCAGTTGCTGAAAGCATCCCTTGAACAGATGCTGAAGCCCTTGCCTAGGGAAATTGGGAGTAACAGAGTTAGAGGCAACAACTCAGTGGGACTCGGCCATTGGTCGAATGTGAGGGAGGGATGAGGGAAAAAGTAGCAAGGGGGGTCACATTAAGGTTTCTGACTTGGTGGAGGATGATGTTACACCAAAAGACTCTGGGAAGAGGGGAAGACGGCATGCTTGGGAAGAGGAAGTGTTCCCTTGTGATACCTGTCCATGTTGATCTGGGCATTTCATCTTGTTTTTTTGTTATATATCATCTTGTTTTTTTGTTATATATCATCTTGTTTTTTTCCAGAAGCACTTCTCTGCCATAGTCAGGGTTTGGGGTCTCTCCTCTGTCATCTCACATTATATTAAACTATGACATAATTAATAAATGATCTGTTTTATGTCCACCTCTCCTGTTTAACTTGGAGCTACTCAAAGGGCAGGATCTATGACTTCTCCATCTTTAGATCAAGTCCAAACTCCTTATCATGGCTTATCAGGCCTGGATGACCTCACCGCTGTGTCCATTCTTCCTCTCAGCACCCCACAACTTCTCCAACAAGCCATTCCTCTCTCATCTGCAGACTGTACATTGCTAGTGCCTCTGCCTGGAATGTTCCTCCTCCTCACAGTCTGATATGATTTGGCTGTGTCCCCAGCCAAATCTCATCTTGAATTGTAGCTCCCATAATTTCCATGTGTTGTGGGAGGGACCGGTGGGAGATAATTGAATCATGGGGGTGGTTTCCCCCATACTGTTCTCATGGTAGTGAATAAGTCTCATGAGATCTGATGGTTTTATGAGGGGAAACCCCTTTCACTTGACTCTCATTCTCTCTCTTGCCTTCTGCCATGATTGTGAGGCCTCCCCAGGCACGTGGAGCTGTGAGTCCATTAAGCCTCTTTTACTTTGTAACTTACCCAGTCTCGGGTATGTCTTTAACAGCAGCGTGAAAATGGACTAATACACAGTCCTTCCCACACCTGGAAATGTCTTGATCATTTCTTGTTCTCAGCTAAGCCATTGTTTTCTTTAGGAAACCTTCAATAACCCCCAATCCTGTATAGGGGCACCTCTGCTTCCAGGTATATTAGTACCTACCACTCTATTATAATTGCTTGTTTTCCCCATTACCCTCTAAGTTCCGTCTCACCATGGTAGCAGTTGTCATAATGTCTTAGTCCATTCAGGCTGCTATAACAAAATACCTTAGACTGGGCAACTTATAAACAACAGAAATGTATTCCTCATAGTTCTGGAGGCTGGGAAGTCCAAGATCAAAGCGCCAGCAGAGTCAGTTGCTGGTGAGGGCTGCACTCTGCTTCAAAGACGGTGCCTTCTGGCCGCATACTCATATGACAGTGGGGATGAACAAGCTACCTCAGGCCTCTTTCATAAGAGCATTAATCCCATAGATGAGGGCTCTGCCTCATGACCTAATAAGTTCCAAAAGGCTCCACCTCTTAATAATATTGCATTGGAGGCTGGGCGCAGTGGCTCACACCTGTAATCCCAGCACTTCAGGAGGCCGAGGCAGGCAGATCAACTGAGGTCAGGAGTTCAAGACCGGCCTGAACAACATATCAAAACCCCATCTTTACTAATAACACACAAAAAATTAACCAGGCATGGTGGCACACGCCTGTAATCCCAGCTACTCAGGAGGCTGAGGCGTGAGAATCGCCTGAACCTGGGAGGCAGAGGTTGGAGTGAGCTGAGATTGTGCCACTGAACTCCAGCCTGGGAAACAGTAAAACTGTGTCTCAAAAAAAAAAAAAAAAAAAAAAAAAAAAAATATATATATATATATATATATATATATATGTAAATAAAAATTTGGGGGGAGGGACACAAACATTCAGGCCATAACAAATAATGAGAATTTTTAAAATAATGACAACATTGGCTAACATTTATTAGGTACTTAATATATGCCAGACATCCTACTGAGTATTTTGATGTATTAACTCACTTAGACTTTACTACAACCCTTCAGGGTGGGCCCTTTCACAGTCACATTTTACAGATCAGGAAACTGAAATATCGAGAAGCAAGTAACTTGCTCGAGGTCAACATTCTACAAAGAATATTAATAAACAAGAGCTATTTATTTCATTCTCCCCGGTTCCTAGCATGATCCTGTCAGGGAATAGATGTTCAGTAAATGTTTGTGGAATTGATCTGATGTGAGCAGGTTGTACCTGAGCTGGCAGTGCTGCCTGGCAGAGAAGAGAGGGCAGACCAGGCCAAATGCTCATAAACACGGGGCACCTATACCAGGCTTTGGTGAACACTCTCTAGCACAACTGCTTGGAGCCAGAAGAAGGCTTCTATATCTGACAGTTTGTACCCAGAACATATAAAGCACTTTTGGTCTGGACATGGTGGCTCACACCTGTAATCCTAGCACTTTGGGAGGCCGAGGTGGGAGGATTGCTTGAGCCCAGGAGTTCGAGGACAGCCTGGGCAATGTGGCGAGACTCCAACTCTACAAAAAAAAAAGTTTAATTTTAAAAAGAACTTTTACAGCTCAATAATAATTTTTTTTTTTTTTTTGACAGGGATTCTTGCTCTGTCGCCCAGGCTGGAGTGCAGTGGTGCAATCTCAGCTCACTGCAACCCCCACCTCCCAAGTTCAAGTGATTCTCCTGCTTCAGCCTCCCGAGTAGCTTGGATTACAGGCACCCACCACCACGCTTGGCTAATTTTTGCATTTTTAGTAGAGATTGGGTTTCACCATGTTGGTCAGGCTGGTCTCGAACTCCTGACCTCAGGTGATCCGTCTGCCTTGGCCTCCCAAAGTGCTGGGATTACAGGCGTGAGCCACCATGCCAGGCCAATAAAAAATATTTTTTAAAAATTGAACTGATTGGGGGCAGTGGCTCACACCTGTAATCTCAGCACTCTGGGAGGCCGAGGGGGGCAGATCACCTGAGGTCAGGAGTTCGAGACCAGCGTGGCCAACATGGGGAAACCCTATCTCTAATAAAAATGCTAAAATTAGCCGGACATGGTGGCAGGCGCCTGTAATCCCAGCTACTCAGGAGGCTGAGGCAGGAGAATCACTTGAACCCAAGAGGTGGAGGTTGCAGTGAGCCGAGATCATGCCACTGCACTCCAGCCTGGGTGATGGAGCAAGACTCCGTCTCAAAAATAATAATAATAATAATAAAATAAAAGATGGTCAAAATATTTGGACAGTTTCACCAAAGAATACATATTAATAGCAAATTGGTTCATTTAAAAAAAACTACTAATAGGAATTTAGCATGGTCGAAAGCTGCTCTCAGTACAGCTCCAAGAACCTATTTTATTTCCAGGGAATATGCCCTAGACACAGCCCTACAATCGACCCTGTGCTGACCTGGTGATCCTCCCACTTCTTCCCAAAATAATTCCGTGTGCACAGGCCATCCTCACCTCGCCTGCAGTGGCTGGCTCTCTCTTGTGGTCATGCAGTGCGGTTCCTGAAGACCTTCCTGGATAGCTACTAAGGCAAGTTCATGCATCTGATTAATGGAGGTGCCTCTGAGGGGGTTGTTCACCCTGCCTGTCAGCCATTCAGAGAAGGATCCTCAGAGAATATCCTACAACTGAGTGGGCGGGACAGCAGTGGCTCCCAGCCTCAAGTGCACAGTAGTAACCCCTGCTGAGTTTTCAAAACACTGATACATAGAATGTACCGTAAATTAATTAAATCAGAATTCCTGGGGGAGGGACCCAGGCATCGGTATTTTTTAAGCATCCTGGAAGATTCCACAGTCAAGACCCACTGCAGAGGCACTCAGGCTTGTTCTCTTTCTCTGGCTGTGGTCTCCTGGCCTGGAGTTTGAGAACAGTGGATGTCTGCCATGTGAGATGGGAAGGGTGAGCCCTAGAGAGCAAGCAAGACCATGTAATCTAGAATGTGGTAAAGCCCTGTGGGGAGAAGCCTGCCTCTGTGGCTGGCTGTGCAGGGTTCTTGTGCTCTGGACGTCATAACCTGGTCTAAACGTTGAAGGGAAAGTGGTACCTCCCCACTCACTCCTGAAAGGACAGGAGCGGGTGGCTGTGGGAGTTGGATCTTTATCTCTAGGACTTGATCTGTCCTCCTCTGAAGGACACCTGGAGCTTTCCACCCCTTAGAGATATTTATGTGTCTTTTACAGACTGGGCACTCAATCTCCAGGGAACAATGGGGTGCAATGGTCTGCCTATATTCTCCTCACACTCAGATTTCTTCCTCCAGGGCCAGTTTCAGAGGATCTGAGTTTTCAGTTTGTTCTGGCAAATCTCAGCATCCTTACATATCTCTTCATGATTTGACTTTTGGCAATAACTGGCTCTGACCTGAGGTGTCCCTCCCTAGCCCTGCCCTGCCCCTGTACTTCTCTAGTTCCTTTTCTGAAGACAGCAGAGGGTAAATAGGGAGCAATAGAAAGTCATCAGAGACAATAGCCCGAACAAAAGTGGAAGTGATGGCAGCAAGAATAATTATGACTATTACTATTAGTGCTGCTGCTAACATTTCCCGAGTGCATGCTTTGTTCTAACCACTGTGCCGGGCACTTTCAGGCATCCTTCCCTTTGTCCTCTCACCAAAGCCTATGAGGCAGGACATGCGGGAAATAGCATCACGATTTTACTGAGGAAAAGAGGAAAGTCACACTGTGGAGCAATGCTTTGCACCTTTTCAAAAGAAAGGACTGGCTGGGCGTGGTGGCTCACACCTGTAATCCCAGCACTTTGGGAGGCCAAAGTGGGTGGATCACTTGAGGTCAGGAGTTCGAGACCAGCCTGGTCAACCTGGTGAAACCCTGTCTCTACTAAAAATACAAAAATTAGCCGGGCATGGTGGTGAGTGCCTGTAATCCCAGCTACTCAGGAGGCTGAGTCAGGAGAATTGCTTGAACCTGGGAGGCAGAGGTTGCAGTAAGCCGAGGTTGCACCATTGCACTGCAGCCTGGGCGACAAGAGCAAAACTCCGTCTCAAAGGAAAAAAAAAAAAAAAAAAAAAAGAAGGGACATATAGTCCCAGCCTGGGCAGTCTTGAAAAAAAAAAAAAAGAAAGAAAGAAAAAGAAAAGAAAAGAAAGGAAAGATCAAGTGCTTCTCAGGGTCACCTGGGAACCTGCTAGAAATGTAAATATTATCTGGCCAGAGTTGAATTCATGGGTGTGCAACTAGTGTAGCCACACAGAGCCTCGAATCTGAAGTTTAATTTTACCTTCTAATTTGTGTTTCCTAAGTCCAGTTGGACAATGGAGCAAGCATGGGGGTTTGGAGACTTGGCTCACATCCCGCTTCCCCTTTCCACCCTGGGTTCTCAGCACCTGCACCCCATCCTCCCTACTTGGTCTCCCACCCTGCCCAATGACCACTGCCACCCTCCACTCGAGGTGGCAGCCAGCTTGTGTTGATGAGAGGAGGCTTGTGTTTGCCATTGCCCTCTGCCCCTGGTGGGGGCCCG
The DNA here is from genome assembly GCF_000001405.40 of Homo sapiens. Classification (NCBI taxonomy): domain Eukaryota; kingdom Metazoa; phylum Chordata; class Mammalia; order Primates; family Hominidae; genus Homo; species Homo sapiens. The sequence goes on along the minus strand of NC_000012.12, from coordinate 93,549,384 downwards.
GGCACAAACACAGAGAGGATCGGGGTTGCATGCACACTGCATGGTGCCCAGGCCAGAGCCAGGCAGCAGCTGTCCCCACTCTAGGATGGCAGCACCAGCTCAATCCATGGGCTACTTATCGGGGGCTTCTTCCCATCCCTGATCCAGGTGCTGAGCATGTCCTGGTGTGAGGCTGCAATTAGCGTTGGTGGGCATGATGGCCTGTCTGCTATGGACTGGGGCACTGAGCCAGTGGGAAGGGGAAATTGACTTCCCCACCCTAGGATGAGGCCTCTGCATATTCTTTTTCTTTTTTCTTTTTTTCTGAGACGAAGTCTTGCTCAGTTGCCCAGGCTGGAGTGCAGTGGCATGATCTCAGCTCAGGTGCCGGCTAGCATATATTTTTGTCTGGGTTTTATGTTTGTCTCTGCTAGATATTTTAAGGTATCAGGGTTTAGCACAATAGGTTATAATACTGTAAAACCAGCCAAAAACAAAATAATCTTTGTTTGTATGATTTTTTGATAAATAAGAACAATTTAATATTGTCGGTTTAATGCAAATAGCCGAATCTTCTGAGTTATTGGTGAAAATATCCATGTATTTAAGTTTCTTACTTAGGTGAACACCTAATATGCACAGGTTGTAAAAATGATTAACAAGGAAATAATGACTAGCTTTGTCTAATATCTCAGTTCTCATAAGTCATTTAGATAAACTGCTAAAAATGAATAACGTTAATGGAATAAATACTATAAATAAACTTCTGTGTAATTTAAAATCTTAAAATAATTTAGGATACTCGTTAGATGTTTGGCCAATTTTAAGAAGGTTGTGATATGGAGAAACTTTTTTTTTAATTGTGAAAGGCTCTTATAAATGTGGAGCGTTGTAATAAAAATAAACATTTTTAAAAAAATTGTGGAAGGTTCTAATAAAGTGCTAATATCTGATAGACAGTTTAGGATTTCTTGCTTCCGAGATTTTTCACTAAAATTTAAGGTTATTAAGAATAAGAATTCTAGCCCTGGCTCAGTGGCTCACACCTGTAGTCCCAATACTTTGGGAGGCCAAGGTGGGAGGATAGCTTAAGTCCAGGAGTTTGAGACAAGCCTGGGCAACATAGAAAGACCCCATCTCTACAAAAAATTAAAAAATGAGCCAGTGTGGTGGTGCGTGCTTGTAGTTCCAGCTACTTGTGAAGCTAAGGTGGGAGGATCACTTGAGCCCAGGAGGTTGAGGCTGCAGTGAGCTGTAATCATGCCACTATATTCCAGCCTGAGCAACAGAGCAAGACCCTATCTAAGAAGGAAGGAAGGAAGGAAGGAAGGAAGGAAGGAAGGAAGGAAGGAAGGAAGGAAGGAAGGAAGGAAGGAAGGAAGGGAGGAAAAGAAAGACAGACACTCACTGACTCCTGCTAAATCTTGAACATTGGCACTAGTCAAAGCCTCATCTTCAGACCCAGGAAAAGGTAACAATCAAAATAAACTGCTTTTATGAGACACAGGACCAGAAATTAAAACTATTCAATCCCTCTAGCCCTGGGGACTATTGCTGAAGAGGTGGGCACGTGAGATTGTAAGGGCCGATTTTGAGACATAACAATAGTTCAGAGCTTTTCTGTAAACTAAACGTTAATATCAAAAGCACACTGCTGCAAGGCCAGCATCTGGGCCCCCGTGTCAGAATAACAGGCTCTTGTTAGAATATTGATCCACTCTTTAGTAACAAATTGTAAAAACCTATGAAAGGTTATAAAAATCTTAACTTATGGTCAAACTGCTTAAAATTAGATACTTTTTTTAAATAGGATTTTATTAAAATTAGCTTCAAAATTAATAATATACTATACAAAAGTAAAATTTATTTTTCTCTTTTTGAACTAAATTTTCATGTACAATTAATAAAAAATAATTTTTAAAAATTTTACCTTTTGAATAAACTGCAGGGAAAAGAGGAGAGAGAGAGAGACAGATTTAGTTGGTCTCATTGTGCCTTGATTTGGTCTTACTGTTTGGGAAACTGAGTACCCCCTTTATCAAAGAATAAAGGCTTTTGTTTTTTTAAATCTTTAAATTATTGTTTTGGCTAAATAAATGACCTGTGATTCTATTTTGTGATATCAAGTGTTTTAAACCTTTGATATTTGACAAACTTTCCCAAAGCAAAAATGTCAAATTCAAAATTCAGTCTTTTTGACCTCAAACTAACTTTTAAGATATTAGGGTCTCCAAAAGTCCAAGAGAGACATATTATGCTTATTTGGTATTTTAGAATTATACAGAAAGCATATTTTATATGTCAAATATAAAATTATGTGTAACTTTCTTGAGTTTTATTTATTTATTTATTTATTTTTTATTATACTTTAAGTTCTAGGGTACATGTCCACCCATTCTGAGTTATAGCTATATAAATATATTGTTAATATGTATTCCCAGATCACAAAATTTCTAAAATTCTAATATGTCAGTGTATGTTTTCTGTAATTATTATGATTATTACATTAAGTTATTATATGCCACAAAATAACCAAATTGTGTCTTTATGGCTGTCCTAAAATTTTTGTCATCTATAGTTATTATTTTACTTTGATTCTTCTCAAAAAGTGGCTTAGAATCAGTTACAATCCAAAGGATCCTCCTTTAGGAAAATTCATAAAAAGACTCTTGAATGTAGGTTTCTGGTAACTTTAGACATTGTGCCGTTGAACTAGAAAAAAACTTCCAGGACTGCAATTAAAAGGCTGATGTGTACATAAGGAATGCTAACCCAGTATAAAGCAAAACAGGAGTTAATTGCACAGACTAAACTAATAGCGGACCTCTGTGGTATGGAGGTGCATCTGTGCTGCATTCAATTGTTAAAGGTAAAAATTACCAGAAAAAAAATTAAAATGAATTCACCCACATATGGTGGCTCACACTTGTAATCCCAGCATTTTGGGAAGCTGAGGCAAGAAGGGTTGCTTGAGGCCAGGAGTTTGAGACCAGCCTGGGAAACATAGCAAGACCCTGTTTCTACAAAAAGTTTAAAAAAAACCTAGCCTGGCATGGTGGCATGTGCCTGTAGTCCCAGCAACTCAGTAAGTGGAAGCAGGAGGATCATTTGAGCCCAGGAGGTCAAGGCTGTGGAGCTATGGTCATGCCACTGCACTCCAGCCTTAGTGACAGAGCGAGATGCTGTCTCAAAATAATAATAATAAATAAAAGTAAAATAAAAATGAATTCAACTCCCAGGGAAATTGGTTCACTAAATATACATCTATTTTAATGTGAACGAATAAGGAAAAAGTGAAATATTCAATCCCTTGGTTATCACTATCTATAATAGCTAAAATTAAAAATTTAAAAACACTGAGTTGGGCCTTAAGGCTGGACCAAGCTCAGATGTGGGTCTGTCTAAGCTCAGATCACTAGCCTCGAGACTACCCACAAAAGAAAAACTATGCCAGTACACCAGAAAGTACCTCTCACACCTGTGGTTTCCAAGAAGGTAGTCAAAGTGGGGGAAAATGCAACACCAAATAACTATTAAAACCAGAGGATATGATGCAAAGGGATTGTTCCATCTTGTGTTGGTATACCAATTGGTATCATCAGCTTCCCAAAAAAACCTCCTCTAAAATGAATTGTAAAAATAACTAATTTGAGAGGAATGTCTTTGGTTTTAAATGCTGCAAAATGAAAGAGTATGTTTTGGTTAATACAAGACCCGCAGCTCACTACTGAACAATCACAGATCGGTATATATAATTCAGACACACAGGAGGCTATTCCTGAGAGAACGGCCAGCCTGGTGAACTGGATAAAAGCCACTATACGATCTATTTACCCTGAGAAGTGGACTGCCCAACTCCACTTATCAATATTAAGTGGAACACCCCAGAGGAAGCAACCAATATGCTTCATATGCAAGCCATTGGGAACTGGCTTTATAATGATGGGAATATTAACTTTGTGTTTTAAAAATATATTAACTAGTCTTTCTGAGCTTGCTTCCAACAGGCTCCAGTGTCCTACAGATGTGCCTCTTTTCTCTTTGAAGCTGAGAAACCAAGTCATGCTGAAGACCTGGAAATCCCAGCAGGCTGCAAACCAGCTGCAACTACAATGGGTCAGCCCTTTTGAGATGCTGCTGACTACCCACTTATCTGCCAAGTTAGCCAGTGTTAAGCCATGGATTCACCACGCTCAGATAAAACCTGCCCCTCTGGGATCCCTCCAGAAAAAAACAGGCATGCTGTTGTGAACCCTAAGATGGCCTTAAGTTAATATTCAATGCCCAGCCAAAGACCCTAAATAAGAAGTCATAAAGGAAACATGTGCTTTTCAGGTTGGTATTATTCTCCCCAAAACCCTTCTTGCATGCAGGATGTAATGAATCAGAAATAGTTGTTAGTAATTTTTTTTTTTTTGAGACAGAGTCTCACTCTGTCACTCAGGCTGGAGTGCAGTGGTATAATCTCAGCTCACTGCAACCTCCACCTCTCAGGTTCAAGCAATTCTCATGCTTCAGCCTCCCAAGTAGCTAGGACTACAGGTGTGCACCACCATGCCCAGGTAATTTTTGTATTTTTAATAGATACAGGGTTTCACCACGTTGCTCAGGCTGGTCTTGAACTCCTGACCTCAAGTGAGCCACATCTGCCTCAGCCTCCCGGAGTGCTAGGATTGCAGGTGTGAGCCACCACACCCAGCCATGAATCAGAAATACTTTTTAATAGGCTTAGGATTGTTCTCTTGGATTCCTTAAGGGATCCACTTTAATTCTTGGGTGTTTTTTTTTTTTTTAATCATGGTGCTCCAACAAGCGGGATGCCAGTCAGGTAATCCTGAGCACTTCAGATTCAGGGGTGATGTTTGCATTTCCCATCATTATCCCACAATGCACCCCTTAGCATTAAGTAGCCAAAAAGGCAGACAACCATATTCCCCATGATCGAAAAATTGATGAATAGAAAAAAGGGGATTAAAACCAGCCCAATTGTCCCATAGAAATGATATTACGGTTTTTAAAAGAAACATAAAAATTAACCTTCCTGTTTTTAAAATTTAAAACTTACATTTATCTCATCTGAATTCCTTCCTCAAAAAACAGACACTCAGGCAAAAACAAAAACCTAAAACTCATCAGATCACTGTATCCAGACAGAGACGCCAGACCCCTCATCCATCATGATTGCTTCTATACTCCTCCTTAATTCCTATTTTCCCACCTTTCCTGCTATACAAAACCCCCAATTTTAGTCGGTCAGACAAACACATTTGAGACTTTATCTCCTGTTCTCCTTGGCTGCAACACCCCGTTAAAGTTTTCTTCCCTGGCAATAGTTACTGTCTCAGTGATTGGCATTCTGTGTAACAAGCAGCAGAACCTAGACTGGAACCCTGGTGTTTCAGTAACATTACCTTGTAGTAAATGCTGTTGTGTCATGCCCAGATTCACTTTACCAAGCCCAGATCCCACAGATTAAAGGGCTCAGCTCCACAAGACTTCAGACACCAGCCACAAATGGGGTCCCCAGGTGACCCACACTTCTGCCCAGTGGACTATAAATTCAAGGGTTCTGTGACTTTCCCTACCCAGCTTTGATAATTCACTAGAATCCTCACAGAACTCAGGAAAATGCCATACCTACTATTACACTTTATTATGATGGACACACACGAGCAGCCAGATGGAGGGGTACTGAGGAAGCATCTGAATGCAGGAGGCTCTGTCCCTGGAGAGTTGGGATGAGCCACTCTCCTGGATGTGTTCACCAACTCAGAAGCTCTCCAAGCCCCATTGTGTAGGGATTTTTTATGGCAGTTTCAGTAAGTACACATGATTGATTAAATCATTGGCCATTGGTGATTGAACTCAATCTCTAGCCCCTCTCCTGCTCTCAGAGGTGGAAGAGCAAGGCTGGAAGTTCTAACCTTCTCAGTACATGGTTGGTTTTTCCTGTGTCCAGGTCCCATCCTAAAGCTACCTAGGCCCCCTCTGCCCAACAAGAGTCTTCTCATTAGCAAAAGAGTAATTTCCAAGGGTGTTAGGAGCTCTATGCTGGGAACCAGGGACCAAGAGTAAATATATATTTTGTATTTTACCACAGGTACCAATCACCCTCCAGATCTAAGAATGGCTTCAGGCTGGGGCTGCAGTCACCTCTTTGCCCAGCTTCTCCCCTGCCCTATTCTGCTTCACTTGCATCCTTAAAGGTTCCACCCAAGAGCTCTTCTACAAGAAAGCACCTATAAAGCCAGACACATTGGCTTATGCCTATAATCCTAGCACTTTGGGAGGCCAAGGTAGGAGGATGGCTTGAGGCCAGGAGTTCAAGACCAGCCTGGGCAACTTAGTGAGGCCCCGTCTCTATAAAAAATAAAAAAATTAACCAGGTGTGGTGGTGCACGTCTCTAGTCTCAGCTACTCAGGAGGCTGTGGCAGGAAGATGGCTTGAGCCCAGGAGGTTGAGGCTGCAGTGAACTAAGATCATGCCACTGCACCCATCTTGGGCAACAGAATGAGATCCTGTCTCTAAAAAAATAAAAACAATTTACAACAGTAAGCACCTGTACACAAGCCCCATCTCCAGTCCTGTTTCTAGGGCTTCCAATTTAACACACCTAGAGGCTGGGCATAGTAGCTCATGCCTGTAATCCCAATACTTTGGGAGGCTGAGGCAAGTGAAGCACTTGAGGTCAGGAGTTCGAGACCAGCCTGGCCAACATGGCAAAACCCCATCTCTACTAAAAATGCAAACATTAGCTGGGCATGGTGGCACATGCCTGTAATCCCAGCTACTCGGGAGGCTGAGACAGGAGAATCACTTGAACCCAGGAGGTGGAGGTTACAGTGAGCCAAGATCACACCACTGTACCACAGCCTGAGCAACGAAAGAAGACTCTGTCTAAAAAAAGTAAAAAATAAAATAAAACACACCTGGAGCTTTCTACATCCCGTAGGTATCTGTGTTTCTTTCTCGTGCCCTATTTGACAGAGTTTCTTGAGCTCGAATCTATGTCTACTTTATCTTAGCCTTCCTGTAACACCTGTCTCAATGTCTTGCACATATAGAATGCTCAGTAGAGTTTTTGGAATAAGTATTTCATATTTTGGAATCATTTACAGAGCAGGGGTTAAATTCCTGGCTTATTTTCTCTAGTTCTTATTCTGCACCCCCTGCCCTGCAAACCTGCCACATAAGCAGGTCATTTCTCCACCCCTCAAGATGAGGGCAAACAACTTCAGAAACTGCTCACAAACAGGCCCCTGTGGAAATACCTCCAGGCCACTGGCATTCCTGCCTGCTGCCAGAGACCTGGGAGGCTGTTCACTGCCTTGAGTATTTTTGTTCTTTCCAACTTCTCTGCCCCATCAAGTTAAACAGTCCTTAAGAGTAAATAAATGTGGCAAAGATAAAACAAATATTTTTTTCCAGTTGGATTGGTTCATTCCTTGTGTGGGTTCAGATGAGGGAGAACCAGAATGTTTTGATTAAATCAGCCTTTGCCATTAGATGATTTGCTTGTTTACTAACGGCTGGGCTGTCGTATTTCTTGTCATTATCTACCAAAGTGCGAATTCTTGGTATTGTTGAAAGGACTGCTCTGAAAAGGGAAATGGCAAGCTTCCTTAACCTAACGTTCTCACTATGTTACATAGTGTAAAAACACTGAATCAAAAGCATCAGGCAAATGCAACCCTGTAGAACTGCAGAGCAGAGAAATAGGAGACACAAGTGGGTTCTCTCTACATCCCTTTCAGGAGTCTTACAGTGTGTTTCTGATGATGAATTTTTCTACTTTCTTTTCTTTTCATATATTATATAGCCATCTCACTGGGGTGCTTCCATGGTTTGAATTCTGATAGGAAGATAGAGAATGTTGCTCCCAGAGGTCCCTACAGTTTGGGAACCATGGTTATTCCCAACCTAAAAGGTCTTAATGATCACATAAGATGCCACTGCATCATCACGGCGGTGGTGTTTTAGTTATTAGTCCTCCAGAGTGACAGTGACCTCATACTAGTACTAACGATGATGATGCTAGATAACATGTATCGTGTATATCAGGCATTGTTCTAGTACTTTACATAAATTAATGTTTTAATCCTCATCACAACTCTATGAGGTAAGTACCTTTAATATCCCCATTTTACACATGAAAAAACCTGGGGCTCAGAGATGCTAAGTAACTTGCCCAAGCATAGAAGTTCTAAGTGGCAGAGCTGGGCTTTGAACCCAGGTAGTCTGGCTCCAGAGCTAGGTTATAGTATTAGTCATAAGAGCAACCATTAACATTCATTGAGCCTTAACCATATGCCAGAAGTGATTCTTAATTCTTTATGTGTATAAATGTCATCGATTCTTATGAAAATGCTGTCAGATATTTATCATCCTCATTTTACTGAAGCACAGAGAGTCTAAGTAACTTGCCCAGAGTTACCCAACTGGTGAATGAGGGAACCAGGTTTCCAATCTGTGTGGAGCGCCTTCAGAGGCCACACTCCTAACTCCAGCTCTTCTGGTCTTGCTGACAGGTGCTATGAGCTTAGCTTTTGCTTTGTGGAACAGGTCCATACCACTATTGATACTTTGAAAGTATATTCTGTCTCCCCTGGGAAAATACCCATCCAGGGAGCTATAGAACAAGCACTCCCAGAGATCTCATCTGCAGTACACATCTGTTCTGATATTTTTGTTGGCCTGCCCAGCATCTTCCTCCTCCTTTTTGTAAGACCGCCCTAATTTCCTGTTGGGGAATGTATTTCTTTTCTATTGTTGCCACAACAAATGACCATAAATTTAGTGGCTTAAAACAACACAAATTTGTTATCTTATAGTTCTGGAGATCAGAAGTCCAAAATAGATCTCTCTGGGCTAAAATCACAGTGTTAACTGGGCTGTGTTCTTTCTGGAGGCCCTAGGGAGAATCTGTCTCATTCCCTTTTTTAGCTTCTTTTTTCCTTGGCTGGTAGTCCCTTCCTCCAACCTCAAAGCCAGCAATGCCAGGCCAGATCCCTCTTATGCTGCCTTCTCTTTGGTGGTTCCTCTTCCACTTCCTTCTTCTCCTCTTAAAGATCCTTGGGATTACATTGTGCCTACCTGGAAAACCCAGGGTAATATCCCTATGTTACAGTCAATGGATTGGCAACCTTAATTTCCCTTTGCTATGTAACATATTCCTAGATTCTGGGGATTCACACATAGGCCTCTTTGTGGTGGGTTTGGGGACATTATTCTGCCTACTGCAGGGAACCTTCCCTTTCTACTCTCAGACCGTATATTCTGGATCAGTTCAACCCAACAACGGTGGCTCCCAGCACAGGCTTGGAACTTGGACTGGGATTCTTGGGAAAGAGATGCTCCCCTTCTGATGACCGGTCTGATCACAGCCCATCTGCTTGGCAGATGGGTCAGGAACAGGGCCTCTCCCTGATTGATCAGAACTCTTTCTGGACTAGCTGTTAAGTCTTGTGAATATCCTTCCTCTCCACTGCCGGCCCATGCACCAGTAGCTGATGTGTCCACCTTTGCCCAAGCATAAGACAAGCTTTCTTAAAAATGAGGCCTCTTCCTCCTGCTGCTTCTTTAAGGAGATCCTATGGAGTACTTGCAATCTCTAAAAAACAAACAAAGACAACTAGAATAAGATCTATTTAATGATGTCCAAAAAAAAGCTTTCTTGGCAAGTTTGGGATCAGCAAGATTAGAATCTGGCAAGGAGTTTACATAATCTCTAATAAGGATGGAAGATTCTTTTTCTACTTGTCTTAAATACATTCTCTTCAAAATCTGTATGCAGCTCTAAATAAATGAAGCCTCCTTGAGGGCATATTACAGCATTGTCAAAGAGACCCGCTCATATGTAATGACCTGGAGGGAGAATGACAAATGTCTGGATTATACCATGTTTTAATATATTCATGCTATAGGAATGGCCTCAGCCACCACACAGTCACCAAGAAGCCTGGCTGAAGGGCATTCAGAGAAGTGTAGAAAGGCAGGGGCATACATTCTTATTGACATTTAGCCATAAACCTGATTCCCCTTTTGCAAACCCTTCCCACATACCTTGAAAGCTTTTGAATCTCAAGGTCTTCTTGTGGGCCCAATTCTAAGGTTGGGAATGGTAGCTACATCCTGGGAGAAAGAGCCCTAGGCTATGCAAACAAGTGGGTTATTGGCTCAGTTTCCTCAGACACATCATGCTAGGTAAGGAGAGTGGAGTTTGGGCTGCTGGGAGCTGGGAGCATCATCCACTCGGGCATCAAACTCAAGGTGTGGGTGAAGGCAAGAGCAAAGAAACAGGTATTTGAGTTGATCATCAAGGAGGAGGCAGAAGGAGAAGTGGTCTGAAGTCAAGTCAAGTTCAGGACAGAGATAAAAGTACCTTGAATTTCCCCAGGACTTTCCTTATTTTTTATTTTTGAGACAGGCTCTCACTCCTGCTCAGGCTGGAGTGCAGCGGTGCGATCTCGGCTCACTGCAACCTCTTCTTCCCGGGCTCAAGTGATTCTCCAGCCTCAGCCTCCCAAGTAGCTGGGACCGCAGGTGCAAGCCACCAGGCTTGGCTAATTTTTGAATTTTTTGTAGAGACGGGGTTTCATCACGTTGCCCAGGCTGGTCTCAAACTCCTGGCCTCAAGTGATCTGCCCACCTTGGCCTCCCAAAGTGCTGGGATTACAGGCATGAGCCACTGGCCTTTGCTTTCTAGATGGCAATGTAGCAAGGCGTGGTGATTAAGTGTGCAGCTCTGGATCCATCCCACCTGGGTTAGGATCCTGGCTTCACTACTTCCAAGCTGTGTGGCCTTAGCTGAGTTACTTACATCTCTCTGATTTTTTGCTTCCACAGCTGAAAACGACAATGATATTAGCAACTTCACTCATAGTGTTACTGGGAGGATTACTTGAATTAAAGTTTGCAAAGTGCTTAGCACTGAGTTTTTTTAGGACTTAATGACTTGATTTGAGCATCAGGTTAAACCATCTTCTGAGCAGGATTGTATACCAATATTCAGCATTAATTTTGATTCTTTTTCTAGTCTCTTTTGTCGTTCTTTTTCAGCATCCTCAAAATTTAAAAAAAAACCAGTTGATATTCATTTATTAGGATCCTCCTGAAGGATGCCTTCTTAGGTTTCTGTTATGTAAATGCTGTGTAACAAAAGACTCCAAAACGTTGTTGGCTTACCAAAAGCATTTCTTTTCCATCTTTCTATGTAGGTCTGCAGGTTAGCTGGGGCAGCTGATTGGGATCAAGTCTACCCCATATTTCTGTCATTTGCTTGAGCCAACAGCTTACCCAGGACAGTTCTCATGGTAAAGGACAGAGCCTGAGAAGCAAAGCCAAACCTCATGAGCACATTTAAAGCCTCTGATCATGCCCACTAACATTCCATTGGCCAAAGCAAGCCTCACGATCCAGCCCGACATGAGGAAGTGGGGAAACAGACTCTAATCTCTCCAGTAGGAGGCATTGTAGAGCAACATAGCAAAGAAAGGATACATTCCAAGGAGGAAGAAAAGAATTGGGATAATCCAGTCCTATCACAGACAACCTTCATTTTTAATGTTACTTTCTTTTTCATGGAAAATAACTACATTAAAAGGTCATGGCCGGGCGCGGTGGCTCATGCCTGTAATCCTAGAACTTTGGGAGGCCGAGGCAGGTGGATCACCTGAGGTCAGGAGTTCGAGACCAGCCTGGCCAACGGGGTTTAGTGAAATCTCATCTCCACTAAAAATAATAATAATAATAATAATAGCTGGGCATCATGGTGGGTGCCTGTAATCCCAGCTACCCAGGGGACTGAAGCAGGAGAATCACTTGAACCCGGGAGGCAGAGGTTGCAGTGAGCTGAGATCATGCCACTGCACTCCAGCTTGGGCAACAGAGTGAGATTCCATCTTAAAATAAAATTAAATTAAATTAAAAAGTCATTTCAAGGATTTCTGGAAAAAATTGTAAAGCCATTTCCAGAAAATTACCAGAATTGGTAAAATTTTGTCCCATTCCTTACCTGCTGGGCTGGCATCGTGGGTGTGACTTGTGCAGGAGCACAGGACTCCACACTCAGAAGAGCTGCATGCTTGGCTGAATACTCTGCTAATGCTGTCTCACAGTTATTAATTTTTGAACAAGAAGCTCTGCATTTTTATTCTGCACTGGCCCCAACAAATTATGCAGCCAGTGCTGCCTACACATGCTATATTTAGGATCCCAGATGGTGAGAATTAATGCTCAGACTGGTGACCCTGAATCTGTAGGTTTCTGAGTGATCCAGGATTCAATTATAATTATCATTTTTTTCATTCATTCAACATGTTTATTGAGTGCTGTTCTAGGTATCGGGGATAAAACATTGAATCAACCAGCCCTGTCTTCACAGAATTTACATCGTGCCACACTTCCTGTGTCTGCCCAACCAACAAATGACATTCATGTATCAGCTATTAATAGGACATCAGCTACAGACACACATACCAGCGTGTGTCACAAATAGTCTATGTCGGGGATCACATGCAAATCCCAGCAGCCAACAGGAACTCCAGGCATCCCAATCTCTTTCTCTCAAGAAAGCAAATCAGAATGCAAGTGAGTAAGAGTGACATTAGAGAGCTACATCTTAAACCCATTCTGATTTGTAAAGATAAAACAATCTTTCACAAACTTTGCTCTTTTGGTTTTTATTCTAGCCTCTAAAGTGGCAAAAAGATGCATTTAAGAAAGGTTTTCAACCGTGAAGACTGAAATCAAAGAGCAAACTGAGTCTCTGGTTAACATTTCTCAGGGCCTCTGCAAATACTGTGAGAAATGCCACTTTGTGACAGCTTCAGCCAAGCACCAGGCTCATCCTTCAAGAGATCCACTTAACACTGTGTTGCTCAGAGGAGTGGAAAGATGTCAAATTGCTCATCTGCTTGAAAAACCCAAATAGGTGGATTTCATACAGCAGGGATCCTGCCCTGGGAAGGCAACAGTCCTTTTTCTCATTTGATTGCTTTATAGAAATCTGTGCCCTTACCCCCCTTAGCCCCAACTCAAACCAGATTCTTTGCTTCCAGCAAGCCCAGCTGAAGTAAACATGTTAACAACACACATTTGCCTCCCTGAGACAGATAATATCATAGTTCAGCTCCATAAAAGCCTGTTGCTGTAGGCTTCTAAGGCCCTAGTTCTCAAACTTAGCCTGCATCCAAATCACCTGGAGTGCTTGTTAAAATGCAGATCACAGGACCCTACCTTGGAGTTTCTAACTCAGTAGGTCTTGGGTGGGTCCCGAAAATTTGCTTTTCTAGTAAATCCCAGGTGGTGGCTCCTGATGGTCTTTGAGAACTACTGCTCTAGGGCATTGCCTTGGATCCTGAAGGGCTGCATGAGCAATTCTGTCCTCAATGCAGAGAATGTCCCCAAACAAACCTTAATTCTCTTTGGCTTCTGACCACCCTATCTCATTTTCCTCAATTCTCATTCATTCCTCAACTCCCTTTAGCTGGCCTCCTGCCCTGCACTCTATTGAAAATGCTCTCAGTGAAGTTGAAGGTGACAAATTTGCTGCCAAATTTAATGGGCAGGGGACATCATCATTTGGGTATCTGATATGATTTGGGTCTGTGTCCCTGTCCAAATCTCATATCGAATTCTAATACTCAACATTGGAAGGGGGGCCTGATGGGAGGTGATTGAATCATGAGGGCAGATTTCCCCCTTGCTGTTCCCATGAGTAAGTTCTCACAAGGTCTGGTTGTTTATAAAAGTGTGTAGCAGTCGGGCGCAGTGACTCATGCCTGTAATGCCAGCATTTTGGGAGGCCGAGGCAGGTGGATCACCTGAGGTCAGGAGTTCGAGACCAGCCAGGCCAACATGGTGAAACGCCGTCTCTACTAAAAATACAAAAATTAGCTGGGTGTGTGCCTGTATTCCCAGCTACTTGGGAAGCTGAAGCAGGAGAATTGCTTGAACCAGGGTGTCGGAGCTTGCAGTGAGCCGAGATCGCGCCACTGCACTCCAGCCTGGCGATAGACTGAGACTCTGTCTCAAAAAAACAAACAAACAAACAAACAAAAACAAAAAAAAAGTGTGTAGCACCTCCCCTTTCTCTATCTCCTCCTCCTTCTCTGGCCATGAAAGACATGCCTGCTTCTCCTTCACCTTCCACCATGATTGTAAGCTTCCTGAGGCCTCCCCAGCCATGCTTCCTGTACATCCTGGGGACCATGAGTCAATTAAACCTCTTTTTCTTTATAAAGTACCCAGTCTCGGCTGGGTGCGGTGGCTCATGCCTGTCATCTCAGCACTTTGGGAGGCCGAGGTGGGTGGATCACCTGAGGTCAGGAGTTCAAGACCAGCCTGGTCAACATGGTGAGACCCTGTCTCTACTAAAAATACAAAAATTAGCTGGGCATGGTGGCGCACGCCTGTAGTCCCAGCTGCTCTGGAGGCTGAGACACAAGAATTGCTTGAACCCGAGTGGTGGAGGCTGCAGTGAGCCAAGATTGTGCCACTGCACTCCAGCCTCAGTGATAGAGTGAGACTCTGTCTCTAAATAAATAAATAACCCAGTCTCAGGTTGTTCTTTATGGCAGTGCGAGAACAGACTAATACAGTATCTCACCAGCCAGTTTAGCCACCAGTCTACATTGAACTCACTGTTTTCTCAAGCACTCTTCATCATGTTTTTGGGCCTGACAAGCTTCATGTGTTCCCAGCAGTATTTCTGTTATTTGCAGCAACTGCCACTCCCTACTAAGTGTAGTTCAGATGGGATTTTCAATCATAGCACCCTATGGCACTGGCCACAGGGATGGGCCTGTATCCCAGTACTGATCATCTACTCCCCTATCTCTTGGGTCACCATGATTGGCCCAGTGGCAATCAATGACACACACCAAACCAGTCAGAGCCCTTCTCTAAAATTTTATACGGATTTCATTACATCTAAGACTCCATTACAGTAAGAAACACTGTTATTTTATCCATCACTAAGAAATAATACTGCCAATTGGAACAACAAAAAAGGAAGATGACATCTATTAAAAGACGCTTCCGATTTCAGAAAGGTTAAAATTGGGTGGGGCTAAACCTTGCACAGTGAAATTCAAACTAAGATGCTGGGAGAAAAAAGCTCTCTCTCTGGAGTCCCTGAGCTAGGAAGACGTAAATGTCAAGTTGCAACAATACCACCTTCTCTCCATTGCCTGGAGGAAGCAAGTCTGCAATAGGAAAGAATGAGGCCAACACACCAAGAGAAGTGAAAATTTTAAAAAGAGAGAAATGAAGCGGGTAGAGTAGCTCTGTTTCTTCACATCAGTCCTATATCCTTAAATTATTTGAATTCAGTTTCTGTCACTTGCAATCATGGAAGTCCTGATAAATATAATCCCTTTCCCCATAAGCATCCCCAATATTCCCCAAAGTAAATGACTCATTACCCATCAAATTATCCAAATCATACTTAACTCCTTCCTCCTCCTCAACCCTTCTACACTGAACTAATGAGGAAATGTGTTTTCTTCAACTTCCTAAATATCTAATCCTTCCATTTCTCTCTATCTGCACTCAATCTCTCACCCCATCCACCATCCCCCTTTGCAGACCCCTGGGACGGCCTCCTAACTGAGTCTCCTGGTTCTAGTCTTCTCCTATCTAACTCTGGGTCCACGCTGCAGTCAGAGTGATCTTTCCAATAAGAACATCCCTGCCCAAAACACTTTGGGGTCTTCTCATTGTCCTTTCACAGTATGGCCCAGCCTATCTCCCCAGCTTTCTCCAGTTTTTCGAATATTTTTCTGCTTTAGACTTTTTTTTTTTGAGACTGGGTCTCACTCTGTCACCCAGGATGGAGTGCAGTGGTGCAATCACAGCTCAGTGCACTCCCCACCTCCCGGTCTTAAACAATCCTCCCACTTCAGCCTCCTGAGTGGCTGGAACAACAGGTGCGCCACCACACCCAGCTACTTTTTTTTATTTTTCCTAGAGACAGGTTTCACCATGTTGCTCAGGCTTTCTTTAGACTTTTACTTTTCCCTGACTGGAACGTTCCTCCTCGTTCACCTGTGATTTATTCATTTTTGATCCCAGCTTAAACATCACATCATCTAAGCCCAGGTGGACTCCTCTAGTTTCACTGACCTCTTTCACAGTTTCTATGGCATCTTCCTCATTATACTTTCAAAAATCAGCTGTTTACTGTAGCTTTTTATATTTGAAGACATAATAAACTCTTGTTTACACCCAAATCTTTAGAATAATAAACCATATCAGTGAGATGTTAGTAAGAGACAAATAGTCCTTCTCTGGGGGTACTTGGTGGGCTAACTATCTGGACTAAAATGGTAACTATCTCCAGACTCACAGCCAGTCCCAGAGGATGTGCCTCTGCCTTGTGGAAGATGTGGCAGAGAGTGGGTTCTTAGTAACTGCACTAGTTCCCAAGGGCTGCTATAACAAAGTACCACAGATTGAGTGGCTTCAACAACAGAAAAATACTTTGTCATAGTCCCGGAGGCTAGAAGTCTGAGATCGAGTTGTTGGCAGCATTGATTTCTTCTGAGTTCTCTCTCCTTGGTTTGCAGATGGCTGCCTTCTCCCGTGTCCTCATCTCCCCTTCTTATAAGGACACCAGTCATGTTGCATCAGGGCCCACCCCAATGACCTCATTTAACCTTAATACCAATTTAAAGACCCTGATATGGCTCAGCTGTGTCCCCACCCAAATCTCATCTTGAATTGTAGCTCCCATAATTCCCACCTGTTGTGAGACAGGCCCCATGGGAGATACTTGAATCATGGGGGGAGTTTCCCCCATACTGTTCTCATGGTATTGAATAAGTCTCACGAGATCTGGTGGTTTTATAAGGGGGAACCCCTTTCACTTGGTTCTGATTCTGTCTTGTCTGCTGTGATGTAAGATGTGCCTTTCGCCTTCCTCCGTGATTGTGAGGCCTTCCCCAGCCATGTGGAACTGTGAGTCCATTAAACCTCTTTTTCTTTATAAATTACCCAGTCTTAGGTATGTCTTTATCAGCAGCATAAAAATGGACTAATACAGACCCCACCTCTAAATACAGTCACATTCTGAGGTACTGGGTGTTGAGTTAGGACTTCAAGATATGACTTTGAGAGCAGCAGGAGAACACAATTCAGCCCATTACAGTAATGAATGAATGAACCTGTGAAGATTTCACATGCCACCACTTGAAAGAGTCAGCTCTCAAGAGTCACCATCACCTCCGGGAGAAGATGGGGCCAGGCGGTCATAAACCCTCATCCACTGCAGTGGGTTAAATTGTGGCATAAAAAGACATAAAAAGATATGTCCATGCCCTAACACCTTTCACCTGAGAATATGACCTAACATCCTGGTTAGAGTGGGCCCTAAATCCAGTGGTAAGTATCACCATAAAAGAGACATGACCAGGCATAGTAGCTCACACCTGTAACCCCAGCACTTTGGGAGGCCAAGGCAGGAGGATTGCTTTAGCCCAGGAGTTCAAAATGAGCCTGGGTAACATAGTGAGACCCCCAATCTCTACTAAAAATTGAAAATTCAGCCAGGCGTTGTGGCACATGCCTGTGGTCCTAGCTACTTGGGGGGCTGAGGCAGGAGGATTGTCTGAGCCTTGGAAGTCAAGGCTACAGTAAGCCATGATAGGGCCACTGCACTCCAGCCTGGGCAACAGAGCACCCTGACTCAAAAAAAAAAAAGAAAAGAAAAGAAAAAAAAAAAACTTGAAGAGAAGGGAGAAGACACATGGAGAAGGGGCTGTGCAGATGGAGGTAGAGATCAGAGGGATGCGCCTATGAGCTAAGGAACGCCAAGGATGGCGGCAGCCTCCAGAAGACAGGAGCCAGACGTGGAACGGACTCTCCCTGCACCCTGCAGAGGAAGCCAGTCCTGCCGACGCCTTGAGTTTGGACTTTTGGCCTCAGAACTGTGAGACAATAAATTTCCGGGGTTTTGGGCCACCGGTTTGTGGTAATTTGTTACAGCAGTCACAGAAACCTAGCACCTCTACTTCCATTAAAGGGAAGGGAGACCGTGTTCAGGAGATCTGACCTAGGATAGAGAAAGCGAGACACTTCAAAGCTTCATCAGGACAGGTCTGGTTGCTTGAAAAATAGTCCAGTTACCAGCCTAGCCAATCTGAAGATAGTTAGCGTTTTGGCACAGATCAGGGGCCCCCAACCCCCCGGCTGTGGACCAGTACCCGTCCATGGCCTGCTAGAAACCAGACCACACAGCAGGAATTGAGCGGCCGGTGAGCGATCATTACCACCTGAGCATGGCTTCCTATCAGATCAGTGGCGCCACTACATTCTCACGGGAGCACGAACCCTATTGTGAACTGAACATGTGAGGGATCTAGGTTGCCCGCTCCTTATGAAAATCTAATGTGTGATGATCTGAGGTGAAACAATTTCATCCCCAAACCATCCCCAACCCCAGTCTGTGGAAAAATGATCTTCCATGATATAGGTCCCTGGTGCCAAAAAGGTTGGGGACCGCTGGCACAGATACTTAGCCCACTAAATATCCCCAAAATAGAACTCTCTCTTATACCAGGCCTGTTTATTTAGTACCTTGAGGTTGCAGGCATTCTCTCTCTGGCAGATTAAGGACAGAATTTCCTTGTATAATAATAATTTCTTAAATGTTTACTTTCACTGAAGGGTTTCTTTCCCAGAAAGTTTGAAATTAATTTGCTTCGTAATTTCTGGCAACAAATACCGATAGCAAATTTCTTTCCTGGCTTTTGTAATCCCAATGACATCACGGAACCTCCGTCACTGTGGGAAATCGTTCTTCTAGGTAGCTGTGATGATATCACTTGCTATGAAGGAAAGGAAAAAAAAAAAGAAACAACAGGAAATTCTGCATTCAGCTGTTAACTGATAAATGAAGGAGGAAATGGTTTTGAAAGTAAGTTCCCATAACTAAGCAGCCTTCTCCATTACTTAGCTTTATTTATTTAATGTATTTATTTGCACAATCTCACTGGTAGTACAAGTCCCTAGTCAAAAAGGCTTTTCACTCCCAGCAAATTAGGGAACATAGGCCAGAGCCCCTCACTTTGGGGGACCCCTGTTCACACAGAGGATCTAAAAAAAGATCTGGGCAAAGAACAAAAAGAAAGAGAGGGAAAGGAGGAGGAAGAGGAAAGGAGGAAAGGGAAGGGGGAAGGGAATAAGATGAAATGAAATACAGATACCAATAAACATTTGACCTAGGTAACCTCACTAATTGTATTAGACAAGGTTCTCCAGAGAAGCAGAACCCATAGGATGGGTGTGTGTGTGTGTATGTATATGTATGTGTGCATGTGTAATTATATATAAAGAGACATTTAGATTAGTTTAGCTAATGATCACCCAGGGAAGCATAAAGGTGAGATCTCAGAAAATCTGGAAAAGGAGCAAAATTGTGGAAGCAGATCCACCTGGCAAGCTGTTCATAGGTGGCCTTAATACAGAACCTAATGAAAAGGCTCTTTAAGCAGTATTTGGGAAATATGGCCACATAGCAGAAGTTCTTTTGATGAAGGATGGGAAAATCAAGTCCAGAGACTTTGCATTGATTACTTTTGAGAGCCCTGCAGATGCTAAGAATGCTGCCAACGATATGAAGGGAAAGTCTTTGGATGGAAAAGCAATTCAAGTAGAGCAAGCCAACGAACCATCTTTTGAAAGTGGTGTTAGGTGGAGACCACCATCTCCTTCGAGAAACAGAGGCCCTCCAAGATGTCTGAGATGTGGAAGAAAAGGTAGTGGAGGAGCAAAAGGGCATCCCTCAGGTGGAGGACACATGGATGATGGCGGATACACTCTTAATGCCAACATGAGTTCTTCTAGGACAGGGGTCCCCAGCCTTTTGGGCACCAGGGGCCAGTTTCATGAAAGACAATTTTTCTATAGACCAGGGGTCGGGGGGGATGGTTTCGGGATGAAACTGTTCCACCTCAGATCATCAGGTATTAGATTCTCATAAGGAGCACAAAACCTACCCATATTATGGAGGTAATCTGCTTTACTCAAAGTCTACTGATTTAAATATTGTTTTGTTTTGTTCGAGACAGGGTCTCATTGTGTTGCCCAGACCGGAATGCAGTAGCACAGTTATGGCTCACTGCAGACTCAACCTCCAAGGTGCAATTGATCCTCCCACCTCAGCCTCCCAAGTAGCTGGGACTACAGGTACACATCACCAAGCCTGGCTAATTTTCTTTTCTTTCCTTTTTTTTGTAGAGACAAGGTTTTGTCATGTCGCCCAGGCTGGTCTTCAACTTCTGGGCTCAAGGGATCCTCTCCCCTAGGCCTCCCAAAGTGCTGGGATTACAGGCATGATCCACCGTACCCAGCCTAAATTTAAGTCGCATCTAAAAAGATACCATCACAGCAACGTCTAGACTGGTGTTTGACCAAAAACTGGGTACCAGAGCCTAGCCAAATGGACACATAAAATTAGCCATCAAGCTAATAATAAAAATAGCAAGTATGATTGACAATAAGCTATTTTTTACCCAGCAGGTTTACAGGGATTAAAAAAGAATCTCACTCAGTTTTGTTAAGGAATAAGAGGACACTTGTGTACCATTGTGGGCCTACAGACATCAACTTTTCTGAGGGCATTTTGACAGTATCAAAATGGAAAGTGCGTATACCTTTTGAGAAATAAAAATAAAATTCTTTTTTTTTTCTCTTTTTTTTTTTTTTTTTTTTTTTGAGATGGAGTCTTGCTCTGTCACCCAGGCTGGAGTGCAGTGGTGTGATCTCAGCTCACTGCAACCTCCACCTCCCGGTTCAAGTGATTCTCCTGCCTCCGCCTCCTGGGTAGTTGGGACTACAGGTGCCCACTGCCACGCCTGGCTGTTTTGTGTGTGTGTGTGTGTGTGTGTGTGTGTATTTTAGTTGAGATGGGGTTTTACCATGTTGCCCAGGCTGCTCTTGAACTCCTGAGCTCAGGCAATCTGCCCACCTCAGCCTCCCAAAGTACTAGTATTACAGGCATGAGCCTCTGCGCCTGGCCTTTATTTTAACTCCTGACCTCAGGTGATCCACCTACCTCTGCCTCCCAAAGTGCTGGGATTACAGACATGAGCCACTGCACCTGATCATGCATTTTAACAAATAAGTCCTTTCTCTCTGACTTTTCTTCCATCACAATCTTCCTCGTGTCAGAGAACTCTGGAGTGCCCCTGGACACTATGGAATCTGGCTTGGGGATACGCGAAGTCGGGTGTAGTGGATGTGTGTATGTGTTTAGTAATCACTGCCATGTCGTCTTGTTATTGTACAGATGGTCCCCAACTTATGATTTTTTGACTTTACAATGGTGCAAAAGTGGTACACACTCAGTAGAAATCATACTTGGCATTTTGAATTGGGATCTTTTCCTGGGCTAGCAATATTCAATAGTACTCTCAAGATGCTGAACAGTGGTATCAACCACAGCTGCCAGCCAGCCATGAGATCAGGAGGGTAAACAACTGATACTGTACTCTACAATGTACTGTATTCAGTACGTTACATGAGATGTTCTACACTTTATTATAAAACACGCTTGTGTTTGATGATTTTGTCCAACTGTAGGCTCATGTAAGTGTCCTGAGCACAGTTAAGGTAGGCTGGGCTGAGCTATGATATTCAGTAGGTTAGGTGCATTTCCTTTTTGTTCCCTCTTTTTTTTTTTTTTTTAGAGACAGGGTCTCACTTTGTTGCCCAGGCTGGAGTGCCATCATGCCATCATAGCTCACTGCAGTCTCTACTTCCCAGGCTCAAGCGATCCTCCCCCCTCCATCTCCCAAGTAGCTAGGACTACAGGCATGTGCCACCATGCTTGGCTAATTTTTAAATTTTTTTGTAGAGACAGGGTCTCATTATGTTGCCCAGGCTGATCTAGAACTCCTGGGCTCAAGCAATCCTCCCACCTTGGCCTCTCAAAATGCTGGGATTACAGGCATGAGCCACCATACCTGGCTATATTTCTGACTTAGGATATTTTCAATTTATGGTAGGTATATCAGGATGCAATTCCATCTAAGTTGAGGAGCATCTGTATTTGTACCTAAAATTGTATTCTTTATTCAAGAGGGTTTCCAAAATTATAACATTTCCCCAGTCTCCTCAAAGCTAGGTCTGCCCACACACTGAGGCACAATGTCATTTGCTTCAGACTCATGTCTCTATCCCCCAGAGTAATCTTGGACTTTGATGGCTTTGTCCTGATCTTAGTTTTATAGCATTGTACTTGTAGGTTGGCCCCTAATTTCCAATTAAGTGCAGCCCTTAGCTCAGAGTATGGCTTCTAACCCACACTTCTTTGTTCATTTTCTTTTTATACCTCTCTCCACCATTCCTCTGCGTACACACACACACACACACATACACACACACACACTCTTAAGTATCAAAGGCTGGAGTGCAGATTGGCCGTGAGTCATTCTTTAAAAATGAGCTTGAATGGACAAGGCAAACAATTTTCAGGAATGCCCACAGTTGCCTGTCTTTATTTTAGAGGACTAGAGTAGGAAATCAGGCAGGTGGTCTGTCTTTGAATCGAGGCTGTTTAATGAGACAGAAATATTTCCAACTCTTCACCTAACAAAACAGTGAACGAATAAAATTCTCTTAAATTAGGAAAGATCCTCAAACCAAAATCTCAGAAAAAAATTTTAGCACACACAAAGTGCTCTAGAACTATTATTAACAGAAGCTCATTTTAGATGAAAGCACACCCATTACTGCATATGGACTCTATTTCCATCTAAAATGTCCTGAAGGAGAGTTTCTTCCATGGACCCATATTCAAGATCAAGTTTTTTGTTGTTTATTTTGGGGGAGGAGAAGGAGTTGTTTTCATCTTTCCTTCTTCCATTCAATGCTTTTCCAGGAGTGTTAATATCATCTATGTTGTTGTTGTTGTTATTTTATGTTAACCTTCATTTCTCTGCTAGATTTTTAAATCATTTTCTGTTTTAATTATAAAAGCAATCCAGGCCGGGTGCAGTGGCTCACGCCTGTAATGCCAGCACTTTAGGAGGTTGAGTCAGGAGGATAGCTTAAACCCAGGAGTTTGAGGCCAACCTGGGCAACACAGTGGGACACCATCTCTACAAAAAAATAAAAAAAATAGCCAGGCACAGTGGCACGCACTCAGGAGGCTGAAGCAGGAGGATCCTTTGAGCCTGGGAGGTTGAGGTTGCAGTGAGCACCACTGCACACCAGCCTGAGTGACAGAGCGAGTCCCTGTCTCAAAAAATAATAATAATTGCTCCTCGGCCTTTTGGCTAAGATCAAGTACAAAAGAATAATAATAAATATTTTTAAATAAAAAGCAATCCATCACCTGTACCCCCCACAACTTTCTAACGTGTATTATCACCTTTGACTTCCTCAAATCCTCTTCAAGAATCACCCATCCCTATTTCAAGACTGGCGGACATCATTCTATTCCTTTTATAGGGCTTTGCTGTTTCCTAAAACACTTTCATTTTCTGGTGGCAATAAAAGTAGTCTGGTGGTGATACAAACTAATGTTGTTTTCTTTAACACTTACAGCTCATCTGTAGGATCACTTCGATTTGCACTCTTTTTGCAAAGGCAAAACATCTAAAGAAGAGACAGTATCCATACACTTGTCTACTCATTATTATCATTCGAGACAGACAAAACGCCCACCTGGGGAGGAAATTCCCCATGAAAAAGACAGAGTCATGTGAAGGTATGTAAGATTATATTAATCATCTTTATTACTGCATGTATTGGGATTTTGGGGGGATGCATAGCAAAACGCATCCCCGAATAGCCTTGCTCACAGTAACAACACGTTGTTAAATGTGCCTTTCGACTCAGCACCCCCATGTGGCCACTCAGACAGTAAAAATGCCCCATGGTTGTGCATTTCCACGTGGGAAACAAATTTTATTGATGGAAGAACATTATGGCCCCTAATTTTTCTTTTCTTTTTTTTTTTTTTTTTTTTTTTGAGACGGAGTTTTACTCTTATCGCCCAGGCTGGATACAATGGCACATTCTCGACTCACTGCAACCTCTGCCTCTGGGGTTCACGTGATTCTCCTGCCTCAACCTCCGGAGTAGCTGGGATTACAGGCACCCGCCACCACACCTGGCTAGTTTTTTTTGTAGTTTTAGTAGAGACTGGGTTTCACCATGTTGGCCAGGCTGGTCTCAAACTCCTGACCTCAGGTGATCCACCTGCCTCGGCCTCCCAAAGTGCTGGGATTACAGGCGTGCGCCATTGCACCCAGCGTCTGGAACAACTTCTACCAAGAAACAGTCCCACTTTCTAAGAAACGCAGTGCCATCTTGAGAATGCCCCCAGTACCCGGTTGTTCCAGAAGACAAACCAAGGGGAAAAAATACCAGGAGCAAATCTCTTGGCCTCCTTCAAGGTGAAATATTTGCTAACTGTGTTGCCTTGTTGTCTTATTTGGATTGGAAGCCCGTTTAGCAGGAATTTGGTTTACATAATGGTTTAGGACAAGAATGATCAAGATTGAAGTTTAAGCTTTTCTCTTTCCTGGAAGCCAGGTAGCCTGAACGTAACTGATTGCCTCGTCTTTTCCCCTCTTGCTGTGTCCAGGTCATGAAAAAATCCATGATGAGGGCACAGAGGGTTTCTTCTCTGGGTGACCAAATGAGACTTCACCAAAGTAGAGAAAAAAATTCGCCATGGGGTATAGGGCAGTCATCATTCATGCATCCCACAATGGTTTGTTGAGTGATTAGTATGTGCCAGAAGCTAGGCTAGGCACTGCGTGAATAAAACAAACACAACATCTGCCCTAGTGACGCTTGCTGTTGCACGAGAAGCAAACATTAAACAAATACTCATACATGTCAATATAAAGCCACAGTCTTGGTAAGTGCTAGGACATCAAGCACACAGAGCTGGGAATGCCTATGATAAGGGGCTTTACCTTAATGTTGCCAGCGTTTAGATCTGAAGGATGAGTCAAGGTTAACAGGAAGAGAGGGAGGGAAGCATGTTCTGGGCAGAGGGAAGAACATATACATAGAGGCTGAAATTCAGAGTTAAGGGAAGGGGCAAGTGTGCAGGACGCCTCCAGAGAAGTGGTCAGGACCATGTGGGGCCTTAGGTTTGAGTCTTCATCCTAAAAACAATGGGTCTTTAGACTATCAAAGGCCCTATGATTTGGTGAGTATTTACCTGAGAGAAACGAAAACTCATATCCACAAAGGACTTGAAGACAAATATTCATAGCAGGCTTAAAATAGCTCCAAGCTAGAACCAACCCAAATGTCAATCAACAGGAGAGTGGATAAATAAATTGCCATAGGCTGGGCATAGTGGCTCACCCCTGAAATCCCAGCACCTTGGGAGACTGAGGTGGGTGGATCGCCTGAGGTCAGGAATTTGAGACCAGCCTGCCAATATGGTGAAACCCCATCTCTACTAAAAATACAAAATTAGCCAGGCATGGTGACACGTGCCTGTTGTCCCAGCTACTAAGGAGGCTGGGGGCAGGATAATTCACTTGAACCCAAGACGAGGAGGTTGCAGTGAGCCTAGACCATGCCACTGCACTCCAGCCTGGGTGTCACAGCAAGACTCTGTCTCAAAAAAAAAAAAAAAGCTATATATTCATATAGAGCATCCACACTCAGCATTTAAAAGGAATAGACTTAGCCAGGCGCAATAGCTCACACCTGTAATCCCAGCATTTTGGGAGACCAAGGTGGGTGGATCACCTGAGGTTAGGAGTTCGAGACCAGCCTGACCAACATGGAGAAACCCCCATCTCCACTAAAAATACAAAATTAGCCGGGCTTGGTGGCACATGCCTGTAATCTCAGCTACTCGGAAGGCTGAGCCAGGAGAATCACTTGAACCCAGGAGGCGGAGGTTGTGGTGAGCTTGCGCCACTGCATTCCAGCCTAGGCAACAACAGCAAAACTCCATATAAATAAATAAATTAAACAGACTACTGATCACACGCCACCACAGGAAAATTTCAGAAAGATTATGTGCAGTAAAATTAACCTGACACAAAAAAGTCTATGTTGTATGACTGTATGAAATCCAAAAATAGACAAAACAAATCTATGGTGACAAAAATCAGAAACTGGTTTCCTCTTTGGGTAGCAGGTAAGAAGAGGGTGAAATGGCAGGAAATGGGGAGCAAGGGAACTTTCTGAGATGATGGTATAGTCTATTATCTTGTTTAGGGTGGTGGTTTCACAGGTATATCAAAACTCATCAAACTGTACTGAAGATCTGTGCATTTTATTATTTGTCTATATCAAAAAGTTTTTAAAAAGTTAAATACACATGCTAAAGTGTTGAAAGCACAGAAATGACACCAGATTTGCACCGCAAAAAGAGCACCCTGATTTTGGTCTAGAGAAAGATTAGAAAGGGCTAGAATGGAAGTGGATAGACCAGTTTCTCTCCTTTATGTGAATGACCTAGGAGCCAGTATACCCTTGAGCGTTAATGAATGTCAGCCCCTCGCCTGAATTTAATATAGAAGATTTCAGACTTCACCTGGCTGACTCCCCAGGAACCATTCAAAACAGCTGTCAATGGACAGGGGCATTTAGCTGGAGAAAAAAGGCTGGGAAGCTGGGGTAAGACAACTAAGGAAGCCACAGGAAAAAAAGACAGATTGAACCAAACCTCTATTATATAGACTCTTTCAAGGCAGGATTAATCATATTTGTTTTTAATATTTCAAATCTGTCAAATATCTCCTTGGGTTCTTTTCCTCACAGCTACAATTTCCTTCTGAAATTAAGAAATCTAGCAGACCAGGCTGGGCACAGTGGCTCACCCTTATAATCCCAGCACTTTGGGAGGCCAAGGCAGGCAGATCACTTGAGGTCAGGAGTTTGAGACCAACCTGGCCAACACGGTGAAACCCTGTCTCTACTAAAAATACAAAAAAAATTAGCCAGGCATGGTAGTGCACCCCTATAATCCTAGCTATTCGGAGGCTGAGGTACAAGAATCGCTTGAACCCAGGAGGCAGAGGTTGCAGTGAACCAGTATCATACCACTGCACTCCAGCCTGGTCTACAGAGTGAGACTGTCTCAAAAAAAAAAAAAAGAAAAAAGAAAAAAGAAATCTAACAGACTGAAACTGGCTAATGTAATAGGAAGGCAAAGATTACCTTTAATCTATAGTTGGAAATAACAGAATTAAAATGAGATAAAACAGAGTCAGGTTATGTCTCAAAAAGATCACGGGCAAAATTATAGCAATGAAAGAGGATTTGAGGGCAAGAGGGTTAGCTTGTAGAATCACATGTAGGATCCTAAAGGGTCGACAAAATTTCAAAGACACTTGCTGAAAGTTTAAAAGAAACACAGAATCTAAGCATTTTAGAGCTGGAAAGGACTCCTAGAGTACATTTCAGCCTACACATTTCACAGATGATGTGCAGAGGTAATGTAACCAAGCAAATTACCCAGGAATATTTATAGCTAAGATTTAATTGGCACTTTATCAAGTGCTTCCACATTTATTGCCTCATTTAATCTTCATAAAGTGCTGGCAAATAGCAATTATTAATTCCACTTTCAAAAGAATATGGGGCTCAGAGAGTGAAGCCAAGCAAGCTAACATTCACCAGTGTTTGAGTTTCTCTTCTTCCACGGCACACCGCTAGAGCATAGTTCCCAGCTGTCTTGCAGTTGCAGCGGTGAGCTTGCATAAAACTTTGTTCTGACCAATGGGATGTGAGTGGAAGTGATTTGAGTCCCCCCCCCCAGGGCTGGCCATTGAAAGCTAGCGCATGATCCTCTGTTTTCCACATTCTTTCTTCCTTGCCAGCTGGCTGGGTGCCCTCAATCCAGAAGAGGAGCCCACGGCCCCAAGGAATGGGGAAGCCACCACTACCACTTGGAAGGAGGCTGTATCCCTGAATGGCACTGTGGAGCATACACATTTCTCCCCATTCACTGGCCAGAGTTAGACTGTAACAAAGGTGAGAAGTAAACATTTACTGTATCAAGGCACTGCGGTTTTGGTGGTTGTTGCAGCAGTTAACCTCACTAAGAAAGGATAAGAAACTCATGCAAAGTCCATATATGAGTTTATTTAAAGAAAATTTATTGAGCACCTAGTATATGTGCCAGACACTGTGCTTGGCATTGGTTGTATGCCAATGAATTAAGACAGATCTGGGCCATACCCCAGTGGGGCTTACCCTACGTCTAACTTAGAACTACATCTAGTAGTTCTTCCAGTTATGGACAGGGATAGAATTCAGATGAATCTGCTAATTGTAAATTTCTTCCATTTTCTACTCCATATGCTTCCTTCTGGGTAATTTGAAAGAAAATGTATCACATTTCTTAAAGATTACTTCAAAAAATAAAAAGATTTGTTTATCTTCCAGTCCTAGCATAGGAGTTATAGGATGGGGAAAGAGAGGTAGTGTTTATTAGTTTTCTATGTTCTCCAAGACCTAAGAAGGCCCAGCCATGGTAAAAACTCTCTTGTGTAGTAGTTTTTATAAAGAAGGGATTTTCATCAAGAAAGGAAGGCATTGGAAAAACCATTGTTTTCATATATTTAATCTTTCAGTTATTTAAAGTTTCAGCCCTACATATGTATTTCAATCTATACTGTTGAAAATGGCATTACTAAGCAGTAGGTGATCTAAAATTCTGTAAGACTATGCATCTTTTTCTGACGACTGGCTTTAGTGCATCTCAAGGTCACTATTCAGAACAACTGTTTTATTGCAGTAGATTGTTGCCATAGAGATTGTAAGGGACTGGGTTAAATCTCTCCAACTCTGGATGTCCCAAGACACTGACTGAATGTCTTAGAAGAAAATGCTCAGAGCCTTGTTTCTCTTTCCAGATAAATAATTGTGGCAAACATATAGGTATAAGCTGATACGGCCAATAGATTCTGAGTTTTCATTCATTTCTCAGATCTTATTCTTTTTTAAAAAAATCAGATACACATGTATTTACCCACTTTTTCTTCTTACTCAATTTAATTTCACATGATAAGTATAATATCAGTTAAGAATATTTTGGTTGTAAGTAACAAAGATCCATTTGAATGAGTTTTAGCAAAAAAGTCTCTTTTTTGGCTTAGGTAATTAGCAAATAATTAGGACCTGTTTTCCTTTTCTCCATCTCTCAGAAGCCTTTTGGGCTGACTTCATTCTCAGATAATCTTTTCATGATCATAAGATGGCTGCAGAAATGCCAGCCTCATAGTCCCTCAAGGTCATGTCCAGCAGAGAGAAAAAACTTATCTGTTGGTGGCATTCATGAAAGTCTGGAAATGTCCCCTAATTGTACTGGTTTAGGTCATGTGCCCACTTCAGGAACACATGTGCAGGTTTTCTTGGCCCTGGGCCATGACTCTATTCCTAATGCAGGGGGTCAGAGTACCACTGAGATCTCAGACTGGAAATGGGGAACGGGTGAATCCCAGAACAAAATAGGAGACTGATTCTCTATGAAGGTATAGACAAAACAAAAACAAAAACAAACCAAAAACTATCGGTACAATGATTAACCCTGCTATTATAAGCAAACCCAGGATTATTTTCAAAGAACAAAACCGCTAACCAGATTAGATAGCTGTCTTTGAAATTAGCATTTGCCTGGATAAACACAAGGATTAGGGTTTCTGCTTAACCTTAAGGACCTGGAAATCTAAAAGAGCAAATAGGGACAGTCCAACCTATTAAAATAAGTCGTGGTTAGAGATACTATAAGTTTGAGTAGGCATCTGGGAAATTATATGTAACTTAAGGGAAGAAAATAAGAATGTATATGTACTTTTTCTTACAAATGATTTACTTCTTGTTGCTTTAGAGAAGAAAGTATTTGAATGAAGTGATAATATACATTCAATGCAATCATGTGATAGGAAGGAGAGAAGTGGAAATACAATTTAGACTAATGTGATTCACAAGAAAGAGATCCTTGGGGGGTTGCCTGCATAAATGTTCTAATATTAGGTATAGATAGAAAAAAATTATTTTGAACAATTGCTGCTTTTATTAGGAAAAACACATCAGCCATTTGTGGTCACTTTATTTCTTGGCATTTTAGGTGGGATACTGGAGATACTTATCAAAAGGAGGTTAGCTTTTGACAATGTAAATTAAAACCAAGTTTATTTGAAGTCACTTTATGAGCAAGGTCTCTCTTTTTTGGTGAAATGTGGTTGAAACGCAAAGTCAAACTAGCAGAGGCCAAAAGGAATCTGTGTTGGAAGAGAGGTTCACGTGATTCTGAGATGGCAAGAGCACACCCGGGGCTCACAGACCAGGAATCAGAGATTCAGACACAGCCTGGAATCTTCTCTCTTCATCTCTTGTTTCTCTTGCACTGGCTTCTTCCTAGGAACTACGCCACAAACAAACCTAATGTCCCCCGTCTCTGTTGGTCCTAGAAAACGAATAAGCCTCTTGCGCCAGCTCTGGTTTTTCAAATCCTGAGAAATGACCCTCACTGGCCTAGTGTGAGTCATGTGCTTACCAAGAAACAAAACACCATAAATGGGTCAGCCCTACTTAATATAGTTACTCACCTCGAGTCCAATCTACTATGGCCAGGAGGAGGGAATCCCCTTGAGATGCATTTGCAGTAAGAAAATGGGCATTTTCCAGAACAAAAAAGGTTGGGATCAAGTTGGGATCAAGATTGAAGTACAGCTTCAATCTTCTTTGGAAGATTTTAATTCAAATAATGGAACTAAAACATTCCATTATTTCCTTAATAATGAAAAATATTAAAGTCAATAAAAATAATTCTCGGCCGGGCACAGTGGCTCACGCCTGCAATCCCAGCACTTTGGGAGGCCGAGGCGGGCTGATCACGAGGTCAGGAGATCGAGACCATCCTGGCTAACATGGTGAAACCCCGTCTCTACTAAAAATACAAAAAATTAGCCGGGTGAGGTGGCGGGCGCCTGTAGTCCCAGCTACTCATGAGGCTGAGGCAGGAGAATGGCGTGAACCCGGGGGGCGGAGCCTGCAGTGAGCTGAGATTGCACCACTGCCCTCCAGCCTGGGCGACAGAGCGAGACTCGGTCTCAAAAGAAAAATAATAACAATAATAATAATTCTCACTTTAATAAACAAAGTTATAATTGCTTTGTTTATACAAAGCTTTTACACCAGGATAAAATTCTTGGCACAGGTAGCTTTCCCAAACATTTCAAAGGTGGTTTCAGGTTTTGCTTGGTGCCCAGCCTGGGCAGATGGCCTCTTTCCTCAGCTGAGATCACTTCATGTCTATTGAGAAGCAGAGCTTCACCCACATTTCTTAAAAAATGAATCCCAACCTTAGGAGCTCTATTCGCTATCTGGGACTCAAGGTCAAATCATCTTCAAACCTGCTTCTGACCTTAAGCTTCAGTTTGTTGTTGTTTTTGAGGCAGAATCTCACTCTGTTGCCCAGGCTGGAGTGCAGTGGCACAATCTTGGCTCACTGCAACCTTCGCCTCCCAGGCTCAAGCGATTCTCGTGCCTCAGCCTTCCGAGTAGCTGGGATTAGAGGCGTGCACCACCATGCCAGGCTAAGTTTTATATTTTTAGTAGAGAAGGGGTTTCACCATGTCGGCCAGGCTGGTCTTGAACTCATGACCTCAGGTGATCCAATTCGGCCTCCCAAAGTGTTGAGATTATAGGCGTGAGCCACTAGGCCTGGCCTTAAGCTTCAGTTCTGATCATACTATCTCTGCTTTGCGGTTTTTTGTTTTTTTTTTTTGAGACAGGGTTTCACTCTGTTGCCCTGGCTGAGTGTAGTGGCACACTCACGGGTCACAGCAACCTCAACCTCCCAGGCTGAAGGGATCCTCCCACCTTGGCCTCCTGAGTAGCTGGGACTACAGATGCCTGCCACCATGCCTGGCTACTTTATTTTTTGTAGAGACAAGGTCTCTCTCTCTTGCCCAGGCTGGTCTCAAACACCTGGGCTGAAGCAATCCTCCCACCTTGGCCTCCCAAAGTGCTGGGAGTACAGGCATGAGCCACCATGCCCAGCAATGTTTTGTTCATCTTTACCTGAGCCAGGTATCCCCTCTGTACTTCCAGTCCCACGTGTGATCATACAGCCATAACCCTTCACAGACAAGCTTCTTGAAAGGAATACTACACCAGATCTTGGTTTCTAGATACCAGTTTCCACTAAAAGGATACAGGACTCCTTAGAGAAATGGCTGATTCCAGGGCTAGGACAGGAAAGTATAAGAGGAGCCTGAACATCTTATTGTGCCAAAAAACAGAGGTGCTCGAAAAATGATGGGGATATATATCAAATAGCTTGAAGGGCACTTTATCTTACTTGACTTTTTAGCAGCCTATTAAACTACTAATCTCATCCTCCTTGAAACTCTCTCCTCTAACATCTGGTCTTCTGCTTCTGATTATCTTTCCTCATGACAGCTCCTTCTAAGAGTCTTTTCTCATTTTCTGTATCTCATTTTCTGCTCATCCCATAAGTATATGGGATATTCCTTGCTGCCGTGTCCTCAGCCCTTTTCTTTTCTCATTGTTTTCCTTCTCTGGGGGCTCTTTGCCAATCCTACAGCTTCAGCTATTATACACACAATGGGCCAGGCACAGCGGCTCACACCTGTAATCCCAACACTTTGGGAGGTCGAGGCAGGCAGATCGCTTGAGCCCAGGGGTTCGAAACCAGCCTGGGCAACATGGTGAAACCCCGTCTCTACTAAAAACACAAAAATTAGCGAGGTGTGGTGGTATGTACCTGTAGTCCCAGCTACTTGGGAGGCTGAGGTAGGAGGATTTCTTGGGCCCAGGAGGTCAAGGCTGCAGTGAGGCCAGATTGAGCCACTGCACTCCAGCCTGAGCAAGAGTGAGATCCTGCCTTAAAAAAAAAAAAGCTCTCAAATATGTACATTTCTGAGTATATTATGTGTAGCTACAGGTAGGTAGGTAGGTACATGGATGACTGATAGATAGATTCAGCACAGACATCTCTCTTGAGCTCCAGAGTCATAAATCCATCCAATTACTTCTTGGATATCTCCACTTGGAGTAACCTACTAATATCTCAAAGGTAACCTGTTAAAAACTGAAGACATTTTCTTCTTCTCCAGTATTCTTTATTTCTATTACTGGCACTACTCACACCTGACTGTCCAAGCAAGAAACTCTGAAATTATTCTTAACATCAATGCTCTTTAACCAGAGACCACCAGGAACACACCTCTAGTTAAACAAGTTGAGTTTATTACTCATTGCAGCAAAGAAGAACACACAACATAGGGAACCATGGGGTGTCTCAGTATGAGAGTGTTTAGAAGAACCTAGTATAGAATTTGGGATTGGGAGAGGGTCTAAGGAAACGGGTTTGCTCCAGATTGGATACTATCAGAAAGAAGGAGAATTTCATGATTATCTCAATACATCTTCTCTATAGGGAAGGCAGACTAGAGCTGGGACAAAGCTGTCACTGGTAAAGTAGCAGTTGCTCATTTTAGCTGAGAGAGGGTGATTTTTGGTATTTTCTGGATGGCACCATGACCCTCTTTTTGCCTGTGCTTAGACAAAATTACAAAGTGGACTTGTTTTTTCTCACTTTATTAAGGTTTCAGAGTCATCTTGTTTAATGTTGGTATTCTGTGAGACTTATGCCCAATAGGAAAATAACATAGCCTAGCTGTGAATGCCAAGTCAGCTTTCAGATGTCAAGAGCAGCTTTTCTCCCCGCTTTTTCATTAATCACTCTCTGCCATTCCGTGTAAATTAGTTGCCAACCCAGGTGCAGTGGCTGATGTCTGTAATCCCAGCCCTTTGGGAGGCCGACGCGGGCGAATCACTTGAGGTCAGGAGCTCGAGACCAGCCTGGCCAGAATGGCGAAACTCCATCTATACTAAAAATACAAAAATTACCTGGGAATGGTGATGCACACCTGTAGTCCCAGCTACTCAGGAGGTTGAGGCACGAAAATTGCTTGAATCCAGGAGGCAGAGGTTGCAGTGAGCCGAGATCACCCCACTGCACTCCAGCCTGGGCAACACAGCAAGTCTCTGTCTCAAAAAAAAAAAAAAAAAATAGTTGCCAAGGCCTATTAATTTTTACTTCCTATGTATCTCTGGCATTTCTTGGTCCCCTCTTCTCCTTCCTTAATCCAGGCCATTATCATTTGTCAGCTGAATGACTCCATCAGTCACTTAACGGTGTGCCCAGGAGTCCATCGTGCTTCCGTTCCAGCCCATCCTCCATGGTCTCCCTGTAGCCAGAGTGAAGGCTCTGAATGCATCATCCCCTGCCAAAAATCTTCTTTGGTTACATTACCAGCTGTTACTAACATTTAAATGGTAAAATTAAAAATCAGTGAGGTTAGCAATGAAAATAAACTTTTTTCTTTTCTCCCGAAAAGGAATCAAGAAGGGTGGAGAGTGTATCTGCAGAAGGAATCAGCTGAGTTTGGAGACTATTTTGATATCCTGATTCCCTCTTAAGAAATGATGACTCAATGCAAATCAAGAGGATGACATGACTGCTAAAAAATGTAATGCATTATTGGCACCATTCGTAAAAGTATACTGTCCACAGTAAAAAAAAATATGTTGTCCTGGGTAATACATTTTAAGAAATATATCATTAAAAGCATGTGTCTAAAGGAGGACAATCAGGATAAGGGAGAGTTCTGGAAACATGTCATATGGATAATAAGAAAAAATAAAGCTTAAAGAAAAATAAGAAGGAATATGACAAATATTTTCAAATAGGAGTAAATTTATTTCATATAGATTCAGGGGGAGAATCAAGTCTGAGGATTATAAACCATAAGCAGACTGATTTCCACTCAATATAAGGAAACACTTTCCATTAAAACTGTCCAATAATGGCCAGGTGCAGTGGCTCATGCCTGTAATGTCAGCACTTTGGGAGGCCAAGGCAGCCAGATCACCTGAGGTCGGGAGTTCAAGACCAGCCTGGTCAACATGGTGAAACCCTGTCTCTACCAAA
The DNA here is from genome assembly GCF_000001405.40 of Homo sapiens. NCBI lineage: Eukaryota > Metazoa > Chordata > Mammalia > Primates > Hominidae > Homo > Homo sapiens. Next base: position 93,514,447 of record NC_000012.12, on the reverse strand, counting down.
AAAAAAAATTAGCCAGGTGTGGTGGTGGGTGCCTGTAATCCCAGCTACTCAGGAGGCTGAGGCACAAGAATCGCTTGAGCTTGGGAGGTGGAGGTTGCAATGAACCGAGATTGACAGAGGAGACGCCATCTCAAAAAAAAAAAAAAAAAAAAGAAAGAAAGAAAGAAAAAGCAGAGGGAGAAAACTGTCCAATCATTATTGGAGTTAGGTCCATGGAAACGTAGTGAACTCCTAGTTACTAAAAGAATTCAAGAGAAAGCTGAATAATATTCCAGAAAGTACACTATAAAACAGGAGTTGGCTGGGCATGGTGGCTCACGCCTGTAATCCTAGCACTTTGGGAGGCCGAGGCAGGCAGATCATGAGGTCAGGAGTTCAAGACCAGCCTGACCAACATGGTGAAACCCCGTCTCTACTAAAAATACAAAAATTAGCCGGGTGTGGTGGTGGGCACCTGTAGTCCCAGCTACTCGGAAGGCTGAGGCAGGAGACTTGCTTGAACCTGGGAGACGGAGGTTGCAGTGAGCCAAGATCACACCACTGCACTCCAGCTGGGGTGACAGAGCAAGACTCGGTCTAAAAAAAAACAGGAGTCATTGAACTATCTGTGATGAAAGGATAGTTCTTTAATCCATTGTGGTCTAGTACTTTTATAAATTATAAAATGAAATTAGTAGAATGAAAAACATTTTTTAAAAGCCCCAATTTTTAATTATGTTAATGGATATAAAATTAAATTTCAATAAATAGAATTGGAACACACATAAAACGGAAAGAGAAAAAATTATTTAAAAACTTTCACTGAAAATGTGAATTTAAGATTAATATAATTTCTATAACTCAACTTTTTGTCATTCTTCAATTATAACTGAAGATTATAATTGAAGTAGTGATTCTGTTTATTAGACCATTAGATATACTTTGAATAAACACAATGCATATTAATATTCAAAAGTTTTTAGGTCAAGCAAGGTGGCTCACACCTGTCATCTCAACACTTGTGGGGGCCGAGATGGGAGGATCACTTGAGACCAGGAGTTTGATACCAACCTGGGTAACACAAGGAGACTTGGTCTCTACAAAAAATAAATTTGCCAGGCGTGATGGCAGACACCTGAAGCTCCAGCTGCAGGCTGAGGTGAGAGGATTGCTTGAGCCCAGAAGTTCAAGGTTACAGTGAGCTACGATTGCACCACTGCACTCCAGCCTGGGCAATAAAATGAATGAGACCCTCTCTCTCAAAAAAAAAAAAAAAAAAAAAAAATTCTAAATGTCACAAATGAGCTGGTTTCTTTCTCGTTAAAATATGTAATCCAGGGTAGATTGACAATACTACTACTTTCATGGATTGATGTATATCTAAACTGTTTCCATGGTTTTTAAAAAATATTATTCATAAGATGAAACCAGATTTACAAAGGGATAATGGTCGGAATGGGAAAAAAAAGTTTTTAAACTAATTTCAGCATACTCAGAATATTCACTTTTAACTTTTATCCAAAATGAAGCAAGTGGTGTGGTATTTTCAAAATTCATTTTTAATCCTTCATTAGTTGCCAGTTAGAACAATGTATCATATAAGCTTACAATTAAATTTAAATCCTCTTTTGATGACATAAATGGATTCCAGATCTATGAATTTGCCGTATGTAGACATTCTTTTGTTGGAAAATAAAACTTAAAGCATTCTATCAAATTCACAATAGTTTGATTACTTCTTACAGATGTGCAATATCAAGACAATCACCAACTTCAATGACAATTGTTAAATTATGGAACATGTAATAACAATCTGTAGCAACTCTGGTCTTTCAAGCTTCTACCTTTTGCTTTTGCTCTTTGATTTTATCTGCCATTAAAAAACAAGTTGCATTCCTGCCTTGTATGAAAGAATTCTGAAGCTATCAGAACTGTCTTCAGATAATTGAAGATAGTAACTTCAGGTAACTCTAGCTGGCCAATTTATATCTTTATTTCATTTTATTATTTTATTTTGAGGCAGAGTTTCACTCTTTTTATCCAGGCTGGTGTGCAGTGGCACAATCTTGGCTCACTGCAACCTCTGCTTCCTGGGTTCAAGCGATTCTCCTGCCTTAGCCTCCCGAGTAGCAAGGAATACAGGTGTGTGCCACCACGCCCAGCTAATTTTTGTATTTTTAGTAGAGATGGGGTTTCACCATGTTGGCCAGGCTGGTCTCGAACCTCTGACCTCAGGTGATCCGCCTGCCTCGGCCTCCCAAAGTGCTGGGATTACAGGCATGAGCCACCGCACCCAGCCCAATGTATATCTTTATAAAGCTGGGACCAAACTGGCTTCTTGCAGCAATAATTAAATGTTCAAATATGCTCAACAGAACTTTCCCTCTAGATAATCATCATATCTCTAAATGTAATCACAGTTGTTTGTTTTCCAAACTATTACATAAAGAGAACAATCTCAAACTTATTGCATTAGCCTTTACACAAGTTATGTTCTTTACTAAGTCACTGAACACACTGTACAGTTCAGTTGATATGCTTTTTCTACCAAGACTTTTTCAAATAAAAAGATATAGTAGGTTGATTTACATTCTAGGGCAAGCTCCTTAATTTAGGTAATTATTCCGGAATGTTCTCTTACCACTGCTGCTATCCATCCAATTGGATTCCTACAAAGCTTCAAACCACATTAATTAACAAAGTAATTTATTCCACACTTTACTGTTGTTTAGAGTTAGCTGTTTGTTGGCAATGAAGTGGAAAAAAGAGAATCTTCCTTCATATTACTATCATATTCAAATAGCATATAAACTAATTGCCATATTAGTAATATCTATATATTAATGGTACATCAAACCAATTGCAAGAAAAGGTAATTTATTAGCTTTCTTTGTTCTATGGGTTGATCTTCCTGGATATTTCAAATTGTTGTGTGTTGGTAACTGGTAATTGAAGTACTTTCTTTGCCACACAGTCTCCCAACATTTCTAAGAATCTTTGATGCTGATTATTATTAAGACAATTATTGTCTATATATAAGATTATTGTCTTAATTGCATTTTTTAGTTTTAGCAATCTAAAGTTGCTTAAAGATGTCTAAAAAGCATTAACGTTTATTTGTGAAATAATGAATATCTGTGCTTTCAGTTTTTTAATTACTTAGGTTTTTCTTTCAAAGAGATCTTCTGGTTTTGGATTTATCTCTTTATGTTCTGTATTTAAATGTTGATTTAGTTTTGATTATTTTATTGCTTCATTTGCCAGAACTTCTCAGCAAATAACATGTTATGGTTTTCCCATGTCTTCATTTATGGCTAAAAAACTGAACTCAGTATATGAAGAATTATATTTATGAGTAAAACTAGAACAATCTATTGGTTTTCATTTATTCAGAATCGCTTTTATTGTCACCATTAGGTTTACTAATACTGTTGCATTCAGAAAAGGTAAGTCTTTTCTTGATAAAAAAAGCCAGTGAAGTTATTTTGCCATCCATAACATGGTGTTAAAGATAAATGAAACAAATTACCCCAAACCTTCACATCGATTGCATTCCCTGCCTGAAACTTTCTCTCCTTTCTCTTTAAACAGATCTAATCTTAACACTGGTCCCCCATAAAAATATTTCCAGTGCATATATCTGACAAAAGATTTATCCAAAATATTTAAAGAAATATTATAACTTCAATCATAAGAAGAAAAAATAATGAGTAAATAGATGTTCCATATCACATATTATCAGGGAAATGCAAATTAAAATAAATGTGATGTGGATGAGCTGTCTGAGCAGAGAAAAACACAAAACAAGTGAGACACCACTACACACCTTTTAGAATGGCCAAAATTCAGAACACTAACACCAAGTGCTGACAGGGATGTTGAGCAATAGGAACCCTTATTCACTGCTGGTGGGAATGCAAAATGGTACAGCCTCTCTGTAGGACAGTTTGGTGGTTTTTTACAAAACGAAACATTCTCTTAGCATTCAATCCAACAATTGTGCTCTTTGGTATTTACCCAAAGGAGTTGAAAGCTTAAATGGACACAAAAACCTACACATGGATATCTATAGCAATTTTATTCATAATTGCCAAAACTTGGAAGCAATCAACCAAGATGTCCTTCAGCAGGTGAATGGATAAACTGTTGTACACCCAGACAATGGAGTATTACTCGATGCTAAAAAGAAATGAGCTATCAAACTGTGAAAAGACATAGAGGAAACAAATGCATATTATCCAGTGAAAGAAACCAATGTGAAAAGGCTATATATACTTTATGATTCCAACTATATGGCGTTCTGAAAAAGGAAAAACTTACGGAGACAGTGAAAAGACCAGTGGTAGCCGGGGGTCAGTGGGGAGGACACGACGAAGAGGCAGAGCCAAGGGTTTTTAGGACAGTGTAGACTCTGCATGACTATAAAGATGGATACATGTCATTGTACCTTTGTTCAAACCCATAGATTGTACAGCACCAAGAGTGAACCCTAATGGAAACAATAGGCTTTGGGTGATAATGATGTGTCAGTGTAGGTTTATCAATTGTAACCAATGTGCCACTCTGCTGGGGGATGGTGATGAGGGAGGCATGGGGGAGGGGAGCACTGAGGATATATAAGTTATTTCTGTACCCTCCTCTCAATTTTGCTCAGAACCTAAAACTACTTTTAAAAACTAAAGTTTTTTTTTTTTTTCAGGAGATGAGGATCTCACTATGTTGCCCAGGCTGCAGTGCAGTGGCTATTCACAGGTGTGATCCCACTACTGATCAGCACAGGAGTTTTGACCTGCTCCACTTCTGACGCTCCTTAGGCAACTCTGGGTCCCAGTGACCCAGGAGGTCACTACATTTATGCTGAACTTAGTGCAAACACCTGATTGACATAGCTCACTACAACCCAGAACTTCTGGACTCAAGTGATCCTCCTGTCTTAGCCTCCTGAGTAGCTAGGTCTACAGGCATGTGCCACTGTGCCTGGCAAAAAGTCTTTTTTAAGTGCTAAGAAAAAAAAAAGAGCAAATGATTTGAACAGATATTTCACCAAAGATATGAGTGCCCAACAAGTACCTGAATCAAAACTTAATGTTATTGATCATCAGAGAAATGCAAATTAAAACCATCAAATTATTACTATATATCCATTAGAATGGCTAAAACTAAAAATATTATCAAATGAGGGCAAGAATATAGCAATTGGAACTTTCATTCATGGTGGTGAGAATATAAAATGGTACAACCACTTTGCAAAAAGCGTTTTGGCAGTTTTTTTTTTTTTTTTGAGACGGAATCTCGTTTTATCACCCAGACTGGAGTGCAGTGGTGTGATCTTGGCCCACTGCAACCTCTGCCTCCTGGGTTCAAGGGATTCTCCTGCCTCAGCCTCCTGAGTAGCTAGGATTACAGATGCCTGCCACCACACCCAGCTAATTTTTGCATTTTTAGTAGAGACGGGGTTTCACCATGTTAGCTAGGCTGGTCTCAAACTCCTGACCTCAAGTGATCCGCCCACCTCCGCCTCCTAAAGTGCTGGGATTACAGGTGTGAACTACCACGCCCAGCCCCCCAGCTCATTCTTAGCTAACTAGTGTGTGTGAAAAAGAGACAGTGTTAAAATATATATGGTTTAAACTGATAAGGAAATGATCAGTTATTGAGCTTATCCATGATTGCTAATTCAGGTAGAGATGGCTTATAAGTAAGTGTTCGGGGCTGCTTACGGGAAGAAAAAATGAAAGTTAGGGATTTCCTTTGGATGCTGGGAAACAAAACTCCAACTGGGTTCTGACAAACATACCATGTGCATTGTCCTGTGGAGACATGACAATGTAAACCCATAAACAAATCGATTACGTTTTGGTGACAACTATTGTGAAGAGAATGGCCATAGTATTTGCTGCTTCTCCTTTTAATAGGTAGCATCTCTCCTCTTACTCCCTTGAATCTGAGATAGCCTTATGAAGTGATATTGTGCCAGTTCTGAGACTAGGCCTCAAGAAGCCTCGAAGCTTCCAATCTTGCACTTTTTTGTTTGTTTTGATACAGGTGCTTGTTCTGTTGCCCAGCCTAGAGTGCAGTGGCACAATCATGGCTCACTACAGCCTCAATCTCATGGGCTCAAGCAATCCTCCCATCTCAGCCTCCCAAATAGCTGGGACTACAGGCATGCAGCACCACCCCACCCTCCCCACCCCCAGCTAATTTTTTAAAATTTTTTTGTAGAAGACCAGGCGTGGTGGCTCACACCTGTAATCCCAGCACTTTGGGAGGCTGAGGCAGGCAGATCACCTGAGGTGGGGAATTCAAGACCAGCCTGACCAACACGGAGAAACCCATCTCTACTAAAAATACAAAATTAGCTGGGCGTGGTGGCTCATGCCTGTAATCTCAGCTACTCAGGAGACTGAGGCAGGAGAATCGCTTGAACCCAAGAGGCAAAGGTTCTGGTGGGCTGAGATTGCGCCATTGCACTCCAGCCTGGGCAACAAGGGCGAAACTCCATCTCAAAAAATTTTTTTTTTTACAGATGGGCTCTCACTATGTTGCCCAGGCTGGTCTTGAACTCCTGGGCTCAAGAAATCCCCCAACCTTGGCCTCCCAAAGTGCTGGGATTACAGGTGTGAGTCATCATGCCCAGCCCCAATCTCATACTCTTGAAATCCTAAAGCCATGTGAAGAATCCAGGCCTAGCTTGCTGGATGATGAGAGACACAGTCCCCCTAATGCCCCAGGTGACAGTCACTCAATACCAGACATATGAGTGACACCATCTAGGACTAGCCAGCCTCAACAACCCAACTAGTGACCTCAGCTGCATGGGCAAGTCCAGCCAAGATAAGCTGAGCTGGATCCAGACTATAAGAATTACCTGGAAGAACGCAAACTAATGAAAGATTGTTGTTTTAAGCCAATGAGCTTTGGGGTGATTTGTTAATTGGCAATAGATAACTGATATTCAAGGATTCATCCAAAGTTCCCTTAAAAGATAGAACCCATTAAGTCATTTTAAACACTTATAAGCAAGTTATTAAATCCTTAAAAGAAACTGAAAGTTTCTAAGGTATACTGGGTTGGAAAAAGGAAAAGAAAAAGAAACTAAAAGTGAAGGCTGAAACTGACAAGTAAGGAGTTATTTCTCCCTGCAAATGTAATCAGAAAATAAGGTGGAGTGTCTCTGAATGCATAACTGGAACAAGGAAACAATCTAATGGTTTTAGTAGTAAATATATGATTTCAGGGGCACATCCAGTGGAATGATGGAGTCAGTGCACAACAACTTGTAAGACCCAGTCATGGAAACTGGCAAACATTACAAGTTAGAACCAGTTGTTAAATCTTCATTAGTACATCACTGGACACATCTATTGCTAAAGGCACATTTCATCAGTATGTATATGCATAAATATACATATAAGATGTCCTTAATGTTTAAAAAAGACATTGGTTGGTTCTGCCACAATCTGTGATCTTGGGCAAGTCAATTAGTGTCTTTGGATCTGTTTCCAAATCAGTCCCCAAAAATCATCTTTAAGATGTCTTTCAGCTTTACGATTCTATCTTCTATGCTCTTATGGTAATTACACCTGGATGCAGCAATTGAAAAGTCCAATGGGATCAATCCAAATTGCCACACTTAACCATGTTACTGACTACATATATTACTCATCAAGACAATTATTCAAGTAAGTGGCATAATAGTAATCCAATGTACTTTGCATTATGAGTGAAGAAGAGACTAATTTTGACTAGAGGGGAAAGAAGGGATGGTCATAGCAAGATACTTTGTCAATCAGGAATGAGGGCTATCTTTGAACCCACAGTGGCTTGAACTCTATAGGTGCTTAATAAAATTTGCCGAAAAGATTACATGCTTAGAGACAACATTATAAAGAAAAGACATTCTTGGCCGGGCGTGGTGGCTCATGCCTGTAATCCCAGCACTTCAGGAGGCGAAAGCAGGTGGATCACCTGAGGTCAGGAGTTTGAGACCAGCCTGACCAACATGGAGAAACCCCATCTCTACTAAATACAAAAAATTAGCCGGACATGGTGTTGCATGCCTATAGTCCCAGCTACTTGGGAAGCTGAGGCAGGAGAATCGCTTGAACCCGGGAGGTGGAGGTTGCAGTGAGCTGAGAATGTGCCACTACACTCCAGCCAAGGCAACAAGAGCAAGACTCTGTCCCAAAAAAAAAAAAAAAAAAAAAAGAGACATTCTTGCTGAATTGAAGACTCAGAAGAGGCTGGGCACAGTGGCTCACCCTTGTAATCCCAGTATTTTGGGGGGCCAAGGTGGGCAGATCACCTGAGGTCAGGAGTTCAAGACCAGCCTGGCCAACGTGGTGAAACCCCATCTCTACTGAAAATACAAAAAATCAGCCAGGCATGCTGGTGCACGCTCATAATCCCAGCTACTCGGGAGGCTGAGGCAGGAGAATTGCTTGAGCCTATGAGGCGGAGGTTGCAGTGGGCTGAGATCATGCCACTGGCCACTGTACTGCACTCCAGCCTGGGTGACAAAAGTGAAACTCCATCTCAAAAAAAAAAAAAAAAAAAAGACTCAGAAGTAATCATAAGGTTCTACTTGCTATTCTCACATGTAATTGTGAGACTCTGCCTCCATTTCTCCATCTAAAAACAGGAGCTCATTTACAAGCAACATGACAAGAATTCAAGCAGTCATGGCTGTGAAGCATTTCTGCAGAAGGATATGCTATGTAAGTATGAGGTTGTTACTAAATCAAAATGAATGCCTTTGTGCAAAACTAGAAAGCACATTACATATTGTTCCTGAGTATTCCTTCCCAGTGCATTCAAAATATTCTCACATTCACAAGGTTAAACAGCACATTAAAAAATAGTAGGAGGCTGATGGCTGAGCTCAATTGGGAGTATCTTTCTTTGGTGTTAGAATGTTTGAAAATTATTTTGGGAAGACTATGAGCAAGTTATTTTGAACTTCTGGGGAAAAAAAAAAATCTGAAGAAGCATTCCCTTTGCCTAAAAGCAAAGGAGACATTTATTTATGCCTTTAGCAAATAAAATAGTTTGCTTACTACCAGTGTTTGTGGGCTGATATTCAACTCATCTTCTGGAAATTTTAAAAATACACATTGAAACTGAAAAAGTATTCTTTGAGTAAGGGTTTACCTGAAGTGCCCAGAACCATCCAAAATGATGGCACATTATATCTTTTTTTCTTAAAAATTTTTGGAATCTAATTGAAGATGCCTCTTAGAATATGTGGAAACCACACGTGCTATCTTGCATATCACTATCATTTCAGTTCTAATGTTATTAGGTGTTTAGCTACAGGCAAGTAGAATTAGGGCATGATGTGACAGACTGTAATGAGTTGCTGAGAAACTACATACTCTATCCCCAGGAAAACACATATTCTCAAAATTCTACACAATTTCAGGAATTTCATAGATGCCCCTACCCCAAATCCCATTCATGAAATCCTTAGCTTAAAATCCTGTGCACTAGAGCAATGTATTTTATAAAACCATATTCAGATGCCTGTGAAGCAATGAATGTGCTAGGCAATGTTAGGCGGTAGAAACAGTGATACACGTAGTCAGACAGGGTACCTAGAAGTCATGGAGCTTATAGGCTAGTAGGGGATATGGACATTTACCAAATAATCACACAAAAAGATGCCTAATTACAAACTCTGATTAAGTGCTATGGAGAGATATACAGTGTTGCACGTAACAACAGAATCTAAAGAAGTTACATTTTAGGGGGCATATAAACAATGTTGTGCAGGGGAGGTAGAAGAAACACATTATGGTAAAGGGCTGCAAAGGAAATAAGCCCATAATAAGGCCTCTTATAGGTTTAAGCTAGGACCTGAAACTTGTATACTTTATATGCTTTGAAATGAGACATACATTAAAGTGGCTGATCAAATTAAAACATTTTCCAGTCTTTGCCTACTAAATTGATAAAGATTTTTTAAAATTTTAATAGAACTAAAGAGAAAATATTTCTATATACTGATGTTAGGAGTATGCAGTTTAGGCCAGGCATGGAGGCTCACACCTATAATCCCACCCAGCACTTTGGGAGGCCAAGGTGTGTGGACACTTGAGGTCAGGAGTTCGAGACCAGCCTGACCAACATGGTGAAACCCTGTCTCTACTAAAAATGCAAAATTACCTGAGTATGGTGGTGCACACTTGTAATCCCAACTACTTAAGGAGGCTGAGGCAGGAGAATCACTTGAACCCGGGAGGTGGAGGCTGCAGTGAGCCAAGATCGCGCCATTGCATTCCAGCTTGGGCAGAGCAAACCTCCATCTCCAAAACCCAAAAAGTATACAGTTTAAACCACTGACTTTAAAAATGTACATAAACATGGATGCCGGACATGGTGATTCAACGATTGCACTTACAGAAACAAATCTAAGAAAACAGTAATGATCTTGCCAGCTTCTGATGAGATTATAAGAAAAAAAAAAGAAGAAATAAATTTAAAAAAAAAATAAAAAAAGAAAATGGTAATAATCCACCAGGATGTTAATAACAGCATTATTCACAAGATGGAACAGAAACAATGATTTTGTCTAACAGCAGGGAGTTAATTAAATTATGACAAGCCAGATTATAGAATAATATGCACCCATTAAATCAGAGTACTTAATGATACGGAAAAAATTCCTATTAAGTGAAAAAAGCATTACAAAACAGCATATATTATGAGCTCTATTTTTATTTTTGAAATATATTTATGCAGAGAAATACAAAATGTTAACAATATTATCTTAAAAAAAAAAAATAAGGCTGGGCACAGTGGCTCACACCTGTAATCCCATACTTTTGGAGGCCAAGGTGGGTGGATCGCTTTGAGCCCAGGAGTTCAAGACCAGCCTGGGCAACATGGCGAAACCCCGTCTCTATAAAAAAAATTAAAACAATTAGCCAGGCATGGTAGCACACATGTGTAGTCTCAGCAATTCGGGAGGCTGCGGTGGGAGGATTGCTTGAGCCCAGGATATTGAGGTTGCAGTGCAATGTGATTGTGCCACTGCACTCCATCCTGGGCGACACAGCAAGACCTTTTCTTTAAAAAAAAAAAAAAATCAGTTTTTGCTATTGGTCTACTCAGAATATTCCAGCACTTAATTTCACTATTACCATTTATTCTACTAGTCATTCTCAACTAATGAACATCCAAATTCTCTGCTAATTAAGTGCTTTTAAAAGTCACTTTTGGGCGAGATGTTCAAATTAAGCCCTGGGTGAGAGTGCCCTCTGGTGGTTTCCCAATAATGCTTGAACAAGAACTGTGTAGTGAGTTTTTCATGAAGCTAAATGTATTTAAATTAAAGAAGCATCCCACTTTACGAATTTTAAAATGTCTGCAAAACAGACAAATAAGTAGATCTTTCATAAAATGTTACTGATGGTGGATAACAGGTTCTTATCCCTGGGGGACGGGGGAGGAACAGAGGGCAGGTGATGCTGGTGATCACGGACTATGTGCTTATTTAGCAAAATTAAAAATCAGCAACCCATGAAAAGCAAAATCCCAGAAAGCACAGTGTTAATCTATACTTCCAGTAGAATAAAGTCAAAGTTAATTCTCCAAAGCACTGACACATAAGTATGTGGATGTGGGCATCTTGGGTAAATCCTTATTTAGCAGAGCTTTGTACTCGGAAGAGAAGAAAATCTTCATAATCATATTTTGATTTTTCACTTCTTTCTACATTTATAACATAGCTAAGAATTTGTAGAATTTTGGATATAAGTCAACCTGAAAGAAAACCAAACATTTTTCAAGAATACACCATCGACAAAGCTGGTAAATATTTCTGATTTATCAAGTTCAATCAAACTTGTTTTTTTAATCTTTCCAAATGAAATTTATATTAATGGAAAAAGTAAACCACTTAACAGAGGGTCACCATTATTAATTATTTCCTTTACTCTCTATTCCTCACACTTCACTGGCCACTTGAAACTTCTAGAGTTCCTTTATTAAAATAACTAGATCAAACAATAGACTTTGAGAAATTATTTTTCATATCAATTTTACAAATACTGTATCACAAACATTCTACAGTACAAATTTAAATAAAGCAACTTTCTACCTTATTAAAAGATTCTTCACCTCCTAAATAGAAACTGAAGGGGAAGCAATGCTATTAAGGATCATACATAAGCTAATAGAGGCAGCAGAATTATCTATTAACATTTTCCTAACACTATTCTAGTGACCTTAACATTTTAATCACAGAGCTGCAGCTGTTTGCATGTGTTCTAAAGCTAGCATAATCTTTAAGACAGTCAGGAAAAAAAACCTTCAAAACAAATTACATAATATTCTATCTAGAAAAATTTCCAGGAAAGCACATTCTTGGGTGAAAGAAAACCACCCCTTTGTCATTGTGATGCACTAAAAAAAAGCTTTGGAGCCTGATAGTTTGGCTCCTGGCTCTCCCACTTGTTTGGGTAAGGTTCGAGTCACTGTAAAATGTAATTATACTCCCTTTTCAAAGGATTATTTTGAGAATTTAATAAGAATTGATGGAAGGGGCCTAGCAGATAGTAAAACCTGATTAAAATATCACTAATTTAATTATTTCCTAGAAGCCAACTGAAACATCATAACATTTATTTTCTTGGTAGACCTTATGAGTTTATTCTCAAAGGCAATTAAAAAATCTCCTTCAGGAAAGCCATGCACATTTTTATTAATCATATTTATACTACTAACAATGCTTGGCTGATGATTAAAAATACTTAAATCACAGTAGACACACAAAAAGAGATGTTTCTCAACTTATCATAGGGTTACATCCCAATAAACCTACTATCAGTTGAAAATATTGTAAATTGAAAATGCTAGCCTGTCTTAAATATGCTCAGAACACTTACAGTAGCCTACTGTTTAGCAAAATTATCTAACACGAAGCCCGTTTTATAATAAAGTGTTGAATTTCTGATGTAATTTATTGATGTTCTACTGAATATGTATGGCTTTGGCACTATGGAAAAGTCCTAAATTGGAGACCGCACATAAATGAAACACTAAAATAGAAAAAGAAAAAAGAAAATAGGTTTCTCTAAATGAGAATGTCAAATCCAGAATTACTTTATATAAAAGTACACATTCTAATATATGAAAAGATATTTTATCATTATTACTTTACTATATATTACTGAATACACCAGACTGCATTTTCTCAAATGGCAAATGAGGCACATTTCTCTTTGATTCCCCCAGGAACCTCCGCATCATCTGTCTTTTGGAGGATTCAGATTCTTACGACATCTGTGATACCTTGAAAAGAAGAAAATACTTGGAATAAGATGATTTTAATAAAAATTATTCCTGATAAAAATCTAACTTCTATGATTATTTTGCTATTGGAACTATTTTTTTAAAAAATCAATGAAACTACGTATCAGCCATTTCTTAGTAATAAGCCACATTCTCCCATTGTGAAAATTTGTTTTCTTTTCTTTACCTAATCATTTTTTTTTTCTAGAGACTGGGTCTTGCTTTATTGCCCAGGCTGAAGTGCAGAGGTTATTCATAAGCTCAATAATAGTGTACTACAGCCTCAAACTCCTGGCACAAGGGCTCCTCCTACCTTACCCTGCCTAGTAGCTGGGACTACAGGCACACCACCACACGTGGCTAAGTTGTTGACTATTAATTAAATTAAGCATTTGAAATAGTTTTCTTTCATATCTTGAGGATAATTTCAACATGGTAACCCAGATGACTGATTCTGATAAAAACTAATGGTTTTTTGTCTTAGTAGTGAAGAAATATCACATCTGGTGAGATTTAGGCTTCCAAAACATAAAGAAACACCACATCGTGAACATGAACGTGTTCTGTTAAAAGTTTTATTTACAAGGGGCTATTGTCCTCTAAATGGAGGTCTCTATAAATGCAAAATCATGTTTTAATATAAAATAAAACTAGTAATATGTCTGTGGAAAAATGTGTAATGTCATGCAAAATGGAGGGACTGCAAATCAGAACAGTGAGGAACCTTTTGTTTTTGAGATCACAAACATGTTAAAAATCATAATGCCCAATCCAAGCACAGGTGTGGTGAAATTAGCAGTATGAGACCCGACTGGTTAAAAGTATAAACTTTTACTTCAAAATACTTTTGAAAAGCAGTATGATAAGATGTATCAAGAAATATTCATAATTTTTGACCTAGTAATTCCTCTTCTAGCACTCTGTCCCAAAGGAATATAGAAAAAGTAGTTAAAATATTAAGGAAGAACACAGGAGAAAATTTACATATACAGTATGATGATAACCATGTAAAAATAGGCAAACTAACAAAACTTATGTATAGATATAGAGAAATGAAATGCATTGTCAGCAGTGATAGTTTTTGAGTGATTTCACCATGGAGAATTCTTTTTGCTCCTCTGCATTTCCTTATTTTCTTTACTGATTTAAGAAACATTTCTGCACAGAGTACATGTGTTTTTGTGATGAGTTACGTTCAAAAATTTCCTTCAGGTCAGATTTTGGCAAGTTGGTCACAAGTTAATTTTTGTTTTCAATCTTTTGCTAATGTGGAAATTCAGTTTTATACTATAAATGGTAAGACATGTACCCTGTGATCTTTAGTTGTTGTGATTAAGATATCTAAAGCATTTTTTTGCTTCAGGTTTCATATGGGCAACTTCCTGATACACTGATTTTATTTTTGAAAATTTGCAAAATACAGGAATTAAGTTGAAATGAACGAAGTACAGCTGTCTATACTAACATGGAACAGTAAGCTGTCAAAAAATACACACAGTAAAATACCATCTGCATAAACATTTCTACATGTACTTATGTTGGCATACAGAAAATTCTGTTTTTTTCTAAAAGGTTCCATTGACATACCAGATAATCAAGGTTGTACTAGTACAATAGTGTCTCTGAAAGGCATTCTCTCAAAGCAGGGAGAACGGTCATCAGAATAGTGGTTCTAGAAGGAGTTTGGGAAGTCATTAACCTCTTGAAATTATTTGTAAAAATTTTGAATAGGTGTTTCTCTGGGCAGTGGATTCAAAACTTTTATCAGACTCTCAATGAAGTATGAGACCTTCAGAATGCTAAGAACTATCCATTAAAAGTGTCATTCAGCATACACTGTTCAATTATATTTACTACTCAAGACTGAAAATGTTTGAGACTCTGATAGCCCTAAATTGAACAAAGTCAAGTTCTAAAATATGCTCAATAAATGTCAAATAGCATTTACACATATCTTATCATGCATGAATTTTAATGTGCACTACAATCACTAGCCAAAAGCAAGCACCTTAATTTTACGATGACCTTATTCTATCATCCAGATTGGGAACCTTGCAGACACTATTAATTAATACAAGAGTTAAATTGAGATTGCTCCTGGCAAACCAAGTTATATTGTTACACTTCTTAGATTACACAATGACTCAGTGACATCTGGAACACTGGTCTACAGCTCTTAACCCAGAAAACTTTACCTCCTGGTTCATACTAAGCTAGGTAATCAAATCTGTTTCCTACTGATGGAAGTAGCTAATTTTTGTTGTCTCCATGGGAAAATATTAAAGTAGTTTCTTAAATAAAGTGGTACTATTATTCATGCATTTGTAAGATTGCCCTATATTTCAGAAATTTAGAATTATTTTCTCCTGCCTGCCTGCCTGCCTGCCTCCCTCCCCCGACCCCCTCTCTTTTTCTCTCCTCCTTTCTTTCTTAGAGTCACGGTCTTGCTCTAACACCCAGGATGGAGTGTAATGACACAATCATAGCTCACTGCACCCTCAAGCTCCTGGGCTCAAGTGATCCTCCCATCTCAGTCTTCTGAGTAGGTAGGACTACAGGCATGCACCACCATGCCCAGCTAATTTTTAAAAATCGTGGGGGCTGGGCACAGTGGCTCATCCCTGTAATTCCAGCACTCTGGTAGGCCAAGGTGGGCAGATCAGTTGAGCCCAGGAGTTCGAGACCAGCCTGGGCAACATGGTGAAACCACATCTCTACAAAAAATTTAAAAAGTAGCCAGGCATGGTGGTATGCATCTGTAGTCCCAGCTACTCAGGAGGCTGAGGCAGGAGAATCTCTTGAACCTGGGAGGCGAAGGTTGTAGTGAGCCGAGATCAGGTCACTGCATTCCAGTTTGGGTGACAGGGCAAGACCCTGTCTCAAAAAAAAAAAAAAAAAAAAAAAAAGTTATTATGAGAATCAGAATCATTTATCCATTTTAAAATGTGTGAGCACCTACTATGTGTAGATCCTAATGATTCTGTAGTACACAAAACAAGATAAAAATCCCGACTTTCATGGATCTTACATTCCAATACAGGAGATAGGAAAATAAGATGAATAAGCTGGTCAGGGAAGCCTTCATTGAGTAAAAACCTGAAGGAAGTAAGAGAGCTAGCTTTACTGATACTGTGAGAAAGAGTGTTCTATGCAGACAAACAGCAAGTATAAAAGCCCTGAGATGGAAGGAAGGACATGTTCAAAAGCAAAAAAGAGGCCATGTAGCCAGAATACATGAACAAGGAAAAGACAGTAGGGCATGAGAGCAGAGAGGTAATGCAGGACCAAATCATGTAGGTAGTTGTAGGCCTAGAGTGTTTCTGAGTGAGATAGGAAGCTGTTTGAGGATTTTCAACAGAAAAATTACAAGAACCAGTGAAGAGAGATTATTTGACTTTTTCTTTTCCTGAGTGGACGCCTTTTTTTTTTTTCTTGCCTGATTGCTCTGGCTAGGACTTCCCCAGTACTATGTTGAATAGGAGTAGTGTGAGTGGGCATCCTTGTCTTGTTTCTGTTCTTAAAGGAAATGATCTCAGCTTTTGCTTGTTCAGTATGTTGGCTGTGGGTTTGTCATAAATGGCTCTTATTATTTTGGAGTATGTTCCCTCAATGCCTAGTTTGTTGAGGATTTTCATCATGAAAGGATGTTGGATTTTATTGAAAGTTTTTTTCTGTGTTTACTGAAATGATCATATGTTTTTTGTTTTTAATTCTGTTTATATGATGTATCACATTTATTTATTTGCGTATCTTGAATCAGCCTTGCATCTCAGGCAGAAAGCCTGCTTGATCATGGTGAATTAATTTTTTGATGTGCTGCTAGATTTGGTTTGCTCGTATTTTGTTGAGGATTTTAGCATCCATGTTTATCAGGGATACTGGCCCATAGTTTTGTTTTTCTGTTATGTCTCTGTCAGATTTGGGTATCAGGATGATGCCGTTTTTGTAGAATGAGTTGGGGAGGAGTCCTTCCTCCTCGATTTTTTGTTGTTGTTGTTGGGGGAATAGTATCAGTAGGATTGGTACTGGCTCTTTGCACATCTGGTAGAATTCAGCTGTGGATCTGTCTGGTCCAGAGCTTTTTGGTTGTTGTTTTTTTATTACTGATTCAGTTTCAGAATTCATTATTCATCTGTTCAGGGTTTCAGTTTCTTCCTGATTCAAACATGCGAGGTTGTATGTTTTCAGGAATTTGTCCATTGCCTCTAGATTTTCTAGTTGTGTGCTTGAAGTGTTCCTAATAATAGTCTCTGAGGAATCACTTGTACCTGGGAGACGGAGGTTACAGTGAGCCTAGATTGTGCCATTGCACTCCAGGCTGGGGGACAAGAGCAGAACTCCGTCCCCACCCGCCCCCAAACCCCCCCAAAAAAAATAGTCTCTGAGAATCTGTTGTATTTCTCTGGGATTGGTTGTGATGTCACCTTTGTCATTTCTGTATTACTTTTAACCTGGCTGTCTTTATTTTTAAAGTGGATTTCTTATAGGCAGCATATAGTTGGAGCTTGCCTTTTTTTTTTTTTTTTTTTTTTACCTAATCTGACCTCAGTGCCCCATCTCATTTCAACATCAAGCTATTTCAAATGCTTTATCCCTCAGTTTTCAGCACTTTTACTCTTCCTCTGCTATTTGCTCTTATCTTACTTTCTTCATGACATTTTACTTTTTTATATTCACTTTGAATATCTACTGTCCCTCTTAGCACAACTGCATATAATTATAGTTTATTAGGTATCTATTAATGTTATATTTACATTTTTAGGTGACTTTTTTTGGTTAAATCTTCTCTGGAGTATTTTCTCTTTGTTAAGGATGTTGTCTGGGCGTGGTGGCTCATGCTTGTAATCTTAGCACTTTGGGAGCCCGAGGTGGGTGGATCGCTTGAGGTCAGGAGTTCAAGACCAGCCTGGCCAACATGGCGAAACCCTGCCTTTACTAAAAATACAAAAATTAGCCGGGTGTTGTGGTAACTGCCTGTAATCCCAGGTACTCGGGAGGCTGAGGCAGGAGAATTGCTTGAACTCAGGAGGTGGTGGCTGCAGTTAGCTGAGATTGTGCAACTGCGCTCCAGCCTAGGTGACAAAGCAAGACTCCGTGTCAAACAAAAACAAAAACAAAAAACCCAAACATCTGTTGTGTAATTTTCCACAATAATTCTAACACAGTATCCTTAATACAATGTATGGGTATTAAATGATTGTCTGATGGAATACTATCTCACCTAATTGTCTTCACAGCTTCTTTAAGGTGTTCAGTTCCTCTTTGAAACCATACTTTATGGAAGTTTTGAGGATGCACTGGTAAATTTCCCAGTGATTCTTGGAAGTTTTATTTCCAGAGTTCAGCTACCAGGTTACATGGGTTTATCCATTTTATCTAGGTGGGTCACAGGTGGGTTAAGATGTTCCTCATTATCAGATTCTTAATCAAGGTCAGCAGATCCTTAATGATCCAGAAGTGTTGCCCCACTTCATTCAGTCTTGAAGCTACCTGAGTCTAATTATTGGCCTCACCCAAGGTGGGTGAACTGGGAGTGTAAGTTGTATGACTCTAAAGAATCAATGCTGAATAGGCCAGTGGCTAATAAGTATCGTTGATTAGATTATCTCATGTCTGAAAATCTGAAGTGTTTACTATTAAATGTGTGGGCCAGGATTACAAGCTTGTAATCCCAGCACTTTGGGAGGCCAAGGTGGACAGATTGCTTGAGCCCAGCAGTTGGAGACCAGCATGGGCAACATGGCAAACCCTATCTCTCCAAAAAATACAAACAACAACAAAAAAATCAGCCAGGTATGGTAGTATGCTTCTGTAGTCCCAGCTACTTAGGAGGCTGAGTCTTTAGTCTTCCTTAGTTGACATGAAAAAAAATCAAGTCATAAAGTATTCCTTCTAATATAATCTTCCTAGAACACATCATTTGAGCAATATTATTATTGTAGGACTTTTTTCTTAGGTCAGCTAAAGACACACAACCACAAAAAATTAGGCTCACAGACAATTTGAAGGGTGAGGAAGGACAGGGTTTATTGGGTGAAAAGGAAAAAACTCAGCAAAGCAAGAGAGGTTCCTGTTAACAGGCCCACATCTCACAGATTGAATCCCCAGGTTACCACACCAGATCACAGAGGCCAGGCTCCTTTTCCCTGCAAACAGCGTGAACTTCACGAAGCTCCACCCCATTTTCCCAGTGCACAAGCTGGTCGGAGTTTCTCTGGGGACCCCTGTATCACTATATCTCTAGAGTTCCTGATGGTGTGTCTGTTACTTTTCTCATTAATTCGACCTTAGTAACGGTTGAAATTCTTTTTACATATCTAAAGTTAATATACTATCTTGATTTATCTTGGTGCTTCCCTTTCATCTCCCTTGTCTCTAGATTTTGGAGTGCCCCAAGAATCAGTCCTTGGACTGCTCCACTTTTCTGTTCCATTCTCTAGGACAGGAATCTCGTCCAGTCCCATGGCATTAAATACCATCTGTGTGATGATGACTTCCAAATCCATCTGTGGTCAAGACCTGTCCCTTGACCTCTAGACTTACATATCCAACTGCCTACTTGACATGTGTAGTAGGTATCCTTAACTTGGTATGTGTCTAACTGTGCTTCTGATGGTCCTCCACAAACCAGCTTCTCCTGCAGCCTGCTCTCTCAGTTAATGCCAGTTCTATTCTTCTAGGTGCTTGGGCCAAAAACCTTGGTACCACTCTTGACTCCTCTCTCTGTCTCATACCCAACATCTGGTCTATTAGCGAATCTTGTTAGCTCTATCTCCAAAATGTATCTAGATTTGACCATTTGTCACCATTCCCTCTGCCGCTATCCTAGTCCAAATCATCATTCTTGCCTGTTTTGTTGAAATAACTTCCTAACTGGTCTCCCAGCTGCTTCCTTTGCTTTGCTGCAGTCTGTTTGTAGCGTAGCAGCCAGAGTAACCTACTGTTAACACTTCCCTTGGTTCTTGTAATTTTTCTGTTGAAAATCCTCAAACAGCTTCCTATCTCACTCAGAAACACTCTAGGCCTACAACTACCTACATGATTTGGTCCTGCATTACCTCTCTGCTCTCATGCCCTACTGTCTTTTCCTTGTTCATGTATTCTGGCTACATGGCCTCTTTTTTGCTTTTGAACATGTCCTTCCTTCCATCTCAGGGCTTTTATACTTGCTGTTTGTCTGCATAGAACACTCTTTCTCACAGTATCAGTAAAGCTAGCTCTCTTACTTCCTTCAGGTTTTTACTCAATGAAGGCTTCCCTGACCAGCTTATTCATCTTATTTTCCTATCTCCTGTATTGGAATGTAAGATCCATGAAAGTCGGGATTTTTATCTTGTTTTGTGTACTACAGAATCATTAGGATCTACACATAGTAGGTGCTCACACATTTTAAAATGGATAAATGATTCTGATTCTCATAATAACTTTTTTTTTTTTTTTTTTTTTTTTTGAGACAGGGTCTTGCCCTGTCACCCAAACTGGAATGCAGTGACCTGATCTCGGCTCACTACAACCTTCGCCTCCCAGGTTCAAGAGATTCTCCTGCCTCAGCCTCCTGAGTAGCTGGGACTACAGATGCATACCACCATGCCTGGCTACTTTTTAAATTTTTTGTAGAGATGTGGTTTCACCATGTTGCCCAGGCTGGTCTCGAACTCCTGGGCTCAACTGATCTGCCCACCTTGGCCTACCAGAGTGCTGGAATTACAGGGATGAGCCACTGTGCCCAGCCCCCACGATTTTTAAAAATTAGCTGGGCATGGTGGTGCATGCCTGTAGTCCTACCTACTCAGAAGACTGAGATGGGAGGATCACTTGAGCCCAGGAGCTTGAGGGTGCAGTGAGCTATGATTGTGTCATTACACTCCATCCTGGGTGTTAGAGCAAGACCGTGACTCTAAGAAAGAAAGGAGGAGAGAAAAAGAGAGGGGGTCGGGGGAGGGAGGCAGGCAGGCAGGCAGGCAGGAGAAAATAATTCTAAATTTCTGAAATATAGGGCAATCTTACAAATGCATGAATAATAGTACCACTTTATTTAAGAAACTACTTTAATATTTTCCCATGGAGACAACAAAAATTAGCTACTTCCATCAGTAGGAAACAGATTTGATTACCTAGCTTAGTATGAACCAGGAGGTAAAGTTTTCTGGGTTAAGAGCTGTAGACCAGTGTTCCAGATGTCACTGAGTCATTGTGTAATCTAAGAAGTGTAACAATATAACTTGGTTTGCCAGGAGCAATCTCAATTTAACTCTTGTATTAATTAATAGTGTCTGCAAGGTTCCCAATCTGGATGATAGAATAAGGTCATCGTAAAATTAAGGTGCTTGCTTTTGGCTAGTGATTGTAGTGCACATTAAAATTCATGCATGATAAGATATGTGTAAATGCTATTTGACATTTATTGAGCATATTTTAGAACTTGACTTTGTTCAGTTTAGGGCTATCAGAGTCTCAAACATTTTCAGTCTTGAGTAGTAAATATAATTGAACAGTGTATGCTGAATGACACTTTTAATGGACAGTTCTTAGCATTCTGAAGGTCTCATACTTCATTGAGAGTCTGATAAAAGTTTTGAATCCACTGCCCAGAAAAACACCTATTCAAAATTTTTACAAATAATTTCAAGAGGTTAATGACTTCCCAAACCCCTTCTAGAACCAGAATCTGTAAGGAACTTAAATCAACAAGCAAAAATAAGTAATTCCATTAAAAAGTGGGCTAGGGAACATGAACAGACACTTCTCAAAAGAAGACATACAAGCAGCCAACAAACATATGAAAAAATGCTCAACATCACTAATCATCAGAGAAATGCAAATTTAAAAAAATCACAGTGTGATACCAGCTGATACTAGTTAGAATGGCTATTATTAAAAATAGATAAAAATAATAAATGTTGGCAAGGCTGCAAAGAAAAGCAAATGCTTACATACTATTGGTGGGAATGTAAATTAGTTCAGCCACTGTGGAAAGCAATTTGGAGATTTCTCAAAGAACTAAAAACAGAACTCCCATTCGACCCACCAATCCCATTACTAGGTAAATACCCAAAGGAATAGAAACTGTTCCACCAAAAAGACACATGTAATTGTATGTTCACTGTAGCACTACTCACAACAGCAAAGACATGGAATCAATCCAGGTGCCTGTCAATGGTGAACTGGATAAAGAAAATGTGGTACACATACACCATGGAATACTATACAGACATAAAAAAAGAACAAAATCATGTCCTTTGCAGCAGCACAGATGCAGCTGGAAGCCATTATCCTAAGCGAATTAACACAGAAACAGAAAACCAAATACCACACGTTCTCACGTGTAAGTGGGAGCCAAACACTGGGTACACACGGACACAAAGATGGAAACAAAAAACACTGGGGACAACAGACAGGAGGGAAAGAGGTGAGAGAAAGCTGAAGAACTACCTATTGGGCACTACCTCACTGCCTGGGTGATGGGTTCAATCATACTCCAAACCTCAGCATCACACAATATACCCTTGTGTACCCTCTGAAGCTAAAAATTGAAATAAAACAACAAAAAAAAAATCCTTATCTTAGGGTCTCCTAGGAAACCACATCTAAGACAGCATCTATTAAAATACATACATACATATATACATAGTGAAAGGCAAGCTTAGATAAAAAAATTTACAAAGCATATAGCTCATATAGCACTTTGGTCTCTAAGTTTTATACCTTAATAAGACAACCAATTTGCTTTTTAAAAAATAGGCAAAATATTTCTACAGATACTTAACTGAAAACAAACAAAAACCAAAACCCAAACATATGAATGGCCAATAAGCACATGAAAAGATGTTCAACATCTAGGTAGGTTAACCTCTACCTCTATGAATAGTCCTACCTCATATTATACCCAATTCCCTATGGAGAACACAGAAATAGAGAACACTTCTATTTTATATTTTAAATACTTCTGCATAGTTTAAAAATACTTTTTAAAAATGTGTGTTTTGGCCAGGCATGGTGGCTCACACCTGTAATCCCAGCACTTTGGGAGCCCAAGGCAGTGGGATCACTTGAAGTCTGGAGTTTGAGACCAGCCTGGCCAACATGGTGAAACCCCGTCTCTACTAAAAATACAAAAAACAGCCAGGCATGGTGATGTGCACCTGTAGTCCCAGTTACTTGGGAGGCTGAGGCACTAGAATCGCTTGAATCCGGGAGGCGGAGGTTGCAGTGAGCCGAGATGGCACCACTGCACTCCAGCCTGGGCGACACAGCAAGACTCTGTCTCAGAAAAATAAAAAATAAAAATAAAAATAAAATGTGTTTTATACCTTTTAATAAAAACTTATTTAAGAAGAAGTTATATACCCCCAGTTATTAAATTCATAATGAGTCCCATTCTTTTGACTGCTGTAACTTAAGAACTGTGAAATATTTAGTAAATCATCCTTCTATATATTAAATGAGGTTTAAAATGAAATGGTCTGACTAGGGAAAACAAGCTGAGAATGAATGAATGAATCAATGGATGAATGGACAGATGGACAGATAGACAGACAAAAAGAAAGAAATGGCCACTGACATCCAGAAACCAACACTTGAAAATGACTCACATTAATCCAAAATACATATGTAGATATCAAATAAATATGTGTTGAATGATAAGTGATGACACATAGGCATATTTAAAATTCAGCAAGATGATACATCTACAAGGACAAGGCCTACAGATAAAATTTCTCTTTATACACATAAACTAGTCTCTGGGGTTTCTCTGCCAAGCTCTTTATTAGGATATATATTGGGATAATCTAATTAAAGTCACTTTACAATTAAAAAACGCCTAGTAATTTTGATGGGAAAAAATATCAGGAGATTAAATTAACTAGCAGTCAAAAGCTGATTAGCAGTAAGATTAAGTAAATAAGATTAAACATAGGGTACTAGACACAAATGTCTAAAGACAACATGCTCGGTTTTAAGACTCCTAGTCTCCCTGTCTTCAGTCTTGTCTCCGTCAAGTTACATACCTTTAGAGTGATTTGGTTATGAATGCTTAAAACAGATTGTAGCAATATGGAACATGCAGGAAAGAAACAGGTACTGAAAGCCATTACAGAAGAAGTTGAAACAAGGTTTGAACTCAAATACCTGGATAATGTGATATAAATCAAAAATAAACCTGAGATGTTAAGAATCATAAAAAGAAATCTCAGAATATAATGAGATTTAATGATTTAAGGCACAGGGCTATGAGATGGTTTCCTAATTTGTTTGCACATATCCTAACCTTACAATTAAAAATATAGAGAAAAATCCAGATAGCATGCATAAACAAAGTGGGTATTAAATAAGAAGGAAGGCCGGGAGCAGTGGCTCACGCCTGTAATCCCAGCACTTTGGGAGGCCAAGTGGGGCAGATCACCTGAGGTCAGGAGTTCGAGACCAGCCTGGCCAACATGGCGAAACCTTGTCTCTACTAAAAATACAAAAAATTAGCCAGGTATGGTGGCAACATGCTTGTAGTCCCAGTTACTTGGGAGGCTGAGGCAGGAGAATCACTCGAACCTGGGAGGCGGAAGTTGCAGTGAGCTGAGATCACACCACTGCACTCCAGCCTAGGTGACAGAGCAAGACTATGTCTCAATAAATAAATAAATAAAATAAAATAAGAAGGAAAAATCAAGGAAGGAGATACAAAAGAGAAGCAGGAATTGAAAGACTATGTTGCCTGCCCCCCCAAAAAATCAATATTTTTCCTTGGGAAAATGATACAAAAAAATCACTTTTATTATAGAGATTATTAAGAAAGGGGCTTCTTAAGACAGGAAATGATGGGCTATGTTTTGTTATAATAAATTAATATTCTGGGTGCCATAACCCAACCTATTAGTAATTTCCCCCACACACTTTATCCGAAATGCTGTTTCCTCTATCTGTGAAGTTTACCCCTCATTCTCCATGGGTTAACTCCTAACCCTCCTTCAAGGCTCTATCACACTTGATTTAACCGTTTATTTACTCTACTATCTTCCCTCCTTGACTATAAACAATTTGTAACTGGGGATTATGTTTTACACTAACCAGCACTTAGAGCCACTTGATAAATGTATATTCATTAATTCTATAAATGTACCCTGCCATAAATATGCCAGCCAGTGCTAGTTACTGAGTTAAACAACTAAGAACAAAGTTTTGTTCAAACTAGCTGGGCGTGGCAGAGTGTGCCTGTAATCCCAGCTACTTAGGAGGCTGAGGAAGGAGGATTGCTTGAGCCCACGAGTTCAAGATCAGCCTGGGTAACATAATGAGACCTCCTTCTCACAAAAAAAAAAAAGAAAAAAAAGTTTGTTCAAATATAAACAACAAAAACATCTTATAGTTTGGTATGGAAGAAGATAGATACAAAAGAAAAAAATCAAAAAGAGGAAAACTAATTAATGCCAGAGTCAAATGGCAGGTAAGAATCGATGGAAAATGTGAGTATTTGCAAACATCAGGGCAATTACAGTTTCCAAGGGAACTGAGAACAACATACGCTGCCCAATCATTTTCTGTACCCCAATGTTTTTTTCGATAACTCAAAATATGATAAAGAAATTGATAAAGGGCTGAAGACACAATCAATTACTTAACAGGAAAATGAACAAAAACAACATATTAAATGAATACATCATAGAATGTAAAAATTTTCAAGAACTCTTACAAAATTCACTGAAAGCTCTGGTTAAATTCCCCCATTAAAATAAAGAAAAAAAGAAGTACTATTTCATTTTAGCTAAATTATATGTAAATTTAAAAGTACAGTGGCAGTGGCTCATTCTTACAATCCCAGCTGAGGGAGGAGGATCACTTGAGTCCAGGAGTTTAAAATCAGCCTGCGCAACACAGTGAGTGAGACCTTGCCTCTACAAAAGAAGAAAAAAGAGCCAGGCTCGGTGGCTCACGCCTGTAATCCCAGCACTTTGGGAGGCCAAGGTGGGTGGATCACAAGGTCAGGAGTTCGAGACCATCCTGGCTAACACGGTAAAACCCCGCCTCTAATGAAAATACAAAAAATTAGCTGGGCATAGTGGCATGCGCCTGTAGTCCCAGCTACTCAGGAGGCTGAGGCAGGAGAATCGCTTGAACCTGGGAGGTGGAGGTTGCAGTGAAACGAGATCTCGCCACTGCACTCCAGCCTGGGTGACAGAGCAAGACTCTTTGTCTCAAAAAAAAAAAAAAAGAACAAAATTAGCCAGGTGTGGTGGCACATGCCTGTAGTACTAGCTACTCGGAAGGCTAAAGTGCGAAGATCACTTGAGCACTGGAGGTTGAGGCTGCAGTGAGCTGAGATTGTGGCACTGCACTCCAGCCTGGGTGACAGAGCGAGATCCTGTCTCAGAAAAGAAAAAAAAAGTACAACATAGTAGGTGATTCTACTTAGGGTTAATTTCCTCATGCAAAACACCACTTCAGAAGTTTGTTATTGCAAGAAAATCCATGTGTTCCTTTACTGTATGTAGTAGGGATTGAAGAAAAGAAAAGAAAACTTACCGTCCATGAGGATACCAACGGTGCTTAGTAGTAAAGAACATTTTGCTAAGTTGTTCTATCATAGGTCCTTCCTCAAGGTGTTCAACTTTTTCTTCCAATCTGGTTTTCAGCACTTGATCATGTGTTTCTTCATTATTATGCACAGGATCTGGCCGAGGGATAGGCTACAAAATAATCAGTAACAAACATCATGAAGATGTGGGAATGTTAGCCAGCATTTGTTTGAGATCACAATAAAACAATTACCATATTCAGTAATTCACTATAGTACTTTAGGGTGGGCAAATAAGTTATCAAAACAAAGTTTCACTTAGTGCATTATTCATTAGTCAGAAATATTTTTCTTCTCACAGCAAATTTTAGGTTTCTTTTCCAATAATAAAGTTCTTATTTAGGCCAGGTGCAGTGAGTGGCTCATGCCTGTAATCCCAGCACTTTGGGAAACCAAGGCAGGAGAATCACTTGAGCCCAGGAGTTCCAAAGCATGGGACCAGCTTGGACAACATGGTCAGACAAAAAAAATTTAAAAACTATCTAGGTGTGATGGCATGCACCTGCAGTCCCAGCTACTCAAGAGGCTGAAGTGGGAGGATCACTTGAGACCAGGAGGTCGAGGCTACCTGTGATCACACTACTGTGCTCCAGCCTGGGTGACAGAGTGAAACCCTGTCTCAAAAAAGAGAAAGAAAAATAGAAAGGCCGGGTGTGGTGGCTCATGCCTGTAATTCCAGCACTTTGGGAGGCCAAGGTGGGAGGATCACTTCAGTTCAAGAGTTCAAGACCAGCCTGGGCAACACAGCGAGACCGTGTCTCTACTACAAATAAAAAAAAAAGAAAAAAAGAAAGCCCTCATTTAATGTTCTTATTTTCTGCAGTAATAAAGTACTTATTACTTTAGTTTCTGTTTCTCAAAGGTATAAATTATGCCTATTATTATTTTTTAACTTAAAAGTTTACCATTTACCTTTTATATCATTAAGATGAGAAATAATTAAAAACTTTTCATTGAAAATGACATTTTTTGGCCGGGTGCGGTGGCTCACGCCTGTAATCCCAGCACTTTGGGAGGCCAAGGCAGGTGGATCACCTGAGGTCAGGAGTTCAAGACTAGCCTGGCCAACATGGTGAAACCCCATCTCTACTTAAAAATTAGCTTGGTGCGGTAGCGCACACCTGTAATCCCAGCTACTCAGGAGGCTGAGGAAGGAGAATCGCTGTAGCCCAGGAGGCAGAGGTTGCAGTGAGCCAAGATTGCACCATTGCACTCCAGCCTGGGCGAAAGAGCAAGACTGTCTCAAAAAGAAAAAAGAAAGAAAATGACATTTCTTACATCCAATGGAAGCAGAAAAATTTTCAACATTTTCATTTCAGGTGACTAAAATGCCACCAAACAGTGCTTTATTGTAATTTAAATAGCTTTCCCCCAAAGTTAATGATTACTAAAAATCTTATCTCCTCAACACACATGAATGATATACAACATATTCCACCAGTAATAGTGACTCACTAAAGACTTTAAGAATCAGTGTCTTGGCCAGCTATGTGGCTCACATCTGTAATCCCAGCACTTTCAGAGGTCAAGGTGGCAGAACCACTTGAGCCCAGGAGTTTGAGACCAGCCTGGGCAACATCTCTACAAAAAATTTAAAAACCTCATCTCTACAAAAAATTTAAAAACAAAAAATAAATTAGCCAGGTGTGGTGGTGCATGGCTGCAGTCCCAGCTACTTGGGGTCTGAGGCAGGATGATCTTTTGAGCCCAGGAGTTCAAGGCTGCAGTGAGCCATGACTGCACAGTACCCTCCTGCCTGAGCAAGAGTGAGACCCTGTCTCAAAACAAAACAAAACGGAAAACAAAAGGAATCACTATCTTGGAGGGTCAAGTTACCTATATTTTAAATATTAAGTGATATTAAGGTATGTAACAAAGATTGTAACATTCAATACTATATAACGCTATCATAATGAAAGTAACATATTCAATAATAATATATATGTAACAAGATTGTAACACTGCCTTGCTTTAAAATAACAATATGTATGTATTATAATACAATGAAAATCTGAATTTACAACCAGTAAGAAACAATTCAAACATATTTTCTTTACATTCATACGCTATTAGTGACAACTACATTCTACCACTGTATTAAATATTATAGCATATATTTATATCTAGTTTATGCACATGAAACAAGACCTCTTTAAAAGGCAATGTGGCCAGGTGCGGTGGCTCACATGTGTTAATCCTAGCACTTTGGGAGACTGAGACAGGCAGATCACTTTGAGCTCAGGAGTTGGAGACGCTGTCTCTACAAAAAATACAAAAAATTAGCCAGGCATGGTAGCTCACACCTGCAGTCCCGGCTACTCAGGAGGCTGAAATGGGAGGATCACTTAAGCCTGGGAAGCTGAGGCTGCAGTGAGCCAAGATCACGCCACTGCATTCCAGTCTTGGTGACACAGACAGACCCTGTGTCAATTAAAAAAAAAAAAAAAGGCAATGTGGGCCACGTGCAGTGGCTCACACCTGTAATCCCAGCACTTAGGAAGGTCAAAGTGGCAAAGGAATGCTTGAGCCTAGGAGGTTGAGACCAGCCTAGGCACCATGGTAAGACCCCCCATCTCTGTTTATATATATATATATATATATATATATATATATATATATATATATATATGTGTGTGTGTGTGTGTGTTTTTTAAAAAGCAATGGAGGTGGCACAATTAAGTAAAGTCATGGGCTGCATAAGAATGTTTTGAGGCCGGGCGCAGTGACTCATGCCTGTAATCCCAGCACTTTGGGAGGCCATGGTGAGCGGATCACATGAGGTCAAGAGTTCATGACCAGCCTGGCCAACATGTTGAAACTCTGTCTCTACTGAAAATACAAAAAATTAGCCAGGTGTTGTGGTGCATGCCTGTAACCTCAGCTACTCGGGAGGCTGAGGCAGAAGAATCGTTTGAACCCAGTAGGCAGAGGTTTCAGTGAGCCAAGATCATGCCACCGCATTCCACCCTGGGTGACAGGGCAAGATTCTGCCTGAAATAACAATGTTTTAGTCAACAATGTACAGTGATGAAGGACAGTGTATACTACAGTGGTACCATAAGATTATCATGAAGCTAAAAAAATTCCTGTCACCTAGTGATGGTGCAGAACGCCATAGTGCAATGCATTGCTTACATGTTTGTGGTGGTGCCAATGTAAACAAACCAACTGCACTGCCAGCTGTATAAAAGTATAGCACATACAATTATGTATAGCACATAATACTTGATAATAATAATAAATAACGGCAGGCTACAGTGGCTCATGGCTGTAATTCCAGCACTTTGTGAGGCTTGAGCTCAGGAGTTCAAAACCAGCCAGAGTAACATGTAGTGAGACCCCGTCTCAACCAAAATAATTAAATAATAAAAATAATAATAAATGACTAGGCAACTGGTTTATGCATTTACTATACTATATACTTTTTATCATTATTTTAGAGCGTACTCCTACTTGTTAAAAAAAAGTCAATTGTAAAACAGCCTCAGGCAAGCCCCTCAGGAGGTATTCCAGAAGAAGACACTGTTATCATAGGAGATGACAGCTCCAGGCATGTTACTGTACCTGAAGACCTTCCAGTGGGACAAAATGTGGAGGTAGAAGACAGTAATATTGATCATCCTGACCCTGTGTGGGCCTAGACTGTGTTTGTGTCTTAGTTCTCACAAAAAAAGTTTAAAAAGTGCAAACAAAAATTTTAATACAAAAAAGCTTATAGAATAAGGATATAAAGAAAATATTTTTGTATAGCTGTACACGATATTTTAAGCTAAGTGTTATTACAAAAGAGTAAAAAAGTATTAAATTTTTTTTAAGTTTATTAAGTTTAAAAGTGACAGTAACCTAAGGTTAATTTATTATTAAAGAAAGAAAAATATTTTTTTAAAAATTTGGTGTAGCCTAAGCATACAGTGTTTGTTTATAAAGTATACAGCAGTGTACAGTAATGTACTAGGCCTTTACACTCACTGACTCACCCAGGGCAACTTCCAGTCCTATAAGCTCCATTTTTGGTTAAGTACCCTATACAGGTATATTACATTTTATCTTTTATAGCACATTTTTATTGTGCCTTTTCTATGTTTAAATACGTTTAGATACATAAATATTGACCATTGTGTTACAATTGCCTATAGTATTCACTACAGTAATATGCTGTATACGTTTGCAGCCTGGGAGCAATAGGCTATACCATAAAGTCTGGGTGTGTAGTAGGCTACACCATCTAGGTTTGCGTAAGTGACACTCTATGATGTTCACGTAACAATGAAATTGCCTAACAATGCATTTCTCAGAACATATCCCCATCAGTAAGCAATGCATGACTGTACTACAGAAATGCAAAGTAACAAAGATATCAGTGAAAAGTAGAAAGGGAGACAAGCCAGATCCTTGTCACAAAAACCAGAATGGGGCCAGGTGTGGTGGCTCATGCCTGGTAATCCCAGCACTTTGGGAGGCCAAGGCAGGCAGATCACTTGAGGCCAGGAGTTAGAGACCAGCCTGGCCAACATGGCGAAACCCCCTCTCCACTGAAAATACAAAAATTAGCCAGGCGTGGTCACGAGTGCCTGTAATCCCAGCTATTTGGGTGGCTGAGGCATAAGAATCGCTTGAACCTGGGGAGGCATGGAGGTTGCAATGAGACAAGATCACACCACTGCATTCTAGCCTGGTTGACAGAGTGAGACTCTGTCTCAAAAAAAAAAAAAGAACCAGATTGGGCAAGGTACAGTGGCTCATGCTTGTAAGCCCGGCACTTTGGGAAGCCAAGGTGAGAGGACTGCTTGAGTCCAGGAATTCAAGATCAGTTTGGACAACATAGTGAGACCCTGTCTCTACAAAAATTTAAAAAATTAGCTGGGCATGGTGGTGTGTGCCTATAGTCCAAGCTACTCATGAGGCTAAAGTGGGAGGATTGCTTGAGCCCATGTTACTATTATTCTACTAATAGTAACATGTTCTCAAGAGTGTTTCTTATTTTGCAGCCCAATCTACAATTTATTGCTTGACAAACAAAAACTTTCCATGCTTTCTGATGTGAATGTCTCTTAGCCCTAAAACAAAAAACCCTTAAGCATGAAGAGGAAGGAACAACTTCATTCACTTAATAGAAAAATATTTATTGTGCACCTACCAAGTTCAAAGCGTTATTCCAGGTGCTGAAGACCAAGCAGGGGAAAAAAACACACAAGGCCCTGTCCTCATCAAGCTTACATTTTAGTGATGGGAGATAGCCAGAAAACATCCAGTATGCTAGAAATGATAAATGCTGTTGAGAAAAGTAAATCAAAGGACAACAAGGAGTGCAGGAGCAGAGGTACAACTTTAAATGCAGTAGCCAAGGAAGGCCACACAAGATAACAAATAAGGAAAAAGACCTTAAGGAAAGAGAGTAAACTATGAAGTAAAAGCATTCCAGGCAACGGAAGCAGGAAATACAAAAGCTCTGAGTGGAGAGCTCACCTAATACAGCTGAAGAACAGCTGGAGTTGTGGTCAGTATGGTGGCAGTGGGGTGATTACTTGAAAACTTGTAGGAGTGATTACTTACCTAAACTAGAGAGATGAATATTGATGATGTGGCAGAGAAGATAATTGTCAAAACAAAGGAAACACAACAAAGAAAGAGGATGCAGGGGAGGTGGTCATGTGTACAGAGGAATGATGATAATGATAAACCATGATATCAGTCTGTGCTGGGTTAAGTAGGGAGTGAGAATGTGTGAGATACATGAGGGACTGTGAAAAAGTGGTTGGATCAATCGATGTAGGTTACAAAGAGGGAATGAATAATTCTTGGAGCTGGGAGACCAAGAGGGACTGGTAGTTAACTATTGGATTTCTTAAAATTTAGACTGGGAAGGAGGAGTAGCAATTACTGGTAATTAGAATATCTCTAGGGAATCATAGGGAATCCTCCCATGGAAGTGGGTAGCTGATGTAGAGAGAGATCAAGAAGTGAGACACCATGGTATTAGATCACCTACATGGATATTGAAGTAAAAGAATGAGGGTAAAACAGTATTGGAGAAAGTGTGACAGCAAGCTTAGAATATTCAAGGAAGTGCAGAGTGGTGGAGGAGGAGAAATAACCTGGCAGTTGGTAGATAACAGCAACAAAAAAAGATAGTAAATGATGCAGTTTAATGATACAAGCTACAAAGCTAGAAATTGTTAGGAAGGAAGAGAAATGATCTAGATTTGACAGTGAAGAGCTACAGAGATACCTTCCCCATCTTTAGACCCAGTGGTAAAAGAGTATGCGAGAGAAAACAGCAACTACTTAAAAGAACTGCTGGGGAAGTAACGTCTCCAGGGTACAGGCAGGTTTCTATTAGAGTCAAAAGGTGAAGGCAACATTCTGGAATAGGCTAAGATTGTAAGAGATTTTGCCAAGGGTAGTAAGTTCTACAAGTACAGTGGGAAAGTTTTGACAGTTGAGGAGGGTCAGATTCAGAGATATAAAGAGCCATTTGGGGATAAGAGTCTGGATGCTATGAAATGACCTGGCATTCTTAGTATAATTGCTAAAACACAGCAAATAAACCGAAGATATTTAACAAAATAACAATGGACAAAGGCACAACATAGTGTGACCTGGAGGGTTTATAGGCCAAAACTCAGTGATGTAGGCCTATTTTTCTAAACGTTGCCCAAATAAGTGATAAAAAAGAGGCACTGAATTAGTACCTATGATACCTGGCTTTTGTTTCCTAACAAAGCAGGGAGACAAAATGGTGAGTTTAAAAAGGAATACAGAAATTATTTGTCGGGCGCGGTGGCTCATACCTGTAATCCCAGCGCTTTGGGAGGCTGAGGCAGGCGGATCATGAGGTCAAGAGATCGAGACCATACTGCCCAACATGGTGAAACCCTGTCTCTACTAAAAATACAAAAATTAGCCGGGTGTGGTAGTGCACGCCTGTAGTCCCAGCTACTTGGGAGGCTGAGACAGGAGAATCGCTTGAACCCAGGAGGCAGAGGCTGCTGTGAGCCGAGATCGCGCCATTGCACTCCAGCCTGGGCAACAGAGTGAGACTCAGTCTCAAAAAAAAAAAAAGAAAAGAAATTATTTGTCAAATCAACCGGCACCCTGACCCTAATGATGATTTTTCAAAATAAGTACCACTAAATACATCATGTGATGACTTAAACCATCTAATTTTCTCCTCAAAAAGCAAATCAAGGCCGGGCACGGTGGCTCATGCCTGTAATCCCAGCGCTTTGGGAGGCCGAGGCAGGCGGATCACCTAAGCTTAGGAGTTCGAGATCAGCCTGGGCAACATGGTGAAACACCGTCTCTACTAAAAATACAAAAATTAGCCGGGCGTGGTGGCAGGTGCCTGTAGTCCCAGGTACTCGGGAGGCTGAGACAGGAGAATAGCTTGAACCCAGGAGGTGGAGGCTGCAGTGAGCCGGATCACGCCACTGCACTCCTGCCTGGGTGACAGAGTGAGACCCTGTCTCAAAAAAAAAGCAAATCAAACATTACCTAGTAGAAGGAGGCTTAAAGAAATAGGAAAAAGCATTTCAAATACAAAACAATAAAAAGACTTGGGTCAAACTAAAAATAAATTATATTAAAAACAATACAAAATCCTCTTCTATCTAGTACTTGGCTTTTTAAAAAATAGGGAAAAAAATCTAACTGGGCCATTCAAAATATATACCTATGTTGGCCCATTAAAACATAAAAATAAAGAAATTCACCAAATGTTAAAAAAAAAAAAAAACTGTCAGAACCAATAGTAAAAAAGTAGCTGTAATCCCAGCACTCTAAAATACAACTTTCTCATAATTGTCTAGATTATAATATGGGGTAGCATGGGATAATGCATTTTATAATTTTATACTAGATGTATTTGATCCTTAACCAGAAATCTACCAAATTTTTTAGACCAGAAAACTGATGCCATAATTGTGTTTAAATGGTTCATTTTGTATTCTGAAAAAAGACTGTAAAGAAAGCAGATGAAAAATAAATAAGAGAAAAATCAAAATAGTAAAATTAAAAAGCCAAAAGAAAATCTAAAACAAAGAAAATCAGATGACTCCCTTCTTTTTGGATACTATAAAGAAGTGCAAACATTTCTAACAGCAAATTAAAAACTGCAAGAAATTTTCTCATACATACTTTTGTGTGTTCATATGGAATGTCCACAGAAGGGTGGTAGCATACTATTGTCCTGCCATCAGAAGTCAGAGCAAGCTCTACGTTGCTAAAAAAAAGAATGTTTTAGAAATAAAGTTATACTGTATTCAAGGCAAAATGATTACCTTTTTTTTTTTTTTTGAGATGGACTCTCACTATGTCACCCAGGCTGGAGTGCAGTGGGCACTCCAGCCTAAAGCTAAAATTAGTGCCCGGCCTAATAATCATTCTGGGCCCAGCGTGGTGGCTCATGCCTGTAATCCCAGCACTTTGTAAGGCCAAGGTGGGCAGATTGCTTGAGGTCAGGAGTTCAAGACCAGCCTGGCAAAACCCCGTCTCTACTAAAAATACAAATATTAGCCAGGTGTGGTGGCACACACCTGTAGTCCCAGCTACTCAGGAGGCTGAGGCAGGAGAATCACTTGAACCCAGGAGGCAGAGGCTGAAGGAAGTCAAGATCACGCCACTGCACTCCAGCCTGGGCAAAAGAATGAGACTCCATCTCAAAAAAATAAATAAATAAATAAATAAATAAATAAATAAAAGCTAAAATTAATCACAAATTGCTGAAGATACTACATCACTGGATTGGCAAACCTGGTACCCATAACACAGGACACAAATGAAGACCATCCCACAGAATATGTCAGCTTAAATACCACAACAAAATACATTTGTAGCTAACAAAGAATAGGCATTAGATTGTTTCACCGTGGTTTCAAGATTGAATACCATAACATGGCTACAATGAACATTTAATCTGTCAAACGATTTCTTCACGAGAAGATAGTTTTATATAATGCAAAACACTTATATGACTCAGTCTTTCCAGGTTCAAAAACTGTTACCTATTCCAATTTCATCGCTATTATAGTACTCATTAGATGTACAATTAAAACTAGTATCAAGGCCAGGCGTGGTAGCTCACATCTGTAATCCTTATACTTTGGGAGGCCAAGGCGGATCACTTGAGCTCAGGAGTTTGAGACCAGCCTGGGTAACATGGAAAAATCCTGTCTCTACAAAAAATAAAAAAAAATTAGCCAGGTGTGGTGGCACACACCTGTAGTTCCAGTTACTTGGGCAGACTGAGGCAGGAGGACAGCTTGAACCTGGGAGGTTGAGGCTGCAATGAGCTGACATAGCGCCACTGCACTCCAGTCTGGGTGACAAAGCGAGACCCTGTCTCAAAAATAAAAGGCCAACCATGATGGCTCACACCTGTAATCCTTGTACGCTGGGAGGCCGAGGGAGGCAGATTGCTTGAGCTCAGGAGTTTAAGACCAGCCTGGGCAACATGGTGAAACCCCGTTTCTACAAAAAATACACAATTAGCTGGGTGTGGTGGCACACACCTATAGTCCCAGCTACTTGGGGGGCTGAGGCAAGAGGATTACTTGAACCTCAGAAGTTGAGGCTGCAGTGAGCTGAGATTGTGCCACTGCATTCCAGCCTGGGTGACAAAGTGAGTCTCTGTCTCACAAAAATAAAAGGTCAGGTGCAGTGCCTCATGCCTGTAATTCCAGCATTTTGGGAGGCCCAGGTGGGCAGATTACCTGAGGTCAGGAGTTTGAGACCAGCCTGGCTAACATGGTGAAACCCCATCTCTACTAAAAATACAAAAATTAGCCAGGCATGGTGGCATGCGCCTGTAGTCTCAGCTACTCAGGAGGCTGAGGCTGGAGAATCTCCTGAACACAGGAGGTGGAGGTTGCAGTGAGCCAAGATCACACCACTGCTCTCCAGCCTGGGTGACAGAACAAGACCCCATCTCAGGTTGCAGTGAGCCAAGATCACACCACTGCTCTCCAGCCTGAGCGAGAGAACAAGACCCCATCTCGAAAACAAAATAAAAATAAAACTAGTGTCAAGAGAGAAGAAAAAATATTTTTATTATAATTTGTAATAAAAACAACATAGATTAAGAAAATAGGTTGCAGTTTCTGCATATCAGACTCTGCTGCAGAGAAAAAAGACAATGTCATATGTTATTCCTAGTTCTTATCATAGTGACTAAATTGAATAAGTACCAAATAAATGGTGGCTAAATTAAGTATGTATAATTTAGGATTATTCAATATCAAACAAAAGAAAAGATAATAATGGCTTAAGCTAATAGATATGAACCCTATAAAAACTAATTAACTTTTCCAAAAAGCTAAAGCATGCTTCAGGAAGAAAAGATAGCAGTTCTAAACAGCATGTCTGTCTTATAACAAATTAAATATTCAATGAAACACAATGACAATGATTTTTATTTAAAATGTTTATAAGCCCAGATACTGGGTAAATAAAATCATTAAAATAATTTTTAAAAACAAAATTAAGGAAAGAATAATGAGAAAAGAAAGCATCAGACATCAAAACAAGAAATAAAATTAAATCATTTCAGCTATAGCTAAGACTATTATTTCTTCAATTGAATTTTAATACATACCAATTATAGTCATCTGGTAGAGGAGAATACGTAGATTTATGACAAACACAATATAAAGCTCCATCTGCAAAAACCCCAAACAGTAAAACAGATTTGGTTAATTTGAGCATATTTTCTCCATAAATTTAAAGCTAGTTTTACTCATTCAACCAACATTACTGTTTAGTATGAAACAGGCCTGTGCTAGGGGCTAGGGATTCAACAACAAACAAGACTCAGTCCCTACCCTCAAAAGGGTATAGTCTGCTTGTGAGAGAGACAGACAAACAATTACAACATAGAGGATAAGCACTGTTAGGAATGGTAAACATTGGCAAAGATGGGCCACACAGAAAGGCTACCAAACAAATTGTGCAGGTTCAAGAAAGCCTTTTCAGTGGAGATGATGTCCAAGGTGCTCTGAAGAA
This sequence comes from Homo sapiens, assembly GCF_000001405.40. Classification (NCBI taxonomy): domain Eukaryota; kingdom Metazoa; phylum Chordata; class Mammalia; order Primates; family Hominidae; genus Homo; species Homo sapiens. The sequence goes on along the minus strand of NC_000012.12, from coordinate 93,476,610 downwards.
TGAGAAAATAAGTAAGGATTGATAAGAGATGAAAACAATGTTTCTAGCAGAGTGAGTAAAAGGCGCAAGGACTCCAGGTAAGAAAAAAAATAAAAGTGTTTGGGTACTCCAGCCTTTCCAAGAAAGAACTTGAAGTATCTGGGGCCAGGCACAGTGGCTCACGCCTGTAATCCCAACACTTTGGGAGGCCAAGGTGGGCAGATCACCTGAGGTCAAGGAGTTCGAGACCAGCCTGACTAACATGGTGAAACTTTGTCTCTACTAAAAATACAAAATTAGCCAGGCGTGGTCAGCTACTCGGGAGACTGAGGCAGGAGAATTGCTCGAACCCAGGAGGCGGAGTTTGCAGTGAGCTGAGATCATGCTATTGCACTCCAGCCTGTGCAAGAGCGAAACTCTGTCTCAAAAAAATAAATAAAAATAAAGTATTTGGGTTTTCCAAGGTGCATAGTTTATAAAGGGGGGGTGGTGGTGGTGAAGTGATGAAATATGAAATGATTTGTTTAAAATTAACTTTTCTTAATCAAAATGCTTACATTTTAAAGCATATTTTCCTTTTTTAGAATACCTGCAAATTCAAGAGCCAAAATTGTTTTTCTTTTTTTGTTGTTGTTGTTTTGTTTTGTTTTTGAGACGGAGTCTTGCTCTGTCTCCCAGGCTGGAGTGCAGTGGTGCGATCTCTGCTCACTGCAAGCTCCGCCTCCCAGGTTCACGCCATTCTCCTGCCTCAGCCTCCCAAGTAGCTGGGACTACAGGCCCCCACCACGCCTGGCTAATTTTTTTGTATTTTTAGTAGAGACGGGGTTCGCCGTGTTAGCCAGGATGGTCTCGATCTCCTGACCTCGTGATCCACCTGCCTCGGCCTCCCAAAGTGCTGGGATTACAGGTGTGAGCCACCGTGCTCAGCTATAAACTGCTTTTTTAAAAGCTTGTGAAAGATTCTCCTATGTTCAAAAAAGGGTATTCTTTTAATATAAAGAAAAAAATTTAAAAGTAGCTCAATATAGTTAAAAGCAAGTTTTGAATGCACCTTGGTCAATGCCAAGAATCAAAGTCTCAACAGAGCCTCTTGTTCCTGTGATATAGAACTGTAACCTATCCTGCCTTCCCTATCTCCATGCCTTTACCATGTCCTCAGTATGGAATTCCAGCCCCATTTTGTTCAAATACCCCTCATCCTTAAAAGTCAAATATTCGCCAGGCGCAGTGGCTCATGCCTGTAATCCCAGCACTTTGGGAGGCCAGGGCAGGTGGATCACTTGAGGTCAGGAGTTCAAGACCAGCCTGGCCAACATGGTGAAACCCCCTCTCTATTAAAAATACAAAAAATTAGCCGGGTGTGGTGGTGCATGCCTGTAATCCCAGCTACTCGGGAGGCTAAGACAGGAGAATCACTTGAACCCGGGAGGCAGAAGTTGCCGTGAGACAAGATCGTGCCATTGCACTCCAGCCTGGGCGAGAGTGAGACTTCATCTCAAAAAAAAAAAGGTCAAACACTCTTCTTCCATGAAATCCTTTTTACTCTCCCTGCCCCCAAGGTTCTTCACAGAAGAAAGAGTTGTCTATCTCAGCTCATTGCAACCTCCGCCTCCCATGTTCAAGCAATTCTCCTACCTCAGTCCCTCGAGTAGCTGAGATTACAGGCGCCCACCATGTCCGGCTAATTTTTGTATTTTTGGTAGAGACAGGGTTTCACTATATTGGCCAGGCTGGTCCTGAACTCCTGACCTTGGGTGATCAGCCCAGCCCGCCTTGGCCTCCCAAAGTGCTGGGATTACCAGTGTGAGCCACTGCACCTGGCCATATTTTATTTTCTTGTTTGACATCACTGGGACCTTCCTAATTATGCATGGATTGGGTTAATATTAAAAGAAGTTTATAAAGCTAGGCATGGTAGCTCACGCCTGTAATCTCAACACTTTGGGAGGCCAACACTGCTCAAGGCCAGGAGTTTGAGACCAGCCTGGGCAACACAGTGAGATATTATCTTTAAAAACTATTTTTAAAAATTAACTGGGCATGGTGGCATGCACCTATAATCCCAGCTACTCAGGTGGCTGAAGCTGAAGGATCACTTGAACCTAGGAGGGTGAGGCTGCAATGAACTATGATTGTGCCACTGAATTCTAGCCTGGGCAACAGAGCAAAATCGTTTCTAAAAAAATTAAAACTGGTGGGGTGTGGTGGCTCACTCCTGTAATCTCAGCGCTTTGCGAGGCCAAGGCAGCAGGATCGCTTGATCCAGCAGTTCAAGACCAGCCTGGGCAACATAGTTGGGTCATATAGTGAGACCCCATCTCTATTAAAAAAAAATTAATAATAAAAAATATAAATTAAAAAAAAACAATTTTGTATCTCTGAATATAAACCAACTAGATGATATACATTTTCACTGAAAGAAACATGACTGGGTGACAGAATTAAGTGTTCTGAAATATGCAGACAAGAAAACTCAAGACAACAGTATTTTAGTTAACAAGAAACTCAGTAAAATTTCTACTCTGTGTTTACACAGACATTTGTTTGTGCCCTCATGACACACTTATCACATTCTGCCTCATATTCTGGGCATTCTTAGTGTTGCTAGATGTCTGTTTCACCTACAAGTCTAAATAAGTTCCTTAAGGCCAGGAACTGTACCTTGTTCATTACTGTGTCCCCTATAGTGCCTACACATTAAAAAGTGATTGCCGAACTGCCTCTCAAATGTTTCTGCATAACTGATGTTTGAAAAATTCATAAGGACTGGGCATGGTGGCTCACGCCTGTAATACCAGAACTTTGGGAGGCTGAGGCAGGTGGATCACTTGAACCCAGGAGTTCAAGACCAGCCTGGGCAACATGGCAAAACTCCATCTCTACAAAGAAATACAAAACATAGGCCAAGCGTAGTGGCTCACGTCTGTAATCCCAGCACTTTGGGAGGCTGAGGTGGGTAGATCACCTGAGGTCAGGAGATCGAGACCAGCCTGATCAACATGGTGGAACCCCATCTCTACTAAAAATACAAAATTAGCCGGGCATGGTGGTACATGCCTATAATCCCAGCTACTTGGGAGGCTGAGGCAGGAAAATCACTTGAATCTGGGAGGCGGAGGTTGCAGTGGGCCAAGATCATGCCATTGCACTCCAGCCTGGGCAACAAGAGTGAAACTCCATCTCAAAAATAAATAAATAAATAAATAACCAGACATGGTAGTACACATCTGTAGTCTTGCTTACTTGGGAGACTGAGATAGCAGGATCACCTGAGCCCAGGGAGGTCGAAGCTGCAGTGGGCCAAGACTGCACCACTGCACTCCAGCCTGGGCAACAGAGTGAGACTTCACCTTGAAAAAAAAATAAGGAAACATTCATTACCTGATATTTTACCAATGGAAGTAATTCTGGATATAGAAGTAGCAGAAGCTCTAAATATATAATTAGGACCAATGCCAAAGTTAACAGCAATTAAGCTCAATGTGCCAAAAGAATTTCAATTAACAATAATTTCTGTAATTTATGAGTTATTCTTGTTACATATATATATTTAATTGCATTTTGAAAGAGCTATGAAAGCTAAAAGTTGTCCCATCTTCAAATGCTCAGTATTTTACCTTGCTACAGAAAAGGAAGTACAGTAGAAAGTATACAGGACAAAGTAAGGTGGGAGATCCAGATTTTGGTCACAGTTTTTGTTTACCAAATATGTGACCCTGGGTGAACTTATGAGGGCCACAGAACTCAAGTTTCTTTACCTTCATAAAGAGGATAATACTACATGGGCTACCAAAATCAAAGCTGTTATAAGGATCAAATGGCTTAACATGCTTTGAAAACTGTGAAGTGTTCTACACTCCCGGGCTGACTGACCATTTGGGAAATTTTAAAATATTCCTTCTAGAATATAAGGAAGGCTTTTTATTTTTGCTCACTGAACTTTCTTCCTTAATCATGATTTCGCTTTGCCTCCAATCTTACTGTCCTTCCCTTTTTTATTAAACATCAATAATAACAGTAATGAAACTTTCTTTAATTTTAATTTTTTATTTTTGAGACAGGGTCTCACTCTGTCTCCCAGGCTGGAGTACAATGGCACAATCACAGCCTCGAACTCCTGGGCTCAAGCAATCTTCCTACCTCAGCCTCCTGAGTAAGCTGGCTCCCTCCTGGGACCACAGGCGTGTACCACCTCGCCCAGCTAATTTTTGTAACTTTTGTAGAAATGAGGTTTCCTATGTTGCCCAGCCTGGTCTCAAACTTCAGAGCCTGCTTCAGCCTGCCAAAGTGCTGGTATTACAGGTGTGAGCCACCCTGCCCAGCCCTTTACTTTCAATAATAGTAGCAACAGGAACTTTGCAGTATAAGGGACTTTTCGGATATAAGAAGTTAGGTCACTGAGTATTAGGATAACTGATAATGGAATGATTTTCTAGGGTAACCTAATTCTTAGTTAACTAGATATTTTGAGAGTTAACTCTAAACCATTCAGATTACTTGAACAAACACTGATAGATCTCCTATCATGAATGAGAGGCCCCAGGGACACCAAAATGAATTAGATCCAGTACAAACTTAGTGGGAAATCCAGTGGGGAAAAAGATATATAAATAATTTTCAATTATTCAGGGACACATTAACTGGTTTTCTGATGGGCCTGTGTGAGGACTAATTGTTTCAAAACATAGTCTATGTAAAAACTGATTGGATGTGACTTCTCATTAGCCTAGGAGCTGGGTTCCTGCAAGGCAAAGAGGAATCTAAGAAGTAAGAGTAAGGGTCTTTCTCCCAATTCTCAACAACAAAAATGCTCCTAGATAATCAAAAGCTGATTGCAGTTTTGTTGTGACTTATTTTGGTTTATATCCAAAGTCTCTTAAGCAATGTCCTGTTCTATTTACTGAATTCTAAGTTGATTTTACTTTGAATATAATGTAATAAATGTTTCTATGTTTAGGGCCCTAAAAAATGGGAGAGTGGGGCAAGCAAGGAAGCAGGGATGGAAAGCTTCCTATAAGAGCAGGATTTGGTGGCCAGGTGCGGTGGCTCATGCCTATAATCCCAGCACTCTCGGAGGCTGAGGTGGGCAGATCACTTGAGGTCAGGAGTTTGAGACCAGTTTTGGCCAACATGGTGAAACCCCTCCCCTGCTAAAAATACAAAAATTAGGCCAGGCGCAATGGCTCACACCTGTAATCTCAGCACTTCGGGAGGCCAAGGCAGGAGGATCATTTAAGGTTGGGAGTTCGAGACCAGCCTGGCCAACATGGTGAAACTTTACCTCTACTAAAAATACAAATATTAACCAGGCCTGGTGGTAGGTGCCTATAATCCCAGCTACTCGGGAGGCTGAGGCAGGAGAATCACTTGAACCTGGGAGGCAGAAGTTGCAGTGTGCCAAGATCATGCCTCTGCACTCCAGCCTGGGAGCAAGATCCAGTCTCAAAAAATAAAATAAAATAAAATAGAGTAGGATCTGGCAAACTTTTGAGCATTCTATTCAACAAAGGTGTTTACTGAGTAAAATATTTTCCTCGTCTCAAGCATAACAAATTGCCTATTTATTACTTTACTTATACTCCATTCTTCAAATAGCTCTTTTCTCCCTAATTCAATAAGCAAACTTTCAATTACAAATGGTGGTAAATAGGAAATAAGAAAGAAGAGACAAAGGTCAAGGTCAAGCAGAGTTGTATTTAAAAAGTCAGCTGCACTTGCATGTTTATCAGAGCACTATTCACAATAGCGAAGACATGGAAACAAGCCCATCAATGGTGGACTGGAAGAATATGTGGTGTATATGCATACCATGGATTATTACACAGACATTAAAACAAATAAAATCATGTCCTTTACAGCAACACAGATGCAGCTGGAGGCCATTATCCTAAGTGAATTAATGCAAAAACAGCCAAATACTACATGTTCTAACTTACAAGTAGGAGGTAAACATTGGGTACATATGGACACAAAGATGGGAACAATAAACACTGGGGACTCAAAACAGAATGGAGGGATGGAGGGAAGAGTTGAAAAACTACCTATTGGGTACTATGTTCACTATTTGGGTGACGGGTTCAGTTGAAGCCCAAACCTCAGTATATGTAATACATCCACGTAACAAACCTGCACATGTACGCCCGAATCTAAAATAAAAAATAAAAATAAAAAGTTGGCTCACATAGTTTAATATAAAAAGGCAAACCTACTGTTGCCTTCTATACATGTCTACTTTAGAAATGGAAAGCTTCCTATAAGAGCTGTTTATAAGAGCTATAAACTCTGTTTACAGACAGGAAAAGGAAAAAGAAAGCACAGTTGGCTGAGAAAAAAGACTTTAATACTCTATTTACTTATTTGGGTCCATGCTTTGACTGTCAAACATGTATTAACAAGCTTTCGAGAAAATACTAACTATATACAGTTCTTTAGAAAAGAAAGGCAGAAATTACATTTCATTTTTTTAAAAATGGCTAGGTACATAGAAAAAACACAATGACAATCCACCAAAATATTAACAATGATTATCTTTGGAAGATGGGACTGTGAATTTACCCTTTATTCGCACATTTTAAGAAATACTAAAAAAGTAATCACGCCACTGCACTCCAGCCTGGGCGACAGAGCCAGACTCCGTTAAAAAAAAAAAAAAGAGAGAAATACTAAAAAAGTAATACATGTAATCGAACAAGAGAAAGTTACCCTTGACCAGTCCCTTACTCCTGCCCTCAGCCAAATCCCAAGAGTGGGCTACACAGATAACCACTGTTTGGTCCAGACCTTTTACCTCTGCATTTATGCATATGCACACATGCATATGATGGATCATCTTTTAAACATACAAATAAGATCATATGATAGATATATATAGATGTGGTTCTGACATGCTTTTTTTGTTTCTATTTGGAGATCTTTCCATGTCAGTAACAGCTACATGACAGTCACAGTTCAGATGTACCATAATTTATCCATTCCCCTCCCCAACCCACATTTTTTTTTAGAGGTGGGGGTCTTGCTATGTTGCCCAGGCTGGTCTCAAACCCCTGGCCTCAAGCAATCCTCCCACCTCAGCCTCCCAAAGTGCTGGGATTACAGGCATGAGACACCACATCTGACCTATCCATTCCCCTTCTGACTGACATTTAGGTTTTCTCCCACTTTCCATTGCTGCAAACACTCCTGCAAATTACAGGCATATACAATAACTAAATGCTTTAAATTTTCTTAATTCTTAAAAGTTTAAAAGTTTTTAAACATTAAAAAAAATTTCACTTACTTTGGACTGGAAATAAATGTTTCAAGATAGTTCTCTTTGACATCACCCATTTTACTGCAGCTACAGCCATGGTGTTTCAAGATGCTTATCAAGTGGTATGAAAAAAGATGTTCTGAAGAGAAACTGCTTTTAGAATCTGCTTCTAAGCATACCAATTTCTACTCCTGCTGAAGAGATAAAGAAAAATCAGTGCTACCTATGGTAAATTTAAGTTATATTAAACACCACAAGAACAAGGTAAGAATCACTGCCTAGAAGTCAACTGAAGCAATGCTTTTAAACAACTTGGCAATTCCACATGATTGAACAACAGGACGAAGAGCGACATGGACAGAATATAAGATCAGAACCACTGGAACTATGTCCATTACTATTTATCTTAGATACAAACTTCTCTGCAGGACCCAGTGCAGCTCCTTCCACTTAATGAATACTCAGTAAATGTGTAATTACTCTTGAAACAGTCACTCACAAATGGTACACAGAGTATTCATTCTTTTAATGCTAGTGTGGCTGTGTACACCCTCCAAGGTTCCATACACAAGATACTACATCATTTACAGTACTATCCTGTTTCTGATTAAATGAAATAGTTGTCTGCCCTGAGCCATTAATAATAATAATAATAATAAAGAAATATCAAACAAGGCCTATCCTTAGCCTATTACTCAATTGGAGGAACTCATAAATGCCCTCAAGTCCCAGATAAAATTTCACCATCTTATATGTGTACAAAGTCTTTAACTTTCCAACGTACTTTCACCACCATTTCATTTTGCTCTCGTATTAATCATGTGAGGTATCTTTATTCTGATTCATGAAGAAACTAAAGTACAAAATTTAAACGTCTTGCTTCCAAGGACTTTAGAGTCAGTCACTGCCAAATTGGGAAACTTTAAACAAGTCATTAACTAAACGATCCTCAGTTTCTCCAATGACAAAATGGGGAAAACCACAATCTTCATGGCCTGTTGTGAATAAATGACAAATAACCATTGTTAAATCTTGTTTTTAATAGTCTTCAATGAGTATCCGTGCCCTTCCCCCCAATAGTGATAAAAGAGAATTAGGACACAGGCCCTCTTATTTGCTAGTCTAAACCACTCACACTGATACCTTGCACTGCCAGTACATTAACACCGTTAACCCTGAGCTCATAGGTGTGCTTTTTAGTTTACAACCCACTTTCATATACAATATGTGCTCTGACTTTCACAAGTGTGTGAAGCAGCATCTCCATTTCAGATTAAGAACAAAGGCTCAGAGAGGTCAATCGATTACTTGCTCAGTATATCGCTGCTTAATACATGCGTGGGACGTAAACCCATGACTTCTGACCACGAATAAAACATCTTGGGGGAAATTAGGTCCCCTCTGTCCGAAGCCCAGAGAAAAGCACGCCCTGCTGGGAGTCAGATTATTCACCCCAGGAAGATCATTTCAGAGATCAAGTCCCTCAGCCCGGAATTCAACCCCAAAACAAAAGCTACAGAGCCTCTGAGGGTCAGAGGTTTGAGGAACAGGCTACCAAGAGCACCAGAACTCTTCGACCTAAAGGAGTCCCTAGAGCCACAAGCTGCATCACCTCCCCACGGGCGTCCGCCAGGGAACAAAGGGGGCGCTATAAGAAACGCGCAGCCACATGCCGGCTCTTCTGCAGGAAGGACAAAGGCTGGGGATGCAGGCAACCTCGCCCTGCCGGGAACGACAGGCGGGAGACCTCTACAACTGCCGACCAACACTGTGGGACTGCCCAGTTTCGAGGAAGTCCTCGACAGGAGGAGTAGAGGGAAGCGGTTACCTTGACGGCTTCTCACCACGAACCCGCCATCTTGTTTCAATCCTGGTCCCACGAAACAGCGCTGCGCGCGCCGTCCCAGCCCGCGGGGCATTCTGGGAAATGTAGTCTCCGCGGGAAAGCGGCCCGGGTGCAGAGAGAAAGGGAGGATTGTTGCTATGGACTTTTACCTTTAGTTGGGGAAGCGTGGCCGCAGTGTTACTAAGGTGCCCAGAAAAACAAAATCACTGCCCCAAACACATACCCTTAGAAAGTAACAAGCTTTTTTTTTTTTTTTTTTTTGTGAGGCAGTCTCATTCTGTCACCCAGACTGGAGTGCAATGGCTCCCTCACGGCTCACTGCAGCCTCTACCTCCTGGGCCCAAGAGAGCCTCCCACCTCAGCCTCCTGAGTAGCTGGTACTACAGGCGCACACCACCACACCCAGCTAATTTTTTAATATTTTTGTAGAGACGAGGTCTCGGTATGTTGCCCAGGCTTGTCTCAAGCAATCCTCCTGCCTCGGCGTCCCAAAGTGCTGGAATTACAGGCATGAGCCACCATGCAAACCTATAAGTACTTTTTAAAAAAATTATGTTAATATTCAGAGAAATCGTAGATTGCTCTTTAGTAGATGAGTTAAAGTTTCCCAGGGGAAGAGACATTCCAGAGAAGCCCTGAAATGTGGAGGCTAGGATTTGGACGTTTGAAATCAGAACCTGAAGAGAACCTCCACTCTGAAAACCTGGCACTGTGCCCTCAGAACTGTGCTGGCTACCTATTATGGGAGGAAGTAAATATGCAGAATCTTGGACCTCGCTTTCCATCTTAGGAGGAAGGAAAGACCTCTGGGCCTTTGCACTCTCTGTTCCCATTGCCAGCAATGTGCTTCTCTGACCTCTTCTCATGACCTTACAGGTCTTTCTCAAATATCATCTTAGAAAGGACCACACCATTAAAATAGCCTCACCCACCCTTATTCCATGCCCCGCTTTATTTTCCTTCAGAATATTTACCATTACCTGACTTTATATTGATTATTTGTTTGCTCGTTGAATGTCTCTTTCTTTTTTTTTTTTTTTTTGAGACGGAGTCTTGCTCTATCGCCCAGGCCGGAGTGCAGTGGCATGATCTCAGCTCACTGCAACCTCCGCCTCTCAGCTTCAAGCGATTCTCCTGCCTCAGCTTCCTAATTAGCTGGGATTACAGGTGGCCACCACCACGCCCAGCTAATTTCTGTATTTTTAGTAGAGATGGGGTTTCGCCATGTTTGCCCGGCTGATCTCGAACTCCTTACCTCAGGTGATATGCCCACCTCGGCCTCTCAAAGGGCTGGATTACAGGCGTGAGCCACCACACCCAACCTCGTTTAATGTCTCTTATGCTGGATAATGTAAGCTCCTTGAAGACAGAGACATATGTCTATCTTGTTCTTCACTGTATGCAAACCCAGCATCTCAGACTGTGCTTGGTCTCATTATAGGTCTCCAGGAAGTGTTTGCTGAATGAATGAAAAGACTAGATAACGCTGCAAGTATCCAAGACAGTAGATGATTGGCTGGTAAAGCAGAAGCGGTCGCCTGGAAATTCCCTTCTCCCATGATTTGCAAAATTTTGCTTTTGTATATTTTTCTAAGAAATAATCTATAGCTTTTATTATGTATTCCAGGGAATTGATAAACCCCTCAACAAGTTAAGAACCATATTCCTGAAGTGACTAGTATTGAAAGTAAGTGAACACACATCACATAGTAAAGAAAACTAAATACGGGCTGTGTAGTGTGTCTCCTCATTTCCCACGGAATATCAGGAGGCTAATCTTTGCTCTTATAGAAGCCCACAGAGGGCCCATCTGTGTCCTTTCCAGTCGTGTCCATCCTCCAAAGCCACCCATGATGTCTTTCTGGACTGTGCAATAGGAAGGGACAGAGAGGAGAAACAGATTTGAATGAGCAGTCAACTGGACTGGTTGAACATTCCCTGCGTAAAGTGTAAGAAGAATGGATCAAAGATAATTCCAGAGGTCAAGTCTTGATGGCTGTGAGCAGAGTGGGACCAGTCCCCAACAGGGAGACTCACTTAGTGGGACCAAGGAAGGTCTCACAAAGCTGAGACCAGAAAAGAAACCAACATTTTTGGGGGAAGAGAGGGGAGAGACAGGTTTAGGCTGAGTGAGGGAACAACTTACACAAAGGTTTAATGTGGTGGAAATAGCTTACCATATACTGGAGTAGGGTGGATAGTGTGGATGAGAGCGGCAGGAGATGAGATTTGGAGCCAGGTCATGTTGGGCTTCATAAGCCTTGGAGGGGTTAACATGGAGTTAGGACACAGGACATATGTAGAGATTAAATAGAGTAGGTGGTGCTGTGTGCCTGTAGTCCTAGTTACCCTGGGAATGGGAGGCTGAAGTGGGAGGATTGCTTGAGCCCAGGAGGTCAAGGCGGTAGTAAGCTATGATCGTGCCGTGCACTCCAGCCTGGGTGACAGAGTGAGCCCTGTCTCTTGAGATTTTTACATGAAAGAAGTGACATAATTTGATTTCCATTTTTAAAAGGTTACTCTGGCTGCCCTGGGAGGAGTGGTTTGGAGAGTGGCAAGACCGCAGGCAAGTCTAGCAAGGAAGCTACTGCAGTACTGCAGTCAAGAAATCATGTGATGGAGGGTGGTGGCAGTGGAGATGGAGAGACAGGAAGAGTCCAGATGTATTTTGAAATTGGAAGTGATGACTTAACTTGCTGATGGATTGATTGAGAGGGAGGAAGATACTTCAGGTGATGCTTTGATGACTAGTTGACAGTGGTGCCCTTCATAAGACAAGGAAGACTGAAAGAGGAACAGGTTTGGGGAGTCTGATGATGGTGGAAATGCATACTTCCGTTTGGGAGTTGTTGAGTTTGAGATGGCTCTGAGACACTCCAGTGGAGATACAAAACAAGTCAGCAGCCTGGGCAATATAGTGAGTGAGGCCTTGTCTCTACAAAAAATAAACAGAATTAGTAAGGTTGATGATGCACACCTGTGATCCCAGCTACTAAGGAGGCTGAGGTAGGAGGATCGTTTGAGCCCTGGAGGTTGAGGCTGCAGTGAGCTATGGTCATGCCACTGCACTCCAGCCTGAGTAACAGAGTGAGAGCCCCATCTCCAAAAAAACAAAAAACAAAAGGCAGGTACTTGAAGAGGTGTGTTTGGAGAGTAGAGGTTGGACTAGGTATAGAAAAAAAAAGATAAAGGGCCTAGAAGCTGGCCCCAGGGAATTCGAAGGCTTAGAAATCAGATGGAGGAGGATAACCTTTAGCAAGGGCCTCCCAGGAGTGGCAGTGAGAAAGGTAGAAGGAAAACAAATACTGTGATGTAAGAGTAGTTAAGAGAGGCCATGTCACAAAGTGTTCCTAACTTAAGAGGTCAGTGCTAGCAACTTAAAAAGTATAATTTCCAAAAATACAAACTTGAAATACCAGCAAATAACTTATATTGGCCTACATAAAAGTGCTTTATTTTATTTTATTTATTTATTTTTTTAAGACGGAGTCTTGCTCTGTCACCCAGGCTGGAGTACAGTGATGTGATCTCGGCTCACTGCAACCTCCACCTCCTGGGTACGAGTGATTCTCCTGCCTCAGCCTCCTGAGTAGCTGGGATTACAGGTGCCCACCACAATGCGCAGCTAATTTTTGTATTTTTAGTAGAGACGGAGTTTCACCATGTTGGCCAGACTGGTCTCGATCTCCTGACCTCAAGTGATCCGCCCACCTCAAGTGATCCGCACACTTCACCCTCCCAAAGTGCTGGGATTATAGGCATGAGCCACTGTGCTCAGCTACAAATGCTTTAAATTCATGCTAGTAAAATGACAAACAGACAAAATTCTAGAACTTTGGAATTGGCATCAAATGGCTTCCATTTAAAAGAGGATTGCCTTTTCTTCTGTAACTTCCCAGAAAAAAAAGTCATTCTTTGTATCAATCAGAGAGCAAAGACTCCAGAGCAATCTTATGACCAAACTATTAGGAATGATCTTTCTGGCTGGGCACAGTGGCTCACACCTATAATCTCAACACTTTGGGAGGCCAAGGCAGGCGGATCACAAGGTCAGGAGTTCCAGACCAGCCTGACCAACATGGTGAAACCCCGTCTCTACTAAAAATACAAAAATTAGCCGGGCGTGGTGGCACACGCCTGTAATTCCAGCTACTCAGTAGGCTGAGGCAGAAGAATCACTTGTACCTGGGAGGCAGAGGTTGCAGTGAACCGAGATCACACCACTGCACTCCAGCCTGGGCGACAGAGTAAAACTCTGTCTCAAGAAAAAAAAAAAAAAAAGGAATGAACTTTCTAAACACTTAAACAATTATTGTTACTGTCATTTTACAAACAGAAGTAACAGAGGCACAGAGAGGTTTGAACAACTTGTTCAAAGTCACACAAGTTACTGTGCTTTGAACCCAGGAACTACTATTACCAGTGCTCGTGAACTTAACCACTGTGCTAGGCTGAGCCATGCTTATTTCAAAATACAAAATATAGATTAGACTAGGTGCTGTGGAGTGCACCTGTAATCCCGGCTACTCAAGAGACTGAGTGAGGAGGATTGACTGAGCCAATGAGTTCAAAACCAGCCTGAGCAACACAGCAAGATCCCATCTCAACAACAAATAAAACATATTTTAAAAAAATGAATGCAGATTTTAAAAACAAAACCCAAGAGATAATCACTGCTAACATTTTGATATATAACTTTTCACTTTACATTTCTTTTCTTTTTTTTCTTTGAGACAGGGTCTTGCTATAGTGCCCAGGTTGGTCTCAAACTCCTGGCCTCAGGCAATCCTTCTGCCTCATCCTCCTGAGTAATTGGGATTACAGGCTTGAGCCACAGCACCCAGCTCTCTTCTTATATCTATATTATGATAATAGCTAGCATTTATTGAGCACATTATGTGTACTATTCTAAAGTTCTATGGCAAGTGGAGCTGAGATAGGAACTAGATAGCCCGATTCTCCTTCAATCTCCCTTTCTTTCACACAAACACATTATTTTTAGGTTTTCTCCTATTACTGTTAATATGCATATATAAATATACATATACACGTATGCACATATTTTTTCCTGTGAACACCCTAAAATTGTCAGTGTAGAACCACAAGCCTCCTAGAGATCATCAGGACTTAAAGGGTTATTTTGATTATTAAAGATCTTTACATTGGGTATGGTGGCTCATGCCTGTAATCCCAGCACTATCAGAGGCCAAGGCAGGAGGATATATTGAGCCCAGGAGTTTAAGACCAGCCTAGGCCACATAGTGAGACCCCATCTGTACAAAAAATTTTTAATTTTGCTTTTTAAAAATGAAGTCTGGGGCCAGGTGCAGTGGCTCATGCCTGTAATCCCAGCACTTTGGGAGCCCAAGGCAGGCAGATCATGAGGTCAGGAGTTCAAGACCAGACTGGCCAACATGGTGAAACCCCGTCTCTACTAAAAATACAAAATTAGCTGGGCGTGGTGGTCGGTGCCTGTAATCCCAGCTCCTCGGGAGGCTGAGGCAGGAGAATCATTTGAAGCCGGGAGGTGGAGGTTGCAGTGAGCCGAGATTGTGCCATTGCACTCCAGCCTGGGCAACAGGGTGAGACTCCGTCTCAAAAAAAAAAAAATGAAGTCTGGGCATGGTGGCTCACACCTGTAATCCCAGCACTTTGGGAGGCCAAGGCAGGAGAATTACTTGAGCCCAGGAGTTTGAGACCAGCCTGGGTGACATAGTGAGGCCCCTGTTTCTACAAAAATTAAAAAAATTAGCCAGGTGTGATGGCATATGCCTCTAGTCCCACCTACTCAGGAGGCTGACGTGGGAGGATCACTTGAGCCCAGAAGGTTGAAGCTGCAGTGAGTCATGGTTGCGCCACTGCACTCCAGCTTGGGTGACATAGCAAGACCCTGTCTCAAAAAAAGAAAGAGAAAAAAAAAGAGAGAGAGAGAAATCCTTACAATATAGCTTTCATCTTTTTTTCTGAGATGGGATCTTGTTGTTTTGTCCAGCCTGGACTCAAACTCCTGGGCTCAAGCGATTCTCCTTCCTCAGCCTCTCAAGATGATATTTTTCATTTTAAAGTTAATTCATTATTAGGTGCTTTCCTGCAACTCCTAGATTTTTAATTTATTCTAATTCATTTACTTATCTAATAAATATTTATTGAGGACCTATTATATGTACCAGACACCAGAGCAGCAGTTTGTCTTCACAGATTATATCATGAGAGGGTGACAGATACTAAATATATACTGATGGGATTAATTATTGTATGACTGTTTCTCAGAGGAAAGGGATGTCATGGAGCACATACCAGGAACATCTGACTAGTGTGCTCAGGACAGGAAAGGCTTTCCTGAGGAAGCGAATTTAAGCAGAAACGTGAAGGAAGAGTAGAAGTTAGGTAGAGGAAGAGGGCCGGAGGGAACAGCCAGTGTGAAGGCGCTAAAATAGGAAGTAGTATGATTCTTTTAAGAAACAAAAGAGACGGTGTAGTAGCTCAGCCTATAATCCCAGCAACTGGTGGTAGGGCTGGGGGCGTGGTGAGGCAGGAGGATCACTTGAGGCCAGGAGTTCGAGACCAGCCTGGGAAGCATAGCAAGACCCTGTCTCTAAATAAATAAATAAATGAGGCCTGTGTGACTAGAATATAGGGTGCTAGCAAAAGCAATGAGGCTGATGGCAAAGGCAGATTTATTTTAATGTTATTCCTGACAGCCAAAAACTGGCTGGTTCAAGTGCAGCGGTGTTTACAACTCATTGATCATAACCAGTTACAGATTTCTTTGTTCCTTCTCCACTCCCGCTGCTTCACTTGACTGGCCTAAAAAAAAATTAACAAATAAAGCTTTCTAGGAGACCACATTATTTCAAACTTAACCAAAATTCAAGACCCTGTTTTTCTAGTAAACACTAAGTATTCTCTTTAAGAAGTGTTTGCTTTGCCTTGTTAAGATAAATGTTATACCTTAAATCATAGGGATAAATGTTCCCACCAGAAACTGAGAAATCTATAGCAGAAACTGCAAGCTATCCTCTAACAGAGGTTTCTCCTCTTTCTCTGTATTAACAGAACCCCTAATTCAGGGGTATATGGTTACTCACAATTATAAAATTCACACTTTTTTTTTTTTTTTTTACAAAAAACTAGCCTGGCACGGTGGCATGTGCCTGTAATCCCAGCTACTCAGGAGGCTGAGGCACGAGAACCACCTGAACCTGCGAGGCAGACGTTGCAGTGAGCCAAGATTGTGCCACTGCACTCCAGCCCAGATGACAGACCGAGAGCCTGTCTCAAAAAAAAAAAAAAAAAAATTTACATTTTTCAGCTTCCCTTGCAATCCTAGGTGTGGTCATGTGACTTCCTTAAAGCCAACTAGTATGCACCCTCTTTGCTCCCTACTTCATCCTTCCTCTTGGCATGTGGATTTAATGATCATTATTGTAGAATCCCAGGATGGCCTTGACCTTGGAATGACGGAGCAGTCAGCTGGAAAGAGTCTGGATTTTTGATGGCTTTGTAGACAAGGTTCCTGAGACTTCCTACTACAGATTTTTACAAAAGAGAGAAGTAGACTTTTATCTTGTTTAATCTGCTGTTATAGTAATTGCAGTTTTTGCCATTTACAGTAATGGCAAAAGTTAGTGCAAAAGTAATTGCACCAATTTTTGCCAGACACCAGAGCAGCAGTCTTCACAGATTATATAGTCAGAGCGTGACAGATATTAAATATATAATGATGGGATTAATTATTTTATGACAATTATGTTGAGTGTCTCAGAGGAAAGGGATGTCATGGAGCACATATCAGGAACATCTGACTAGTGTACTCAGGACAGGAGAGGCTTTCCTGAGGAAGTGAATTGAATTTGCCATATAATCTGTGAAGACAAACTGCTGCTCTGTTAGTAAAAGACAAAGTATTAGGCTGCTGTGCAACAACCTAATACTTTGTCTTTTACTAACAGTGGAAACTAATCCTATCTGAAATGACAGAATCAAAATAATTCAAATCAGAAATAATTCAAGAAAAATATCTATAAAGGATTAGTACTGATAAAAATATAAGGTCCTCTATTCTACTGAGTACAATACAGATCACGAGTTATAAACTGCTTTTCCTTCAAAAGTTTTCTTATGACCATTCAAAATGAGTTTTACACTTAATATCTTCTCTATCCTTAACATCTTAAAGGGCTCCCCATGTGTAGGACCATCTTATTTCTTTTTTTAAATAGAAATTTATTTATTTATTTATTTATTTATTTATTTATTTATTTTCATTTTCGAGACAGGGTCCTGTGCTGTCACCCAGGCTGGAATGCATTGGTGTGATCTCAGCTCGCTGCAACCTCTGCTTCCCATGCTTAAGCAATCCTCCCGCCTCAGCCTCCCTAGTGACTGGGACTACAGGCACAAACCACTACCCCCGGCTAATTTTTTGTTATTTTTTGTAAAGACTGAGTTTCGTCATGTTGCCCAGGCTGGTCTCGAACTCCTGGCCTCAAGTGATCCACCCACCTCAGCCTCTCAAAGTGCTTGGATTACAGGCATGAGTCACTGTGCCTAGCCAGGACCATCTTAATTATTTCTTTATAGCTCCTGGAGGTCCAGCATAATGTTAGGTAGGCAGTAGAGTGTAGAGGTTAAGAAATGGAGTCTGAGAATCTAGCTGCCTAAATTTGAATCTCCCCTTGCTTCTTAACTATGTTATTTGGGGTAATTTAACTACTTAATATTTTTGAGTCTCAGTTTATCCTTTGTAAAAGTAAGATAATATGTTTTCTGGCTGGGTGCGGTGGCTCACACCTGTAATCTATAGAATTGTTGAGTGGAATAAATAACAGAAAGTGAGCAAAAAGCTTAGCAAAGTACCTCGCAGGTAGTAAGCACTCAATCAATGCTAACCATAATCATATCTTATAGATGCTTAACAAAATCTTGTCTAATAATTATTTGTGAAAATCTATACCAAGGAGATAACTTATTTCTTAGGCATTAAGAAAAGAAATAAAAGCCATCCCTTTTGACTACCAGGAATAATCTAATAAATGTAACTAAAAATGAAAAAATAAATCTGGTCTAAAATGAACAATAATGGCCAGGCGCAGTGGCTCATGCCTGTAATTTCAGCACTTTGGGAGGCTGAGGTGGGTAGATCACCTGAGATCAGGAGTTCGAGACCAGCCTGGCCAACATGGCAAAATCCCATCTCTACTAAAAATACAAAAATTAGCTGGGTGTGGTGGCACACACCTGTAGTCCCAGCTACTTGGGAGGCTGAAGCAGAAGAATCACTTGAATCCAGGAAGTGGAGGTTGCAATGAGCCAAGATCATGCCACTGCACTCCAGCCTGGGCAATAGAGGGAGACTCTGTCTAAACAAAAATAAAAACAAAAAGGTTGGTATATCTGTTAGGGTCCCAGAAGAGAACAGATGACTTACTCAAATCGGGATGGTTTCAGGAGGGTTTGTTTACAGAAAGTATCTTCACAGAAGTGTGAGTTGTATGTAGGGAATCACAGAATCACAGGTAGTAGTAGTAATAGTAGTAGCAGTAGTAGTAGTAGAAGAAGAATTTGGGCTTAGTAAAACTGGCTGTTCCTTCATGCCCCTCCAGGCCTGAAGGTACAAAGAGAGGGAGCAGTTATCAGAGCCCAGAAAAAGAGAGTCCTGCAGCAGCTACCTTGAGAGGGGAAGTAACCTTCAACTGAAGGGCATAGCCAGCCTGAGGTGACCTTGAAGGAGTAACCCAGAGTAATAATTACCCTGACCTCTCCATTCTTCCCACCTCCCATGGGTTAAGGGCCCAGTCTCATAAGACACAAGACTGCCCTCTACCCCTGCAGATGCCAATCTGTGATGTAGACATGCGTGTATGTGTGTGTGTGTGTGTGTGTGTGTATGGTGTGTGTGTATACTGGAAAATAGCACTGTAGGTGGATCTGGTTTATTTCATTACAGATATATATATGTGTGTATATTTGTCTGTGTGTGTATATGTGTGTACACATCATATATATGGTATGTACATATATACACATCATATATTACTATATATGTGATTTGTGTGCATGTATTCTATATGTAAGTCCTTAGAATGTATTATATTCACCTTGTGGCCTATTAGTTTATCTTTGTAATTCTAATTTTTTTCTTACATGGGGTCTCACTCTGTCACCCAGGCTGGAGGGCAGTAGTACTATCACGGCTCACTGCAGCCTTGACATCCTGGACTCAAGTGATCCCCCCACCTCAGCCTCCCAAGTAGCTGGAACTACAGGTGTGCCACCATGCCCAGCTATTTTTTTTTTAATGTAGAGATGGGGGGGTCTCACCATGTTGCTCAGGCTTGTCTCAAACTCCTGGGCTCAAGCCATCCTCCCACCTTATTCTCCTCAAATGCTGAAAGTACAGGTATGAGCCACCGTGCCTGACCTATGATTCTAATTTTTAAAGACTTCTTATTACAGAAAATTTCAAACATATAAAAAATTAGAAAGAATAGTACAATAAACCACTAGGTACCTCTCATTCAGCTTCAACAATGATAACTCATGGCCAATTTTATTTCATCTGTACTCCCACATTGTACCTTCTCCTATATTATTTTGAAGCGAATCACACGTAGCCTGCAATTTCATCTATAACTATCTTAGTAAGAAACACTAATAGGTAAGAACTCCTTTCTTCTAACATAACCATATGTCATTATACAATTTTTAAAAATTGACAAGGATTATTTAACATTCTCGAATATCCAGTGAATATACAGCTTTCCAGATGGTTCATAAATGTCATATTTTGAATTTGCTTTGCTTGTTTGAATCAGAATCCAAATTAGATGCATGCATTTTAACTGTTTGAGATCACTTTTAAGTTTCTTTAATTTACACGTTCCTCCTCAATTCCTCTCTCTCTCTCTTTTTTTTTTCCTTGCATTTATTTGTCAAATAAACCGGGTTGTTTGCCCTGAAAAGATTCTCACAGTCTGGACTTTGCTGAGTGCATCCTTGGGGCAAACTTTAACATGTTCCCAGGTCCTTTGTGTCTTCTGTAATTTGTGATCCCAATTTTTCAAAAAAATGATTTCCTTAGAAATCATTATATTAAAAAGGACAATTGCACTCATACGTTTATCACAGCACTAGTCACAATAGCAAAGTCATGAAACCAACCTAAGTGCCCACCAACAGTTGGCTGCATAAAGAAAATGTGAGATAGGTAGATAGATAGATAGATAGATAGATAGATAGATAGATATCTCATGGAACACTATGCAGCCATAAAAAAGAATGAAATCATGTCCTTTGCAGCAACGTGGATAGGGCTGGAGGCTATTATTCTAAGTGATCTAATTCAGAAACAGGAAATCAAATACCATGTGCTCTCACTTAGAAGTGGTAGCTTGACAATGGCATACATGGACATAAAGATGGAAATAATAGACACCCAAAGGGAGGAAGTTTGCAGGGGGACTAGGGTTGAAAAATTACCTATCAGGTACGATGTTCACTATTTGGATAAGGGATACACTAGAACCCCAATCCATCCCCACCAGTGTGAAATACAGTCATGTAGCAGGCATACACATGTACTCCTTGAATCTAAAACTAAATTAAATTTTAAATAAATTTTAAAAATTTATCTTTAGGTAGCCAATTTAGACTTATAAGTCTATGTTGGAGGGTGTAAAAAATTGTATTAGGTTTGGAAGCACTATTAGAGTATTTCATAGGTGAGTTGCCATATTTAGATTTTTTTAATTTATGAGAATTATTTTAGTACTTGAGAATATTTATCAGTCAGAAAATTGAAGGGCTGGAAAAGAAAATCATATACGCTAGATTTATGAGTGCAATTTTAAATGTTTAAATGGCCAGGCATGGTGACTCATGCCTATAATCCCAGCATATTGGGAGGCTGACACAGGAGGATCACTTGAGCCCAGGAGTTCATGACCAGCCTAGGCAACATGGTGAGACCCTGTCTTAGAAAAAAGAAAAAAAATTAATATTTAAATGTATTTAACTTACTCAAGTATTATTTTAGCTGCTAGTCTATAAATAGAATAATAAGAACTATTGCAGTCATCAAAAAGAATGAGTTCATGTCCTTTGCAGGTACATAGATGAAGCTGGAAGCCATCATTCTCAGCAAACTAACACAGGAACAGAAAACCAAACACCTCATGTTCTCACTCATAAGTGGGAGCTGGACATTGAGAACACATGGACACAGAGAGGGGAACATCACACACCGGGGCCTGTCGGGGGTGGGGGGCAAGGGGAGGGAGAGCATTAGGAAAAATACCTAATGCATGTGGGGTTTAAAACCCAGATGACCAGTTGATAGGTGCTGCAAACCACCACGGCACATGTATTCCTATGTAACAAACCTGCGCGTTCTACACATATATACCAGAACTTAAATTAAAAAAAAAAAAGAATAATAAGAACTATAAATCAAACTTGAAGACTTGAGGAAAAACTACACTTTACTGTTACTTCAATCAATTTAATGTTAATTTTTTAAAAATCTGTAAATGACCAGGCATGGTGGCTCACACCTGTAATCCCAGCACTTTGGGAGGCCGAGGCAGGCAGATCACCTGAGGTCAAAAGTTCAAGACCAGCCTGGCCAACATGGTGAAACCCCATCTCTACTAAAAATATAAAAATTAGAGCAGGCACAGTGGCTCATGCCTATAATCCCAGCACTTTGGGAGGCCAAGGGAGGTGGATCATTTGAGGTTGGGAGTTCCAGACCAGCCTGGCCAACATGGTGAAACCCCATCTCTACTAAAAAATACAAAAATCAGCCTGGCATGGTGGCAGGTGCCTGTAATCCCAGCTAGTCAGGAGGCTGAGGCAGGAGAATCGTTTCAAACTGGGAACCTGGGAGGCAGAGGTTGCAGTGAGCCGAGACTGTGCCACTGCACTCCAGCCTGGGTGACAGAGTGAGACCCCCATCTCAAAAAAAAAATTATGTGAATAATCTTGTGCCTCAAAGACAACAAAATACATCAACTCAAAGTTGTTTTTGCCCTCATCTCTCAAAAATCACATCCAAACAACAATGAGAACAAAAATGGAAGCCGACAGAAACTGGAATACCTGACTTGGTAGAGCAAAGTCAAGCATGCAAGTTGCACCAAGGCTCAGGAATTGGTGGCATCAAGTATTTAGGAAGGCAGGAGGGATGAGGGGGCTGAAAAGTGATGGAATATTTGAAAATCAGCATAAAGCACAATTAGACCTCAGACTCCCATATCTAACAGCCTACCCCAGTTGGAAATGGAAATACAAATCCCAAAGATTCTGGATTTAGGAAAGTTATACCTAGAAGAGGGCAGAGGAGAAGAGTCCAATGGAAAACTGGGGAGGTGGCTGGGATGGTGGTTCATGCCTGTAATACCAACACTTTGGAGGTCCAAGCGAGAGGATTGTTTGAGGCCAGGAGTTAGATACTAGCCTGGGTAGCATAGCGAGGTGCCATCTGTACAAAAAGAAAAAGAAAAATTAGCCGGCTGTGGTGGTGCATCTGTAGTCCCAGCTACTCAGGAGGCTGAAGCTGAGGTTGCAGGATTGCTTAAGCCCAGGAGCTTGAGGGTTCAATGAGCTATGATCTTACCACTGCATTCCAGCCTGGGTGACAGAGCAAGAACCTGTCTCCAAACAAAGGAAAAAAAGAAAAAAGAAAACTTGGGAGGAGGAATGCCGGTAAGTTTTTTGAGCCTGGTCTGCAGCCTTTCCTGTGATCGTGTGAACCACCCCATGTCCTCCCAGTGAATTCCTTTTCTGTTTAAGTCAGCCTGAGTCAGTTTCCATGCCTGTAACCAAGAACCCTGACTAACATAATATTTTGCACTTACTCGGTGACAATTCTATTAACATTATGTTTCCATTCCCCGTAAGCCCATAAGGGTAGTTTTTTTTCCTGCAACCTCTGCCTCCCGGGTTCAAGCGATTCTCGTGCCTCAGCCTCCTGAGTAGCTGGGATTACAGGGACGTGGCCAGCTCGTTTTTGTATTTTAAGTAGAGATGGGGTTTCACTCTGTTGGCCAGACTGGTCTTGAACTCCTGACTTAAAGTAATTCACCCGTCTCGGCCTCCCAAGGTGCTGGGATTACAGGTGTGAGCCACCGTGCCTGGCCCCATAAGAGTAGTTCTTCATCTGATTTTGCTCATAATTTTACTTGCAGAGTCTAATATAGTGTCTGGCACTTAGTGGGCGCTAACCAAATAAATGTTTTTGTTTTGTTTTGTTTTTTTGAGACAGAGTCTCACTCTGTCACCTAAGCCAGAGTACAATGGCATGATCTCAGCTTACTGCAACCTCCCCCTCCTGGAGTCAAGCAATTCTCCTGTCTCAGCCTCCTGAGTAGCTGGGATTACAGATGCCTGCCACCACGCCTGACTAATTTTTGTATTTTTAGTAGAAATGGGGTTTCACTATGTTGGTCAGGCTGGTCTCGAACTCCTGAACTTAGGTGATCCACCTGCCTTGGCCTCCCAAAGTGCTGGGGTTACAGGTGTGAGCCACCGAGCCTGGGATAAATGTTGGATGGATGAAGAAGCCTTCTCTCTGTCTTCTATATACTCCTCATTGCATCTTCTATATCTCAGTTTAAAAACTTGTCACATCAAATTGTATTAGTTTTTAATGTCTGTTTCCCCTATTAGAATGTAAGCTCAAGCCAGGTGTGGTGGCTCATGCCTGTAATCCCAGCACTTTGGGAGGCTGAGGTGAGTGGATCACCTGAGGTCAGGAGTTTCAGACCAGCCTGACCAACATGGTGCAACCCCATCTCTACTAAAAATACAAAATTAGCCAGGTGTGGTGGCACATGCCTATAATCCCAGCTACTTGGGAGGCTAAGGCAGGAGAATTGCTTGAGCCTGGGAGGCGGAGGTTGCAGTGAGCCGCGATCGCACTATCGCACTCCAGCCTGGGCAACAAAAGCAAAACTCCATCTCAAAAAAAAAAAGAAAAAAAAATGCAAATTCAAGATCAGAGATCCTACCTTTCCTACCTTGTTCATTAAAAAAAAATTTACTTCCTAGACCAGGCATGGTGGCTTATGCCTGTGAACCCAGCACTTTGGGAGGCCAAGGCCAGAGGATCGCTTGAGCTTAGGAGTTCGAGACCAGCCTGGGCAACAAAGCAAGACCCCATCTCTATCTTTAAAAAAAAAATTTAAAAAAAATTTAGTTCCTAAACCAGGTGTGGTGGCTGGTGGCTCAAAAAAAAAAAAAAAATACAAAAATTAGCCAGTCATGGTGGTATGTGCCTATGGTTTCAGCTATTCAGGAGGCTCAGATGGGAGGATAGTTTGAACCCAGGAAGTCGGGGTTGCAGTGAACCATGATGACACCACTGCGCTCCAGCCTGGGCAGCAGAGTGAGACCCTGTCTCAAAAAAAAAAAAAAAAAAAGTTCCTATAGATGGTCTAGTATAATACATCATAGGCAGAGAATGAGTGAAGGCAGGAAGGAGAGAATGTGTGCAGCCATTATGTTACTGCTGAACACATAACAAAGAAGAATATGGTGTTCCCTGCCTTAAAGGGGTGCACAATGTGGTGAAGGAGACAGGTAAACAGATTATTACAAGTGACTGTTGTTAGAACATGATGAACAAGGTGTTTTGGAGAACATGGAGAAAACTTCACTGTAGAAAGTAAAAAGTTTCCTCTTCAAAGTTTCCCTTCTTGTTAAAGAATAAATCATAAGTGTTAGAAATAATAATTTCTTTTAAAGACTAACTTCCTTTAAGCCTCCTTGCTTTGTGCAAATAACTCTCTGTTAAGCCCTATCCTATGTAGCTGTTAGACATGCTCACAGGCACATAGTACTTTCTATGTCCTTGTACTTTAACCAAGATATTTGTGCTGGACGTGCTCACAGGCATGTCCCAGCTCGCAGCCTATGCCCCTTCCTTATTTGGGAATATTATTACTTTTCTAAGTCCTTTGGTAAGCAACTTCCTCTTTTCCTCTGTTCTCCATTGCTTTTACCTATTTTTAAAAGTTTTTAAGCTGTTACCAATCGGGTGCAGTTTAGACTGTGAGGTCTGGCTCCAGCCAATGGAGACAGGACACAGTAGCAAGGACAAGCTGCATAAGGAATAAAAATTGCTTCCCTCCTTTGTTCAGATGTGCTGTCACCATTGTTCCATCTGCGAGGAGCACCCTTTCTGCAGAAAGTAAAATTGCCTCGTTGAGAGAATTTTTGTCTGAATGCTAATTTTTCCTTGTGGTACCAAGGAACAAGCATTCTGTTTTTAAATAAACATTTTACATATAACATTCATGGAGGAGGGCAAGAAACCATCAGGCAGATGGGGTGGAGAACCACTTGTGAAAAGGCAACCAGATGTGAAAATTATGGTGTTAGAGGGAGTGCAAGTATGACCCATTATAGGACGTTCAAAACAATGAAGAGATTGCCCAGGTTGTGATCTGGGGTTGCTTTCAGGGAGTTGTCATAGAAAGTAAGCAGTCGGGGCCTGGCGTGGTGGCTCATGCCTATAATTCCAGCACTTTGGGTGGCAGAGGCGGGAGGATCACTTAAGGCCAGGAGTTCAAGACCAGGTGAGGCAACATGTTCTCTATTAACAACATGTTGTCTAGCCTGGTCTTGAACACATAACATCTTTCTTATGCTACTGCTTACTTTTTGTTGTTGTTGTTAATAGGGATGTTACAACAGCATCTCTATTAACAACAACAACAACAAGAAGTAAGCAGAAGCATAAGAAAAAGTCGGGGCCGGGCGCAGTGGCTCACGCCTGTAATCCCAGCACTTTGGGAGGCTGAGACGGGCGGATCAGGAGGTTAGGAGGTCAAGACCATGCTGGCTAACATGGTGAAACCCCATCTCTACTAAAAATACAAAAAATTAGCCAGGCGTGGTGGCGGGCGCCTGCAGTCCCAGCTACTCGGGAGGCTGAGGCAGGAGAATGGCGTGACCCCGGGAGGCGGAGCTTGCAGTGAGCTGAGACTGCGCCACTGCACTCCAGCCTGGGAGACAGAGCGAGACTCCTTCTCCAAAAAAAAAAAAAAAAAAAAAAAAAAGAAAAAGTCAAGTGGTTTTGTGATTTTGTGATTACAAGAGGAATAAGTTTTCTGATTGGTGAATTTCATACTAATGAACTCAGTCTGCTCAGCCTTTTATCTTTCCCTCCTCCCATTTTTTCTCTCTCCTATTTTTTTTTTTTTTTTGTCCCTGCCTCTGGCCTCATGCATTCCCATTTGCTGTCTTGGGTTAAGGAGCTTGCAGTTGTCTAGCTGTGCTAAGTGACTACGTAGCTATAATTGCAATTATGGGGCTAGTGGGGGAACATTAGTAAGCCCAACTGACTGCTGATTTAGAGCTATATTCTCCAATCAGATTTACTAATAATGAAAGCAATATTTTAATTTCTGTCTGTTGTGTTTTTCAACTGGTTATAATTTCAGGAGTGGAAAGCCAGGTATGGTGGCTCACGCCTGTAATCCCAGCACTTTGGGAGGCCAAGGTGGGCAGATCACGAGGTCAGGAGATCAAGACCATCTTGGCCAACATGGTGAAACCCCGTCTCTACTGAAAATACAAAAATTAGCTGGGCGTGGTGGTGCGCACCTGTAGTCCCAGCTACTCGGGAGGCTGAGGCAGGAGAATTGCTTGAACTGGGGAGGTGGAGGGTGCAGTGAGCTGAGATCGCACCAATGCACTCCAGCCTGGGCGACAGAGCGAGACTCTGTCTCAAAAGAAAAAAAAAATTCAGGAGTGGAAAGAGGTGAACAATACTGAACACCCAAAACCCAACAATCTGGAATACTGAACACCTGGGGCCAACTTAAAATTCAACCATCTGAAATATCTCACACTTGGACCAAAAGAATTTGAACAGGCAGGAGGAAAGATATAGGTATTGGGTCAGAAGAGTTTAGAAAAGCAGGAGTAAGTAAATTATAAGTCAAGGTTCCTGTTGCAACTGTTTTGCTTTTCTTGAAAAGATCACATTATATGACATTGACTCTCAAGCTTCAGACTCTTCAGTAGCCCCTAGGGAGCTTGTTAAAACCACAGAGACATGGGGACTATGACTTGAACTCAGAAGACCTTGGGCAGGGCCCCTTCACTAGTATGTTCAACTAGTCTCTGAGGTGAGCAAGCAGTCTAAAGTTTGAAAACATCTGTTCCAGGGTATATCGGATCCCAAATCAATGCACTTAGAAGAAAAATAACAATTTCAAAAACATTTCTAATCATACTAGAAGCAGATGAATTTTTTTTTTTTTTTTTTTTTTTTTTGCAGATAGCAAGTGACATAATAGAGAAACATGGGAGAAATCAATCAGACTTGAGACAGACAGGTGATGGTGAAGGAGGAAGAAAGGTGATGGGAGTGAATTAAAAAGAAACTTGGGTGGGGCACACCAGGTGGGAGGAAGTGGGAGAACAGTTTAGGCTGGGTAGGGGCTGAGTATGCAATCACTGGCAGAGTTACGAAGTGACTGAAGCCCAGGGACGTGGAAAGCAAACAGTTCTCCTGGGAACCTGAAAGGGTGACACACAGGCGGAGAAGTGAGCCCTGCTTTGCAGAGTTCCTGTTCCAGCCAGGCTTCTGGCCAAATGTCTTGAGTTACCAACCTCTGGAGTCCTGTTTCCACTGGGAACTGGCCCAGACAAAGGAGACGAATATACGTGTGGAACACCCTCCTCCATCCACTTTTATTTATTTATTTATTTATTTGAGACAGAGTCTTGCTCTGTCACCTAGGCTGGAGTGCAATGGCACAATCTCGGCTCACTGCAACCTCCACCTCCTGGGTTCAAGCGATTCTCCTGCCTCAGCCTCCCAAGTAGCTGGGATTACAGGCACGTACTACTTACTATGCCCAGCTAATTTTTTTTTTTTTTTGTATTTTTAGTACACATGGGGTTCACCATGTTGACCAGGCTGGTCTCGAACTCCTGACCTCAAGTGATCCGCCCACCTCGGCCTCCAAAGTGCTGGGATTACAGCCATGAGCCACCTCACCCGGCTCCATTTACTTTTATAGGAACATTGCAGAATCAATGATGGATCCTACAAAATCACTCTAGTGGTGCATGCACTTAAAGGTACTTAAAGCTGTCACTAGGTGAGATAACATTCACAAACACTTTGTAAAGCATAAAACACTAAACAAAGCAAAGGTGTATTACTCTGATTCTCCTGGGTCTCATGTTTCCCAGGGTCTTCCATGTGAGACAGCACTCCTTAGGGACTGCCTATGACCCTGGAAGATCCCACTTAGGTCCTTCTTACAGGCTGGTCTTGTGCTGGTTAAGAGTTTGTAAGTGCTCAATGTCTTATGATGAAGGCATGAATATAAGCCACCATGCAATTTTTCTTCCTTTTTTAAAATCAGTGAGCAGTCTTTTCTTCCCACACCCCCACCCCACCTACTGCCTGTTTGAGTCAGTGTTCATGAACCTTCCTCTCACAGATTCTACTGTCTTGATCACCCACGAAACAGTTTCCCTACGCTGCAAGAAACAATAAGGGAACTTGCAAACAAATACTTCTGCCTGATGACAATTGTATATGAATTGAAATAGGACCTCTATTAAAGGTGACTGATATACCATTTTCCAAACTGAACTACTCTATTCTTTTTCTGCAAAGCATTAGTTTGTAGAAAAACTCTGTTGCTCTCCAGAAAGTCAAGTTGAAAGGTTTAGAGATTGACATAAACATCCTGTGCTTTCTCTAAGTGTTCACTTACGGATCATGAATCTATGGCAACCATTCTCAAACAGGTGTTTATATTCAGCCTGCACCGACTGATTTATTCCCTTGACAAGTATTTTTTGAGAGCATATATGTAGCAGTCCCTGCACTTGGGCCCAGGATACAGAGGTAACCAAGACAGAGAAGATCCCTGACTCTGAGAAGATCAGGCACATATGTCCTAAGTTATTGCCTATAGGGTAAATAGTACTTAGGTCTCTGCCATTACAAGACCAAAGTAGAAAACCTGGAATATTTGGGGGTGGGTAATGAGGAAGCAGCAAGGGGCAGTAAAATATTGTTTGGGGGAGTAAGAGTTTCTCATACAATGGGACTCCTCTAATGCCTCCAACATAGCATTCATTCTTATTTGCTTGTCCCCTGTAAGATAATGCAAAGGCACTTGCACTTTGAGTCCCAGAAGGAGCAGAGACTGGAAAAAAACAAGGAGAAGAGTGCGGCCTGACAAAGAACCAAAAAAAGACTAATTAGCTAAGAGTTCTGGTCTGGGCGTGGTGGCTCATGTCTGTAATCTCAGCATTTTGGGAGGCTGAGGTGGGTGGATCACCTGAGGTCATGAGTTCGAGACCAGCCTGACCAACATGGTGAAATCCCGTCTATACTAAAAAATACAAAAATTAGCCGAGTGTGGTGATGAGCGCCTGTAGTCCCAGCTACTCAGAAGGCTGAGGCAGGAGAATTGCTTGAACCCGAGAGGCGGAGCTTGCAGTGAGCTGTGATCGCACCACTGCACTCCAGCCTGGGCAACAAAGCGAGAGACTCTGTCTCAAAAAAGAAAAAAAAAGAAAAAAGGAAAGAAAAAAGAGTTCTGGGCCAGACATGGTGGCTCACACCTGTAAGTCCAGCATTTTGGGAGGCAGAGGCAGGAGAATTTCTCGAGGCCACGAGCTTGAGACCAGCCTGCACAACATAGCCAGACCCAGTCTCTACAAAAAAATTAAAAATTACCCAGGCATGGTGGAGGCTGAGTGGGGAGAAGTTGGAAACTACATTGAATTATGATTGCACCACTGCACTTCAGTCTGGGGCAACAGAGCAAGACCCTGTCTCTTAAAAAAAAAAAAAAAAAAGAGTTATGGCTAGCACTGCTCAGCTTAGTGAAGCTATCTGGCCACTGTCATCATTTATTCAGTACCATGGACCTGGACCAGCATCTTTTTGCTGAGTTTTGAGTGTATTATATAATTCCTGATCAGCACTGTTAGAGCTTTGAATACCTCTTGAGCAGTCTATTGAAATTTGTGAACTGAATACATATTTCACATTTTGAATAGGTAAAACATTCACGTGGTTCGTAATTCAAAAAGTATAAGAGTACACAGTAAAAAGCCTCCCTTTTACATTTGTTCTCTAGCTGCTCAATATCCCACCTCTGAAGGAATCCAGTTAGTTTGTTAAAAAAATGTTTTGTGGGTACATAGTAGGTATATATATTTATGAGGTACATGATCAGTCAGTTTTTTAGATATCCTATTTTATCCATATTTTATGGGTATAGTAAGTAGGATTTTTAAAAATAAGTTTTGGCCAGGAATGGTGGCTCATGCTTGTAATCCAGCACTTCAGGAGGCTGAGGTGGGAGGGGTCGCTTAAGCCCAGGAGTTCGAGACCATCCTAGGCAACATGGTGAAACCCTGTTTCTAAAAAATTTAAAAATTAGCCGGGCATGGTGGTGTGCATCTGTAGTCCCAGCTTCTCAGGAGGCTGAGGCCCACTTGAGCCCAGGAGGTTGAGGCTGAGGCTGCAGTAAGCCATGTTTGCACCACTGCACTCCAGACTGGGCAACAAGTGAGACCTTGCCTCAAAACATTTTATTTTATTTTATTTATTTTTTGAGGCCTAGTTTAGCTCTTGTTGTCCAGGCTGGAGTGCAATGGTGCCATCTCGGCTAACTGCAAACTCTGCCTCCCAGGTTTAAGCGATTCTCCTGTCTCAGTCTCCCAAGTAGCTGAGATTACATGCATGCACCACCACACCCAGCTAATTTTGTATTTTTAGTAGAGACAGGGTTTCACCGTGTTGGTCAGGCTGGTCTCCAACTCCTGACCTTGAGTGATCCACCTGCCTCAGCCTCCCAAAGTGCTGGAGTTATAGGGGTGAGCTACTGTGCGTGGCCAAATAAAATTATTTTATTGTTTATATTGAAGGTATACAACATGATGTTATGGAATATGTCGTATCAATAGTAAATAGGTTACTATTGTGAAGCAAATTAACATATCCATCGTCTCACATAGTTACCTATGTTTTTGTGACAACAGTAGCTAAAATCTACTTATTTAGCATGAATCTCATACATAGCGTAAACTTATTACCTATAGCTCTCATATACATTAGCTCTCTAGGCTTGTTCTCATGTACATTAACTCTCTAGACTTGTCCTAAATATCTGCTACTTTGTACCCTCTGATCTACATCTCTGATTCTCCATCACTCCACCCCACAACCTGCTCCAGGTAACCACTGTTTTGTTGTCTATCTCTGTATTAGAGTAAATAGGATTCTTAACTAGCCCTCTAATTTGAGAACCGTATCTCAGCCCTGTGACAACCTGTTCTTCTAGAGTATATCCTGTTCCACAGGATTTATATGAATCGGAAGTTCAGATTTTCGTTTCCAGATGAGTTTAGTGCGAGCTGTCCTCAAGAGGGGAAGAAAACAGAAAAAACAATTTGGAGAGACAGGAAAAATGTATATGTTAAAGTGTTAATACTCTCAGAGAATTTTATGCCATCAAAGCAATCTCTACCAAACAAGGTTATACTATCAAGTTTTAAAAATCTGGTTTCCTAAAGAAAACTACACATGGTTCTATCAAATTACAAAAAATAAGTGATTGCTAAGTGCTGTGTACTGTTCTAAGTACCTTATACAAATTACATCATTTAAACTTCCCAACAACCACATGAAGGTAAGTATATTTAATAGGTGAAGAAAACAAAGGACAGAGAAATTAAGCAAAGTGTGTTTTCAAACCCCGACTGGGGGCTCCAGAGCTCTCACTCTTAACCTAAATGATACTTATTGTCTGTTCTAATAGAAGATAGACAAAAGGAGGCCAGGTGGAGTGACTCACACCTGTAATCCCAGAATTTTGGAAGGCCGAGGCAGGAGGATCACTTGAGGCCAGGAATTGAAGACCAGCTTAGCCAACATGGTGAAACTCCATCTCTACTAAAAATACAAAAATTAGCAGGGGGCAGTGGCACACGCCTGTAATCTCAGCTACTCTGGAGGCTGAGGCAGAAGAACTGCTTGAATCTCAGAGGGAGAGGTTGCAGTGAGCCGAGATCATGTCACTGCACTCCAGCTTGGGTGACAGTGAGAGACTCTGTCTCAAAAACATAAAAAAAAAAAGCACCTGGCACCTCTTTTTGTTTTGCTTATTGTTTTTTTTGTTCTCGTTTGTTCAGAATTTTTTGTCTTCAAGTGTTAGTATCCATCAAAATTACCCCTGATGTTTAAATGCAGATTCCCAGGTCTCAGCACTGACCTAGAGAATTAGAATCCCTGGGGGAAGGGCTCCAGCTGCAGGAATGCTTTTTTTAAAACAAAACAAAACAAAACAAAAAACAGTGCCCTAGATGATTCCAAGGCGGGTGGCTGGTAAGCATACTCTGACAAATATTGTACATGTGGCAGTTTCTTTCCCAAAATTGGCCACAACCATACTTTCCATCACATATATGCTGCTAGTTCCTAGAGTCTTGCAGCTCCCCTTTCAAGAGGTGGTGTCCATGTTCCCTGCCCCTTGAGACAGGGTGAGTTTTGTGGCTGATTGACTGATGGATTATGGTTATTGTGATGCCATTTGACTTCCACGAGGCCATGTGATTTCCACGGCTGGGTCAAAAAAGGCGATTTAGTGTCCATTTCAGCTTGCTAGAACACTTACTCTTGGAGCCCAGCCACCATGCAATGGGGAAGCCCAAGATGCCCCAGGGAGAGGCCCACTTGGAGTGAAACTAACAGCCAGCACCAACTTGCCCGCCTTGTGAACCATCATGGAAGCCAATCTTCTGGTTGCACAGGCTGATGCAGCACAAGCAGAGTGTGCCTTCCTGCCAAGCCCTGCCCAGACTGCAGACCTACACACTCCCAACACAATAGCACTCTGCCTTTCTGCCTACCAGCATGAATTATCCTGGGTCCTCTATAAAATATTCTGAAAAGTATCTTTGTCCAGTTTCATTTACTTTTGCAGATTCTTCTAGTCACAGAACCACCTATTGCAGACTTCTGGTTATTTGAAATTCTCATTATTACCTCTGAACCTTGGCTTCTCATCTAAAACGTTCTGTTAATAATAGAGACTACTTCATCTGTTTCATAATTGAATGATGTATTAAATTTATTAACCATTTAGCATCGTGCCAGCACAAAATATTTCTTATTGTTCTTAGTAGGTTTCTTGTATTCAGAGTTCCAGTTTCTTTAGTGCACTATTTTTTCTCTCTCATAGCTCAATGCCATTTCACAGGCCATTTCCTATGCTTGGCATACTCTTCCCTACAAGGTCAGGTAGGTTCTTACTCATCATTGAGGACTTCACTTATTTAAGAAGGCTTCCCTGAGTTCTCAAGCAGTTAATGCCTCTCTGCTAAAATAGCACCTTGGAGGAACCTGTATTACAGACAGCCCTTAACACATTGGATTGTAACTAATTGTTTACTGGTCTCTCTTCTCCATTGGAATCTAAGTTCCTGGAAGGCACGGTCAGTCTTGTCTTCATTTATTCACCATCTACTGTCTGTTAGTGTGCTAGGAAACACTGTGGTTAAGTAGTTAAGGGCCAGGTCTTGGCGGATCTGCCTGGGGACAAAACAGCTCCTTGGAAAAGGTTAACTATCTAAGCCTCATTTGTAAAATGGAAACAACACCTCCTCACGATTGCTGTGAAGATGAAGTAAAGTGCTTGCAAACAGTCCATCACACAGCAAACCATCCGTCATCAGGATAAAACGCTTCCCCAACAATTCAATTTTCGGGCACCCCCACTCTAATTCTCTCATAGGACCTCGCACTCTATAGGTAATCTCTGCTTTACGGATTACTCTGGGTTCTTTAAACCTCTCCTTGGTCATTCGTCCTGTTAACAATTCTGAGTCTCAACCTTTAGGTCTAGGCGTTCAGAACCATTCTTCCCGCCTCCAACTCGCTCCAAACCCTTTTCCTTCAGCCTACCCTGGGCCTAGGGGCGTGTCAGAGGTCCGATTTATACAATTTAAACATCAAAACTCCCCCAACAGCGTGTGAGTAACTGGAGAGACCCCCAGTCAGAGCTTTGCCACCGAGTTTCGGTCTTGCCCTCCCTTTGAGGAAGGAGCAAGACGATGAGCCCCACCTCAGTCGTTCACTGCAGAGCCAGCAGGGAACGCGCGCAATGCAGGCTGAGCTGAAAGAACGAACGCGTGAGCTGAAAGAACGAACGCGTGAATGAATGAATGGGATACGTCGTAGGCCAGGCCTCTGTTACGTCGTCCACCGGCGCGGGCGTGGCCACGGTTAAGAGAGACGCGCGCGCAGTCGCGCGCGGGTCGTGCCGTACCACCGTCGCGGGCAGGCTCGGCCACGAGCGCCAGAGCCCCGCGCCTCCCCTCGCGGCCTGTCCCAAGTCCCTGCCCCGCAACAGAGCGTCACTTCCGCCATCCCCGGCAGCGGTTGGGGCGGGGCGCACGGGGGAGGGGGCCAGGTCGGAGGGAAGCCCGCCCGTGCCCGAGCCCGCGCCCGAGCAGGGACTACATTTCCCGAGGGGCCTCGGCGGCGGCTGCGGCGACGGGCGCGGCAACGTCCCCCGGAAGTGGAGCCCGGGACTTCCACTCGTGCGTGAGGCGAGAGGAGCCGGAGACGAGACCAGAGGCCGAACTCGGGTTCTGACAAGATGGCCGGGCTGCCCCGCAGGATCATCAAGGTAACCGCCCAGGCCGGCCTCCAGCTCTTCGCTCTGCTCTCGTCGGCTCAGCTGGGCAGGCAGCGCGGCCTCTCGCCTCCTTCGGCCCGCGGCCCGCTCTGGGAGGCCCGAGGCGGCGCGGAGAGGGGTTGGCCGCGGCGGCGAGGGAAGTCGGGTGCTGAGGAGGGGGCGCCGGGGAGACTTCCGGCCGCGGCGGGGCAGCCGGACAGCGGGGACCCGGGGCTTCCAGGCGGCTGCCCGGCGGGCCAGGGAGTGCTGTCC
Source organism: Homo sapiens (assembly GCF_000001405.40). Taxonomy (NCBI): domain Eukaryota; kingdom Metazoa; phylum Chordata; class Mammalia; order Primates; family Hominidae; genus Homo; species Homo sapiens. The sequence continues at coordinate 93,441,593 of NC_000012.12, read as the reverse complement.
CACGCCCCGGCGGAGGGTGGGGCGGCAAGGCTGGGGGTCTCTGGGCTTGGGCGCGGGCCTCCATAGCTTCTGAGACCACCCCCCCGCCGGAGGCCGCGGGCGCGCGGGAATCGCGGCGGGGCTCGGGCGCCTGGTGGGGATTGTGGCCCGACAAGGTCCCTCGGCAGCCAAGCCCCTCTTCTCCGCCCCGACGGGGCCGCGGAGGTGCGGCAACCGCGGGTGCAGAATGAATGAACCGGGAGGGTCAGGCCGGGCGGGGCCCTGCGCCCCGGGAAGTGGCTCTGGGAGGCCCGCGCGTCCTGCCGCGGTCAGCACATGCTCGCCCCTGGTTGCCGCGGCTGCCTGGGTCCCGGGACGTGGGGGCCCCGCGCCCCGCTGCCCTTGCTTCCGCGATCTCTCTCTTCTGAATACGTTTCCGCTCGTTTATCTCTGCGAAGTGATTTTACTCTGGTTGGCAAACTCTTTCAGAGCTGTTCCGAGGAAATAGTTTTAACACAAGGCTGGGGGAGGGCCGCAGTTATGGGGGATTCTCTTTCTCTCTCCTCTTCTCTCCTCTCCTCTCTTTTTCGTAGATATGAGGCCTCGCTATAGTGCCCAGGCGGCTTCCAAAACTCCTGGCTTCAGAGATCTTCCTACCTTGGCCTCTGTGGGGGATCTCGTGAAATCTTTTGCCCCTCAATTTTGTGCGTTTTAATTATTAATTGGCTGTTTATGAATACTGTGTTTTGACAAGTATGTATGGAACCATGACATTTTCGATTCTTTGATTTTGTAAAGTCTTAAGGAAATATCGACAAGTCTTCAGACGTGAGATATTCCTTGTCATCACAACAACTAAACCTTAAATTTTTGTGTCGGTTTTTATGAAGGAAATTAGTTGCACATTTATGTGACTAAATGCGCCAGTTAAAGTGACTCAATTGCAGCATCATTTTGCTTGATATAACCTGGTGAACGTGTATGTTAATCTTGCTCATTCTTGTGAAATCTGTGGGGAGATGCATACTAAGTGGAAGACCTGTTAGGCTTCGAGGATGATGTACTGTATACTGCTTCATCCAATTGCATTTAAATATATCTGAGATGAGGGAGATGTCACTGACCTAAGGGTGCTGATGTAGAGAAATAAGACGTTTTTGTATGGTAGAAATTCTTAGAAATGAGAGAAGTAGAACAGATTGTCAGGGAGCACTGGAGTCTAATAATGTGAATCTTCATAGTCCGAAATTTGTTGTGTGTGGATTTATCTAGGATTCTGTCCAAGGAGTTTTAATTGTCATATGTATTGGCAGGTCCGTACAACGTGGTTTTAGTTATAATGCAGTCACATGGTCCCCAAAGGTCATGTTTATTGAGGCCCCAGTTGAAAAATGAATAGGGAGTGATAGAGCCATACATCAAATATCCTTGTTTTCGTTGTTACTTAGGTTATTGACTAAGTACATAATGCAAGTTGACATTCATGATAATTCTCTGAAATACATAGTGAACTAAACATTTAACACGCATTTTTCTATTTTTGATTATGAAGATATGCCCAGTAATATGAAAGCCTTGGATGAAAAAATAAATTCTGTGGAACCTTGTTTATAAATTTACAGAAATGGTTTAAGGCAATAAGTTGAAGTCCTCATGATTCAATCCATTTGGCACACAGTAATTTACACTGGGCATTTACATTTTGCTGTTGAAACTAAGACAGTAACTCATACTGTGATATATAATCTTAATTTTACGGTATCTTGTTGACAACATCTATCTAATGAATGACACCTTGATTTGGGTTTTATCTTACTAGTTTAGTGTCATTTATAGCTTAAAAGGATGGTTTTCTCTAATCCTTAAACAGAAGACTAAAAGACTAGATTTTTAAAAGTGTCCATGCTTGTGTTATGTAGGTTGTTCCATAATCAGTGACAATGCTTTAAAAAAAATCAGAATTTATTTTTAAAAGTTGCCTCTTTTCTGTCAATCACTATACAAACTTCTGTGTGGTGGATGGGGGTAACGGTATTGTCCTGAGGCAATAGGGACATGACTTTGTTGATTGGACTGTTAATTTGTTTTATTTCTGGGTGATCTTTGACTTTCTTCTTTTCTTTCTGTTTTCTTTTCTTGAGACTCGTCTCACTCCGCTCCCAGGCTGCAGTGCAGTGGCAGGATCATGGCTTACCACAGCCTTGATCTCCTGGTCTTAGATGATCCTCCCACTTAAGCCTCTTCAATAGCTGGGACTGCAAGGTGCATGCCACCACACCCAGCTAATTTTTGTAGGGACGGGGTTTCGCCATGTTGCCCAGGCTGGTCTCAAACTCTTGACCTCACACAATCCACCCATTTCAGCCTCCCACAGTGCTGGGATCACAGGCGTGAGCCACTGTGCCCCGCCTGACCTTTGACTTTCAAAGGATGAAATTTAGTGTTGATATAACATCAGTGTTAGCATTCTCATCTAATGAAAATGTTAAAATAAGGTGGCTTGATTTGCATGACTGTTAATATGATGCTTTCTAACTTATAATGATCACTATTTACATTTGTAGATTTCTTAACCATTTGATTCTTACAGACATTTTTGTGAACTAGACAATATATTTTGCAGTCTAGAAACTGACTTAAATGACTTTCCTAAGGTAAAGCTGGTAAGAGGCAGAATTTGGATCTTGATTAGTGTAACATTCCCCTGTCTCTTGTTACTGTAAAATGACTAACTACAAATACAAGATGATTTTCTGGACTACTATTCACCCAGTTGCTATCTCATTTAGATTCCTGTATCTAATCCAGTAGCAAATTCTGTAGGTTCTGCTTTCAATATATGTACTAAATCAGACACTTTCCCCCCTGTCTTTCAAACCTCTGTTCACTTCCATCATTTACTGCCTGGCCTCCTGTATTAGCCTACTTTGGAGCAGCAGCTAGTGTTATCTTCTTAAAATATAGACCATGTTACTCCCCTGCTAAAAACTGTAGAGGTTCTCCATCACACTTACATTAGAATCTTGCCTTCCCCCCCACCCCTTAGCTATAAGGCCCTGCATTCATTTGGGATGCCTACTTCTGAGCGCATCTGCACTTCTCTCTCTGGGTCACTCCACTGTAGCCACACTGTTGCTTTGCTGTACCCTGAACAATAAGTGGTTGAGCTTATTCCAGTCACAGGACTTTCCTCCAGTTTGTTGCATTGCTTGCTTTGTCCAGTTGTTCCGTTCTTAGCTCATATGTCATACCCTCTACCTAACCTGTCCCGTATAAACCAGTTTCCCTTTTTCCTCCCCCACAATTTTATCCTCCTATCTCCCTTTCTTCTGTATAAGTGCTTATTACTGTTCGAAGTTATGTTATTTACTGTTTATTTCTCTCTATTCCCCATTAAACCTTCATGAAGTTAGGGACTCTTGGATATCCCGGGCATTGCTCATTCGTGCCTAGACCAATCCTTGGCACATAGTAGATACTGAAATATTAATAGACTAACTGAATAGATGAGCCTTAATCTCAATGAGCAATAATTTGACATTGTTACTCCTTGGTATATTCTGTCTGAACCAATGTCTGAGCTAAAAGTTAAAGCTAGTCTCGTTTTCCACCCATAAGCTCACTTAAAAAGGACATCAATCTTTTACATTATTTCTTTTTTGTGTGCCTACTCTGCTTATGTATCTTTTTTTATTAACTAGGAAATGCACACATAGAGCACATTTGAAAGGCTCTGAAGGATACGTAGAGAATCCCTCATCTGTCCTTCAGCATTCCAGTTCCCCTGCTTAGAAAACCACTGTTTTTGTTTGTTTGTTTGTTTGTTGAGACGGAGTCTCCCCCTGTTGCCCAGGCTGGAGTGCAGTGGTGCAATTTTGGCTCACTGCAAACTCCACCTCCCAGGTTCAAGTGATTCTCCTGCCTCAGTCTCTTAAGTAGCTGAGACTGCAGGCATGTGCCACCACACCTGGCTAATTTTTAGTAGAGATGGGGTTTCACCATGTTGGCCATGCTGGTCTCAAACTCCTCTTCTCAAGTGATCCACCTGCCTCAGCCTCCCAAAGTGCTAGGATTACAGGTGTGAGCCACTGCACCCGACTTCAACCACTATTTTTATTGTGTATCCTTACAAGAAGACCAGAGCAACTTTCTGCTATAAGTTAGGCGTCTTCTCCTTCTCATGCAAATACCTTGATTCCCTTCTCTTCCCCTCTAACCACCTATGTATCTTCAAGTTGACTTTTTTTTTTTTTTAAGAGACAGACTGCTGCTTTGTTGCCCAGGCTGGAGTGCAGTGGCTTTTCACAGGCGTGATCATAGTACACTATATACATACAGCCTCGAATTCCTAATATCAGGTGATCTCTACCTTCAGCCTCCAGTATCTGGGATTACAGACATGCATCATAGTGTTCTGCTTTGGCTCTTTTTTTTTTCTCAAAGGGCTGTTTAATGGAACCTTATGGTTAGACTTTATTTTATTTTTTCAAATATTGGAAATTTAATACTTTTTCAGTAGAGATGGGGTCTTGCCATGTTGCCTAGGCTGTTCTCGAGCTCCTAGGCTCAAGTGATTCTTCCACCTCGGCCTCCCAAAGTGCTAGGGTTAACAGGCATGAACCACCGTGCCTGGCCTAGACTTTATTGTAACTAATTGCTTATTCATAACTTTCAGAATGTTTCCTAAATTGTGCTATATAAAAAATGCTGTAACGAAGTTTTGTATGTATGGCATTTTGCACAAGTGTGAGTGATATTGAGTCTTAGTAGTTCTGTTTTAAGCTAGAATCTTTAGTTTCGTTTTTCTGCCTTATCTTCTGGACCAAAGCTCTTTTAGCCAATAAAAGTGACTGAAGCTGGGCATGGTGGTTCACACCTGTAATAACAGCTCTTTGGGAGACTGAGGCCCAAGGATTGCTTGAAGCCAGGAGTTGAGACCAGCCTGAGGAACATAGTGAGATCTCCATCTCCACCAAAAAAAAAAAAGTGAGCAGTTAAAGCTTAAAGTCATAAAGGTTAGGAGGTACCTAAAATGTCCCTCAAATGAGAGGTTCTGCATAATCCTGTCATAAAGGAGAATCACTTTCGGGAACCGATAAGTGAGATCTATAGTTATGGCCTTGGTCAAAACCAAATCTGTTTCAGCTTTACATGTTACGTTGATACAGTGACTGACATTCCTTTAATGGTCTTTTCAGAATTAATCATGAGGGCTGAGCACTGTGGCTCATGCCTATAATCTCAGTACTTTGGGAGGCTGAGGCGGGAGGATCCCCTGAGCCCAAGGTTTCAAGACTGGGCTGTACAACATAATGAGACCTTGTCTCTACAAAAAGATAAAATGAAAATTAGCCAGGTGTTGTGGCACACATCTGTAGTCCCAGCTACTCAGGAGACAGGTGGGAGGATTGGTTTGGCCCAGGAAGTTGAGGCTGCAGTGAGCCTAGATCGCGCCACTGCACTCCAGCCTGGGCGACAGAGTGAAACCCTGTCTCAAAATAGTAATAATGATAATAATGAAAATGATAAAATACAGTCTTGGGAAAAAGTAGTTAACTTACCCTAGGGGTTGACTTATTTGATTAAAACCTAGTGAGTCAACCTGCTGGAATTAGAATTTTACCAGTCTTTCGCAGAATTTACTTTATGTCTCCCTTCCCCACTGGTCCCTTGTCTATGGTGCTTAAAAATTTACTTAAGAAAATACATTTAATTAATTTTTTGAAACAGGGTCTCTGTCACCCAGGCTGAAGTGCAGTGGAAAAATTTACTCTTCTATTTGGTGTGATTTAGCCTCAAATTCTTAAAAATCAGATACAGTCTGATTTTACATTGAGACTTGAGTTTACTTTTTTAATAGGATTTTTTGAAGTACACACATTTTTTCCTGTTACTGTTTAAAAGCCACTCATTTGATAGGTATTCTAGTGCATAAGGTATTTTTTTTTGTAAGAAAAGTGATTTAGAAAACTCACCTTTTATTTATTTGAGACGGGAGTCTTGCTTTGTTGCCCAGCCTGGAGTGCAATGGCACAATCTCGGCTTACTACAACCTCTGCCTCCCAGGTTCAAGCAGTTCTCCTGCCTCAGCCACTGGAGTAGCTTTACTCTCTGCCTTGAACATTTTTTTTTTCTTATTTTGAGATGAAGTTTTGCTTTTGTTGCCCAGGCTGGAGTGCAATGGCGTGATCTCGGCTAACTGCAACCTCTGCCCCCTGGGTTCAAGCAATTCTCCTGCCTCAGCCTCCCTAGTAGCTGGGATTACAGGTGTATGCCACCACGCCCAGCTGATTTTTGTATTTTTAGTAGAGGCAGGGTTTCACCATGTTGGTCAGGCTGGTCTCGAACTCCTGACCTTTGGTGATCTGCCCACCTCGGCCTCCCAAAGTGCTGGAACTACAGGTGTGAGTCACCGCGCCTGTCCTATCTGTTGTTTTAAGCTCTGAAAATACTTGTCTGATAATGTTTTCTTCCAATTAAAAAAAGGCATGGAAAAGTTACCATGATGTTTCAGAAATATATGTACCTCCAGGTGGGGGCAGGGAAACTTAGCCAGGTATGGTGGTTCATGCAGTAATCCTAACAGAAGACTGAGGCAGGAAGATCCCTTGAATCCAGGAGGCCGGGGCTGCAGTGAGCTATTAGTGGCACCACTGCACCCCAGCCTGGGTAATAGAGGCAAGACCCTGTCTCTTAAATAAATAAATAAATAAATAAATAAATACAAACTCATTATGATGAAGACAGATTTGTTATAAGTTGTAATTAAAATCACCTTTGGAATTTAAGAAAAAACTTGTAAAAAATTTGACTAGGAACAGTGGTTCTTTAGTTCTTTCAGTTGTCTCACTTAAGAATTTTCTGACCTCTTCCTAGGAAAAAAAGCTATTTTTTTTAACGTATGACTTCTGGGGATTCAGATTCTTGCCAAGTTTATTTGTGGATTCCCTAGGTCTCCATGTGCTCCATGTTAAGAATCCTTGAACTGCTTTTGATAGTGATTAAACTTTCAGGCTCTAAAGATACTGTTTTAATATACTATCTAATGTTTTGATTATGAAATGTGAGCATAACTGAAAGTAAGTTAAAAATAGCAGTCAGTTCAGTATTCTTTTTTAAGCTCCTCTGTGTCAAGCAGTTCCTTTAGTCCAGATTGATCAACTCCTGCACAAGTGAAATTAAGTTTTGTCAAATTATCAAGTACTTTAGTATTCACTGTGCTAAATGACTGTGACTGGAAATGTTATGCATTTGCTTTGCTCAAGTTTGGAATTTTTTCCACACGTGTTAATGACCACTCTTAAAACCAGAGTTTTTTTTTGTTGAGACGGAGTCTCGCTCTGTCGCCAGGCTGGAGTGCAGTGGCACGAACTCGGCTAACTGCAATCTCCACCTCCCAGGTTCAAGCGATTCTCCTGCCTCAGCCTCCCGAGTAGCTGGAATTACAGGCACGCGCCACCACACCCAGCTAATTTTTTTTTATTTTTAGTAGAGACGGGTTTCACCATGTTGGCCAGGATGGTTTCAATCTCCTGACCTCGTGATCCACCCACCTCGGCCTCCTAAAGTGCTGGGACTACGGGAGTGAGCCACCAGAGTTTTACACATTAGAGAACATCTGTTCTATCCTTTTCTTTCTCTGGTGAGGAATTTGTAGGCCAAAGAAGTTGGATGACCAGATTCCTGATGTACAATTCGGTTCTTCTTCTTTTTTCCCTATACCTTATAGGATAGTTTACCTGTGTAAATGGATTTAAGAAGAAAATATGCTACAGATTCAAGTTGTATGGATTCTGAACACACATTATGTTTTCTGTTATAATGAACTATGGATGCATATGTGCTATAGAAATAAATACTAGAAACAAGGAAATGAGGACAGCAGCATCCAGCAGGGGCTTTTGACATTACAATTATAGTAATCAGAGTTCTGATTTAGGTGCCAAATTCGTATCTTATACAGTGCTGCTTTCTAAAAACAAAATAAATATGAGAGGCATAGTTTATGTAATAATATTATATCAAGGAAAAGAATTCTTATGTGTGTATGCGAAAAACGAGTTGGACTGTTGTTTCATTAGAGTTGAAATTTTCTTTGCAAATGTAATATATGAAGGAATGAATGTGGATATACCAATTAGGCAATTAAATAATAGGGAATCTTTTAACTTCAGCTAAAATCTTAGCAGCTTTTAAAATTTCTTCCCAAGTGAAGTGATTGATGGCCCTAGGGTCTTTTGTGGCAGAAACATGACTGTGTGGTTGGAAGAACTGGATAATTGGTTAAGAGCCCTCAGAATCAACAGAAATACTTCATTATTATTCATTCTTTCAAGGGCTACATGACACCATTGGGGGCATTTTATATTTTTTAAAAATCCTGGCCAGGCGCGGTGGCTCACGCCTGTAATCCCAGCACTTTGGGAGGCCGAGGCAGGAGGATCACAAGGTCAGGAGATCGAGACCATCCTGGCTAACATGGTGAAACCCCGTCTCTACTAAAAATACAAAAAAATTAGCTGGGCGTGGTGGTGGGTGCCTGTAGTCCCAGCTAGTCGGGAGGCTGAGGCAGGAGAATGGTGTGAACCCGGGAGCAGCAGAGCTTGCAGTGAGCGGAGATCACCCCACTGCACTCCAGCCTGGGCAACAGAGCAAGACTCCGTCTCAAAAAAAAAAAAAAACCTGAATGAAGCTATTCTAAAATTTCTTGAGTACTTAGGCACAGACATTTTTGGTTTTGAATTGGCCAGTAACTGAGATGCTTCTGAATAATTAGGATTCTACTGTAATTTAAAGTAATTTTAGATACTGGTTTCAGAATCTAAGGTTGACATATTTTGCATTAAAACAACTGGCTATGTTGTCTTTAGATTTTCAATTTTTTTTTTAGTTTTCAATACCTTCACATTATGTCTCTGTCAGTTTGGTTAATTTTGGGCAAATGAATTTATATTTTGAAAGTCTTTACAGTTCTAGGGATTGAAGGCATTGTAGTTAAGGAAACACTAGAAAGAACTAACAAATTTATATCATGAAACCATTGGTGATTTTTTTATTGCTCTGTAACTTTCTTAAGATTATAGCTTATACTCGGGAAAATGTTAGTAAGTAGCTGTTTTGTTTTGTTTTTTTTTTTTTGTGACTCTTAAAGACAACTAGATTACCATCTTACTATGAGGCAGGGACAAAGTGGTTTTAGTAACATAGGCCGATCCCAAGGCCAAATTTCAGTTTTCTGTAACCTTGTGATTTGCGTGTCTCTTTATTATCCATTCATGAGATTTTTTTTCAGTTCAATTAATTGGACATTCATTGAATGCATAATATGCATTTACCAGTAAGCCAGGTGAACAAGAAAGGCATCCCTGTGTAATGGAAAACACAGTCATGAAACAAATTTCTGTGGCCCAGGCTGGAATGCAGTGACGTGACTTGGCTCACTGCAACCTCTGCCTCCCGGGTTCAAGCAATTCTCCTGCCTCAGCCTCCTGAGTAGCTGGGATTACAGGTGCACGCCACCACACCCGGCTAATTTTGGTATTTTTAGTAGAGACAGGGTTTCACCATGTTGGTCAGGCTGGTCTCAAACTCCTGACCTCGTGATCCGCCCGCCTCAGCCTCCCAGAGTGCTGGGATTACAGGCAGGAGCCACCGCGCCCAGCCGAGGAAGTGTTTTTAAACTTGAAGAGTAAGAGTTTGCTGGGCCAAGAGAAGGAGGGAGTGTGAGTGAGTTTTTGGCACATGGGGCAGCAGATATGAAAGCTGGAAGGAGAGACAGAAAGCATGGCATCATCTAGAAATATAGTATGTGATGGATAATAGAATCAGGGTCTCATCAAAAATAATTATTACTGTTTAATGACTGTGTTCAAAGAGTTGGCATCAAGAATTGTTAGGCAAACAAAGTGTTTCTAATTATGAAATTCATATTTAGTCTGTGAACTATTCACTAGCATGCAGTGTGGCAGCTGTTCCTGAAGTGAGGTTGGTCATATAGTTTTTATTATGTAAAAATAGACATCTTTCATTGGCATCGTGTACCAGGCACTGTTCTAAGCATGTTACGTGCATTAATTTACTTAATTCTAATTGCAGTTTTATGATGTGTGGATATTAGTATCATTCCTATTTTATAGCTATGGGAACCTGCACAGAGGGACTTATTAGTTTCTAGAGCTATGATTTGAACCCAGGTGGTCTGATTCTGTAGACTGTGGATACTGAAGAACATGTCTATTCCTAGATAATAACTGGCAGTGCATGTATTTTTATACTGTATCATTTGGACACATGAAGTGGAAACATGTTTAAGAACAGGATCTAAGTGCTTAGCTTACTTGTTTTGGGTTGTGTTTTGTTTGTTTGGTTGGTTGGTTGGCTTTTTTTGAGACGGAGTTTTGCTCTTGTTGCCCAGGCTGGGAGTGCAATGGCACGATCTCGGCTCACTGCAATCTCTGCCTCCCAGGTTCAAGCGATTCTCCTGCCTCAGCCTTCCGAGTAGCTGGGATTACAGGTGCCCGCCACCACACCCGGCTAATTTTTGTATTTTTAGTAGAGACGGGGTTTCACCATGTTGGCCAGGCTGGTCTCGAACTCCTGACCTTGTGATTCGCCCGCCTTGGCCTCCCAAAGTGCTGGGATTACAGGCATGAGCCACTGCGCTTGGCTGTGTTTTTTTTTTTAAGATAGGGTCTCACTGTGTTGCCCAGGCATGATCATGGCTCACTGCAGCCTCAGCATCCCGAGTAGCTGGGATCACAGGCATGCACTACCATCCCCAACTAATTTAAAAAAATTTTTTATATATATATAAAATATATATTATGTACAATATAAAATATATATACATATATAATATATATTACATAGAGACAGGGTCTCCCTATGTTGCTCAGGCTGGTTTTGAACTCCTGGGCTCAAGTGATCCTCCTGTCTCAGCCTCCCACAGTGTTGGGATTACAGGCGTGAGCCACTGAGCCTGCCGCTTTTCTTGGTTTTTTTTAATCAGAAGTCTCTTTATTGTAATTTAATTAGAGGCTTTCCTACAAACATGAGACCCTGTTTAGTAACATAGTTCACTTTAAGATGGAATGCCTCTGGTCTGGATGGCATATTCTTTTCCTCCCCCTCCCCACCCAGCCAGTCCTGGATTTGAGGAATTTTGTGGTTCTGGTGAGAAGGGACTCTTTGCTGCTCTTTCTTACCGGCAAAATATACAGTCTTGAATCACTTAACGATGGAGTTACTTTCTGAGAAATGCACCATAGGCAATTTCATCATTGTGTGAACATCATAGAGTATATTTATACAAACCTAGATAGTGTAGCATGCTACACACCTAGGCTATGTTGTATAGTCTGTTGATCCTAGGCTACAAACCTGTTTAATATGTTACTGTACTTAATACTGTAGGCAGTTGTAATGCAGTGGTAAGTATGTGTGTATCAAAATAGGAAAGGTACAGTAAAAATCTGGTATAAAAGATAAAAAATGGTATACCTGTATAGGGCACTTAACCATGAAGGAAGCTTGCAGGACTGGAAGTTGCCCTGGGTGAGTGAGTGGTGAGTGGATTTGAAGGGCTAGGACATTACTGTACACTACGATAGACTTTATAAGCATTGTACACTTAGGCTACACCAAAAAATTTTTTAAAATGTTTCTTCAATAATAAGCCTTGGCTTACTGTAACTTTTTTATTTTATAAACTTATATTTTTAAACTTTTGATTTTTTTGTATTAACATTTAGCTTAAAACACACATCATACAGCTGTGCAAAAATATATTTTCTTTATATCCTATAAGCTTTTTTCTCTTACAATCTTTTTTAAAAAAACTTTTTTGTGAAAAACTAAGACATACACACACATATTAGGCCTATTCAGGATCAGCAGTATCACTGTCTTCCAGCTCCTCTTGTCCTACTCGAAGGTCTTCAGGGGCAGTAACACACATGGAGCTGTCATCTCCTGTGACAACAGTGCCTTCTGGAATACCTCCTGAAGGACCTGCCTGAACCTGTTTTACAGTCAACTTTTTTTTTTTTTTTTAACAAGCAGAAGGAATACACTCTAAAATAATCAATAAAAGTATAGTATAGTAAATACTAGGCAATAGGAATTTTTCAGTTCCATTATAATGTTGTGGGACCACTGTCTTTTGTGCAGTTGATCATTGACTGAAACTCATACAGCGCATGACTGTATTTAAAGTACCACTGAATCAGACTAATTTTAAACGAGAATTTTTTTTCTCAGTAAGTCTAAAAATATGTTAGAGTTATCTTGCATTCATTTATATATCAAGTTGAGTTTTGTGTTTTCTTTCTTTCTTTTTTTTTTTTTGAGACAGAGTCTCCCTCTGTCGCCCAGGCTGGAGTGCAATGGTGTGATCTTGGCTCACTGCAACCTCCGCCTCCTGGGTTCAAGCAGCTCTACTTCCTCAGCCTCCTGAGTAGCTGGGACTACAGGCGTGCACCACCACACCCAGCTAATTTTGGTATTTTTAGTAGAGACGGGGTTTCACCATGTTGGTCAGGCTGATCTTGAACTCCTGACCTCGTGATCCGCCCGCCTCAGCCTCCAAAAGTGCTGGGATTACAGGCATGAGCCACCGCGCCTGGCCTACACTTTTTCAAATAAAGTGCACTGTCCAGGACCCTGTCTTTATTGTTGTGGTTCAGGTAAGGGTTAAACTAAAAGTGCTGCAAGTTCTGTTCAGGGGCCAGCACTGACTGTGCTTAGAGAAGTACTTGGCCAGACCTTGCCTATTTCTTCTCCTAGTTTAATTGGCAGGGCTGCTGATGTATTGGCAAGGATGCCAAGACAAGAATCTATGGGCTATTTTCTCTGAACACTTGTTTCTAGTCTGAGTACTTAGTTCATGGTTATACATTGGAATTATCTGGGGAAGTTTGTAAATTTAACATTGCCAGCCCAACATATTTTTGTTGTTTTAAGAGCTGCTTATGATTTTAGTGTACACTTTGCAGAAACACTGGTCATATGTGTGCTTGGCTTCAATGCAAAGATGGGTAGAATGGGAGACAAAAGTAAAATCATACAGCTAGCACTGCTTTGTATATTGAATACAAAGGCATCAATGGGAACACCAAAGAAGTGACAGACTGGCCTGGAAAACCCTCAAGGTTGGTTTAGGGAAAGGTTTTTAGAGGATGATATTTGAGCTGAATTTTGAAGCATAAGTAGAAAAGGGGGAGTAGAATGTCGACATACCAGACCCAGGAGATATTTGAACTAAGACTGTGTAACTTGAGTCAGCATGTCTATGCTTGGATCACAGATACTTAGCTTCAAAAGTAATCTTTTAACTTGAAGTTTCTTTTCTTCAGAAGTGTAGTCCATGAATATATATTCATTACTAAAATTTCTGTTGGCTGGGTGCGGTGGCTCATGTCTGTGATCCCAGCACTTTGGGAGGCTGAAGCAAGTAGATTGCTTGAGCCCAAGAATTTGAGAAAAGCCTGGGCAACATGAAGAAGCCCCATGTCTACAAAAAAATACAAAAATTAGCCAGGTGTGGTGGCACATGTCTGTAGTCCCAGCTACTAGTTGGGAGGGTGAAATGGGAGGATCACTTGAGCCTGGGAGGTTGAGGCGGCAGTGAGCCAAGATTGTGTCACTATACTCTAGCCTGGGCGACAGAGCAAGATCCTATCTCAAAAAACTGAAAACTCTGTTAACATGCTGTGAATATGTTATATACTAAATAGTCAAGTAATAGATATTTATTTTCCCTTCACTTACTTTTACTATTCCAATCTCTAATTCATCGGTAAGATTCCAAAATCTCACTGAATATTGAAGGAAAACTCAAATGCTTCATTTATTTTTTTGAGGTATAATTCTCATACCATAAAATTCACCCACTCAAAGTGTACAGTTTAGTGGTTTTTTCATGTATTCACAAAGTAGTACAACATCATCACTTGCTAATTCCAGAAGATTTTTGTCACCCCAAAAAGAAAAACCCTGTGCTCATTAGCAGTCACTCTACCTTCAACCCCTGGCAACCATTTATCTGCTTTCCAATTCTATGGATTTTCCTATTGTACACACTTCATATAAATGGAATTATACAATATGTGGCCTTTTCTTTCTGGCTTCTTTCATTTAGCATGTTTTCAAGGTTCATGTATATTGTAGCATGTATTAGTACTTCATTCCTTTGTAAATATTTTACCTGAAGTGTTTTCTAAATAAAACCTTTTAAAAAGTGATAGTGCTGAAGGGAAGCAAGGTAGAATTTTTAGGAGATAGGTAATCTGTATTGGCTCTCATAAAACTAGTCACATGTGAAGCCTGCATTGCTTTAGAACAGGGATTTCCAACCTTTTGGCTTCCCTGGGCCACAGTGGAATAAGAATTGTCTCATGGCTGGGCATGGTGGCTCACGCCTGTAATCCCAGCCCTTTGGGAGGCTGAGGCGGGCCAATCCCTTGAGGTCAGGAGCTCGAGACCAGCCTGGCCAACATGGTGAAACCCTGTCTCTACTAAAAATACAAAAATTAGCTGGGTGTGGTGGCACACGCCTGTAATCCCAGCTACTTGGGAGGCTGAGGTGGGAGAATTGCTTCAACCTGGGAAGCAGAGGCTGCAGTGAGCCGAGATCGTGCCACTGCACTCCAGTCTGGGCGACAAAAGAAAAAAAAAAAGAATTGTCTTAGGCCACACATAAAATACACTAACACTAATGATAGCCGATGAGCTTAAAAAAAAAAAAATCTGCTGATGCACCCATGAGAGGGGAGACAGCACTGTCGTCTCTCGCAGTTTTCCCTTAACACTCCCTTATCTGCAGACTTAAACTAGGAGCCCCTGGCAGAGTCCTACCTCCAGAATCACAAAAGTGTAGAAGGAAAGTGAGAGACATTGATTGACTTTATATCTGACTTACTAGTTTCCTAAGGCAGAGATTTTTTAGAAAACTGCCTGGCCTGGCCCAGCCCAGGATAGATAGGGATGGGTAAGAAGCCCTTGAGATGTGGCAGTATGTGGCTTGACTTCAGACTTGTCAGATTAGGGGTTTTATAGGGTTTTTTTAGCTCTTGTTTTGATTAAGCTTGTTTGACTTGCAGGGTGTCTCCTACCTGTGTTCCAGCCACCCGATTTCCTTCCTCAAGAAAACTGTTTACTTACACTATTCAAATTAGTTATTCTCAGGGCTATTTTTATGACTTTGTAGCTTTTTTTTTTTTTTTTTTGGATGCAGTTTCACATAATAACATTGCTGGCTCGTGTTGCTAGCAAGAACTGATTCCAGCATTTATGTTCTTTGAATGTATTGTCGCATTCTTTCGGAGACTCAAGCTGTCCACATGAAGTGGATGAATTTGACCCAGTATTATTGTCCATCGTACTCTATTGTAATACATCAGCCCTAGTGTGTAAGTTTGTGCTTATTTCAGTTACATTAAAATCTGAGTTGTCTGGATCATTTCCTCTTCTGGCTTAGTAGTGCAGGACGAGATAATCTGAAATCACAGAAGAGTAAAAAATCTGCTGAGTTATTTACTCCAGCTGGATCTCTTAAGACTGTTCAAATTTCAGACCTAATTGATAATCTGTGAAATATTAAAGTCCCTAACCAAGCTGTTTCATTTCAGATTCTTCCCAAAACCTTGAGGTAGGGGAAAGAATCATCTTTAATATGTCAACTCGTGATTATTGAGGCAATGATCACTTTTTTAAATTGAGGAAAATGCTTATTAGATTGTTGAAGCTGCCTAGAGGGGCAAAAGAAGTGATAAGGCTGGTATCTCTGGTGCTTCGTAATTGGTCCATTTAAGTGTATGACCTGTAGGAATAGTGTCAAAGCTAAGGCTTTTGGACAGACGTGTGAAATAGTTTGTAAAGATTCGGTTTGGAGTCTTGCAAGTCTTTTTTTCTGCATACTCCTGCTCTTTGCAGTCACTGCTTGGCTAGGCCTACTATTTTTGGAAGTTCTTGAATTTCCTTTTAACCCAGTCAGTGGTTTTCCTTACTCTGTGGGGTTGGTCTCAGGTAGTTCTGCAGTTGATCTGTTCATTAACCAGTAAGAAATGCAAGACACACTGGTGTCCAACATTGGGTCTGCAAATGTTAGACACAGGCCTTGATCTCTAGGAACTAGTTTAGTTGGAGAGACAGTAAGGTAGCAAAGTGTGTAAGGGATGGCTTACAGAAGGTTCATTCCTACTGTAGTCTTTTGCTGACCTCTTAATTGACAATTGACTTTCAAGATGGTAGAAATGCTGCTTTTCATGACTAAAATAATGTTTTATGGCTCAGAGAGCCTTACTTCCTAATTCTCTAGAGCAAAACACTGATTTAGGGAATATGAAATGTATGTTTATGTATGGCAGGAACAAAGAATCTGAGGCCAGACTCTTGAGTTTGATTTCTAGCTCTGCCAAATATTAGCTTGGGCAACCTCATTTGACCTCTCTGCTTCTTTATCTGCTTAATATACTAATCTAGCTCTATGGTAATTGGAAGGATTAGAATGTAAAGAACAGACCCTAACGTAATACTGAGCCTTATGTAGTGTTGGTTATTACTGTTTTCTGACTTTGCAAAGATGCTGCTTCACCATAAACATAAAAAGATTGAATGTCTTCCTAGTGTGTGGGAAAATGGTTTGTTCGTTTCATAAACGAAACAAAGTTCATTTATGTATTTGTTTCACAAAATAGATAACATTAAATATAACTCTCTGAAGTGAGGCATAGATTTTGTGAAAGCACAATGAATGCTCATTTACCGACAGTGGATAGCAAAATGGGATGTTTTGGGTAAATAACATTTTGATTTCATTAAAATTATCATATGTGTAATCCATTTTCCATGGGTTAGGTAATAATAAAGTTGATCTTTGCAACTGCTAAATTGAAGTTTTATTTTTTAATCCAAAGTATTTCACTGTATAACTTCAAGAGGCGCCATTTATGCAGACTGTCATACGAATGGTCCTCTCCTGAAGCTGTGCGGTATGGTTAGCCCTGAGAGAGGATGCTTACTGTGTGGGAGACAACCCTCCAATATCTGCATGCTTTCATGTTTCCTAATTTATCTCAGAGTTAGTATGCAGAGTGTGAAAGACTGTTTTAATTTTTCTTTCCTGATGGTTTGGATTTTATACAAAATTGTGTTACTGGTACAATTGGATTGAGAATGCAAATCTGAGCGAAATGTAACTTGTTTTTTTGTTTGCTTCGCTGAAAAGTTCAACTGCTCTGCTTCCATCTGTTCTTGTCTTGCCTTACCTATTATGGAGTCCTCAGGCATTAAATTTTGTTGTGATTGCTGCATTTGAAACCAGAAGTAACCTGAAGAAAAAGGGTCGAGTAAGTAAATACATGGTAGCTATACTAGTATAGTCACTAGCTTGTAGGCCAGGAAAAGTACCTGTTTATGCCGTATGGTTTTTAAAGAATATTGATTTGTCTGTAAATCAACTAGCCTTGAGGAAAGTGGCTGCAGTGACACAGGAGTGAAAAAATGTAAACATATTAAACTGTTTTTAAGGGCTTTTGTCTTTATCAGAACAACAACAACAAAAAACATTCTAGAATGTTAATTGGATTTTGGTTATTAGGAGAATGGCTAATTTTATTTAGATTAATTTTATGTATTTCTTTAATGAGCAAGTGAAAAAAACTTGGGAAAAAAGCAGGTGCCCTTAGCAACAAATTTTCTCTTTATTTAGATATTGAACGTTGGCATAAATACCAGGATGACAGTTCATAATATCCTTCTCCTTCAGCAGGGAAGACTAAAACAGTAATTATAGGCCTAAAGAATGTTATTACAAAAGGGGACCTTCCAGTAGAAAGAAGCATATAGCAATAAGATTCAACTCATTCTAATAATAATAAAGTATTCAGACAATTTTGGTGCTATAGAGAACCTTTTAAATGTTCAAGGGACATTTTAGAAGGCTGGAGAGGTAAATGATTTGTCTGTGGTCACATATCACATTGGTACAATTAAAATTGGAATTAAATTCAGATGTGCTAACTCTTGAGCCTCTTCCCCCTCCCCACGCTAGGTACACCAGGCTGCTTAGTTGAATTTAACTGTCTAATGTGAAATTAGCTCCTCCTCTAAAAGGTTTTAAGTAGAAGTTCTTTGATAAAGAGATTGGTTGACTTGTATGCTCTCCTCTTTTGACTTCATTTAATCCCAAAGAGTTATTTAGCTTCTTAACGTATTTACCAGCCCCCAACCCCCTCCTGCCTTGGTCTGCTAACTCTTAACCTTTTCTTCACTTCCTTTCCTATTGAGTTTAGACTTCATTTTAGCAACCAACAGAAGCCAGCTTTGGCTAGTTTAAGCAGAAATGATATTAAGAGTTATTAGTTACCTCACACATTCTTCAGGAGGGCCAAAGAAAAGAGGGAGCCAGGAACAAACTTCAGAATCACATCACGATGATTTCAGTGCTCACACTGTGTGCAACACATTCTACAGTGTGTGCGGTGTGATTATTGATGTCAAGCGCAGAATGCTACCACTAGAACTCTGCTGCTGTCTTAGTGGTAACTACTGCAGTTCTCTCCAGAATGGGTTATTTCTTTGCTTGTGATGCGCAAGAAGTGCTGGATGCATACTACCAACCTCATTTTGCCCTAAATGCTTCCAGGCAGTCCTTTTGTGTGACCACGGGTAAGTTTTTCTTTTTCTACAAGTTACTTAAAATTTTTACAATTTTCTTATCTCCCAGCTCCAACATTATACTAAAGAGTGGGAGCTAAAGGAACATATGAATGAGTGGGGGAATTTTTAACATTGTTTAATAGTTAACATAGACAAATGACTAAAATTACACATAAGGGCCTGAAATGAATTACCAACTTGAAAAAAACAAGTAAAATTTTATGAAAGAAAAAACCCACAATCTACATCATTTTTTACATAAAAGCTGGATCAAAGAAAAAAACCAAGTTCACTGGTTTTTGCTAATAAATCTTATTATTTTAGTGTTCACCACATAAAACAGGCTTTTAAAAAATTTCCCTAATTTTAATTCAAGATGAATACAGAAGAACATTTCCTACCTCACCTACTAAGTTATATACCCACTCCCAGAACCTAAAATATGCAATAGGTTTGTTAATAGTGCCTCGAGGACCATGGCACACAGCAGTCCCAATGAACTGTGTTACTAAGCTAGGTCCTTTCTTTTCATTCAGCATTCTGAGACATCTCTGTCAAATCATTCCTGAGATAACAGAGTTCATTAAGATAGACAGCTACATTATTTAAATCACTAAAGTCTTATTTTTATTTTTTGAGCTGGTGCTAAGAAAAGTTCAGGCAATGAAGTGTTATGTCATTCATCAAATCAGGAACCATAGAAAATGGAGATGCTTGACTGCCACGAGTCTACTAATTATAGTGCTGAATATTCAAAGGACATTTTTACCACCAAGAACTTCATGAGTGTTTTATGAAGGAATAGTTGACACCATCTTTAGCTGTGATGCCAATATTTGGAAATCTTTGAAAAAACAAAGAGGGAAAAAAGATGGAGACGAGGTTTTTAATCTTTCCAGAAAACTTTAAAAATGTCTTTAGAAATAAACAAGAACATAATAGCCCTGTAATCTGGTTCTGCTCTTCATATATTAATAGTATCCTAACTCACACCTCCTGTACCTTAAGACCTTGACTACTCACAATGAAATAAACTGCTGGATGCCAAGAAGTTTTACTCTTCCTTCCAGTTATTTAATACCACAATGCCATGAACAAAATAGCAATGAGTAAACATTTGTAAGTAAATTTATATTTCAAAGTCACGAAACATTTTAGAGCATGTTGATCTCATGCACTATCAAAGATAGGCAAAATGGTTTACCATCTGATAATTCCAAGTCAAAATAGTATATACCAATTTTTCAATCAAATCAGTTTTTTTCCTATTTTTATCTTAATAAGACTATACTTTTCTGGTTACCAGTTCAAAAAGAAAAAAAAATTTATGACATTATGGCTTAAATTTACCTTTTTCATGAAGCACCACTTCACGATTATGAAGGGTTGAAAATAGCCCTTTTAACTCCCGTGCTGTTTACTGTCCCTGCCAAACATTAGACATTTACTGCTTATGTAGTTAATTGTCTTTATTGTATACCATCAAGATTAGGAAACATGGGCCGGGCCCGGCAGATCACGAGGTCAGGAGATCGAGACCATCCTGGCTAACACGGTGAAACTCCGTCTCTACTAAAAATACAAAAAATTTAGCTGGGCGAGGTGGTGGGTGCCTGTAGTCCCAGCTACTCTGGAGGCTGAGGCAGGAGAATGGTGTGAACCCGGGAGGTGGAGCTTGCAGTGAGCTGAGATTGTATCACTGCACTCCAGCCTGGGTGACAGAGTGAGAATCTGTCCCCCCAGCCCCCCCAAAAAAAAAAGAAAGAAAAAGATTAAGAAACACATCCTGAAACCAGACTGAATAGAGCCCAGCAGCTTGGATTTGAATCTTCACTCTGTCATTCACTAGCTTTGGTCGATTACTCTTTGTTTCTCAGTTGTAAAATGAGTATGAGGATTAAATGAGCTAATACATATGTAGCACTTAAGTCAGTATTTGGCATAGTTTGTTCTTAACTGTTACCCGAGATTTTCTTTTATTGATTCTCTGTATATCTGGGACAGTGCTTGATAATTGCATGTGGTCCCTGCTTTTATGGGGCTTACAGACTGGTGGGGAGGAAAATATACACAGACTATAATACAACCTGATGTGTTTAGTGGGCAGAAGAATTGGGGAGGCAAGATAGACAAGAAATAAAGGAATTCAGCTTAACAGTTTTTCTTCTTGGTGGGACAATTTGTTAGTAGGATTATTCTGATTTTTGTCCATTGTCATTGTCAGTGATTGGAATAATCTTAAATGCTGTTCCTGAGATGGAATTTACCAATGAACACAGCAGATACAGTATTCCTCATCAGCTCTGGGTGGTACCTAAGCATTGCAGATGTTCGTTCACCAAGCAAGCATTTATTTAGAATTTACCACCATTTACTAGCTGGGGTTCCTCTCTTCAAATAGTTTAGGGTCTGAGAAGTAAACCAGCAGTTATTGTGCGTAGTTACAGTAAGTGGAGAGGTGGTAATGAACAGGAAACTGGAAGTACAAGGGAGAAACTTTTAGACTAATTCAGACCTGAGATACATTCTGATGTATCTCAGATTATATATACTTTGACTTTCAGAAGTCCCTCCAGCTCCCAAGTCTCCATTCCTTTTCACTGAGCTTCACAGAAATATTGATCTGGTCTAGGTTTGAGGGAAAAAATTAGGATGTAGAGATTTCTAGCCCAAGTCATCTGGCCCCATCTGTTCATTATTACTTCAAGTGGAATAGAGAGTACTTACCTATTTGTTACCTATCAACCCATAAATAAAGCTTTTCCCAAAAAAGGAATACTCTGGTCTAAAGTACTCTGAGATTTAGTCTTTGGTACGCAGAATCTTAGAAATAGATTTTTCTTCCGTTTTTCCTTCTCTGAATCTGCCACCTAAGAAATTTTGAGATTTAAATATGTGGGAGTAGAAGGGAAAAGAAAGAACAAGGGAGGGGTGTGTCTTGAGAATCATTATTCTCCATTTGACTTTAGGATAGGCATTTTCAGGAAATTCTCATGGACCCAGTTAGCTTATCTGGGGGAGTCTAAGTGGTTAGGAGCAAGATAGGCACAAGAGGTGAAAGCAGAAAGGGAATACAAAATTGTCTTAGCTTTGCTTGGTTTGCTTTTATTAGTTTTCTTAAGCTATTTTCATTTTATTTACTGTTGGAATCTATAGGTCTTTTTCAAGGACGTGTTTAGGTAGGTGCTAACTTTGGTTTGGTTTTACCAAAGCAAGGAGTGATCATATAATGTAAGTTTAAAAAGCTTAGCAAACTTGGGTACAGTAACTTTTAAGAGCATCAGTTTTTTCATTTGCAAAGGAAAGGTGGTGAAATAAGTAGATGATGTCTTATGTCCACTAGGGGGTAGTGTGTACTGTAAAAATTAAAATAGTTCCTCAGTGAACTCTTTACTTCATCATTCAGTTAGCTTGTTTGAATTAATTTTTGTTCATTTAATGTGTTTTGAAATTGCCATAAATTTTTTTCAAACACAATCTTGTGAGTGTAGCAAACAGCAACTGTTGTTACATGCATTTCTGTTATTAGTGATGTCAAATGTTCTGACATTACTTTTTTTTTTTTTTGAGACGGAGTTTCACTCTTGTTGCCCAGGCTGAAGTGCAGTGGCACGATCTCGGCTCACTGCAACCTCCGTCTCCCAGGTTCAAGTGATTCTCCTGCCTCAGCCTCCCGAGTAGCTGGGATTACAGGCATGCAGCACGAGGCCTGGCTAATTTTATATTTTTAGTAGAGACAGGGTTTCTCCATGTTGGTCTCGAACTCCTGACCTCAGGTGATCTGCCCGCCTCGGCCTCCCAAAGTGCTGGGATTATAGGCATGAGACACCACGCCCGGCCTGACATTACTTTTTGTATAGAATTTTTTGAGGGGAAAATAGTGATGCTTTAAAGTTTCTGTACAAAATTTTACCTATTATATGAAATAAATTAAATTATTCATAATGACCAGGCAGTAACATTATAACATGATTGTCTTGTGTTTCACTCTCCAGACTAATTTGGGAGCCACTAATCATTCCATGTGGCTGTTGAGTAGTTGAAATATGACTAGTTTAAATTAACATGTGCTACAAGTGTAATTTGCACAGTGGGCATTGAAGGCTATGATAAAAGATAAAATACATCATTAATTTCATACTGATTTCATGTTGAAATAATATTTTGAATACATTTTTAGATAAAATATATTAAAATTAATTTTACTTGTTTCTTTTTACTTTTTTATTTGGCTACTAGAAAATTTTTAAATACTTACGTGGCTTGTATTATATTTCTGTTGGATAGCAGTGCTGTGGAGAAAAGTACTCATCAGCCATTTTTATCTTAGTGTATCTCTAGGTGGCCTTATGATTTGTAAGGAAGTAGTGTAATGGGGAGCTTGAGCAAAACTTTGGTTCTATTTCTAATCCCAGCTAGAAAATAGGCAGTCAGTTTTACTATAATGAGACATTATATGTTTCTAAGAATGTTATGTTATACAAAATCATGTAGTAAAATTCACAGGGCTTACAGATAAAATGAAGCAAGGGGTATGCACTTGAAAATGTCCATTGATGATAATTAACTTTTTGTTTTGTTTTGTTTTGTTTTTAAGAGACAAGGTCTCACTATCGCCCAGGCTGGGGTGCAGTGGTATGATCACAGCTAACTGTAACCTTGAACTCCTGGGCTCAGGCAGTACTCCCACCTCAACCTCCCAAGTACGCTAGGACTATAGTCATATGCCAGCATGCCCAGCTAATTTTTTTAGTTTTTTGGTTTGCAGAGATGGGGTCTTGCTATGTTGCCCAGGCTGGTGGTAACATTTTTTAAATGCTCACTTATTGGGCCAAGTGTGGTGGCTCACGTCTGTCATCCCATTGCTTTGGGAGGCCAGGGCGGGAAGATTGCTTGAGGCAGGAGACCAGCCTGGGCAACATAGAGAAACCCATCTCTACAAAAAAAGTGATAAATAAAAATGCCCACTTATATATATAGAGGGTGAACTTGCAGATTCTCATAAGTAACTTACAGTTGTGTACATAATGAAGAATTGACTTGCTTTATTAGTGATCCCAAAAAAGGAGCCCGTTTGTTTTATCTTACAAATTTTTCATAATTTTTTTCTTTATTTAAATTTTTTTTCTATAACACACAACTTTGTCCAGAACCCTGTTTGTTAATATTTTAGAATCGCTTAAAGATGTAGTGACAGGTTGGAGTTTACAGAGTAGGTATCATTGAAGCATCACTCAGTTTTTTAACACTTATTTTTCAGTAATGAAATTGGCAGTTACTGAGTTATCAGACAGCTCTTGTTTGAGATGAGCTAAAAGATCTACAGTTGATATTACTGGTCATATATTGCAATTTTGTGTTTCAGAGAATATTCTAAAAAACCTAATCACTGTAGACAGGATGCACTGGGATATAGATAGTTACTAACTGGACCAACTTTTCTCACACACAAATTAGCACTTTTTCTAAGAATACTGTTTATTACCCCAAAATTTTACTGTACATACTCCAATCATTGCCTTGCAGAAGAGCATCTAAGACCTGTCATTGCTTCGTACTGAGCACAAATTATTTTTCAACTTAAAAATAAGAGTCCTGGTTAATAGAGATAGGTTGACAGAATGTCAGTTGTTATAATTGACTAACTACAGTATAGTTTACAGTAGTGTGAGTCTAGGGTTTGCTCTTCAAGACCCAGTAGATCTGTTGATAATTAGATCAATTTGATGTGATATTTGATTCCTTTTAAAAATATTTGTAGCATTAACTATTGTATGCGTTCTATAAGATGAGATACCTTCCTTTAGACTTAATTTTGTGGACATTTAAATCCATACCCTATTCCTTTACCAACTTACCTGTCTATTTTAGTAACTAACTTCCTGAACATAGTCTACATTAACTAATTTCCTGAACATAGTCTACAGTGCTTTCTATTATGCATGGCCCTAAACTCACTTCTGTTTGGGATTCAATCCTTGGACTGCTTTTAAACATAATAGAATCACAAAATTCATTTAAGGGTTATTCTGTTTTTCTGTAAACAACTATGGCCTTCCTATGTGATCTCATTTGTCAACTTTTTTTTTTTTTTTTTTTTGGTAGTGATGGGGTCTCACTATGCTTGCCCAGCTTGGTCTGGAACTCCTAGCCTCAAGTGATTCCCCTGCCTGCCTCAGCCTCCCAAAGTGCAGGGATTACAGGTGTGAACCATGGCATCCCACCTGCAATGTAAATTATTTGTGCCAAAAGATAGATAAGGCCGGGCGTGGTGCCTCACGCTTACAATCCCAGCACTTTGGGAGGCTGAGGCGGGCAGATCACTTTAAGTCAGGAGTTCGAGACCTGCCTGGCTAACATGGTGAAACCCTGTCTCTGCTAAAAATACAAAAATTAGCCAGGTGCTCACTTGGACCCAGGAGGCAGAGGTTGCAGTGAGCCAAGATCGTGCCACTGCACTGCAGCCTGGGCAAGAGAGCGAGACTTGTCTCAAAAAAAAAAAAAAAGATAGATAAGTGAAACAGTAGGAATTTTAGCCCTTTACTTCTTCACTTAAAGAAATCATACTGTACTCTGTCTTTCCACCAAAGAATAGTGTAAAACCAGAAGGTATTTTAGTTAGTCATGTGTTGAATAGTGGCCGGAAAGATTTTATTTCCTAGCCAGTTTTTGCCTTTTTAGGAAAAAAGTTGACATCAGTTTCTGTGGTTGAGACTTTTTCAGATGCTGCCATTTCAGACTTGTTTCATTTAGTTTGGATTTTATTCCTTTTTTCCCCTCCCACAGTTTATGCTGTGGGTTTGTTAGGGAAACCAACAGTTTAGTGAAATAATTATGCATGTTTTTGTGTCAGTCCATTAGAACTTGAGAGCAGCATATATTATAAGGACTATTTCAAAATGTTTTCTACACACGAAAGCTTATTTTAGAATGTGTTCCAATTAAATCTAGGCTTGATCAGGTCACATGATGTGCTTAATATGTACATTCTTTACAAAGAATATCTGATTTTGAGGGTGAACTGAAGATGAGAAAGTAAATGCCATACCTATCTCTGCCACTGTGTATTGAGAGTGATTTTGAAGCTATTTTGGGATACGCTTTTGGAGGCCTTTCTGTAGCTTTTTATAGTAGATACAGAGCTGCTACTACTTTGTGTAACTGGTGAGTGGTGGATTGGGACTCTTGGGCCCTGGCTTTCTTTTTTTTCCAGTCACCCAATTTATGGCTTTCTAAAAACATGAAGACCTGGGGTAAAATTAAAGGATGGAGGTGAGGAGAGCCCAGAATTCAAGGAATTTTACCATCCAGTTATTTTCTCATTTTTCTACTCCTGCTATTCATCCCTAATATCTTAACTTTTTTCCTAAAAAATGAAGACCAGCCTCTTTTGTTCTGGTCACATGTTAAAGGACTTCCCAAGGTCAGAGGCTTCATTATTGCCTCTTGAGCTTTTTAATACTCTAAAAATGTTTTAGTTTGAACCTAAAGAACATGTCAGTTTCTCACTTGCTCTTACATCGCCATGATCAAAACAAAAAACTAGTCTTAAAATACCAGAGACATTACCTAAAATGGCCATGGGTTTAATTAACACATTTTGGGGAAGCATTTGATTTGTATTTACATCTTATGACTATTTCAGTATATTACTGTGCTGAGAGAGAAGTTATTTGTTGTTGTTGTTTTTAACGTATGCCCTGTAGCTTGTGGAATGAAACAGTTTATGATGTATTTTTTTTTAGGTGAAGGCAGTGTAAATAAAATGTTCTCATTTATTGTTTTTCATACCTAAAAGCTTATTTAAATATGAACATTTTTCTGGTTAAAAATAAATATAAGTAGAAGTTAGACTATTTTTCCCCATACCTGAGTGGCTCCTTTTGTTTTCCTTCCATAATGTGCACATCCTGCCTTGAAAATAACCCTGCCTTAATGATGTTAACGATGAAATTCTGATCGTTTATTTCCCTCTTTTCATAACATCAAATAGATTCAGAATTCAGTAAATATTAATTGAATATCTATTGTGCCAGGCAGTGTTCCAAATGCTGAGGATATAGCAGTCCATAAAATAGACTCAAATCCATCCTCTCATGGAGCTTAAATTCTGAACAAAATAAGTAGAAATGAGATTTGTTAGTAGTGCTGTGGAGATAAAGCCAGGGAGTGGGGATAGGGAGTGTGCAGGGTAGGGTTGAATGGGGTTTGCAATTTCAGTTATGATGGCTTCACTGAGAAAACATGAAGATCTTAGGAGCTGAGGGAGCAAGCCATATGGATATCTTGGGGAGGAAGAGGAAGTACAAAGCCCTTGAGGTGAGCGGATGCCTGGCACGTTGAAGAACTACAAGGAAGCTAATTTTTGTCTGGAACAGAGAAGGTTAGGGGATGGAGAGAGAACAGCTGAAGATAAGTCAGAGAGGTAGGTGGAGTGAGGGCATCATATAGAGCGTCTTTTGGGGGCCCATTACAAGGACTATGACTTTTTTTTTTTTTTTTTTTTTTTGAGACGGAGCTTCGCTCTTTTGCCTAGGCTGGAGAGCAATGGCATGATCGGGGCTCACCGCAACCTCCACCTCCGGGGTTCAAGCGATTCTCCTGCCTCAGCCTCCCAAGTAGCTGGGATTACAGGCATGCGCCACCATGCCTAGCTAATTTTATATTTTTAGTAGAGGTGGGATTTCTCCATGTTGATCAGGCTGGTCTCGAACTCCTGACCTGAGCCGATCCACCCGCCTCGGCCTCCCAAAATGCTGGGATTACAGGTGTGAGCCACCATGCCCAGACTTTTTTTGAGATGGAGTCTCGCCCTGTCACCCAGGCTGGAGTGCAATGGCACGATCTCAGCTCACTGCAACCTCCGCCTCCTGGCTTCAAATGATTCTCCTGCCTCAGCCTCCCGAGTAGCTGGGATTACAGGCACGTGCCACCATGCCCGGCTGATTTTGTATTTTTAGTAGAGATGGGATTTCTCCATGTTGATCAGGCTGGTCTCGAACTCCTGACCTGAGGTGATCCACCCGCCTCGGCCTCCCAAAGTGCTGGGATTACAGGCGTGAGCCACCGCACCCGGCTCAGGACTATGACTTTTAAAGGGTCTGTGGATAATAGACCTGCGAGGGAGGTAGTGAGGTCAGAAGCAGGAAGAACAGGTTAGGAGGCTGTTGTAGTATGCCAGGTCAGAGCTGATGGTTGCTTGGATCAGAGGTGTAGCAGTGGAATGGTGAGAAACAGTCCAATCATGAGTAGAATTTGAAGTATAAAAAAAACCAATTTGCCAATCAGGCTAGATGTGTGTGGCATATGAAGGAAAAGGTGGATCATTTGGAAAGATGGGTTTGCCAGTAACTGATGTGGGGAAGACTTTATGGGAGGAGCAAAGGTTGGGGATAGGGAGGTCATGTTAAGTTTGGGATGCTTATTAGACATTCAAGAGTGTATATCAAGCAGGTAGTTATAGAGGCAAGAGGCACGATGAGGGGAGAGGTCTGGGCTAGATATGAATTAGGGGAGGCTTCAGCTTATAGAGTGTGTTTAGTATTTAAATTCATTGCATTACA
The DNA here is from genome assembly GCF_000001405.40 of Homo sapiens. Lineage (NCBI taxonomy): Eukaryota > Metazoa > Chordata > Mammalia > Primates > Hominidae > Homo > Homo sapiens. The sequence continues at coordinate 93,413,394 of NC_000012.12, read as the reverse complement.
TGAGATCACTGTGGAAATGTATAAACAGAGAGGAAGCCCTAGAATAGAGCCCCAGTGCATTTCAGTGTTGCGATGTTGGGAGATAGAAGAAACCAACAAGGAAACTAAAGGAAGCTGCTGCCAGACAAGGAGGAAGAGAGCCATGAGAATGTTTATAGGAAGTTAGATAAAGCTTTGCAAAGAGGAAGGAGACCAGCTGGATAAGATGTCGCATTTAGGTAAGATAAAGATTAAGCACTGGACATTTGATTTAACCTTGTGGAAATCATTGGTGACCTTAACAAACAAGTTAGCGATAACTACAGCTTGATTGGAGGGTATGTTCAAGACAGAAGAGGAGGAGAGAAATTGGAGACAAGCAAAGTAGAGGTTCCTCTTCAAAGACTTTCCTCCCCATCTAATTAGGAATAAATAGTAACTTCTCTTAGAAGCAAAATTTATTCGAAGACCTGTGCAAACATTCTTAAATATTTGCTAGCCATAATAAAGAAATCAATATACTTTATGTTCTTAGCTCCCACAATTTAGCCTAAATATTTGCCCTGGCATGCTTATACTGGTCCAAGCAAGCATTAGGTCATAGCCTGTTCCTCTTCCTTATTTAAAAGTGTTTTTACCTTTCTCAGCATTCCACAAGTTACTTCCTCCTTCCTTTGTTCCCCTCTACCTTTACCTCTTTTAAAAAGTTCTAAGTTGCTAGCCAGTCAGGACAAATACAGAATGTGAGATCCCGTTCCAGCCAGTGGAAACCGGACACAGCAGTAGGGTGGACGCGTCAGGTTATAAATGACCCTGTCTCCTTTGTTCAGTATACTCTTGTGGCAAAACTCCTGGCGAGTGTACCCTTTCTGCAGGAAGTAAAAATGGCTTTACTAAATAAATTAAATTTATGTTCAAGTGCTATTTCTTTATGGTACCGAAGAACAAACATTTCAGAGATCAGTAAGATCTAGTGCTCAAGACCGATTGGCCCTAGCCAAGAGTACGTGACATTTCATCTATACAGGAGAAAAACCAGAGTGTATGGGTGCAGATGCAGGGAAATGTCCAAATGCTACAGTGGGAACTGATGGAAGTATCTAACTTGTCATGAAATAGGAAGCAGGACATCAGCCACAAGTGAGGATGGGGATGGAGATGCTGGAGGTTTGAAGAGAGAAGAGAAATAATAATAATACAATTATTTAGGGGAGAGGGAGAATGATGAAAAAGAGAACTAATGGTATGATTGTTGGGAGTATTAAGGGTTCCTCTGAAGTTAATTGTCAATTTTAGAGTAATCAGCATTGTTAAATATATTTCTTTAGTCCTGTTCAGGTACCTGGGCCTCTTCTTATCTCCTTTCTTTAGTCCGTTACATTTTTCAGAGGGGAGGTTTTCAGTGGGTTTAAAAACTAATTTTTGGCCGAGTGTGTTGGCCCATACCTGTAATCTCAGCACTTTGGGAAGCCAAGGCGAGCAAATCACTTGAGGCCAGGAGTTCAAGACCAGCCTGGCCAACAGGGTGATACCGTCTCTACTAAAAATACAAAAATTAGCTAGGTGTGGTGGCGCACACCTGTAATCCCAGCTACTCAGGAGGCCGAGTTGGGAGGATCACCTGGGCCCAGGGAGGTCGAGGCTGCAGTGAGCCAAGATCTTGCCACTGCACTCCAGCGTGAGTGACAAAGTGAGATCTTGTCTCAAAAACAAACAAACAAGCCAAAAAAAACCACCAAAAAAGCTAATTTTACTTTTTAAATAGCTTGGTTTTGGTTGAGTTTAGAGCAAGTTGCCTTACTTATGTAATCCTAATGTTACTTTATTTTACTTGAGTAAAAAATCAGTTTTATTAAGCTAATTTTATTAACATATTTGTAGACATTTGTAGCCAAAATGTATGATAACATCATTAGTATTCGCTTGCAGTTTCATTCAGCTGGTTGTAATTATTTAAATGGTATTTTTTTGAATTTTGCATTTTATAAGCTAAATCTGTTGGGAGATTGGAGCTGTTCTATTATGCGTAGTTCTAAGAGATGAACTTTCTAATTTTACTTTTGGTGTCTAGCAAAATGACATTTGTTTCACAAATGTGTTTGTTTTTCTGTCATAGGAAACCCAGCGTTTGCTGGCAGAACCAGTTCCTGGCATCAAAGCCGAACCAGATGAGAGCAACGCCCGTTATTTTCATGTGGTCATTGCTGGCCCTCAGGATTCCCCCTTTGAGGGAGGGACTTTTAAACTTGAACTATTCCTTCCAGAAGAATACCCAATGGCAGCCCCTAAAGTACGTTTCATGACCAAAATTTATCATCCTAATGTAGACAAGTTGGGAAGAATATGTTTAGATATTTTGAAAGGTAAGTGTTATCTTTATCAGCATATGCTATTATTAAGCTTTCTCCTTTTTCTCTTAAGCATTCCATGTTTAGAATGTAAACATTATACAAAGATCAGAGAGGTCTGTGGGAGGGAAGTGAAGCAGTTCTGGGCCTGTTTTTTTCATGCTTTATCATACTGGGCCTGTTGCCTTCATAGATAAGTGGTCCCCAGCACTGCAGATCCGCACAGTTCTGCTATCGATCCAGGCCTTGTTAAGTGCTCCCAATCCAGATGATCCATTAGCAAATGATGTAGCGGAGCAGTGGAAGACCAACGAAGCCCAAGCCATAGAAACAGGTATCTAATATTCATTCTCCTTCACACCACTTCCACTTTTACAAATTTGTATTACCACTTAAACTTTTCTAAAGCTCTTGGCAAGGAAAAGAAATAGAAAAAAGTATAATAAGTGAGATCCTGCTTATAGTATGTAAATACGTCTTAACAAAATGGCTTGCTATGGGACCCCCCAAATATAAAGACAACCTGTAATTGAAAGATCTTGGAGTCTCTTGTAACTACACCTGGTTTAACAAATACTGAGTGCATACCATTTATCTAGTTATATGTAAAGAATACTGGAAAACTTGAACTGTTTTTGTAACCCATTTGATTAAAGTATTCAGCTGTTTATGGCTACGGAATTTGGAGTCAAGAAGCTTCTGCTACAGATTTTAAGAAAATTAGTGGGGAGAATTGTGTATCTAGAAATGGACAACTTGATTCATCCTCTTGAATTTTCTAGAACTTCTTAATTTTATTGTAGTGTTTTGGTAATTGGACATTTACAAAATCTTTCAGCCCTGATCCAATTTATAGAAAAAGGCGTGAATTTAACAGATTACAGCATGACATTTCCATAATTAATAGTGGTTGTTTGCCATTTATAGTTTGGAAAGTAACATATTGAACTAAGTAAAATAATAATCGTATGTTTGTTTCTGTCTACAGCTAGAGCATGGACTAGGCTATATGCCATGAATAATATTTAAATTGATACGATCATCAAGTGTGCATCACTTCTCCTGTTCTGCCAAGACTTCCTCCTCTTTGTTTGCATTTAATGGACACAGTCTTAGAAACATTACAGAATAAAAAAGCCCAGACATCTTCAGTCCTTTGGTGATTAAATGCACATTAGCAAATCTATGTCTTGTCCTGATTCACTGTCATAAAGCATGAGCAGAGGCTAGAAGTATCATCTGGATTGTTGTGAAACGTTTAAAAGCAGTGGCCCCTCCCTGCTTTTATTCATTTCCCCCATCCTGGTTTAAGTATAAAGCACTGTGAATGAAGGTAGTTGTCAGGTTAGCTGCAGGGGTGTGGGTGTTTTTATTTTATTTTATTTTATTTTATTTTTGAGGGGGGAGGTAGTTTAATTTTATGGGCTCCTTTCCCCCTTTTTTGGTGATCTAATTGCATTGGTTAAAAGCAGCTAACCAGGTCTTTAGAATATGCTCTAGCCAAGTCTAACTTTATTTAGACGCTGTAGATGGACAAGCTTGATTGTTGGAACCAAAATGGGAACATTAAACAAACATCACAGCCCTCACTAATAACATTGCTGTCAAGTGTAGATTCCCCCCTTCAAAAAAAGCTTGTGACCATTTTGTATGGCTTGTCTGGAAACTTCTGTAAATCTTATGTTTTAGTAAAATATTTTTTGTTATTCTACTTTGCCTTTGTACAGTTTATTTTACTGTGTTTATTTCATTTTCCCAATTTGACAATCGTATTTTAAAATTGAAACTGATGGAACATTCTTTCTTGGTCTTCACCATCTGACAAATTGAATGGCAAGAGGTGGATTTTGCCAGTTTCTTTTCACTGATGCAGATTTGTGTTAAGATAGTACTGAATGGAGTATTTATAAACTGGCCCTGAGCATGCATAAAGCATCAGTATCTGACCTTTTTTTAACCTTCTAGGAATTTGAAATAAATGTGTTTGTGTTGTCTGATTAGATGATCATTGGTGTCTTGCCACAATGTTTAAAAATTACTGTACAGGAAAGTCACAGCAAAGATAGCAGTTGTGACTGACATGTAGGACTTTCACAGTTGTGCCACATTTTTGCCTAAAATTTGGGTTATGACATTTTTCTTGGTTCTTATCTGAAAATTTCATCTGTAACCTTTCATGTGTGTTAAGAAACACTGATCTGATCATTTGGGATTTGCTGAGGCATTTGTGAGTCTTCCTTATAAACCTGATGAGCAGATCTCAACTATCTAGCTTGTGTGTCATCAGAAAGGTTTATCCCTTTGAGAGTATCAAGTCCTCAGTTAATGATTCTTGCTTTCATCCCTCCAGTATTTGCTGTGGGAGCTCGTTTTATTCTTTAATTTGGAATTCAGTAATTTTTCTTCTTTATTGACGAATTCCTCCCCTCACAAAACTGTTCTTTCCCACCTCTCTCCATATCTAATTCCTGATTCTTGTTATTTTTAAGTCATAAATGTAGCCAGTCATAAATACATAAATGTTAACCTTCGGGTTGCAACCTTGTCTCTTGCAGTTTAAGGTAATGGATATTGTAGCCCATTTGAATTTTCTTCACTCTTATTCTCGTAATTCTGGAGTTTCTTCAGATTGTGGTGTATTTTATTGTGCTCCTATGTAAGATGAAGAATTAACTATTAAAATTACATTTTCAACATACAAAAGCTTTTGATGACTGGTAACTGGTATCCTTCCAAATAAATGCATTGCTTGGTAACAAATGTTAGCTTAATTCAGAATGAAATAGTTAACAACCCTAATATTGTAAAATTTGAAAACTGATAGCAGCTGTCATTTATAACAATTCTTGGGCTGTTTAAAGGGTACATTTGACTATAGCTAAGGAAATTGAATCTCACTTTAAAAATGAACCACACAAAACTTCAAGAAACGAAATAGAAATCAACATTTACTGCCCGTAATATTGCTCATGGTTATAGCTAGTATCACATAGTGATTTACAAACCATGAAATTCCAGATTTAAATCTGTTGCACTACAAAAATGTCTAAATGATGTCTGCTAAATTTGTGAGTTATAGAAGTACAGAAATAAGTCATTTTCATTTCAAATGCAGTGAATTTCTAATTTCATGGTATCATATTTTTTTCCTTTGCAGTTTTGGTAAGACTCCCCCATTACTTTGCTAAGACTTGCTTTCTCAACCAGTGGGATGAAACGAGTGCCAGTGTGTTGACTGAGCCTTCTTAGGACTTAAGGGGCTCTGGGAGAGGCCAAGGCAGCAGTTGAAAACTGCAGCTTCACCTGGCCTTTGGGCCTGTTTTCCCTGGCCCACACAGTGTGGCTGGTTAAAACATTCTGAATTTGATGCCAACATTTTTAAAAATTGGGAGATTTGCATGAAAATCCAGAATTCGGGTAACTTTTGAATGATCTGAAGATCTGGCAACAGTAGACCTGACCCACCTTTGTGCACGGGACTTAACTGAGAGGATCTGAGTAGCAGACACCCTAAGAGCATGTCATTGTCTTCTCACCAGTTACTCTCCAGTTGGCTAGAGTCCCCTCCGAGCACACCTGCTAGTCCTTCCCCCTTGTAAGCCTTTGACTTTGTAATCCCTGGGCTAAAGGAAACACATTATTCAACAAAAGTGTTTCATGTTTGCCCACTAGTTGTTGGGGATGATTAGGTGGTGAGTGAATGGCATGGGGCTTTCCTTTGGGGACCATATACTCTAATGGGGAAGGGGGACAGACAAATAGTTGTAACTCTGTCATGGAAAAGAGAAGTAACTTGGACAGACTTTTGGATTCAGGCCAGATGAACATCTCCAGGCAGAGGGAACAGCAGCATCTGCAAAGTCCTGGGAGAGAAGAAAAGAATCTGAACATTAAGTGGCTTCCTGAAAATCGACTGCCCAGGCCGGGCACAGTGGCTCATGCCTGTAATCCCAGCACTTTAGGAGGCCAAGGCAGGAGGATCACTTGAGTCCAGGAGTTTGTGACCAGCCTGGCTAACATAGTGGGACCCAGTCTTTATTTAAAAGAAAATTGCCCGTTAAGAGGCTTTTCTAAAATCTTGAGGTGTTGATAGGAGCTTTATGTTTTTTGACTTGATTGTTGTAGTCTACTTCGCTGCGATTTGCTTCTGCTCTAGTTATCCTTCATCCTCTCAAAGGCTGTCTAGCAAGATCTTAGGTCTAAAGTAAAGTCATCTCTTGGTATTTGTCGGGAACTGGTTCTAGGACTTCCTTTGGATATCCAAATTCGCAGATGCTCAAGTCTCTGGAATAAAATGATGTTGTATATGCATACAATCTACACAAATCCTCCCGCTTATGTTAATATTTAGATTACTTATAATACCTATTATAATGTAAGTGCTATGTAAATAGTTACACTATTGTTTAAGGAATAATGACAAAAATATACATGTTGACTACAGACACAATGTTTTTTGGAATATTTTGTCTGGTTGTTTGAATCCACGGAAGTGGAACCCATGGATATGGAGGGCCAACTATATAGAACCTTACTCTAGACCAAGAATGTACTTGTAAAACAATTTCAAAGAAGCACTTAAAAATAAGATTAAATACAAACCAACAGATAAAAGTCACAGGTGCTATGGTTGTTTGATGGAGAATGGGGAAGGAAATCTGTCCTAAAAGACATTATAAACACAGTGACCTAAGTGGAACTAAATTGGATCGAGGAAATGATAGGAATAGGCCTCATTTTTCTGTTGAATGGTTCAGGAACCTTTTTTTTTTTTTTTTTTTTTTTTTTTTTTGGCTGCTCTAGCCACTTTCTAGCTCTGTAGTTTAGGCTGGAGTGCTGTGGCATGATCTTGGCTCACTGCAGGTTCTGCCTCCCGCGTTCAAGCGATTCTCCTGCCTCAGCCTCCTGAGGAGCTGGGACTACAGACACCTGCCACCACACCTGGCTAATTTTTTGTATTTTTAGTAGAGACGGGGTTTCACCATGTTGGGCCAGGATGGTCTCCATCTCCTGACCTCGTGATCTGCCCGCCTCGGCCTCCCAAAGTGCTGGGATTACAGGCGTGAGCCACCGTGCCCAGCCCTGCCACATCTTTTTTGTTAGTTGCAGTAGCAATACAACCTTATCTAGAAAAGCTGGCCAAAAAAGAAAATACCATGATAATAGGGTACCTAATTTATTGCTTTATTTAAGAAAAATGTAATATTTCATTCGAATAAGTACTTTTGGGCTGGGATGATATTTCATTTAGCTACTTGGCATGCCACCCATCTTAGGGAATTATATGAGGGTTTATACTTTAAATAACATAAAAAGCAAAACATGCTGAATGTAATAATTTGAGAGAAGTGTAAATAATAAAAATCTGTCATCTACCACCTGGACTAGTAATATATTGTTTGTTTTCTTAACTATACACTCACCCCTGCACTCATCTCCATTTTATCGTGGAAGTCAGGTATATTCCAAGAGTTGGCTTTATGGTACTAACTTGCCATTAGCTGCCATGCTGGGAGCTGGACTAAAATTTTTCCTCTTGTGTGGAATCCAATATTAAGAGTTCGGGTCTCCCCGGCCCTCTCCCAGTTTCATCTTGTCACCCTTGAGCTGATCTCATTTCATGTGTCTTGTATGGCCCTGCTGGGTGGCACTGGTAAGTGTATGAACATAGACTTGATACCAACCTCTGTCTCTACTACTGAATTGATCACATGATTTTTCTTTCTCAGTTTTATTTTTAAAGACTCCTGATCCATCTTACCATATGACTGCTTTTGAAATAGTTCCATGATGTAGATTAGTAAATATCGATAGTTCTTAAGTTTTATTATAACCTAGTAAGTTTACAAAGTCTCCTGGCTTAAGGTCGGGAGTAGATATCAGATCTGGCAAAAGCAGCTTAGATGTGATAGGCTGATTGCACTAGATTGAACTTGGTGCTGTTTCTCTTAGGTTTTAACAGGACACATCAGGACTGAGCAACCAAGTAAGTCCAAGTTATTACAATTCATGTTGTTTTTTTCTCCTAAAACAGTAAATATTTCGGCCTTTGTGGACCATAGGTCTGTCTCAACTACTGAATTCTGCCATTGTAGTGAGAAAGCACCCACAGACGATTTGTAAACAAATGGGCATAGTATTTTTTTTAAAAAAAAAAAAACCTAAAACATTAAAAAAATTTTAAACTTGTTGGCCGTACAAACAGGCAGTGGGGTGGGGTTTGGCCTGTAGGTTGTAGTTCTCTGCCCTGCTCATGTCTATTTCCCAAAACATTTTTTAAACCATACAGGCGTTTAAAAACAAAATCTACAATCTGTACAACCTCATTTTAAGTGACTAAGCTTTTTCAGTGTATGCCAATACATGCATAAAACAGGTAGTTCTGTCTAGTAGTGTTCTGCCTTTTTCAATCACTATTGAAAGGACTCCCTGTGGCAGCACATAGCTCTTTGGTAACCACAAAGTATCCAGTAAATAGATTGCCATGACTTAATCACATTTGAATATTAAATTGGTACCAGTTTCATAAATCCTACAACACACATATTTGACCATAGCTTGGTTGTGCAACTTGTCCATTTGTTGACTAGACTCCCAGGAGTGGAACTGTTGGGTGAAAGGGTATGTATGCAGCTGTGATAAAATACTACTCAGTAGCTCTCCGACAGGCTGTATCAGTTTCCACTCAGATCCTTACGCAAATGTCATTTCTAATGACTGTAATATTACACCATATGGATATATTGCAAGTTAACCATTACAAATCCTTTGCTGCTGAGCATTTTATTTTAATGGCTTTTCACTCTAGTGCCTTGTCTTGGTATATGTCTTTGTCCACATTCCCGTAGATACGTTGAATTCCTAGTATATTTACTTCGTCAATAGGCATGTTTCTTAAGGTTGATAAATAATGATGGCCAAATGAAAGTACTTCACTAACATGAATTTGAGGAAAAGTTGAGAAAAGCAGGAAAATTTACTTCCATTGTCTGATACTGATTAGCATCAGGAGAGTGGGAGTCTACATATTGGGAGATGTTTGTCAAATGTTACAAAAATGCATTAAGAGTAATACCGGGTTATCAGAATTTGCTGAAATCATATCAAGGTGGAAGAATTAGAGAATAGTTCCCTGGCTAGAAGACGTTGAACCTTTGAGTGTTTAGGTCTTTGCTATAATGTCTTGCTTGCTAAGATAGGCCTTAATGGCCCTCTCATCGTACTGCTAGAATTTAGCCAGTGGCACCAGTCAGGAAGGTATTAAAGTAGCACCAGCGATAGATTACTTTTCATCCTGACTTTTGTCCTAGAGCTCCATAAAATGTGCATTTGGTGGGGGAAATCACGTCTACAAATAAAATTGTATTGCTTTTGAAGATGGTATAAGTCTATAGATAAAAAAGCTGTAAAACCTTGAAAAATACTGAAGGATGTAAAAACACCAAGATAGGCCAGGTGCGGTGGTTCACGCCCATAATCCCAGCACTTAGGGAGGCCGAGGCAGGCGGATCACGAGGTCAGGAGTTTGAGACCAGCCTGGCCAATATGGTGAAACCCCGTCTCTACTAAAAATACAAAAAAATTAGCCGGGCGTGGTGGCAGGCGCCTGTGATCCCAGCTCCTCGGGAGGATGAGGCAGGAGAATCGCTTGAACCTGGCAGGCGGAGGTTACAGTAAGCTGAGATTGCACCACTGCACTCCAGCCTGGGCGACAGTGTGAGATGCTGTCTCAAAAAAACAAACAAAAAAGCCAAAACTACACCAAGATAAATCACTTATCTCTACCCCACTAGAATATAAGCTCTTTGAGATTAGAAAATTGTTTTGTGCTCTTATCACAAATACTAGGCATAAAGAAGATGCTTATTATTGAACAGCAAATGCTTAAAAAGACCTGCAGGCCAGACGAGGTGGCTCATGCCAATCATCCTAGCACTTTGAGAAGGCTGAGGCTGGAGGACTGCTTAAGCCTAGGAGTTTGAGACCAGCCTGGGCAACACAGCAAGACCCCATCTCTACCAAAAAAAAAAAAAAATTAAAGAGTCCTATAGAGAATTCTTATACTCCAATGTGAAGACAACATTGGAAAGGGCCAAGTTTCTCATGCCCTCCAACTAAGAAACCCCTAATAAAAAATGAAGTGACACTTGAACAGGACTTAAGGATTCTACAGTTGGTCTTTGGCAGCAGTATGTTTTAGGAAATGTAATGCGGCGGGTGGGGCGGTGACTTAGCCAGTTATGCTTTTAAATGGAACTGCAATAATAAAAGTGATACTAGTGCAGAAAGTATCTGTATTAGAATTCTAGAGTAAGTCAAGAGCTCACATTCATTAAAATAATGACACAACTCCACGGGGGTGGGGAGAACAGCAGTAAAGCAACCACATACTATACTATTAGACTGGCAACATTGAGACTGAAAATATCCATGAGGAGAATACTGACATCTTAGTGGTAAGCATTTCCTTTTAACCCGGTAATTCCAGTAGTAAGGATCATACAAATGTACCGCTAGGAAGAGGTAACGTATATGATCATCAATGGGAGAACAGTAAAGGTGTTACTGTGGAATTCCCGACAGGCTTTCACTTGGAGGGGGAATATTTGAACACAAGTTTAAACAACCCAGGGTAAGCACACAATGCACTATGCACTGAAAGGTATACGTTTCCGCTGGGTGTTTATACATTTCAAAGTTAAAAGCATACACCTTACCCAAAGTTTCAGAAACCTGGTTTGCAAATCTGAGTTCATGTGTGTGTGTTTTTGTTTTTTTTTTAAAGCCATGATCATTTTTTCCATTTTTATTTGATGTTTCCAAATATAAAAAAGTCAGGATTCTTACATCAATTATCTCAAATGAGACCATGCAAAGCAATTCAGTGTATACAACAATCATTTTTCCCCTTCAGTTCTGCTGCTTTATACAACAGTGTGATTGACAGAAAATTGGATGGCATGTGCCTGGTCAGAAAATGTCATCTGTTTACAAAATAACATCATGCAGCACAGTTTCTACTTTGTCTGCAAGTCAATTCACAAAAACTACTTATTTTCTGTTTTTTATTTGGGAGGCACATGGAACTGAAAAATTTAGCTGCCCAATTTTATTCAACTACCCCACCAAAAAAAAAAAAAAAAAATCACAAATGACAGTCCCAACACTCTGCAAATTTTGGAGGGTTGAGATAGTAGACACTATTTGTCATACTCAGCAGAGTTAACTATTTAACAGAAATAAATCTCCCTAGGGCCTTTCCTCTCATTTTGCTAGACTGGGTTCCAGGAGAATCGTGAAGAACCCCTCATGTAAAATTTGAAGTGTGAAAACTGTGTTGTTGCATTATGCAGATTTTTGCTAGTTGCATAGACTAAAGACGTTTTGCTAAATGGCACTGAAAATCCTTACCGAGTGTCACTATTCAGTCCAAGTGTTTCTGACCAAAGAAAATTATACAACAATATTTATAGGCTAACTTTAAAGAGATGGTTGACGTTAATACTGTACATATTTTACATGTCAAATACATAGTCCAAGAGTTTATAAAATAAATTCATGCATCATTACCTTATTACCTCTAAGAATATCATGTACAAGATGGGCACTCCCCCACCCCCCCAGTACTTATGACAGCATTTCAGGTGGAAGCAGTCTTATATACAAAAACAATCCAGTTTCTCTGCTATGTTAAGTATATAATTTAAGGAAATTTCAGAGATTACTGACCAAAAAAATCTTAGTCCATTGAAGATAGAAAGTGTCAATTTGTGGGATTTAAAATGTTTCCTTTATAAAAGAACACCCAGAATATGTAACCTCTGTACAAAGAAAAAAATATAAAAATTCTGGATGATCATGTTTGATCACACTACGTACTTGAAATGTTGCTGGTTAAAAGTTTTTCTGCTTTACTCATTCCTTTGACAGCATTAATTTGTGAACATTTATATTCAGTTCAGCTGTATTTATGGCACAAGATCTCATTTCCAAAATGGCACTAATTTTCCTTAAGTGTAACAGCACTCTATTTTTAGCAGTAATTATATTTTTAAAGGTTAATTTGTAGAACAAATGTTTTAACTATACTTTTTTTCTACTCTATACTCCCCAGTTACAATATTTACAAAGGGCTGAAGTCTATATAAAAAAATGATCTTTGGCTGGGCATGGTGGCTCATGCCTGTAATCCCAGCACTTTGGGAGGTCGAGGCAGGCGGATCACGAGGTTAGGAGTTTGAGACCAGCCTGACCAACATGAAGAAACCCTGTCTCTACTAAAAATACAAAATTAGCCAGGCATGGAGGCAGGCGCCTGTAATCCCAACTACTCGGGAGGCTGAGGCAGGAGAATCGCTTGAACCCGGGAGGCGGAGGTTGCGGTGAGTTGAGATTGTGCCATTGCACTCCAGCCTGGGTGACAAAGCGAGTCTCAAAAAAAAAAAAACATCTTTTACTTTCCCCCATCCCTCATTTTAGTCAAACTTCTCCCACCTCATTTCTGCCCTGGTTGGGGAAGTGCAAGAGTTTCAGATAAGGTACCTATGTGTTTTAGATGGGATTCTTGATTTTAAGTGAGTATAAAGTAAAAGATTTAATTCTTAGTTCAGGTATGTTCCAGTGCCTCGAAAGTTAGTTATGTGACAAATAGTACCTGTTGACAACCTAGAAAAGATGAGACATTCTAAGGTGCCCTAACAATCTTCAGTCTCTAACAGCTGAACAGGAAGGCCATTTCACTCAACTGTGATGCGATCATCACTGACTGGCATTTAGAATTAGATTTCAAGACTCCACTCCTGTGGGGGCCACTAAATAACTGAATACATTTTAAGAGCAATCTACACTGAGGGAAATAACGGTTCTAAGGTATTCTGCAAAGAAAGAGTATCGATAATGGGAACTGGCAACTGAGCATGCTAAATCAAATTCCATGAATACAGTTTTCATAAGATGTCTTTACTACATGCATTTTGCTAATATTTCCCTAAAATATTCACCAACTCTACAGAGTTATACTTTGTGTTAAGGTACTATTGAGTTATAAGGGAAATAGCCGTATCAGGTAGCTAGTGACATAATACCAGTTGTGAAAATTCAGACAAAATGAGTCGACAAATCCCCAAAAATGGCAAATTAAGCCCTGTGACAAAATAAGTTATTGGATCATACAGAAATAGCCCAAATCTGGAAATTTTGAATTAAAATTGTAATCCTGTAAAACAAGTTTTGGGGTGAATGGATTTCTTTAATACCAATAATATTTTTAATTCCCACCACAGATGGATTTGCTGAATATGCTAATGCTGTGAATGAGAAAACAATTTTGGGGTAGGTATACCCACAAGTAATCTGATGACAAAATAAACCACAGACTGATGTCAAATGGACAAAAAACTGAAAATATGCTGTGAGAAATAGACAACCAAAATAATATAGGGGGTTGTGGGGTGTGGCACAGTTAAGGCATCTAAACAAAAATTCCACATGGCTTTGGCTTATTAAAATATTTTACACTATTTTTTTAAAAAAAGATTTGAAAGCATCTGAAAAACATGCAAATTGTTTGAAAACCTTGCATGGCAAATTCAGACAGTTTGCAAGCGTCAATCAGATGTTTGACGAGGAAACGAAAGAAGCCTCTCCCCATGAGACTGCACATGGTGGGAGAGGCCTACCCAGTTCTCTCTATCTTACACTAGATGGCAACCCAGAGGTCTGTGCAGCGGTTACAAACAAGGCATTATTATCCGGAAGGGAAGGGACTGTAGAATTTCCATTGGCTGGGGAACAACCCAGCTTTAGCTTTTCCAGATACTCTGCATGTACAGGTTTATGACACTGGAGAACTTTGATAGCATCTTCTACTTTGAACCACTCTCTCTTCCTTCCTAGAGAAAAGAATGACATTGGTTACAAGACAGTCCATTTTAAAAAGTAAGCCATATAAGTAATGTCCACTTACTCCCCGATAAATGACTTAGACAACAATATGTTGGGGAATAATTAAGATGAATATGCATCTCTACATTTGAATTATCTTCCCTGCTCTAAATGAAAAGTGACCAAAAAAAAAAAAATCTAGGATGGAAACTGGACACAGGAATATAAGCAAAGAGTATTCAGATAACAAAAGGGAACTTACCTATATTAACAGAATCTTCCCAATCTTCTGTTAGAACAGAGTATTCAGATAACAAAAGGGAACTTACCAATATTAACAGAATCTTCCCAATCTTCTAATATTTCAGTGACTGTTAGAACATAAACATATGTTCTGTGCTTTCGGTCTTGGTTCTGCTTGAATATAAAAAGAAATGCATTTTAATCTACAGGAGCTAGCCATGGACACATTTTCCAAGGGAAAAAAATTAGTCTGGCATACTGCTGATTAGCATAGCGTATTTCCCAGCACAGGCAAGTATATTCAGTTGTACAGTCCAACACAAAAGTGACTTTATATAAGACAAAACATTTAAAAGTTAAACAGAAGACTAGAACTAGAGCTTCATCATTACTGGTGGTGAAATTGGCTCTCAATACTACTTTTTTTGTAGAAGTCTGGAGATGTTGCCCAGGCTGGTCCACTCCTGCCCTCAAGGGAACCTCCTGCTTTGGCCTTCCCAAAAACTGAGCTTACAGGTATGAGGACCCAGCCTCCAGTACTAAACTTTAAACACTTATTTCTATATATCTGATGTTCTTTTCTTTTTTTTTTTTTTTTTTTTTGAGACAGGGAGTCTCGCTTTGTTGCCCAGGAGTACAGTGGCGTGATCTCAGCTCCCCCACAATCTCTGCCTCCCAGGTTCAAGTGATTCTCCTGCCTCAGCCTCCCGAGTAGCTGGAATTACAGGTGCACGCCACCACGCCTGGCTAATTTTTGTATTTTTAGTACAGACGGGGTTTCACCATGTTGGTCAGGATGGTCTTAAACCCTGACCTCATGATCCACCCACCTCGGCCTCCCAAAGTGCTGGGATTACAGGTGTGAGCCACCTTACCTGGCCTATCTGATGTTATTTTCATAAAGAAAATCTTAAGAGTTGAATGCAATCTTATTAAAATAATAGACCTGCATTCCCATAGTTTTTATCCTATCCCCTCTTCCCTGGGGCTAATCCTGACAACCTTTCAATGACATGGAAAACTGCTTCCTTTAGGACCTTTGTAAGAGCAAACAGCACCAGTTCCTTTAAGCACTCCTCCTGCAGGCCTATCAAGGTGCACATAAAGAATAGCCCATGGCCTGGAGCAGAAGCTCACGTCTGTAATCCCAGTACTTTGGGAGGCCAAGGCGGGCAGATCACTTGAGGTCAGGAGTTCGAGCCCAGCCTGTCCAACATGGTGAAACCCCGTCTCTACTAAAAATACGAAAATATTAGCCGGGCGTGGTTGTATGCCTGTAATTCAGCTACTTGGGAGGCTGAAGTGAAGGATCGCTTGAGCCCAGGAGGCGGACGTGGCGATGAGCCCAGATCATGCCACTGCACTAAAGCCTGGATGACAGAATGATACCCCATCTAAAAAAAAAAAACATAAATTAAATAAAACAGGCAACTGAGCTTGTTTCTGGGTTAAAAATTAAACAAGTTGGCCTTCCTTCATCCTGATTAAAGTTAGCCTTCTTTGCCATAGTCCACGACTTTAGATAATTGTCCTGATTTTGGCCACAAACAACCTGAAAAATCTACTCAAAACAGTGGGTTTTTACAGCTGGGAAGGATTATCTTTTTATATCTGAGAAGGAATAAAAACAACAATAAATTAGAGGCAACTGTCAATTAACACATCATTCATTATTTTTAAGAATCAGTTGTTTTATTTCTATGTCTCACAAATCAGTACATTTATTATGCTATATTCACAAATTCACAAAAATCACTGGGATGAATGGGCAGGGCAATCCAATTTTCCCTTATATTTTCTAAGGGGAAAGGTATTTTTTGATTGACGTGTGCTGTTAAACAGTATTTGTAAAGCACTTAATACTGTTACCTTCCCATATTATTTAAGCTTTATTTATAATGTGAGACATTTTCTTCAAACACCTTGTCAGCATATTGACAAATGTGTTATTTGTAAAAACCTCAGTATGTTTTTCAGTTTAACCAGGAGATGGTGCTATTTAACTGGGTGAAGCAACTGCTGAATTCTGGAAAAGACTGAATTCTACTTGAACGACTTTTCTCTTTGTTTTTTGAGATGGAGTGCCGCTCTGCAACCTCCACCTCCCGGGTTCAAGCCATTCTGCCTCAGCCTCCCAAGTAGCTGGGACTACAGGCGTGCGTCACCATGCCCGGCTAATTTTTGTATTTTTAGTAGAGACAGGGTTTCACCATATTGGCCAAGCTGGTCTTGAATTCCTGACCTAGTGATCCTCCTGCCTTGGCCAACCCAAAGTTCTGGGATTACAGGCATGAGCCACCACGCCCGGCCAACTTTACTCTTAATTACTGTATTCCGGTAAAAGTCATCATCAATTCTACCAAGTGCTACAAAATCGGGATTTTTTCTGAATTCCTAAGGCTTAAAAATAAAATTTATATGGTTCTACTATAAAGGCTGTACTAACCTATAAACAGCACCCTGAAAAAAGGAAAGTGACCATGTTTCTGGTATACTGTGTATCTAGGTCTGAATCTTGGATGAAGATACATCTGGACCTCCTTTCTCCCTGGCTTCCAGAGACTGCCTATCACATTCAAATTCCCTCCCTGAAAATTCTATTCTGCCTTCAGTAATAAGAGAATATATGAAAGAGAATTCTATTCTTTTAGCATCTGTTCTATGTACCTGAGATTTATATCTTCGTACAATCCTTTAAGTCACTAGGTGTATCATATAATATTTGCTAAGGGCAATGGGGACATTTCCAGATAAAACACATGAGACCTAAGCTCTTAGGTCATACTAAAAATATTGTACCTCCTAAAAGATCTATACCCTAAACAGTCTACAGTGGATTAAGATAAACATTTCAGTATCAGCTCCACTGTATTTTCAAACAGAAGTAATCACTACCATAATAATGCTATATAAAAGTGATGGCAGCCGGGCACAGTGGCTCACGCCTGTAATCCCAGCACTTTGGGAGGCCGAGGTGGGCGGATCACTAGGTCAAGAGATGGAGACCATCCTGGCCAACATGGTGAAACCCCATCTCTATTAAAAATACAAAACTTAGCTGGGCGTGGTGGCGCGTGCCTGTAGTCCCAACTACTTGGGAGGACGAGGCAGGAGAATTGCTTGAATCTGGGAGGCAGAGGTTGTAGTAAGCCAAGATTGCACCACTGAACTCCAGCCTGGCGACAGAGCGAGACTCTGTCTTAAAAAAAATTAATTAAAAATAAATAAATAAAAGTGGTGGCATATGAAAAAGTGGCTTTTACTTCCCTCCCTACCTAATCCTGGACTGACTGCCTACTGCTAGTCTGAGAGAAATGTCTGGTTCAGGCTGCTGCCACATTATTTGGTTGGTTAGGAAGAAATCATTAATTCTATTATCAGCAAAGTGAAGATTACTTTTTAACTCACCTCAAATATGCCCAGAAGTCTGCCTAGTTTTCCTTTGACTCCAGCCTATTAAAAAAAGATGAAATATAAAATGTTTACCTTTTTATAACAAAATGTATATAAATACAAGTTACACTCTGGCTATTTACTTAAATCTAATTAAATACAATACCCCTCCCCATACCAACTCACTATCTTCCTGCTTCTGTGAAGTTTTTATTGTCATTTACTTCATCAGCGGCAAGGACTGATCAAAAATTAGTATTTCTGGCTGGGCGCTGTGGCTCATGTCTGTAATCCCAGCACTTTGGGAGGCCGAGGCAGAAGGATCACTTGAGGTCAGGAGTTCGAGACCAGCCTGGCCAACATGGTGAAACCCTGTCCCTACTAAAAATACAAAAATTAAGGCCAGGTGTAGTGGCTCACGCCTGTAATCCCAGCACTTTGGGAGGCTGAGGCTGGCGGATCACCTGAGGTCAGGGGTTTGAGACCAGTCTGGCCAACATGGTGAAACCCTGTCTCTACTAAAAATACAAAAATTAGCCAGACGCGGTGGCACGTGCCTGTAATCCCAGCTACTCGGGAGGCTGAAGCTGGAGAATCACTTGAACCTGGGAGGCGGAGGTGGCAGTGAGCCAAGATCGCTCCACTGTACTCCAGGCCTGGCAACAGAGCGAGACTCCATCTCAAAAAATAAAAAAAAAAATTAAAATTAAAAATAAAGTTGCATCAGGCAAAAAGCACTCCTGGACCCGTCTCGCTGTCTTAGTGTTATGTAGCAAAGGGCCTTGTTTTTAAAACTCCGAAACAGAATTTGTGTGAAAGAACATCTCACCTCCTCATAAACTTCCCTCACGGCAGCACCGCCAGGTTCCTCCTCGGGTTCCATTCCTCCTCCTGGGACAATCCACTGGTCTGGGTACCGGCTGCTACTCACCAGCAGCACCTGTAAGGTGAACCATAACTGTATACTTCCAGCCTGAGAAGCACTTCGTATATAAACAACATTCTCAAACCTCTGCAAGGTTATAACTCTATTCTAGATTAAAATATTTTAAAATTTAATTAAAATTAGGGGGTACGCATTACACCACAAAAATGCAATTGACAACCTTTGTTAAACACCATCTTTCTGAAATCAGAATTAACATTAACATGGTCACACTACCAAATCACCTTATCTAATGAAATAAACTACTGGTGGTAAAACTCTCAAATTATTGGATAATAACAAAGGATAAAAACAGAAACTTGGCTGGGCGCGGTGGCTCACGCCTGTAATCCCAGCACTCTGGGAGGCCGAGGCGGGCGGATCAAGAGGTCAGGAGATCGAGATCATCCTGGCTAACATGGTGAAACCCCAAACCCCGTCTCTACTAAAAAAATTAGCCAGGCATGGTGGCGGGCGCCTATAGTCCCAGCTACTTGGGAGGCTGAAGCAGGAGAATCGCTTGAACCCAGGAGGTGGAGGTTGCAATGAACTGAGATCGTGCCACCATACTCCAGCATGGGTGACAGAGACTCCATCTCAAAAAAACAAAAAACAGAAACTTGGCTTATTAGCCAGAGTTGTATGCACTGAGGTCTATGGTCACATAAGTTTATTTAGTTATGGAATATTCCAAATTTAAGGAAATGACCATAGGTAGGTTACCTTGTTTCCTCACCTAAAAAATAAGAATACTAAGAAGATAACAGATGTGTGAGAAAGAAATAGGGAAATGCACATAAAGACGATTCTTGATACAGAGTGCTTGTTACTGTTATGATTAGGTGGCAAGAAGCATCCTTCACATTTTAAACCTGCATACATAGGCAAAAGTCACTTCATTCTTCTAACAGGCAGCTATCATTTATGATCTAGAACAGGACTGGCAGTCTGCAGCTCACCACCTGTACAGTCTGTGAGCCAGAAGTATTTTTACATTTTAAAATTATGTGAAATTCAAATTTCAGTGTCCACAGATGGAATTATTAGAATCGAGTCACTTACTCATTTTTACATATTGTCTGGTTGTTTTAATGATGCAACAGCAGAGTCAAAGCAGTTGTGACAGAGACTGTGTGGCCCTCAAAACTTAAAATGTTTGTCTGGCCCTTAATTTGGAAGTCTATGGACCCCTTACCAAGAATAGCATTAAGATTGAAATGTGGCCGGGCGTGGTGGCTCACATCTATAATCCCAGCACTTTAGGAGGCCGAGGTGGGCGATCACCTGAGGTCAGGAGTTCCACACCAGCCTGGACAAAACATGGTGAAACCCCGTCTTTACTAAAAATACAAAAATTAGCCAGGTGTGGTGGTGCATGCCTGTAATCCCAGCTAATCGGGAGACTGAGGCATGAGAATCACTTGAACCTGGGAGGCGGAGGTTGCAGTGAGCAGTGAGCAGAGATTGCACCACTGCACTCCAGCCTGGGCAACAGAGCAAGACTCCATCTCGGGGAAAAAAAAAAAAAAAAAAGACTGAAATCTACAAATTGTTACAAAAATACCCTATTACCTTAGACAAGTATCCTAGATTTTATTTAACAGGTAACAGGTATTACATACCCATCTTTTAAATGAATATCTGGCCGGGCGCAGTGGCTCATGCCTGTAATCCTAGCACTTTGGGAGGCTGAGGTGGGCAGATCACCTGAGGTCAGGAGTTCCACACCAGCCTGGACAAAACATGGTGAAACCCCGTCTTTACTAAAAATACAAAAATTAGCCAGGTGTGGTGGTGCATGCCTGTAATCCCAGCTAATCGGGAGACTGAGGCATGAGAATCACTTGAACCTGGGAGGCGGAGGTTGCAGTGAGCAGTGAGCAGAGATTGCACCACTGCACTCCAGCCTGGGCAACAGAGCAAGACTCCATCTCGGGGGAAAAAAAAAAAAAAAAAAGACTGAAATCTACAAATTGTTACAAAAATACCCTATTACCTTAGACAAGTATCCTAGATTTTATTTAACAGGTAACAGGTATTACATACCCATCTTTTAAATGAATATCTGGCCGGGCGCAGTGGCTCATGCCTGTAATCCTAGCACTTTGGGAGGCTGAGGTGGGCAGATCACCTGAGGTCAGGAGTTCAAGACCAGCCTGGCCAACATGGTGAAACCCCATCTCTACTAAAAATACAAAAAATTAGCCGGGCGTGGTGGAAGGCACCTGTAATCCCAGCTACTTAGGAGGCTGTGGCAGGAGAATCACTTGAACCTGGGAGGCGGAGGTTGCAGTGAGCCGAGATCATGCCACTACACTCCAGCCTGGGCAACAGAGCTAGATTCTGTCTCAAAAAAAGGAAAAAAAAAAGGGGGGGGGGGAAACAAAGGAATATTTGTGGGCTAGCTTAGGTTGAACTTCACTTAAGTTAAAATCAACTCAAGGTGAGCGTGGTGGCTCATGCCTATAATCCCAGCACTTTGGGAGGCTGAAGTGGGTGGACATCTGAGGTCAGGGGTTCAAGACCAACCTGGCCAACATGGTGAAACCCTATCTCTACTAAAAATACAAAAATTAGCTGGGTGTGGTAGCACATTCCTGTAGTCCCAGCTACTCAGGAGGCTGAGGCACAAGAATTGCTTGAATTCAGGAAGCGAAGGTTGCAGTGAGCCGAGACTGCACCACTGCACTTCAGCCTGGGCAATGGAGTGAGACTCTGTCTCAAAAAAATAAAAAATAAAAATAAATAAGTCAATTTGAACAAAAGTGTCCACAAAATTATCTTAGTATACTACCTTCAAGTAAATTTAAACAGTTCTCCCTCGAAAACACATAGGGTTTATCACGAAGTTTAATTCCCAGTGTGCATAGAGATGATGATGATAACTAAGACAGGGTCTCACTTGGACATCCACGTTGGAGTGCAGTGACACAATCTCTGCTGACTGCAGCCTTCACTTCCCGGGCTCAAGTGATCCTCTCACTCCAGCTTCCCGAGCAGTTGGGAGTACAGGCACCCACCACCAGGCCTGGCTAATTTTTGTACTTTTTTTTTTTTTTGAAATGGAGTCTCGTCCTATCATCCAGGCTGGAGGGCAGTGGCATGGTCTTGGCTCACAGCAACCTCTGCCTCCCGGGTTCAAGTGATTCTCCCACCTCAGCCTCCAAAGTAGCTGGGATTACAGGCACCTCCCACCAAGACCAGCTAATTTTTGTATTTTGAGTAGAGATGGGGTTTCGCCACGTTGGCCAGACTGATCTCAAACTCCTGACTTCAAGTGATCTGCCTGCCTTGGCCTCCCAAAGTGCTGGGATTACAGGAGTAAGCCACCATGCCCAGTCTGATTTTCGTATTATTTTGTAGAGGTGGGGTCTTGCCATGTTGCCTAGACAGGTCTCAAAACCATGGGCTCAAGTGATCTTCTCACCTTGGCCTCCCAACTGGGATTACAGGCAAGAGCCATGACTGATTTTTTTTTCTTTTAAATGCATGCCAGCACTTCTATCTGCCCTGCTCCCTCCCTGCTGCCAGGAGCTGCTGGCCTTTAAGAGTTCTCAGCCAGCACAGGAGTCCTCTCTCATTTGACTAAGTTACCAGGAACTTTTCCAAACTGGAAAGTTTCAAGCTGACAATTCAGCAACTCCCACCCTTCTCTCAAGCCCCCAAAATGCTGAGTTAAAAGAGAGTATCTATTTAGGCATAGAACCTCCTCTTAGAAAAGCAGCATTCCAGGCCAGGCATGGTGGCTCACGCCTGTAATCCCATCCCAGCACTTTGGGAGGCCAAGGCGGGCAGGTGTGAGAACAGCCTGGGCAACACAGCAAAACTCCCTCTACAAAAAAATACAGAAATCAGCCATGCATGGTGACATGTGCCCATAATACCAGCTACTCAGGAGGCTGTGGTGGAAGGGATCACCTGAGCCCAGGAGGTCGAGGTTACAGTGAGCTGTGATCATGCCACTGCACTCCAGCCTGGGCGACAGAATGAGACTGTCTCAAAAAAAGGGAGGGGGGGTTATTACATTATCAAATTATACCCAGATGAGACTTTATAGAAAATTAGAAAAAGAAAATTAAAAATCCAAAAGTGCATGCAAGGGTCTCTAAGTTCAAATTCTACTTTCAACAGAGAAACTACAAATCAGATTTCAAAACCTTTGTATTTTATTCAAAATTGGAGGCTTACAGAGGATCTATGGCAACCAAAGGCACTGGCCCTCTATCAAGACTGGCAAGTGAATGTTAGTTTTTAAGTTAAATAAAAATGTTAAGAGTTTGTCTCGCATCACTGGAAAAGTAAACAGCAACTACTGGTCCGGACTGCAGAGTTACAGGCCTCTTTTTCTGGTCACTAGGTTTGGGTTAGGAATAAACTGGTTTCTATTGCCTAGATGAAATTCTTGTTACACAATTCTATGCTCTCTAAGCAACTTCCTGGATTACGTTAATAATGGGACATAACGCAGGTGGCTAGCCGCCTGAAAAGTACATCATCACTTAGTAAATAGTAAATAGGGAGTTCAAAATCATCCATATTCAAAATGTTGCAGTCCTGAATAAATGAAATGCAAAGTCTCATGTATCTAGGTCATTGACTATGATGTTTCCAGTTCTCCAAGACAGAGCTAAATTACAGGAGATTAATAATGTTGAAAAACCATTAGTATAAGATGTGTCTGCTTTTCTGAAGAAACATTTTATGCTTCAGATTTTTTTTTTTTTGAGACAGAGTCTCGCTCTGTCATTCAGACTTGAGTCTAGTGGTGCAATCTCGGCTCACTGCAACCTCCGCCTCCTTGGTTCAAGCAATTCCCTCCCTCAGCCTCCCGAGTAGCTGGGATTACAGGCTCCCACCACCATGCCCAGCTCATTTTGGTACTTTTAGTAGAGATGGGGTTTCACCATCTTGGCCAGGCTGGTCTTGAACTCCTGACCTCGTGATCCACCTGCCTCGGCCTCCCAAAGTGCTGGGGTTACAGGTGTCAGCCACCGCGCCCGGTCTATGCTTCAGATTTAAAACCAATCCTGCATCTACAAGACATCAGCATGACTAAACTTTTCTTCCAAAAATGAGTAATATGGAACCCTTGTGTCTCAACATCTCTCTTTCATAAATTACTTTTTAGAAAGCCTCATGAAAATAGTATATAAATTTGATAAGTGATTTAGCACAATCCAGTAATTTATGATATAAGAATCTCGGCTCACTGCAACCTCCGCCTCCCCGGTTCAAGCGATTCTCCTGCCTCAGCCTCCCAAGTAGCTGGGATTACAGACATGCGCCACCACGCCCAGCTAATTTTGTATTTTTAGTAGAGACGGGGTTTCTCCATGCTGGTCAGGCTGGTCTTGAACTCCAGACCTCAGGTGATCTGCCCGCCTCAGCCTCTCAAACTGCTGGGATTACAGGCATGAGCCACCACACCCAGCCAAATGTATCTTTCAAAAAAAAGGCCGATAAATTTAAATGAGTAATTATCTATGGTCCAGAAATGATTCACATCTAAACTACTAGCTTAAGGCAGATGTGCTAATATCCAACTTTTGGTGATGGTAGTTTTAAAATCCAGCATGTTTCATTAAGCACTTGTCTACTCATCTAAATTGACAAACCTGCAGATAGAATTGGGCTCCTCTGGGCCCTTGATCTGCCAATTAATTCCAGTCTGTCCTAAACTCTGCTACTTTTGAACCTTTCATGCTTTTGAGGGTCTACAGCTAACACAGTCACCACTAGCATCATATGGCTAAATTTAAGATTAAATAAAATTTAAAATTCAATTCCTTAGTCCAGTCATATTTCAAGTGCTCATCTCAAGGGTCACATATTGGACATCTACAGCCAATTAATGGTATATCCTTTTCAGAACAGGTAAAATATGTAACTGTTAGTTATTTATCCACTTAAATTTTCATGCAAAACCTTACCACTTTAAAATGCTTTTCGAAAGAAAATCAGAATCATGAAAATGGGCTAGCAGGAAAGAAGCATCATGCACATGGTATCCAAACTAAATCCATTCACTTTTGTCTTTACAATCTTCAGCCTCTAGAAGGACAGAGAACAGACTGACTCCTGTCAAAAAGTGACAATTCAGCACAAGTTCTCCACCTTAAAGAGAAGCACTGTGGAGAAAGAAGTTGCTGATTTTGTTCCTTATCTACTAATTGTGTGATACTCAACAAGAATTGTATGTGATGAAAAGATACTGAATATACATCTTTCCCTCAAAGAGCTTATATTCTTGGAGGTGGGGTTGGAATACAGTCACATAGAATGCTCAATATTTTGTGTCTAAAAACTGCAAGAACACATACATCTATATAAATCTATATCATTATAAATTGTGGACAAACGATTTAGCCTAATCCAGTAACTTATCATCCAAGAGTCCCTTGACATCTCAGGAAGAATAAATTTGGTCAGACCAATAACTTCAAATTATCTTTCCATAAAATGATCGCTTTAAATGGGTACTTAATATCTGTGATATAGAAATGACTGGCCATCTAAACAACTAGCTTATGAAAAGAGGTCTCACACAGATGTCATGGTGACAGATTTGAAAGTCTGTCTGTTTCATTAAGTACTTGCCTACTCATCTTGAATAGTTCATTTGAGTGTTCAAATGAGGGCAAGGCCACATCTGGGGGGGTGGTGGTGGGGAGAAGGCAGTGACTAAGAGTGAGCAAGAACTGAGGGATACACTCCAGATAAGAGAATAGACTGGATGATGGCGTATGTCTGCCAGGGTGGAAAAATATGAACAGCATTAGTAGAGAGAAGGACAATTAAAACAGTCCCCTGCCTGCCCCCAACCCCAATAACAGTGAAAAGTCTTTTAACTTAAGGCCAACTAGTGTGATAGCTAGGCCATCCTGTGATCACCTGGGGTCTGTCATGCACTTGGAAGCGGTCCCCAGCACTAGATCTAGACCAGTACAGATGAAAAAAAGTTGGTATCACATTGGAGCATGTTTATATTTTAATTAGGCAGACAACAGAGGACACTAACAACTTTTTAGGCAAGGGGTTGAGATTAAGATGAAAACATAACTCAGTGTTTCCTAAGAACCGCCACACCTGCTCTATTGTTCAGTGCTATATGACCATTTCTCTTTCCAGAAAAACATTTCACCAAGTTAAAAAGCCTGAGATTATAAAAGAGAAACTGGGGATGGTGGTGAGGAGTTGCACCGTAGTGGAGTACTGTCACTCCAGAACTATCAGGAACTCAAGAATTACAGCTTTTCTGTTGAATTCACTTGGAATCTGTTGAAAATGAAAATCATCAATGTAGATTTTTCTGGACTACATTTTTATGGAACTACTAAAGCAATTCAGCTTGAAAAAACACGTTTTGTAAAGAGCATGCAAATAAAACAGTCTAGCCGGGTGCAGTGGCTCATACCTGTAATCCCAGCACTTTGGGAGGCCGAGGCAGGAGGATCACTTGAGGTCAGGAGTTCAAGACCAGCCTGGCCAACATGGTGAAACCTCATCTCTACCAAAAACATAAAAAGTAGCTGGGCATGGTGGTGCACGCCTGTAATCCCAGCTACTCGGGAGGCTGAGGCAGGAGAATCACTTGAATCCAGGAGGCGGTTTGCAGTGAGCTGAGATAGCGCAACTGCATTCCAGCCTGGGCAACACAGTGAGACTGTCTCAAAAATAATAATAATAAAAAAAAATCAGAGTTCATTCAGTATTGTTTTCCAGAGGCCAAAATTAATAAGAAGGTGTACTTTCATTATCAAAGATTTAGCTATGTTCTTCCAGTTAAGAGTTTTCCAACCTAGACAAAAGATTTGACATATCTGCTAATACAAATTTTAAGTGTTCCACAAAAATTTGAGAATGATGAAAATATCTAGTATAGTCAATAATGGAAATTTTGTTTCTTACATAAATTTTGGAGATACTAGTTCTGAGCAGTCCGTGTTTTTACTAGTTACATACTCACATTTTTCAGCTTCATTATATCTTTTCTACTAAAACTCTGTGGGAAAACTCAACTATTAATAGCTTCTTTTTTTTTTTTGAAACAGGGTCTCACTCTGTCACCCAGGTTGGAGTGCAATGGCGTGATCTCGGCTCACTGCAACCTTTGCCTCCTGGGTTCAAGCAATTCTCGTGCGTAAGCCTCCTGAGTAGCTGGGATTACAGGTACACACCACCATGCTCGGCTCATTTTTTTTGTATTTTTAGTGGAGACTGAGTTTCACCATGTTGGCCAGGCTGGTTTTGAACTCCTGACCTCAAATGATCCACCCACCTCGGCCTCCCAAAGTGCTGAGATTACAGGTGTGAGCCACTGTGCCCAGCCTGAACTATTAATATCTTCTATAGGCCAGGCACAATGGCTCACACCCGTAATCCCGGTGCTTTGGGAAGCCAAGGCAGGCGGACTGAGTCTAGGAGCTCAAGACCAGCCTAGGCAACATAGGAAGACCCTGTCTCTACAAAAAACTCAATAAATTAGCCAGGCATGGTGGCATGTACCTGTAGTCCAAGCTACTCGGGGGGCTGAGGTGGGAGAATCATCTGAGCCTGGGAAGTCAAGGCTGCAGTGAGCCATGATTGTGCCACTGCACTCCAGCCTGGCTAACAGAAGTGAGATTCTATCTCAAAAAGAAAAAAAAAATTATGTATATATATATATATATATATATATATATAAAAAGATTTACTATATATATATATATAAAATCTATACATGCAGAAATCTAAAATCAAATTTCAGCACAATTTATTGTAAGGTTTTTTTTTGGCTTGTTTTGGGGGCGCCATTTGCTGAATCATAGCAACATAACCATAATGGTTGCTTTTCTTGCAATAATATTGATTTCAAATAATAGGCAGCTGCTCCTAAGCCCCTCCTACAAAAGTGGAAGAATCTCAATCTCTAGAACCCTATCACAATGCATTATTCTTCAACACTCACTCTAAACGCACACAACAGCCATCTACACATTTCTATCACACCCCCAAAGCTACTAGTATAGTTAGCATGCTAATTAATGCTCTAAAGATGGGTTATAAAAGCTCATTCTACAAAGACACACCAACAGTTGACAGAGCCACACATGGTCATTCATAGGTTTGAAATTCCCTTCTCTGAGTAGACTAGATTTTCTGTATCCATCAAGATACTGGTCTGTTACATTAGCGATGACAGAGATGAAGGAAGATGCATTCAACCTTCCAGATAAATCAGAGCTGTGACTATATGAAAGATTTACGAAAAGGAGGCTACTCATTCTACCAGGTTGCAGAGCCAGACCTGGAGCACACTCAGACCCCAAAGCCAACGCTATTAGTGTGGTGAAAAGTGAAGACATCTCTTCCTACTCTATTCAACCTATCTTCGCATAAGCATTCTTTCTTCCTACTACTCTACTAAATCTTACTCCCTCTTCCCATGTATTAGATAATTACCAGAAAAAAACACCACTCACCTGGCACTGCTGAAGAGTTATTTTGTCTTTTCCTAGATACCTAAGGTTTTAAGCATTTGGAGAAAAGCATTTATCACTTTAAGAATAGTGTATTGGCCGGCCATGGTGGCTCACGCCTGTAATCCCAGCACTTTGGGAGGCCGAGGTCAGGAGTAAGAGACCAGCTTGGCCAACATGGTGACTAAAAATACAAAACTTAACTAAAATTTAAATACAAAATTCAACTAAAAATACAAAAATTAGCCAGGCGTGATGGCATGTGCCTGTAATCCCAGCTACTTGGAAGGCTGAGGCAGGAGAATGGCTTGAACCTGGGAGGCGGAGGTTGCAGTGAGCTGAGGTCACGCCTCTGCACTCCAGCCTGGGTGACAGAGTGAGACTCTTAAAAAAAAAAGAATAGTGTATTGACAGTAGTCAACAGGAAACCAACCCTAAATCTTATTGGATAAAAGTCTATGAATTAGAATGATCTATTGCAAGCCTGCTCAACCTGTGGCCCGTGGACTGCATGCAGTCCAAGATGGTTTTGAATGCAGCCAAACACAAATTTGTAAACTTTCTTAAAATATTATAAAATATTTTTGCAATTATTACTTTTTTAGCTTACCAGCTATCATTAATGTTAGTGTATTTTATGTGTGGCCCAAGACAATTCTTCCAATGAGGCCCAGTGAAGCTAAAAGATCGGACACCCCAGGCCAGGCACGGTGGCTCACGCCTGTAATCCCAGCACTTTGAGAGGCTGAGGTGGGCAGATCACGAGGTCAGGAGATCAAGACCATCCTGGCCAACATAGTGAAACGCCGTCTCTACTAAAAATACAAAAAATTAGCTGGGCGTGGTAGCACACGCCTGTAGTCTCAGCTACTCGGGAGGCTGAGGCAGGAGAATCGCTTGAATCCAGGAGGCAGAGTTTGCAGTGAGCTGAGATTGCACCACTGCACTCCAGCCTGGTGACAGAGCGAGAAAAAAAAAAAAGCTTGGGCACCCCTGATCTATTTTATAGAATCTATACCCTTTATCACCTGACGGGTCCTCCTCGCTGGTGATGTATAAAAGGGTGCTGTTCAAGGGCTATGTAATGCATTTATGCCTTCAGAGGCTGTAGGTCCTTGGGCCTCGAATTCCCATTTGTGTTTCAGCTTTTACCCTTAAAGATGCAATTGTCATGGCTTGGCTCTAGGAACTCCAACCACTATAGATACCACTTCTGTTCCCGGGAAGGGGAGCGGAGGAGCCATCCAGAGAACCTCAAGTGACCCCTAAGAATGAAGAGGTTTATTATGAAAATTGTAGCTATTCAGAAACTGTTTGTTGTTGTTGCTGTTTCTGAGACGCTGTCTCGCTCTGTCGCCCAGGCTGGAGTGCAGTGGCGCAATCTCAGCTCACTGAAAGCCCCGCCTCCTGGGTTCAAGGGATTCTCCTACCTCAGCCTCCGGAGTAGCCAGCACTACAGGCACACACCACCACGCCTGGCTAATTATTGTATTTTTAGTAGAGACGAGGTTTTGCCATGTTGCCCAGGCTGGTCTTGAACCCCTGACCTCAGGTGATCCACCCACCTTGGCCTCCCAAAGGGCTGGGATTACAGGCGTGAGCCACTGCACCTGGCCTACTCAGAAACTGTTTCGAGGTTGCTATTCTTTCTTTCCAAATTATCATAAATCAGGGTATCATGAATGGTTGAAACTACGTTAACCTAATTCTACTACACTTAACCAAAATTTAGCCAAAATTAGGCCAGCCGTGTTATTAGAAACACCCACTATGCACATAGACATTTTAAAAGAACATAGGTTATGAAAATGGTTTGATACATGCTAAACAGCTACCTACTATTAAGAAAATTAGTACTTCTTTTTGGACCAGAGGCAGAGTAGACCAGAAATAACAGTTCTTTCTTCTAAACTATGTTTAGCTCCAACTTATATGGGATTGGTAGATAAGTATTATCAATAATGTTGTAAATCAGGTTGACCATGGATTTTTTACCTAGCAGGTCAATGTTTTAAAGTGACGGGGTATAAGCTTTTTTTCAATTAGAGAAAAGCTTGAGCTATACCAAGACCCTAAGAAAAAAAAAAAAAATCCAATGCAAATTCTACGTTAATGCCTGGTTTAATGACGGGAAACCTTCTGGGAGAGCTGGAGGCACAGATGAAGAAGTTGGTGACACTTCCCTGTGTTTAAAAAAGGCTTCCAAGCCGGGTGCAGTGGCTCATGCCTGTAATCCCAGCACTTTGGGAGGCTGAGGTGGGTAAATCACAAGGTCAGGAGATCAAGACCATCCTGGCTAACACAGTGAAACCCCTTCTCTACTAAAAATACAAAAAATTAGCCAGGTATGGTGGCGGCTGCCTGTAGTCCCAGCTACTTGAGAATGGCGTGAACCTGGAAGGCGGAGCTTGCAGTAAGCTGACATCGCGCCACTGCACTCCAGCCTGGAGGACAGAGCGAGACTCTGTCTCAAAAAAAAAAAAAAAAAAAAGGCTACCTTTGGATAGTACTTATTTTTGATGAAAGTGGTCTCCATTTGAAAGAAATACCTTCAAGGACTTAACTCTGAAGAACTATGAGCCCCAGAGTATGTGTGAAAAGGGTGGACTGACTGTTGATTCTAAGTATAAAAATGCTAGTTGAGATTTAACTCTAGTAATATTTTGAATTAGTATTGTTGCTCATCGGAGCTCTGGTTTTAGGTTTTCAGACTTGACCTTTCCCACCAAAGCTTTACTGCATGATTTTGTACAGCTCAAGATTTTTCAGGAATATATATTCAGCATTATAGCAGACCATCTGTAGAAGACAGCCCCTGGCTCATAGAGCTTAAAAGCTAATTAGGGCAGCAAGTCCTATGGAAGAGTAGTGGTTTTTTTTGTTGTTTTTTTTTTTTTTTTTGCAGGCAGGGTCTTGCTCTGTTGCCCAGGCTGGAGTGCAATGGCATGATCTCGGCTCACTGCAGCCTCCACCTCCCAGGTTCAAGGGATTCTCATGCCTCAGCCTCCTGAGTAGCTGGGATTACAGGCACATGCCACCACGCCCGGCTGCTTTTTGTATTTTGTATTTTTGGTAGAGACAGGGTTTCGCCATGTTGGCCAGGCTGGTCTCAAACACTTGACTTCAGGTGATCTGCCCACCTCCGCCTCCCAAAGTGCTGGGATGACAGGCATGAGCCACCTGCCTGGCCTGTAGTGGTTAGTCCTTCAGACTGATTTGTTAATGCCTCTCTTGCAACTATGTCTGGATTTCACACAGGATCAAGTCATTCTACTTCTCCCCTTAGCAGTCTAAACCTATTTTGCTGCCAGATCACTCTCAAGCTTGAACACATCTACTATCTCAATGTTCTTTGTTCAAAACTAAGTTCAAAACAAAACTTTGTTCTTGCGTAGCAACTTCTCAACCTTACATTTGAAGTGTTGCAAATTTTTCAACTATTACTGATTCTATGCTATCCCTAAGCTGCAGCCAAATCTATCACAGCCCCAAGTCTTGCTCTATTTGGGACGCCTGGTCCCTCCTCTCCCAGTCACCCACATCCAACTCCAAATGACTCACATTGGATCTGAACCCCAGAATACCCGACCGCACTTTTCCCTTACTTTATTTCCCTTTCCATTGATCCCTTGTCCAACCTTTCCCTACAGAATGATTCTTAGGAGCTAAGACCTCATCTCTTCATCCCCTTTTAAACTATCATATATGCAAATACATTCAACAGAATCCATTTCTGATTACCTATTTGTAAAAGCATTGTCATCTTTCACTGTACAAGCACAGTACCCAGCTACTCTACAGGGCAATTAGCTGTGGGCCTGTCTAGAAGCCCAGCGGCCAAAACTGAGGGTGCTTCCCCACAGAAATAACTAGCTGGGGAGGTAGGTCAAATAAACAAAACATTTAGAAACAAAGGACCAGAGCTCAAAAGGATCTGCCAGCTTCTGTGACCTTGGGATAGGTTACTTCTGCTACCTAATTTCTTCCTAAACAAATACTAATACTTATTTACCCTACAGAACAGAAAAAGATAAAATGGAAAATATTTAATATATAAAGCCACCTTAAAAGAATAACTCTGCTCTTAGAACAACCTTCTTTCCTAGAACAATCTGTTTTAAAGTAGAAACTTACTGAGAACTTCAGTACAGGAACAGCCAGATGGGAGCGCCACGTAGCTTTTTTGGGGTCAAATTGCAATTACTCTTTTACTTCCATTTGTACTCTATATAAACATTTCATCCTCAAACAAAACATACATTTAAATCTTCTAACCAGGATCTAGGTGTTTTTCATCCAGTAGAGGGAAACATTTCTCACCTATTAACTAGAGAGGTGGGCTCAAGCTGGTTTTCTAGACTGTCCTGGGAAGTCTGGCAATGCAATTTCAACAGAGTGAAGGCAAATTCATAGAGAAACAATAGAATCTCCAGGAAAGCTAACAGAGTTTATTCTGTAATAATCATGTAATAGATAAAGCCTCAACTACACACAATCACAGAAATGAAAATTCTGAAGAGCTAAACCAGATGTTAAAATTGGCTGTGCATTTCACTTAAGGAGAATTCTAGAGTCTTCCCTCAGATCATATCCTCTAACAAGATGACTCACTCTCTTCAATTCTCAACCTACAGGTTATCAGATTTACAAAGTTTTATACAATGGATTTTTCTAATACATTCTCCAAAACTTGCTCCCTACTTCACCTTACCTAATGACACGGGTCTCTTGACTCAACTAGAGGCTATGAATTTAGTATTTATTTCAGTAGAAATAATATCCAAGCATAAAAATAATCATTTATTTTTATTGCTAAAGTAATTCCTAAAGCTTCTATCAGTCTTTGCTTTACCATAAGCACAATAGAGATCATCATTTCAATTTCCATCACTCATATTTTCCCCTAGAGTCTAGTATTTTTACAAAGCCTGAATTCCAAGTTCACATTATGGCAACACTTCAGTCACCACTTTCAGATAGGCTTCCAAACTTAGCCTCACAAAAATCTCACTCACTCAACAAACAGAGCCCAACATCAGGAGTAAGGACTGGACCCTGAATCCTGACTCTACCACTTCCTAATTGTGTCATTTGGGAAGGTACTTATGCTCTGCAACTGTCTCCTCACCTATAAAATGGGAGTAACTTCACTACCTCCCAGTGTTAAAAGGATTAAATGTATAACAAGTTTTCTTCTGGCAGCGCCTGGCACATTGTAAGCACTCAATTAAGAATATCATTACACAATATTGAGGAAACCAGACAAGATCCTTGATCTATCTTGATCCCTTTTGGCTATCATTTCTTTTATATTTAAAGTTTACTACTTTGCCTCAACATGGCCCCTTTCCGCTAAGGCTTTATCTTTTTTACAGAACACACTTAATGCTTGTTGACTTGTTCATTTTGTAAAAGTTAATAACCTTTCCCTTTGCAGTTTCTAGCTCTCCTAAGCAGACCCATCTCAAAGGCTGGGGCCGTATTTCTCTGCACACTCGTTTGGGATTCAAGTCTAATACGTAAAGGTTATGAGTGAGCACAGAGCAACCCATTTAAAGGGCTTGGTTTCTTTTCAAAAAAAAATAAAGGCAAAACAAGGGTTTGAAGGGCAAATTTCGAGAACTTTTCGTTAACATAACAAGAACTAAGCCACTGAGTGTATTCTGTGTCATATTCATCACAACTACAGGGACTAGCAGTAAGGAAGCCATTAAATTCCCATCTCCAGCCTTAGCCTAGTATTTTATACACGGTTGGTTATGAAAGCAGAACTCAGAATGTTAATTTTTTTCACCTATGTAATTTATCTTAAGAGTGGCAATACCAAAAGGCTACTATTGCCCTAAGCAAACTTCAACAGTTAGCCATTTTAAATAAATACTACTGAATTAAGTAAAAATCGCTCTCCAGGGAAACCCCAAGGGTCTCATTCTCAGCCCAATGCAGATGGGTAAATTATCCAAGAACGACTGCTCTGAGAACGAGAAAGGCTACTCCTTTCCAGATGTCAAGCCAGACAGCAAAGAACCCTTTATACATAAGCTGAGAGCTGGAGATTACTGTCTGAAAATGGCAGCTTTGCCCATCTCTAGTCCATCGTCTCCCTTTTGGCATTATTCCACATTTTTCACTAACCATTTTTCTGCAGTCAGAAAACTTTAAGAAGGGAAGGCCGTTTTAAAAATGAGGCATAATTATGCCAACAGCTTGCGGGTTCATGGACCCACAAGAATTGCCAAGACTAGACTCAATTCCAAGCACGAGGACTGTCTGTTACTCCACAAACATGCTTAGATCGAATCCGAGACCGCAAACGGCTGTAACATGGAAGGAAAATATGTAAAAGAGGCACAAGGGCTCTGCTGCAACACTCACGCCATTTCCACCCTCCTCTCGCTGAGCACTCGAGGTTTATCCGGCTTTCAACTCAATTCGCACGTTAAGATGGTGACTCCCGCTAGGCGAGACTTACGCGGCCCGGGACCTTCCCGGGGACCAGGCGCCTTCTCGAGTGCCCAGATGGAGAAACTGGGGCTGGGCGAGCCCCCTTTGTCTCATCTATCAGCCCAGAGAAAGGAAGGAAGAAGTGAGGGAGGAAAGGAGTGAGGGAGGAAAGGAGGGAGGGAGGAAGGGGGCTAATCCCTCCCAGCCCCGCAGCCTGCGCAGGGGCGGGGAGCGAGGGGAAGCACCCGGGCCCTAGACCCCGGCGCCCCGGAGGGCAGCGTGCGGCGCCGGGCGCCCTACCTCGTCCTCCTGCTCGCTCCGGAAGCACAGGCACGCCGCCCGCTTCTTGAAGCCCTCGCGGTCGTAGGTCCGCGTCTGGTTGGGCTTGAACTTCATCATAGAGGCGGGCTCCTGCTGCTGCTGCTGCTGCTCCGGCCGCCGCCGTGGGGGCCCGGCCGCCGCCACCCCGCCGGGGAGTGGGGGCGAGGGCGAGTCGGGCGCAGGAGCGCCCGGGAGCGCTAGTCGGTGCGGGAGGTGCGGCGAGGCCGGTCAGTCCCGGGGCCGGCGGCCGCTCCGACGCGGGCGGGACGGGACGCTAGCGCGGGTCACTGGAACCAGGGTGCCGAGATGAAAGCTCCGCCTCTGCCCAGTTGTCCGCCGCTCTCCATGGAGCCCGACTCCCGCTCGCCTCCGCTCCCTCCGGCCGTAGCCGCCAGGGGAAGGGCGGCTAGAGGCGCGCGCCACGCGGAGACAGTTGCGAAGACCCGCTCCCACTGAGCAGCAGCACCGCGGCGACCGCGCGCCGCCCCCTCTGCTCTGTTTAAATGAAGCCCACATGCGCCCCGCCTCCCCCGCGCGCCACTGCGCCTGCGTGCAGAGACCATTGCAATGGGGTGGGTGGGTAGGTGTGGCGGGGGAGGTAGGGGCGGGACCTCGGCCGCCCGGTGGGCGGGGCCGCGCGCACTCCCGGGCTGGAGTTCGGCGAGGCCTTGGGACTGGCGCTGGAGCCCAGCGTGGGATGACCGTGCCCCGAAAACATGCCAGTGAATGGAAAGAAGCCAAGGTCCCCTCCCTCCCTGCTTATACCCTCAACTTTGCCAATGAGGACCCTAAATACCAGCTGCACTACAGGGGATGTAACTACATACACCGTCACCAAAGTTGCAGCCTGGCCAAGAAATGCCAGGGGACGTCGCGGCGATTGCAGACTCCGCGGTGACTGTGTAGATACGTCCAGAATTCGCCCTTGTAGCGCGGGGAGAGGCGAGAGTGAAGGCCTAGAAAAGTTAAGACGTTAACTGTTTTTTTTTTCTTTGTTTTCACAAATGGGGGGTAGGCAAATTTCCTTTTTTTTTTTTTGTATTTAAATTTTTAATCTTTGGTTGGGGATGGCTTGTATTATTTAAAGAGTCAACTCTAGCTTAAACGTTTCTTTGAAGCTGTCTATAACATCCCCCACTTTGTGCCACCTTCCGGAAAGTATTAATACTGGCAATGGCTAATAGTTGCGAAATGGTTTTCATGTGGATCTCATGCTAAGTAACAGCGCAGCTGGATGCTGGGGCCACAGCACTAAAATATAATGGGATTTCTGCTATCTGGGAGCTTACAGTACCTTGGGGACTTGGAACAAACAACCTCTACACTTCAGAGTGTTAGAAGGGCTAAGATAGGAGCCAGGAGGCCTGATCTTAAGGTAGCTCGAGAAACCCAAACTCAGGCCATTCTGCCCTTCCACAGAGGCCCAGGTTGCTTGGGTCCTGACTTGGTTGGTTGGTTTTTCACCCCTTGAGGGCCTATTGTGTGTCAGGCACTGGCATCTAACAAAACCAGTCAGCCCCTGCCTCTCCAGGAGCGTAGGCACCTGAGAGCACACCGTCAAATATTAAATGATCACACGTGTACACGTAAAACTACAAATGTAATGGGCTCTAAGGTTTCAGACAAAGATTTGACCAGATCTGCAGTCAGAAAAAGATTATTGGGGCAGCAAGGCAGGAGCTGAGGGCTGAAGGAGGAGGAGCTAAATTGACCAAGAGCTTTCAAGGCAAAGGGAACTGGGATTTCTGCAGAGCCCAAAGTGGGAGGGAGTGAGGAGAGTTCTCAGAAATGAAAGAAAAGGCCAGTGTGGCTGCAGAGCGGAGGCAAGCTGGTTCCGCCTCTGGCAGAGGGGCCTGTGAGGCCTGACTGAGAGGCTGGGGACCACTGGAGAGCTCAGAGCAGGCACTGGTCTTTCTAGTCTCCAACCTCCTTTAGATTTGGGACTGCTGCATCTAACTCATCTTGTTACTCCCAGAGCCCAGCAGATGTAAGTTTGTAGAATGGGTTAGTGTTGAATAAATAATTTAAGGAATGAGGCTTCACCACAATTAGAAATCTTATCAAGACTGCGCAGAGATGTTTTCCAAGCCATTGATTTCTTATTGAAGGCACTTGAAATTTAACTATGTCCAGGATTTACAAACACAGGCAGAAAACATCTAGCTGGGGAGTCCGCTATGGCTAATATGTGATTATTATTTTTGGATAATTGGTTCACATCAATAAAGTTATTAATCCTGGCTTGGTTGCACAGGCTAGAGTGCAATGGTGCTGTTTCAGCTCACTGCAGCCTCCATTTCCCAGGCTCAAGGGATTCTCCGGCCTCAGCCTCCTGAGTACCTGTAACCACCACAGTTGCATGCCACCATGCCTGGTTAATTTGTGGATTTTTTTAGTAGAGGTGGAGTTTCACCATGTTGCCCAGGCTGGTCTCGAACTCCTGAGCTCAGGCGATCTGCCCACCTCAGCCTCCCAACGTGCTGGGATTACAGGCGTGAGCCACTGCACCCTCCTCACTATGGTCTTTTTTATTTTTTACTTTTATTTGTTTTATTGTGGCCTTTTAAATGACAAAGAGATTCCATTTCCTTTGTTTAAAACCCTTCAAAGTTCTGGTTTCTAGTTGTTGCTCAATAAATACTAGTTGGCTGAATATTTGTTCACTCAAGTCTTTCCCATTTATTAATTACATGAGGGAAGTCATGAATCAGAATTAACTGAGAAAAAAAAGGGAAGATGCTTAGAACCAAATCACGGAAGGGAGGAAAAACAGCAACACCAAGGCAGTGAGTGTGAGCTACTTGCTTCAGCTTCTTGGCCACTGGACTTAGTTTAAAAATCTTGGCTTCAGGTCTCACATGTACCAATTGCGCCCTCTCTCTCTCTCTCTCTCTCTCTCTCTCTCTCTCTCTCTCTATATATATATATATATATATATGAATGTTATATATATTAGTTATATATATATATAAAACTAATTACTACTATTTATATTTGCTTCACCTCTGAGCCTTGTCTTTTCTCACCTCTTAATTGAGTATAATATGATTTATGGTATCTTGCACAAGGCTTAACTAACATACCAGAGTGAGTCTGAAAGTGCTTTGAAACTGTAAAACATTTAGAGAAACATAAGATGTTATTAACAAGGAAATTTCCATTGGAGATCTCTCCTCCCTGTCTTCCTTTTCCTCAAAGCGTGGAAGAGTAATTGAGAGGGCTATGGATTTTAACACTGTGGAGGAAAGGATCTTAGATTCTGCAATGAATTAAACTGAAGAATGCTTTCATAATATAAATAACCACCTCTCTCCCATACTTATTTATTTGGTTGGTTTTTGCAATTATTGGGGAGAGATCTAACAGAAAAGAAAACTTGTCTGACTAAAATGAGAGAATAGGCTGGGCGTGGTGGCTCATGCCTGTAATCTCAGCAATTTGGGAGGCCGAGGCAGGTGGATCACCTCAGGTCAGGAGTTCGAGACCAGCCTGGCCAACATGGTGAAACCCCATCTCTACTAAAAATACAAAAATCAGCTGGGCGTGGGGGCGTGTGCCTGGAATCCCAGGTACTGAGGAGGCTGAAGCAGGAGAATCGCTCGAACCAGGAGCCGGAGGTTGCAGTGAGCCGAGATTGCACCACTGCACTCTAACCTGGGCCACAGAGAGAGACTCCGTCTCAAAATAAATAAATAAATAAATAAATAAATAGCAAAAGGCCAAATTACAATGCTAGGTGTTCATTTTCCTATGTCAGTTCCTCAGCATCAGGGTGCACTGCCCCAGCTCAGAGCTCCCTGCTTAGTATTTAACACATAATATGCATCTGAAACATGCTTAGGCACTTTTCAAAGTTTAGATCATATCTAGCCAGATCACGCTTGAGATAGACACAGGCTTGTTTTTCCTCCTCAGGTCCAGTAAGGACTGGGCTACACTGGCTGGTTCACTTGGGGATCAGAGTCCAATTTCAGATTAATCTTTGTTTAGTTCACTTACCACAATATTGTCTTACCCAGAACTTACTATATACAGAGTTATTTCTTATGCTATTTTCATCTATTTCTAACTTTCAGAAAAGGAAACAGTTTAACATTGGCTGAATAGGATACTTTTCTCCCCCAGGGTGTTTTAACAATGTAGCAGGGTAGCTTGGAGGAGGCAGGATCCTCAGCAATGCAGGTCACTTGTTACTTTCTCTTGTAACTGACTCAGAATGCTACCATACAGTAAGTTCCTTTTCAAGATTAAACTGTGACAATGACAAAAGTCTCTTCCTATATCTTCCTAATGATCATAATGGCTATTTTTTTATTGAGTGTTAGCCAGTGCTGGGTGCTTTGCATGATCTCATTTGACTGATCCCAGCATCAGCCTTATGAGGCAGCTATTTATTGTCCCCATTTACAGACTAAGAAACGGAGCCTTCTTTCTATGTTGCCCAAGTTTTTACCTCCTGCATTGTAATATTACTGTGAGCTTGTCCTGTTGCTTCTATTACATGGTAATTATTAGTTTGTTTGTGTTAAGTACTAACCCAGGAGTTTCTTTAATTTTTAAATGAAAAGGGAACTTT
Organism: Homo sapiens; assembly: GCF_000001405.40. Taxonomy (NCBI): domain Eukaryota; kingdom Metazoa; phylum Chordata; class Mammalia; order Primates; family Hominidae; genus Homo; species Homo sapiens. Next base: position 93,373,824 of record NC_000012.12, on the reverse strand, counting down.
GTTTTTTAAGTGGGGGATCCAGAAGATAAGCTCGTAAGGTGAGAAATGGAAGTAGAAGCCTTAATTACAATTTCATTTAATCTAAAGTGATTTTTTTCTTTTACAAAAGAATGGAGTAAGCAAACTGAAAATTAAAAAGCCTTAAATTAAAAAGCTTTAGGATTAAAAAACTGCACTCCAGCCTGGGCGACAGAGCGAGACTCCGTCTCAAAAAAAAAAAAAAAAATTCAAAAAAGGACTAATCAATCTGACCAGCATTTGCAAAACTTTAAAAGCAGACCTTTTGGTCTGACTGTTTATAAACTTACCTTACATTGAAATAAAGAAATGATTTTCAGATTTGCAACTTATTACCTATTTTCTCAATTCCCATTTACTGCAGAGCATTTGTTTTCCAAGCATCATGTTTATATGCAGCTCTCTGTGGCTAATGAATATGTTTACTGGAAGTACATTTTTTCTTTCCTTCTTTATCATTCAGGGAAAGGTATATGCCAAGTAGTTATCTCCTCGCAAAGGCATGACTTGACATTTTCATAGACTTCTTCAGGCCAGCATTTTGAACTCTTGCATCATCTGGAAATGGTTGTTTTTGCTACATAACAATTTTTTTATTTGAGGGCAAAGGCTAAAAAAGGACAATGTTGCCCATAAGAGACATGTTAATTATCACAATAAATTGACATTGGTTTTTTGGAGGTTTGTTTGTTTGTTTGTTTGTCTGAGACGGAGTTTCACTCTTGTTGCCCAGGCTGGAGTGCAATGGTGCGATCTCAGCTCTCTGCAACCTCCAGCTCCTGGGTTCAAGCGATTCTCCTGCCTCAGCCTCCTGAGTAGCTGGGATTACAGGTGCCCACCACCATGCCTGGCTAATTTATTTTTTATTTTTTTTAGTAGAGATGGGGGTTTCACCATGTTGGCCAGGCTGGTCTCGAACTCCTGACCTCAGGTGATCCACCCACCTCGGCCTCCCAAAGTGTTGAGATTACAAGCGTGAGCCACTACACCCTGCCCTTGTGTGTTTGTTTTTGAGACAGGGTCTCACTCTGTTGCCCAGGCTGGATGGAGCAATAGTCTTGATCATGCCTCACTGCAACCTTTGCCTCCCAGGCTCAAGCGATCCTTCCATCTCAGCCTCCAGGTAGCTGGGACTACAGGCATGCACCAGCATGCCTGGCTAATTTTTGTATTTTTGGTAGAGATGGGGTTTCGCCATGTTGCCCAAGCTGGTCTCAAACTCCTGGGCTCTAGTGGTCCTCCTGCCTCAGCCTCCCAAAGTTCTGGGATTACAGGTGTGAGCCACTATGCCCACCTGGGACCTTGTTTTGATGCAGATTCAAACACACCTTTTTTTTTTTGAGACAGAGTCTCACTGTGTTACCCAGGCTGGAGTGCAATGGCATGATCTCGGCTCACCGCAACCTCTGCCTCCCAGGTTCAAGTGATTCTCCTGCCTCAGCCTCCCAAAGTGCTGGGATTACAGGTGTGAGCCACCACACCCAGCCCCAAACAACAAACTTTCAAACAATTTTTTAATATGACTAATTTTTCCCAATAGGCAAGCAAAGATTTTTAAGAGGACATTTATAAGGACAATTAGGGAATGTGAACACTGAATATGTGATGATATTAAGCATCTATTGTTGCTTTTGGGGCAGTGTGATGATGTTCAAAAAAGGAGTCCTTATCTTTTAAGCATATGTACAAAAATATTTGCAGCTGCAGTACTATGATGGAGAAAAATCTAGGTTGTTGGGGGCAAGGAAAATGAGTAGGAGTGTGAAGGAAGCTAGATTGGCCATTAGTTGATTATTGTCATAGTTGAGATATGGTTGCATTATTTTTATTTTTTATTTTTTTGCATTTTTTGAAATTTTCTATAAGTGTTTAAAATATTAAGTTGTAAGCCATTAGGAAAATTGGGGAGAGGAAGAATGTTTTGTAGACATGGACATGAATCCCCACACTGCTAGAATACAAGTTGTGTTATACTTGTTATATTAGAGCCTGGAATGGCTGTTTAGAAACGTATTTGATCAGAAATAGAAAAGAACAATATAACTTCATTAGTTTGGTTCTGGATATCTGAGTTGACCTCTTTCTCCCTTCTATCTAAAAGCTGAAAGGACAGCCACGCGCAGTGGTTCACGCCTGTAATCCCAGCACTCTGGGAGGCAGAGGCGGGTGGATCACCTGAGGTCAGGAGTTCCAGATCAACCTGGCCAACACGGTGAAACCCATCTCTACTAAAAATACAAAAATTAGCTGGGCCTGGTGGCGGGCGCCTGTAATCCCAGCTACTCGGGAGGCTGAGGCAGGAGAATTGCCTGAACCCAGGAGGTGGAGGTTGCAGTGAGCCGAGATCGTGCCACTGCACTCCAGCCTGGGTGACAGAGGGAGACTCCGTCTCAAAAAAACAAACAAACAACAACAACAAGAACAACAACAACAAAAACCCCCCAAAACTGAAAGGAACATCTTCACTGGCAGGTATAAAAAAAAATCCTAGATTATGTTACAGTCATTTTGTTGCTATGTTGGGCCTGGCCAACCTCAGGAAACAGAAACTCTTTGAACTTCTCCCTCCTTTCACCTGCTCCAAGGTAGGACTGTAATCTTTCTCCACCTTTCCGATTGTGATTCCTAAGACCCTCATTCCAGAGAGGGTTCCGCCCCATACCCTGGGGGAAGGAATGCTAACACTATGAAGATTCCGTAAACACACTGGGTTCAGAGAGCTTCCAGATAGCTGAACACAGGGAGGTTCTTAGAGGGTGGTGTACCCAGAGAGGGCGCGGAAGCTCTGTGCTCCTTCCCTGGGCACTGCTCCCGGCATCTCTTTGTCTGTATCCTTTCTAATATCCTTCATAATAAACCAGTAAACGTAAGTGTTTCCCTGAATTCTGTGATCTGCCCCCAGCAAATTAATCGAACCCAAAGAGAGGGTCATGGAAACCCCAACTTGAAGCTGGTCAGTCAGAAGTTCCAGAGGCCTGACCTTGTGACTGGTGGGGGATGGGGTCCAGCCTTAGGGGCTGAGCCCTCAACTGTGGGATCTCACAGTATCTCTGGGTAGATAACCCCAGAATTGAATTCGAGGACACCCAGCTGGTATCTACTGCAGAATTGGTGGTGAGGAGAAGCCCCAATATTTGGTCACAGAAGTCTTCTGTATTTATGACTGTTGTGTCAGAGCAGAAGAAAAACACAATTTGAGGATTTTCTGAAACATATGTACATTGTTTTTTTGTAGTTTTAAAAAATACTATCACCAGGCACAGTGGCTCACGCCTGTAATTCCAGCACTTTGGGAAGCCGAGGTGGGCGGATCACTTGAGGTCAGGAATTCGAGACCAGTCTGACCAACATGGTGAAACACCTTCTCTACTAAAAATACAAAAATTAGTCAGGTGTGGTGGCAGACAACTGTAGTCCCAGCTGCTCGGGAGGCTGAGGAATGAGAATTGCTTGAACTCGAGAAGTGGAGGTTGCAGTAAGCCAAGATCCAAGATCATACCACTGCACCCCAGCCTGGGTGACAGAGCAAGACTTGGTCTCAAAAAATAAAATAAAATAAAATAAAAATAAAAAATGCTGTAGGTTACTACCAGCAGAAATCCCTCAAAAGGGGTCTCTGAGGGCTGGGCACAGTGGCTCACCCCTGTAACTCCAACACTTGGGAGGCCAGGCAGGTGGAGTGTATTGTTTGAGCCCAGGAATTCAAGACCAGGTGGGACAACATGGTGAAACCCCATCTCTACAAAAAAATACAAAAAATTAGCTTGACATGGTGTCATGTGCCTATAGTCTCAGCTAATTGGGAGGCTGAGGCAGGAGGATCTCTTGAGCCTGGGAAGTCGAGGCTGCAGTGAGCTGTAATTGTGCCACTGCACTCCAGCCTGGGTGACAGAGTGTGACCCTGTCTCAAAAATAAATTCATTAATAAATGATGTTAAAAAATAGTTTTAGTCTGGGCACAGTGGCTCACACCTGTAATGCCAGCACTTTGGGAAGCTGATGGGGGAGGATCACTTGAACCCAGAAGTTTGAGACCAGCCTGGGCAACATGGCCAGATGCTTTTTCAGTAAAAATTAAATAAATAAATAAATAAATAAATAAATAAATAAATAAGGGGCCTCTGAAAGATCATGAACCTTTTGAAATTGTCAATGAAAAGATTCAAACACTGTAACATATTTGAAGAGGTTTATTCTGAGCCAAATATGAGTGACTAAGGCTTAAGACAGCCTCAAGAGGTCCTGAGAACAGGTACCCAAGGTGGTTGGTTGCAGCTTGATTTTATACATTTTAGGGGGACAGATAATCTCTCCTGGATGAAGAAAAGATTTGGAAAGGAAAGGAGATTTTCTACAGAATGTAGATTTTCCCCACAAGAGACAGCTTTGCAGGGCCATTCCAAAATATGTCAAAGAAATGTATTTTGGGGTAAAATACTTGGATTTCTTTAAGGCCTTGCTATTTGTCATGTGATGCTATACTACAGTCAGTATATACAGTCAGGTTGAGATTTGGTATCTTCTACTAGAAGAGTCTGTTTTGTCAGTCTCAAGATCTCTGTTTTAATGTTAATGCTGGTCAGTTGAATTCTAATGGGAGAAATTAAGAGAAACCTAGAAACCTAAGAGGTTTCCTCATACCTTAAAAACAATCTACAAGAGATTCAGGGGGTGATGGGCTCTTGCTTTTCTATTATTTACTTACTCTTATTCACTACTTTTTTTATTTTTCATTTTATGGCAGAAGGAGAAGGAGAAGGGGACAGAAGAAGAGAGGGAGAGAGGAAGGAGAGGGAGAGGGAAAGACAGGGAGAGAAGGAGAGAGGGAGAAAGGAAGAGAGGTAGGAGAGAGGGAGAGGTGAAGGAGAGAGGGAGAAAGGAAGAGAGGTAGGAGAGAGGGAGAGGTGAGGGAGAGAGGTAAGGAAAGGGAGGGAGGGTGAGGGAAGGCAAGAGAAGGTGGGAGTGAGCCAGAGAGAGAGAGAGAGAGCGCGCGCACACAGACTTACTATATTGATAAAATTATATCCAAAGCTTCAAAATTTTTAGGGAATAAGCACAAAAAAACTATTCTTTTTCACATGATAGTAATGCTTGCAACCATATCATACAAATGTAGATTATTGTAGAGTCAAGATATTCCAAAAAATAGTAATATTAACATTCAATTTTACAGTTCAGAGAATAAGAGCAATTTATTTCAAAGACTGGATAAGTTAGTGGGACTGGGTCTCCTGGAACATCACATGAATGTTCATTTCAACACAGATATGATGGGAAACACTATGAGGGACATAACAGAAATAAAGACAGTTATTAACCTCAAGACACTTGCTATCTTTTGGGAAAACAGGAAATAATATAAGGGAGTGCGGCAGTATCAGGTATAGTCTTGAACTGAGTATTGTCAAGTGTCAACTTGCAGCCACGTTCATAGGCTAGTTGAGGGTTCTTGGAAACTGCTCTTCGACAACAATAACACATGTGTGCACACACACATCCCAAGTGAAAGTAGCTTTTTTTTTTTTTTTTGAAACCGGGTCTCGCTTTGTCACCAGGCTGGAGTGCAATGGCGCAATCTTGGCTCACTGCAACCTCTGTCTCCTGGGTTCAAGCGATTCTCCCGCCTCAGCCTCCCGAGTAGCAGGTGTGCGCCACCACGCCCAGCTAATTTTTGTGTTTTTAGTAGAGATGACGTTTCACCATATTGGCCAGGATGGTCTCAATCTCTTGACCTCATGATCCGCCCGCCTCGGCCTCCCAAAGTGTTGGGATTATAGGCGTGAGCCACAGTGCCCAGCCAAAAGTAGCTTTTAATATGACTTTTCCTTTCTATCTTAAAAAGAAAATCAATAATACTTTCAAGTATGATATAGAGTGGACATGTCCTTTTTCTGTTGTATGTTCTCCAAGAGTCTTTTATATTATAGGTTTATAGAAAAGTCATATTATTTACAAAGGGAGACCTACATACAGAAATGCATTTTATATAAGGCTCAGCTTGAAAAAATTATCTATATAATTTTTTTAAATTTTTATTTATTTATTCATTTATTTATATTTTTTGAGATAGGGTCTCACTCTGTTGCCCAGGCTGGAGTACAGTAGTGTGATCACAGCTCACTGCAGTCTCAACCTCGTGGGCTCTATCCATCCTCCCACCTAAGCCTCCCAAGTAACTGGGATTACAGACCCACACCATCATGCCTGGCTAATTTTTGTATTTTTTGTAGAAACAGGGTTTTGTCATGTTGCCCAGGCTGGTATCAAACTCCTGGGCTCAAGCAGTCCTCCTGTCTTGGCCTCCCAAAGTGCTGGGATTACAGGTATGAGCCACCACATCCAGCCCTTTGTATTTTTAGTCATTTTTAAAGAAGCATTGTTCTGGTTGGGTGCGGTGGCTCACGTCTGTAATCCCAGCACTTTGGGAGGCCGAGGAGGGTGGATCACGAGGTCAGGAGATTGAGACCATCCTGGCTAACACGGTGAAACACCGTCTCTACTAAAAATACAAAAAATTAGTCGGGCGTGGTGGCGCATGCCTGTAGTCCCAGCTATTTGGGGCACTGAGGCAGGAGAATTTCTTGAACCCAGGAGGCTGCAGTGAGCCAACATCATGCCACTGGGTGACAGAGCAAGATTCTGTCTCAAAAAAAAAAAAAAAGGCCAAGCGCAGTGGGTGACGCCTCTAATCCCAGCACTTTGGGAGGCTGAGGCGGGTGGATCACCTGAGGTCAGGATTTTGAGACCAGCCTGGCCGACGTGGCGAAACCCCGTATCTACTAAAAAAAAATACAAAAATTACGTGGGTGTGGAGGCACGCGCCTGTAGTCCCAGCTACTTGGGAGGCTGAGGCAGAAGAATTGCTTGAACCCAGGAGGCGAAGTTTGCAGTGAGCCGAGATGGTGCCACTGCACTCCAGCCTGGGTGACAGAGTGAGACTCTGTGTCAGATAAAATGAAATAAATTAAAAATTAAAAAATCCAAATCTGGTAAAAACTTGGAGGTACTTTAAGATAGACTACTTTGATATGTGCTTAAAGAAATACTCAGGGTTTATGGCAGGTTTGAAAAACTGAAGTATAAAACTTCCCTGAGATATCCAATAGCAGAGACACAACCCATGTCTCTACGGACTCTCTGCCAATGCCATCTGTCAAAGCCACGGTGACAGTTTAATGTGTCAGAGGAACACACCCTGGGCCAAAAAGATGAGACACCTGGGTTCTGGTGGCAATGCCTTCAGTCTCTTCATCGGTTTTCTTCTCTTTGAAGAAAATGGAAGTAGCAACATCTGGCCTACCCATCTCTCAGGGTGTTGTGAAGACACACTGTGATAAATAATGGGAAACATATTGGGCAAAACGTAGAATGAATCAAAATTTTTAGATAACTTTCTAAGAAAAGAATTGATTTAAATGAAAATCAAATGTAATATAATAATGCAGCATTCTATCTTCCCCAGATTGCTACAAAAGTTCAGGGACATGGGGCTTTAGGAAGACTATAAGTTCTACATCCCTTTAAAAGAATTCTCACAGCAGCGATTCCAGCCGTGTGAATTCTGTGAAATAACATCTGGCTGCCCACTCTAATGCTGGCAAAGTCTAAATAGCATAGAAAAAGAGGAACGATTTGGTGAAAAGACACTTAGAGTAGGCAGGAGATTACCGTTAGCAAATGGTTGTTTAAATTCTTTGTTTAAGCAAGTGTTCTGCCTAGAATTTAAGGATTTGTGGTAAGCTTACCAGAATCCAGTCACCATCAAAGGCAATGATGGCAGAGGAACTCTGCCAGGCACCACGTTAAGAGCCTGAGTTCTTCACCTCACGACATTTGCCATGTTTTTTCTCTTACCCCCAACATCATGTCTTTATACCACCTCTTGTATATTTATTCTCCTATTCAAGACTCCTTTCTTTCCTAAAGCCTTCCTAGAACAAGTCCAACCTTCACATCAGCATGTGTTTAAGAAATATATTATTCTTGGGAAAATTTCAGGGTATTTCCTGCTTTTGTCCATAATTCAGTGATATTGTACCTGTTTTTCTTGGCTGAAGGAAACCAATGACTAAAATACTTTTAAACTACTGCTGCCTATACCTTCTTTAAAGAGGTCTTATTTTCTCATTGCTGGTAGTGAGAGCTTTTAAAAGGTCGAAATCCATATTATTATTCCAAAATATGTTTAGTTAAAAACTAAATGCCTAGTAGTAGAAAAATGGTCATATAAGTAGGCCGGGCATGGTGGCTTACGCCTGTAATCCCAGCACTTTGGGAGGCCGAGGCAGGCGGATCACAAGGTCAGGAGATTGAGACCATCCTGGCTAACATGGTGAAACCCCGTCTCTACTAAAAATATAAAAAATTAGCCGGGCATGGTGGCGGGCGCCTGTGGTCCCAGCTACTCAGGAGGCTGAGGCAGGAGAATGGCATGAACCCAGGAGGCGGACCTTGCAGTGAGCCAAGATCATGCCACTGCACTCCAGCCTGGGCGACAGAGCAAGACTCTGTCTCAAAAAAAAAAAAAAAAAGAAAAGAAAAAAGAAAAATGGTTATATAAATTACAATATATACACTTCAAGGAGTTCTATGTAGCTATAAATAACAATGCTTACATAGTTTCTAAAAGCAAGGCAAGAGCTTGTTACAAAGTTAGATTTCTAAGTATTAAAGGTTGTATCACCTGGAGCAACGTGGCCAAACCCAAAACCCATCTCTAAAAAAACATACAAAAATTATGTGGGCATGGTGGCATATGCCTGTAGTCCCAGCTACTCTGGAGGCTGACGTGGGAGGATCCCTTGAACCCAGGAGGCAGTGAGCCTGGTTGTGCCACTGCACTCCAGCCTGAGTGACAGAGTGAGTGAGATTCTGTCTCAAAAAAAAAAAAAAAAAAAAAAGTTGTGAATACAATACAGTCCCAACTATATAAAGATCTTAATAGCAGAATTGACAAAATAGTTAATAATTTTTATTTTTGGGTTAACTATAGATTTTTTTCCTTATGCTTTCCTGTATTTCTCAAAATCATGTCATGTGCATGTTCATTTGTATTAGAATATCGTCTGTGTGTGTGTGTGTTCAGCCAGACATTAAGTAAATTGCTTTCAGATTGGTTAATAAGAATAAAAACAGTCAGGCGTGGTGGCTTGCGCCAGTAATCCCAGCACTTTGGGAGGCCAAGGCAGGCAGATTATTTGAACTCAGGAGTTCGAAACCAGCCTGGGTAACATGGCAAAACCCCATCTCTTCAAAAAAAAAAAATTAGCTGGGTGTTGTGGTGTGCACTTATAGTCCCAACTGCTTGGGAGGCTGAGGCTGGAGGACTGCTTGACCCTGGGAGGTCAGGGCTACAGTGTGCCATGATCACGCCACTACACTCTAGTCCCGGCACCTGAGCAAGACCCTGTCTCAGAAAAAAAAAAAAAAAAAAGGAAAGAATAAAAACACGTAAAATCTCAATAATAATGATAAAAAATATATAATATTCTGTGAGGAACTGGTGTAGAACGAATGAGTTCACTCCAGACCACTCAAGTTTAAGTTAAACCAGAGCTCAGCCTATTAGTCTACAAAGTAGGAAGTGGTGAGGTGACTCTAGCTTTGTGGTTAACTTCATTTAACCTCAGCCACTATAGACATAGATCCCTTGAAAGCCCCCCACGATTGGCCCACCCCTTCATCCTTCACTATCTCTTCCCTTTCCCACTTCCTATTCTACTTCTACAGTTCCTTGATGGCCTAAATCAATGGACAGAAAGGGAGGGGAAAAAAAAATGAGGCAGGTCAAACTTAAAGGCGTAGGAAAGATTCTCTTTTCCTTACTTCTATCTCTGCAGGCAGGAGAGGTCTTTTGGACAAGTTCTGAGAAATAGAACTATTTCATGTGGCTGGGAACTCAACTACCTTAGCCAATGGAGCTTGTGACCCAGTTGTGGGAGTGGAGTTGAGTTCTCTTTTATTTCTTTAAGTGATTTTTAAAAATGCACTGGAGCATGTGACCATTTCTTTTTTCTTTTTTTTTTCTGAACAACTAAAATTTTATGATAATGATTAATATCACCTCTAATATTTTGGGAACCTGATCAAGGCCTGAAGCAGTTTTTCTGGCCTAGGATTGTTGTACTATCACATTCAATACAGGTTTATTGATGAAGGCTAGCTAGGGACACAGGGCACATTTGGAGGTCCTCATAAAATCTCTATTAGCTCCTAAAGGACACTCTGAATTTTTTTTAAATGACATTTTGTGATGTAAACAATAATTTCTCAATCTTATTTAAAATGTTGGGGAGGAAAACTGTCTCTAGCCTTTGCCGTTTATTTTGTAACATACAATTTGTGCCATTATAAGACAGGCCCCCTAAGTACTACTTGCAGAGAAGGAAAATAAATATTTGCAAGCTTGGAAAGAACAACAATAACAGATGCATGTCCAGGGTATAACTCTTCCCGGGGCTCCACAAAGGCTGGCAGATGAGGTCTTGACATAAGTTTCTAGGCAAGATGGGGAAAGAAGGAGACGGACCCAAGCAGAAAAGATCATGTTCAAAGGCATCACTGTGTGAAAGAGAACCTTCAGGAAAATGCAGGCTGCTTAATTGAAAATAGGTGAAGACAAGCTAGAGAAGCAGGCTTCAGCTACATCACAGGCTAAGGAATTTGACTCTATTGTAGACCAAGAGTATCAAAGTGACCTCAGAAAGTTTTCCCAGGCCAGTGCAGCTGTTTTAAAATAATTTTTGATTTGAATAACTTCAGGTAGGACAGATCTTCTCCAGGTCCATACAACTTCCTTCTTGGCCATATTAAACCCCATGGCTTCACACATTTGAGTGCCTGGTAGTGAAGGCATTTGAGATCTTCTCAAGAATATGCTAGGTAGATAATGGAGAACTGTGGAAAGACTGGCATAGGCCAGAGGCATGATCAGATTTGCAGTGTAGACAGATCATTCAGGCAGTGAGGTGGAAATTAGATTTTGTGACAGTTGGCAGCACAACAAGAAGGAAGGGCTAGTCAGAAAGATATTAGGATGATAGTGTCCTAACTAGGAACTGGAACTAATCATATGTGGAAGATGAAGAAGGAGGAGGTCTAAAGGGCTTCTAAGTTCTCGCTCTTGTAAAGGGGTCACTGGTTATTATACACCCAGCAGCCTGTGTTATACACTGGTTGTTATACGTCTTTGCAAAAGACATAGCAGGTTGGAGGCAAGGAAGGGATGTTGAGTTCAGTTCAGGGATGTTAGACCAGGTAATTGTGATGGCCCTGTGGGACGTTTTTGTCTAGCTATCCAGTAGACTAGAGATACAGATCCGTGGACATATGTCTTCCTCTCTGCACCAGATCCAGGCCAGGTTGTTGGAGGTGAGTTTCTTTTGGCACTGTTCATCCATTAGTTTCTTTGGCTATATCCCAAGGGAAAACTAGATTTCAGTTCTCACTTATTCCCACCTACTTCAGTTCTCAATTTGTATCCATCCTGCAGGAGTTTATTATTATTATTATTATTATTATTATTATTATTATTATTATTTTGAGATGAAGTCTCGCTCTGTCACCTAGGCTGGAGTGCAGTGGCACGATCTTGGCTCACTGCAACCTCTGCCTCCCGGGTTCAAACTATTCTTCCACCTCAGCCTCCCGAGTAGCTGGGATTACAGGCCCACGCCACCATGACTGGCTAATTTTTGTATTTTTAGTAGAGATGGGGTTTTGCCATGTTGCCCAGGCTGGTCTCAAACTTCTGACCTCAAGTGATCCGCCCACCTTGGCCCCCCAAAGTGCTGGTATAACAGATGTGAGCCACGATGCTGGGCTGCATCCTGCAGGAGTTTAGAGAAGTGTAATGACGTTTCATCTGCTTTTTACTATTCCTCCTCTCTCCCATCCTTCAACCAACTGCCCATAGTTGTTTGCACTATTATTGTCAGGAGGTAATTGTGCCTGCATCGTTAACCACCCAGCAGCCTGTGCTGAGATCTGTGGGCTGCATGTGAACATGAGCTGCCATCAGCATGAGGTGGCAGACACCCAGTCTTGGCTGTGAGCACACCTGGCACAGAAGGCTTCTCTGTCACATGAAGACCAGCTGACTTATCTGTAATAAGCCTGCTGGAGGTGGTGGAGCTCAGACCAGGCTGCTTGTGGGTTTGGAACTAATGGCAAAACCATTCTTAGAAGCTTGGCAGGACACATGCAAAGAAACAGCTACTTCTCAGCCCATAAAGTATTTGCATTACCTTCAGGAATTTGAAGCTTTTTACTCTGGACCTGAGAGGGGTTTGGGCACCAGAAATAAAATCTACTTCAAGCATGCCTCCAAATGATAAAATTCTTGATTTAATTTTGGCATTTTGAGCTGTTTGAAAGAGTAAAACAAATGGCCGGAAGTGCCTATGGTGAAAGACCTCCACAAGGGGTGGGACGCCATTGGTATCCTTCCAAGGAATTTCAAGCAAGTCGGTGATGCACTGGGTAATCTTCACAGTACCCTTTAATGCGGTGTTAGGAAATATTCAGATTAAGAGCAAGAGAGGCTCACTGAAACACATTTGGATACATTTGCATTTTGTGTTTAATTGTTATGATTAAATTATTACAACATTTGTTGAGACAAGTGGGGAAAAAAAAGAGTTTAAAAATGCCCATAATCCCACTACCTCTAAATCCTTTCTGCTATAGTTTAAATGTGTTCCCCAAAGTCCACGGGTTAGAAACTTGATGGTGATGGGGCCTAATGGAGGAATTTAGTCATGGGGGTGGATCCATCACAAACAGATTAAAGCCATTATTACATTATTGCATGAGTGGGTCCCTTATAAAAGGATGAGTTTGGTCTCCTCTTGCTGTCTTGCTCATTCTCCCTCTCTCTCCCCACACCCGTTCTCTATCACTTTTCTGCCATGTGATGCCTTTTGCTGTGTTATGATGCAGCAAAAAGGTCTTTGCCAGATACTGGCAGAACTGTGAGCCAATACATTTCTGTTTATTGTAAATTACCCAGTCTGTGATATTCTGTTATAGTAGCACAGAATGGACTAAGACAGTCTCCAAATCCTTTTCTGTCTGTACAAATAGAAACCGTTGTTTTTATTATAAACTTAAGATCATGTTGTACATTTGAGGATTTTGTTTCTTATTAAAATTGAGGTATCACTCACATGAAATGAAATATATAGATGCTAACTGACCATTTTGATGAATTCTGACAAATGTCCACCTACTCTGTGCTTCCCACCCCCCCACAAGCCATATGGCAAGAATATCATCTTAGAGCATTTCCATCACTCCAGAAAGTTCCTTTACTTCTTTCCAAATCAGCCTCTGCTCTACCCAGTTTCCCTGCACCATTGTTTAGATTTCTATCACTGCAGATTGGCTTTGCCTGATCTTGACCTTCATATAAATAGAAACATACAGTTACATAGAGTTTTGTAATCTGTTTTTTAAATCTAGTAACCTATGTGAACAGTTCCCATTTCAATAATATTTATCCACAGCATCACTTTCAATGGAAAAATAATACTGCTTTTGATGCATGCACTGTACCACATTTGTTTATTTAACCAATTCCTATTGATGGAAATTCTGATTTCCTTTATTCTCTCCCTCCCCCTCTAACCTTCCTTCCTTCCATCTTATTACAAATAACCCTGTTATTAATATCATTATAGGTAAGCCTTTGCACATAAAGCTTAATTGTTTTTGTAGTTTACATTCGTAGAAGTGAAATTGCTATGTCCAAAAAATGCACTTTTTTTTTTCCTTTGAGATGGAATTTCACTCTGTCACCCAGGCTGGAGTGCAGTGATCTCGGCTCATTGCAACCTCCATTTCCTGGGTTCAAGCGATTCTCCTGCCTCGGCCTCCGGAGTAGCTGAGATTAGAGGCACGTGCCACCACACCTGGCTAAGGCTAATTTTTGTATTTTCAGTAGAGACAGGGTTTCACCTTGTTGGCCAGGCTGGTCTCGAACTCCTGACCTCAGGTGATCTATCCACCTCAGCCTCCCAAAGTGCTGGGATTACAGGTGTGAGCCACTGCACCCAGCCAAAAATGCACTTTTTAAGGGATTTTGCTAAATGACCTCTAGAAAGACTGCCTTAGTTTATTTCTTAATATTATCAAAACACCATATAAGCTTGTTTTCTCACACCATGACCAACATTGCGAATTGGGGTGGGGTGGGGGGAGTCTTTGATCTCAGTCAATTTCATTGTTTATAACATGGTATCTCATTTTAATCTGTTATCACTCAGGTTATTAATGAAGTTGTACATTTTTTCTTCTGAGGAAAATTTTATTTTCTCATTTTACAGTGGAAAAAATGGTCTTTTATTTAAAAAAAACAAACTTACCAAATGATCAATAAACTGTTCATGGAAAAAAACTGATCCTATTAAGGATAGGAGGATAAAAAATAAACAATGTAAAAAACCACAAGCTGAACTTTCTGTCTCTGTTATTTTTAGCCAATGGCCTTATTGTATAATCTTGATTTTTGAATAGTGTTTGTTTTTTAGGCAATGCTTTTATTTTCAATTACTTCTAGAAAGGTTTTGCTTTTGCTTTAGGGGAAAAGTAAATTCAGTTTTGGATGACCAGGTTTTTAAATAAAAATGCATCCACTGAAGACATCTTTAAAATAAACATATCTTTGATATTTTAAGAAAGATTAAAGGAGAGCTGAATAGCCAGTGTCCAAGCAGCCACTTGCTTTTGGCCTTGTAGTCCAGCAACAAAGTTACTAAGTAAGGTTTGAAAACATTCCAGTCTTTTGTGTCAAATCCTTGGCTAGGCTGATACCATCTTCCTAGTACATGGTCATTTAATTTCAAACTGTAGTTATCATCAACAACATGTATACATACAATGAGGTCTATATTGTGTAACTTTTTTTTTTTTTTTTTAAGATGGAATCTCTGTCGCCCAGGCTGGAGTGCAGTGGCACCATCTCGGCTCACTGCAAGCTCTGCCTCCCGGGTTCACCCCATTCTCCTGCCTCAGCCTCCCAACTAGCTGGGACTACAGGCACCCGCCACCACGCCTGGCTAATTTTTTGTATTTTTAGTAGAGATGGGGTTTCACCGTGTTAGCCAGGATAGTCTCGATCTCCTGACCTCATGATCCGCCTGCCTCGGCCTCCCAAAGTGCTGGGATTACAAGCATGAGCCACCGCACCCAGCCATTGTCTAACATTTTTAAGAGAATCGTTGGTGTTTTAGTTGTAGCTCAGTTGAACTTGAGATAGCTCAGTTCCTTATTTGTAGAATTGTGGGCATTGATTAAATACCTCAAAGGTCCCTTTGAGACCTAAAACTCTTAAGATTTAAAAATTTATAATTGTTCTAGTAAATGTTAGTAATATGTTTATTATAATAGAAGTTAGTAAAAAGGAGAGAGCACTTTGATGAGTTCTTCTTTCGAATGTCCATAGAGCCATTTAGAGATTCCATAAGCATGTAGGCCGTAGGGTAGAATTCAGGTTCAGGAGTTATAGACAGTTCAGGGTCTGAAACCCAGCTTCACTACTTACTGTGTGGCCTTTAGCTAGTTATTTAACCTTTCAGTTTCTGTTTGCTCATTTGTAAAGTGGAGATTTGCAAACACTGTCTATTTTGTAGGGTTATTGTAAAAAATTAACATAAAGCACTGAAATAATTGCCTGAAACATAGGAAATACCCAATATGTAGTAGCTGCTATTATTGTTGTTATCAACAACACAATCAGGAATATATAGAATCAGTCCGGGCACGGTGGTTTACACCTGTAATCCCAGCACTTTGGGAGGCCGAGGCAGGCAGATCACTTGAGGTCAGGAGTTTGAGACCAGCCTGGCCAATATGATGAAACCCTGTCTTTACTAAAAATACAAAAATTAGCCAGGCATGGTGGTGGGTGCCAGTAATCTCAGCTACTCATGAGGCTGAGGCAGAGAATTGCTTGAACCCAGGAGGTAGAGGTTGCAGTGAGCCAAGATCGCGCCACTGCACTCCAGCCTGGGCGACAGAGTGAGACTCCGTCTCAAAAAAAGAAAAAAGAAAACTGGTTCTAAGAGAGAAAAATCTCTCTCAGAAGAGCTAATGAATGAGTAAATGGGGATTTAATATCATCCAACCTAGACATTAAGATTCAGACTTTAAAAATAGCCTCACAGGCCCAGCACAATGGCTCATGCCTGTAATCCCAGCATTTTGGGAGGCCATGTCAGGCAGATCTCTTGAGTCCAGGAGTTCAAGTCCAACTTAGGAAACGTAGGGAAACTCCATCTCTTAAAAAAAAAAAGAAGCCTCATAGCTGTTATTGAGATCATTTTACTCTGGAGTATTGTATTCAACAGTCTTAGTATAAATGACTACAATGTACATATAGTGTTTCCACTGACTGCATTTTATTTTGTGTGGATTTTATTAGTAGAACTTGTGTTGGCTCATTGGAATCTGTGGAAAATACGAAAACTGTAGCAGCACAACTGACTTTACTGACTTTTTTTGGTAAAATGAATATTCCAAGATCCTGGTATATAACTTTATGTGTGCTTGTAACTAATATGGCCTTGCTAGATGTATAACTAGTAAAAGAAAGAAAAGTGACTGCTAGTCTTCTAAAATAATAATTCTTAAGATTCCTCCCTGATGGTCTAGTGGCTAGGAACCCCCTCCCCCAACAAAAAAAAAAGGCTGGGCATGTGTATATATATATGCCTGACAACTAGGAAATTCCTTGGAAAACTTTGCAAGAAGTAATGCAATAGCAATAATGCAATAGGAATATTCATTCATTTACCCAAACTATTTGTTTTTAAACTAGAAATGATTGCAAATTGCTCAATCAATAGTTTGGACAGTTCATGTGGTTTTCCTGAGCATTCTGTCCCCTTTCAGGTCTTGCTTCGAGTTAATTAGATTCTTTGCTCTTCCACAAATGAGTTGGCACATGGGTGCTTGGGAATTTCATCTTCACTTCAACTGTTTTTAGGGACTCCTCTATCACAGTAAAAGTAGGAATGCCAAGTTTCTTGTCCAAAGAATAGGTTTTAACTCCACTTTTATTTTTTTCCAGTGTCTTACAGAAAAATATTTCTTTTTTTGTCTATTTGCAATGTGCAAAGCCAGTAACTGACCTTATGATCCTGGTCTTTCATTCACAGTTTACAAACACTACTGTCTATAGTCTATGATTAGTTTTTTAAAAGTTAAAAACATTTAACTACTAATTAGTAAAAACTATACATGTAAGGGTGTTGGAAAATATGACTAAGTCGTCCTCAAATACAGTGAACAAAAAATATGCTTACTATTCCAAGGAGAACTGAGAAAAATATGTATAACATAAAAAATGTCTCTCATTACCACGTGTAGTGGCACGGCCTCTAGTCCCTGCGACGTGGGAGGCTGACGCTAGGGGATCGCTTGAGCCCTGGAGTTCAAGGCTGCAGTGAGCTAGGATTGTACCACTGCACTCCACCCTGGATGACAGAATGAGACCCCGTCTCTAAAACAAAAAATTTTAAGTTTCTCTCAAAGCTAAATGTAATAATAGAAGTCATTTATTTTGACATTATCTTCTGCCTAAATTTTGTGTTATTAAAATATTATTTTTTTCTATGAAATATTGGTTATTATAGAAAATACTGGCTTTTAAAAACTGTTTTGATTTGGGAAAAGCTAAAAAAAACAAAAAAGCAAAGAAGACAAACCCATATTGATCTCCTAATTCTTCTTTTAAACACTGATTTTGGAAGTTTGAAAGTCTAAGAACCAGCTAGGTGAGGTGGCTCAAACCTGTAATCCCAGCACATTGGGAGGCCGAGAGGCAGGAGTATTGCTTGAGCCCAGGCATTTAAGACCAGCCTGGGCAACATAGCAAGAGCCTGTCTCAAGAAAAAAGAAAAAAAAAAGTCTAAGAACCAGGGATAATTATAATAGTGAACATTTATGAAAGGTTTACTATGAGCCAGGCCTATGCTAAGAACTTTACAAACATTAATCCATTTAATTCTTACAGCACCCCTGTGAGGTGAGTGCCAATATTATACCCAATTTATAGGTAAGGTAATGAGGAACCCAAGGTTAAGTAACCCAAGGTTGCACAGCTAATAATGGTAAACCCAGGATTCTGATCCTGAATCTAAATCCATTTCTTTTTCTTTTCTTTTCCTTTTTTCTCTTTTTTTTGAGAAAGGGTCTCACTTTTTTTTTTTTTTTTTTTTTTGAGATGGAGTCTTACTCTGTCGCCCAGGCTGGAGTGCAGTGGCACGATTCGGCTCACTGCAAGCTCTGCCTCCCGGTTCACGCCATTCTCCTGCCTCAGCCTCCCCAGTAGCTGGGACTACAGATGCCCGCCACCATGCCCGGCTAATTTTTCTGTATTTTTAGTAGAGACGGGGTTTCACCATGTTAGCCAGGATGGTCTCAATCTCCCGACCTCGTGATCCGCCCACCTCGGTCTCCCAAAGTGCTGGGATTACAGGCGTGAGCCACCGCGCCTGGCCAGGGTCTCACTTTTTGAGAAAGTGTTGCCCTAGAAGTGCAGTGGTATAATCACCACTCACTGCAGCCTCGACTTCATGGGCCAAAGCAATCCTCCCACCTCAGCCTCCTGAGTAGCTGGGACTGCAGGAGTGTACTACCATGCCTGGCTGATTTTTTTATGTTCTATAGAGTTGGTGTCTCACTTTGTTGCTCAGGTTGGTCTTGAACTCCTGGGCGATCTTCCTGCCACAGCCTCCCTATGTGCTGGGATTACAGGTGTGAGCCACTGCAACCAGCCACAGATTTAAGATGAGTAAATGCTCTACATTTGAATAGTAGTCCATCTATGTGGGTTGACAGATGCCTTTTTTGTCTGTTTTTAAAAATGAGGGCCAGCTACTTGGGAGGCTGTGGTGGGAGGATCGCTTGAGCCCAGGAGGTTGAGGCTGCAGTGAGCCATGACTGCACCACTGCATTCCAGTCTGGGTGACAGAGTGAGACTCTGCCTCAAAATAAAATGAAATGAAATGAGGATGCTCTGTAGATTGAGCCCGCTTTCAACACTACCTGTCTGGTTATGATATAATGAGTGGTCCCATTTGGACTGTCTGGCTGTCCAAGTCTATCAGTCTGTCTCTAATCTATTGCTTCTACTAAACACAAGCCAATTTCTTCTTGGAAAACTAGCTTGTAATCTTAAGAATTCCCTAGGGGGATTCTTCCATATTCTATTTTAATTTGTTTTATGTTATCAATGACCGTATAAAAGGCTTCAAGGTCTAATCAACTAGTATTCGCCCTTGAAACTACTAGAAGAGGTAAGCGAATTACCATCTAGCGTGGACAACACAATAGCTTTTTTTTTTTTTTTTTTTTTTTTTGCATTTTAACAACGCTGAAAATGTGATTGCATTATGGTCTACAGGAAAGGGCAGTTAGCAGACAATCATGAGTCCCTCTTCAGCTGTTCATTAGCTGTGGGAGCAACTTATCTTGGCTCTCTGAACATTAGATTTCTTGTTTATAAAATAGAAATTATTACCTTGCTGGTTGTTATGAGGATTATATGAGATACATTCAGGCAATCAACACATTTTGACATAAAGGTAGTTTAGCTAATTTAGATAAGGGAGTCAGGGAAGGTTCCATCAATTTAATTTTCTATCTCTAGCCATCACCCCAAATACTGGAGGTAATTTCAGAGATTTCAGGTAATAAAGGGATAGGGAAAGAATTAGAATCTTAGAAAATCTCTAACCTACATCTATTTAGAATTTTACAACTTACATTAAAGGTAATATACTCACCTTGTGCTGTGTAAATCTTGCAAAGTTCTCTAGCCAAATGCAATACATTTCACTCTGGCAAGACCAAAGACTATTCAAATAATGTGAATATAAAATATTATACAACTTTTTTCAACTTATGGTTCATTTATACAAAGACTCATTGCCATAGGAGAAGCATCTCAATTATTTTCCAGCTGGGCGTGGTGGCTCACGCCTGAAATCTCAGCACTTTGGGAGGCCGAGGCCGGTGGATCACGAGGTCAGGAGTCCAAGAGCAGCCTGGCCAATATGGTGAAACCCTGTCTCTACTACAAATACAAAAAAAATTAGCCAGGTTTAGTGGCACATGCCTGCAGTCCCAGCTACTTGGGAGGCTGAAGCAGGAGAATCGCTTGAAACCGGGAGGTGGAGGTTGCAGTGAGCCAAGATCATGCCACTGCACTCCAGCCTGGGAGACAGAGTGAGACTCCATCTCAAAAAAAAAAAATTTTTTTTTCTAGTGGTTGCAATCATTTTATGGAATTCCGTTATTCTCTCTCTCTCCCTCGAAGTTTTTTATGACCCTCCCTGTTGGATTTGGGTCGCTCTCCTGTAGGTTTCCATATCTGCAATTTTCAAAGGCATCTGGGATGTATGGTTCTGTCATGTATATGGGGCTCCCCCAACAGATTATTAATTTGCAGTGGGCAAGAACTCCTCATGTTCCTGACAACCCTTACTATCCTGCCCCCCGCACTCACAGCTGTGCCACTGCAATCTGCTCTGGGATCCTGGGACTAATCCCCTCATGTCATTCCTGTTCCTCCCTGTTTATGTCAGCCCAGTCTCCCAGGTCATCGCTCATCCTTTAGACTCTGATATCCACATGGCCTTGGATATCCCCTTTTCTGATCCCATGTCTTACCCTTCTCCAACTTCTTTTTAAAAAAAACTTTTTTAATTTTTATTTTTTTGAGACAAAGTCTTGCTCTCTCACCCATGCTAGAGTGCAGTGGCATGATCTCAGCTCACTGCAACCTCCACCTCCCACGTTCAAATGATTCTCCTGCTTCAGTCTCCCGAGTAGCTGGGACTACAGGTGCGCACCACCACACCTGTCCAATTTTTGCATTTTTAGTAGAGGCGTGGTTTCACTATGTTGGCCAGGCTGGTCTCGAACTCCTGACCTCATTTGATCCACCTTCCTCGGCCTCCCAAAGTGCTGGCATTACAGGCGTCAGCCACTGCACCGGCCCACTCCCCAACTTCTGCAACTCTTCCACAGGGACCTCAGCTGTATTCTTTCAAAAACCTCACTTCCTCACTTATCTGAATGCTCTCTTTGCCTGCTTGCTAGACCTGGTTCTCTTGAGCACATTGCTCCCCTTGCTGTGGATGGCCGTTTTCTCTCCCACACTCCTCAGACCACAGGCCTGCAAATGGGGTGAGTGTTCTCGTTCCTGCGTCCAGGCCATTTTCCCTCCCACTCTGTAGCTCCCACTACCACCTCCGACTGTCACATCATCAAACTCTACCCCACCGTGTTGCTGTCCTCTAACGCCTCCTCCTTCCCACACACGCCCTCATTCCTTCAAGCTTCCTCTCACCCACGTGGTTTCTGTCATCCTTGATGATTGTTTTATCCCTACAGATGATTTTTTTCAATATGGTATCTAGTCTTAGTGTTCTTAGGCTTCCCCTCTTCAAATGGCCTTGCACCCTTCCATGCCTCATGCCACTCACACCCAAAGTCAATCCTTAGACTTCATTACTAATAACTGCAACCTGTCCATCAGCTCAATTTCAAGTGCCAGCTATTATTGTTACCATTACTGATTTACAGAATTTGTTGAATGGGACCACTTGCTTGTGGGATTAGCACAGGCAAATGAATTACGTTCTTTCAGCCCCATTTGCTGTATTCAGGGGCTGTTGTGTGGTTGGTTGAGATCAGACATTAGTGGCAGGAGACTGGGAAAGAGCTGCAAGAAGGGCTGAACAGTGAAGAGATTAAGGGTGATGAAATTAAGCCAGGAGGAAAGAGGTAAAGCCTAGGGCAGAGAGGAGTATAGAACAATAATCCATGCTGGAGAAAAGGGATGGCGGATCTGCACACCAGAAGGTGGGGCCCTGGAGAAGGAACAGTAAATAGATTATGAACTGGAGACCTGCAGGGCAAGCAAGGGTGGAATAGGGAGATTAAAGGCAGCCCAGGGATCCAGGGAGAAGAAAATGGGCCAGGGCACAGAGTAGGGGCTTGTTGGGGACAAGCCCCCCAAAATCTGGCCATAAACTGGCCCCAAAACTGGCCATAAACAAAATCTCTGCAGCACTGTGACATGTTCATGATGGCCATAATGCCCGCGCTGGAAGGTTGTGGGTTTACCAGAATGAGGGCAAGGAATACCTGGCCCGCCCAGGGCGGAAAACTGCTTAAAGGCATTCTTAAGCCACAGACAATAGCACAAGCGATCTGTGCCTTAAGGACATGCTCCTGCTGCAGTTAACTAGCCCAACCTATTCCTTTAATTAGGCCTGTCCCTTCGTTTCCCATAAGGGATACTTATAGTTAATCCCATTTCCCATAAGGGATACTTTTAGTTAATCGAATATCTATAGAAACAATGCTAATGACTGGTTTGCTGTTAATAAATATGTGGGTAAATCTCTGTTCGGGGCTCTCAGCTCTGAAGGCTGTGAGACCCCTGATTTCCCACTTTACACCTCTATATTTCTGTGTATGTGTCTTTAATTCCTCTAGTGCTGCTGGGTTAGGGTCTCCCCGACCAAGCTGGTCTTGGCAGGGGCTGAACAAGTATTTGTTAAAAAAAATAAATATGTGACTCTAGGCTTAGGGTTTTGTTATTGTTTGGGCAATCTATTTTGGATCAAGATGTGCAAGGGTGTCACATTTTAGTGGGGTATGGGGATGGGGAAGGGTGAGGCATGTTTCTTGCTTTTATGTTAATTAGAATGGCTGGAGGTCTGGGCAGATGTATTGGAAGAGGGCTTCAGCCTTCTCAGGCTCTAAGCAGCTTTGTATCAGCAAGGTATGAATTGGATTTCAGCACCCCCATCTTTGTACCTAGGTTGGCAGGGATGGGTACGGTTAATGATGTGGTAGGCCTCTGAAGTTAGTTCTTGAAACCCTCCCTCAATAGTCTTTATATTGGTTGAATCTGGATTTCTGCCTACCTGGAAGCCAAAAAAAACTTTAGTTTTTCTGCTGTGACCTCCCTTTTGCTGTAACAGTTGAGGCCAAGATCTAGTTTAAAATGAACAGATGTGTGAACAGAGGTGTGACTCAGGGATTTCTCTCTCACTCTTTTTTTTTTTTTTTCATGCCAGGCAGGTAATGTACCAACGTTGTAATAAGATTTGTGGTGGTACGTTTCACACATGCGTGTGAACACAATCATCATGCTCATGAACTACGAGAGATTTTTTATTTTTTATTTTTTAGTAGAGATGACTGAGCGTCAGTGAGATGACTGAGCGTCAGTCATCAGAAGGCCTATCTTTATTTTATTTTACTTTTTGAGGCAAAGTCATGTTCTGTTGCGCAGGCTGGAGTGCAGTGGCATGATCTCGGCTCACTGCAACCTCTGCCTCCCGGGTTCAAGAGATTCTCCCGCCTCAGCCTCCTGAGTAGCTGGGATCACAGGCGTATGCCACCATGCCTGGCTAATTTTTATATTTATATATTGTTTAGTAGAGATGGGGTTTCACCATGTTGGCCAGGCTGGTTTTGAACTCCTGACCTCAAGTGATCTGCCTCCCTTGGCCTCCCAAAGTGTTGGGATTACAGGTGTGAGCCACTGCACCCAGCCAGAAGGTGTATCTTTATAATTTGCCCTTACCACCTTCCCCTCTTGAGAAAATCTCATCATGGATCCTGTCTGGCCCAGTGAGCTATAGTCATTTGACCCCAGAGGAGAGCTGAAAACACGTTTTTCCTTGAGGCTCTGGTAGTTACCAGGAGTTAACAATTTCCTTAGTTGTCTCTTGTTTGGTTCTTACATCCAGAGGTGTGCCCAAGGATTCTTCAGAACTGTTATTTTGAGCCCTATTTTTATTGATTTCAATGCAGAACGATACAGCCTGATTATTTTCCAGTTATTCAATTTGACAATTTTGAAATATTCTATAAATAATTTGTCTGTTTAGAAATTTAGGTTGATACTATGCAACTTTCAACATACTTTTAAAATCCATTCTGTGATATCAGTTAGCTTTGTTTTGGCTTTGAAACTTGCCCAAGGTCATAGAGTTAGTAAGTGGCAAGGCTGAGATTTAAAAGCCTTGAAGGGACTGGGCGCGGTGGCTCACACTTGTAATCCCAGGACTTTGGGAGGACGAGGTGGGCGGATCACTTGAGGTCAGGAGATTGAGACCAGCCTGGCCAACCTGGTGAAACCCCATCTCTACTAAAAAATATAAATGTAAAAGCTAGCTGGGCGTGGTGGTGGGCGCCTGTAGTTCCAGCTACTCAGGAGGCTGAGGCTGGAGAATCGCTTGAACCCAGGAGGCAGAGGTTGCAGGGAGCTGAGATCATGTCATTGCACTCCAGCCTGTGTGACAGGTGAGACTCCATCACAAGGAAAAAAAAAAACCTTTTAGAGTTTGGACTTGAATTGTGACTCTTGTTCAAAAGCTGGGTACATTTCTTAGCCTCTGTTAAAAAAACAAAAAAGATCTAATTTTTGAGCACCTGCCAGATTCCAGGCACTATTCTAAGAACTTTTCTCATCTGTAAATTGGGAAAATAATCTTGAAGATGCTATGGGCATGCATGTAACATCCTTAGGGCGGAAGCTGAAATATTATAGGCATTCAGTAATGTTAGTCCTTGTGATTGTCATTAGTCATCTTGTCTGCCAAGAAATATGACTGGCTACAAAAATGCAGCGTTACCCTCGCCATTGCCATTTAAAATGTTACTCTTCTGAAGAATATTTGTAAACATGTCACCAATACTCTCTTCTCTTAAATAATTTAAAAATAAACTTTTAATTTCATTTAAATTTATTTAAAACTTTTAATTTTAGAATAATTTTAGATTTACAGAAAAGTTGCAGGAGAGTACAGAGAGTTCCCCTGTGTCCCTTACCCACATCTCACATGACAATGGTACATTTGTCACAACCAAGAAGCCAACATTGGTACACTACTATTAACTAAACCCCAGACTTTATTCAGATTTCACTAATATCCTTTTTCTGTTCCAGGATTCAATCCCCGTTGAATTTGGCACATGCTCCATTCCGCATTTGGCAGTCACTGTTCTGTTAGCTTTCTAGCCACCTCTGCTCATAGACAGGCCCCAGGAACCACTAGTTATGCTCTCATTTTGGCATTTGCAGCCTGCTGCCCTTCGCTTTTTTTTTTTTTTTTTTTTTTTTTGAGACAGAGTTGCCCAGGCTGGAGTGCAGTGGCGTGATCTTGACTCACTGCAACCTTCGCCTCCCGGGCCCAAGCGATTCTTCTGCTTCAGCCTCCTGAGTAGCTGGGATTACAGGTGCCCACCACCACGTCCGGCTAATTTTTGTATTTTTAGTAGAGACGGGGTTTCATCATGTTGATCAGGCTGGTCTTGAACTCCTGACCTCAGGTGATCTACCAACCTCAGCCTCCCAAAGTGCTAGGATTACAGGTGTGAGCCACCATGCCCGGCCTGCCCTTCACCTTTCTGGCCAATCATTTTCTTATTCTCTGACGAATGAATAGAATTGGCCCCTAACAGTGGTACTTACTAGCGGTGAGACCTAACTTAAGTCTTTTAGAAATCCTCAGTTTTCTCATCCATAATACAAAATGCGGGTAACAATAGTTTCTACATGGCTTGTTACATAATGACTCCATCTTAAAACATGTTCATTGTTGCTTTTGTTATATCATTATGCTTTCCTCTTCAGATCATAAACCAGCCTAGCTGCTTATTTTTTCCCAATTTTTTAATTTAATTTTTTGTTGAGAAGATGTTTTGCTCTTGCTGCCCAGGCTGGAGAGCAATGGCACGATCTTGGCTCACTGCAACGTCTGCCTCCCGGGTTCAACCGGTTTTCCTGCCTCAGCCTCCTGAGTAGCTGGGATTACAGGCGGCTGCCACCACACCCAGCTAATTTTTGTAGTTTTAGTAGAGATGGTGTATCACTATGTTGGCCAGGCTGGAGTGCAGTGGTGTGATCTTGGCTCACTGCAGCCTCAACGTCCTGGGCTCAAATGATCCTTCTACCTCAGCCTCCTGAGTAGCTAGGACTACAGGTGCACACCACAATGCCTAGCTAATTTTTTGTATTTTTTGTAGAGATAGGGTTTTGCCATATTGCCCAGGCTGGTCTCAAACTCCTGGGCTCAAGCAATCCTCCTTCCTCAGCCTCTCAAAGTGGTGAGATTACCAGCCTCAGCCGCTGCACCCGGCTAGTGTCCCTACTTTTTTAATCCTCTCATGTTATCTCAAATGTTACTCAGTTTGCTGGATGGGATTTGCTGACTCAGAGATTGCTGCTTAATTGCCACAGTAGTTTAAATGCTCCTTTTAAAAATACTTTGCTACTTTCCTTCTTTTATAGAAAATTTTGGGATGTACATGGTACAAAGGGAGAATCTGAAATGCCAAATTCTAAAGTTTTTTTTTGTCAGTCCTCCCCCAGCCTTTATTTTGGTGTTTCTTATTCCTAGAACTGCCACCATACTGCCTGCAAAGAGGGGAAGGCCCGTGCATCTGCCATAAGCAGGAGAGGGCCGAGCTGACAGCTGTGATCTGGAATATGCGATTTGGAGGATTCGAATCATTTCAGTGGGCTGTGCTTGGGTCATGTGACCTAATCAGGAAATTTCATGCAATCTGACATTTCCCCCTCAGAGTTGCTTAGGAACCTAAGGAAGGCTCTGGCTCTGAATGGCAGGATGGTAATAAATTAGTCGGTCCCCAGCCTAGCCATCTGGCTTAAGTAAATTAAGAGTATAACCCATATGGGATTTGTCTAAAATAGCGATTCTCATTTTTTCCCCTCCTCTCATTTTTTTTTTTTCCTCTTCATCTGGGCTCTTTAAATGGGTTTAACTTAGCATAGAATAACCGAGCTGACTTTACCCTCTGCTTTTTTGTATCTCTCACTCCCTCTCTCCCAATTCAGGCAGCAAAACTCAGTCTCCTGTAACCCACTAACGAGGCCCTCTTTAATGGTTGATGATCTTAAACATCTTATTTTGAGAATTGCCTGCTTTGAGGTGAATGTGTTTTGACTGAGTGCTAGCTTCCACCCTCTTTGTCCATTCTTATTTATCACCTTCCTTTAGTGTCTCCCCATCCCAGGGCCAAATTGACTCTCGAACTAGAGTTTCACCCATTCTCTTTTTTGTTTGTTTGTTTGTTTTTTTTTTGAGACAGAGTTTTGCTCTGTTGCCCAGGCTAGAGTGCAGTGGTGCAATTTCAGCTCACTGCAACCTCCACCTCCCGGGTTCAAGCGATTCTCCTGCCTCAACCTACTAAGTAGCTGGGATTGCAGGAGCGTGCCACCACACCCGGCTAATTTGTGTATTTTTAGTAGAGATGGGTTTTCATCATGTTGGCCAGGCTGGTCTCAAACTCCTGGCCTCCATTGATCTGCTTGCCTCGGCCTTCCAAAGCGCTGGGATTACAGGTGTGAGCCACTGTGGCTTAATCTAAATAAATCATTTTTATCATGCCATTCTCCTGCTCACAAATCTGCCCTGCTTATGGGATGAGCCAAATGTTTCTACCTCAAATTCCTCCATCAAGTTCTGACCTGCCTTTAACTCTCACCTACTTCCTATAGCTTGACCCTCATTTGAGACAGTCTGAGCTCTTCTCTTCCTCTGGAAACCTAACTTGTCCTGCCCCACTTATTTTAGTGTTGAAAGATTACACTCTGAGGCCAGGCGCAGTGGCTCACACCTGTAATCCCAGCACTTTGGGAGGCCAAGGTGGGCGGATCCCTTGAGCCCAGGAGTTCAAGACCATCCTGGGCAACATAGTGAGACTTCCTCTCTACTAAAAATAAACAATTAGCCGGGTGTAGTGACGCATCCCTGTGGTCCCATCTATTTGGGAGGCTGAGGTGGGAGGATCACTTGAGCTTGAAAGGTTGAAGCTGCAGTGAGCCGAGATTGTGCCACTGCATTCCAGCCTGGGCAACAGAACAAGACCCTGTGTCAAAAAAAAAAAAAAAAAAAAAAAAGATTACACTCTGATCTTTGTTTAGCTGTTTGGTATTTCTAATTGTAAGCTGCTGGAAAGCAGCCGTACTCTCATGCTTAACACATTCCTGGGCACCTGTAGGTGTTCACTACATACACAGTGAATGAATGAATGAATGGCTCTGTCATGGTTATGCTTCTAGTGGGTGAGAAAAATAGTTAGCAAGACAAATGAGTAAAATATATAGTAGATGAGGTGGTGATAACTGCTATGAAAAGAATTAAGCATAGGAGGAAAGGGCGTTGCAAATGGAAAAAAGATGGTCAGGAAAGGCTTCCAGGGGAGTAACATTTGGGTGAAGATGTTATATGGTGAATCTGAATTCTGAAAGGCAGAGTTTTAGTTATTAAAAAACAAACAAGCTGGGCACGGTGGCTCATGCCTGTAATCCCAGCACTTTGGGAGGCCGAGGCAGGCAGACCACAAGGTCAGGAGTTTGAGACCAGCCTGGTTAATATGGTGAAACCCTGTCTCTACTAAAAACACAAAAATTAGCCAGGCATGGTGGCGGATGCCTGTAGTCCCAGCTACTAAGGAGGCTGAGGCAGGAGAATGGCGTGAACCCGGGAGGTGGAGGTTGCAGTGAGCCGAGATCGCGACACTGTACTCCAGCCTGGGCGACAGAGTGAAACTCCCATCTCAAAAAACAAGCAAACAAGACTTCGCAGTGCATAGCCCTGTAACATGCACATATTGGATGAATGTACTTGCGGTGGCATATGTCATGTTGTTACCAAAGACACACAATTCAAATGATGTTATTTTTGGCACAAGTTATGTTTCAAGGAAGGACAAAGCCACCCACTTACATTCCATCTCACACTGCACACAATATGAAAAAAAAACTAATAAAAAAAGAAATAGCTCGTGACACAGAATTTCTTTGGAATAGATAGGGCTAGAGAAAGTAGAAAGATATTAAAGACATGCTGAAGTGAGAATTAAATGGAATGCAAGGCCGGGCACAGTGGCTTATGCCTATAATCCTAACACTTTGGGAGGCTGAGGCAGGTGGATCACCTGATCAGGTGGATCACTGGTCAGGAGTTCAAGACCAGCCTGGCCAACATGATGAAACCTCATTTCTACTAAAAATACAAAGATTAGTTGGGCGTGGTGGTGAGCGCCTGTAGTCCTAGCTACTCGGGAGGCTGAGGCAGGACAATCGGTTGAACCCGGGAGGCGGAGGTTGCAGTGAGCTGAGATCACGCTATTGTACTCCAGCCTGGGCAACAGAGCAAGACTTCATCTCAAAAAGAAAAATAAATTGATTGATAAATAAATAAATAAATAAATAAATGGAATGTAACACCAAAAGTTCGATCTCTCCTTTGAGCCTTTGTGGAGGACCAGGGCAGCTGAGCTGGAGCTTAATCCAGCTCAGGTCATTCCAGGGATGACCTAAAGATGCTGGAGAAGGAGGGTTATCCCTGGTCTGAGGGGATAATGGAGCTACAGTCTATATAAGAGGATCACCCCACAGATGGAGAATCTGTGCCTATGGGCTGCCAGGGAGCTTGCAAAGGCTTGCTTGGGTTTTCATGTGAAGTATCACTTCAATTCGGGACGTTTGTGAACGCTGAATGACACCAAGGACCTTAAATAGTTTATTCTTTTTCGCCTATTAATTTCATGGCTAAGAATTTAGCCTAAGGGTTGGCCGGGCGCAGTGGCTCATGCCTGTAATCCCAGCACTTTGGGAGGCAGAGGCGGGCGGATCACCTGAGGTCAGGAGTTCGAGATCAGCCTGGGCAACACGGTGAAATCCCATCTCTACTAAAAATACAAAATTAGCCGGGCATGGTAGCATATGCCTGTAATCCCAGCTACTCGGGAGGCTGAGACAGGAGAATCACTTGAACCTGGGAGGAGGAGGTTGCTGTGAGCCGAGATCGTGCCATTGCACTCCAGCCTAGGCAACAAGAGTAAATCTCCATCTCACCAAAAAAAAAAAAAAAAAAAAAAAAAGAATTTAGGCTAAGGGAATCTTCAGAGATACAAATGTAGGGTTATGTACTAGATGTTCGTTTAGGTCAGCATTATTCTATAGCACTTATGCTTTCATAAAAAATGCCTTAAAAATCTATATAATACATAGAAAAATACACATAATGTGTTGAGTAAGATTTTTAAAAATGAATTTCCTACTGTACGTAAGTTTGACTATGTGTAAAAATAAAATTTTCTTCATTCATTTATTCTTTGAACTTTATTGAGCACACAGATGTTTCAGACACTGCAGAGGGTGCTGAGTATATGAATTTATGTGTGTGTATGTGTGTGTGTGTGTGTGCTCATAGAAGAAAAGACAAGAAGGAAATACTCCAGAATATTCACAATAGTTCTCGCTACATGATTGATTTACTGTCATTAAATTTTACTCTCTTATTTTATTTTATTTTATTTTATTTCTTTTTGAGATGAAGTCTCACTCTGTAGCCCAGGCTGGAGTACAGTGGTGTGATCCCAGCTCACTACAACCTATGAGCCCTGGGTTCAAGCGATTCTCCTACTTCAGCTTCCCGAGTAACTGCGCTTATAGGCGTGTGCCACCACACCTAGCTAATTTTTGTATTTTTAGTAGAGACAGGGTTTTGCCATGTTGGCCAGGCTGGTCTTGAACTCCTGACCTCAGATGATCTGCCTGCCTTGGCCTCCCAAAGTTCTGGGATTGCACGTGTGAGCCACCTCGCCTGGCCTTTTACTCTTCATAGTTCCTCTAATTTCTATATTTTCTGCAGGGTGTATATATTTCTTTTACATTAACAAAATGAACATTACTGATAAGGGCACAATTAAATTTGGGGATTCCCAAGGAAATTAAATTCATTAAAGTGCTCTTCCCTGGCTGGGCGCGGTAGCTCACGCCTGTAATCCTAACACTTTGGGATGCCGAGGCGGGCGGATCACTTGAGTTCAGGAGTTCAAAACCAGCCTGGCCAACATGGTGAAACCCTGTCTCTATTAAAAATACAAAAAATTAGCAGGGCCTGGCGGTGCATGCCTGTAATCCCAGCTACTCGGGAGGCTGAGGCAGGAGAATCGCTTGAACCCAGGAGGTGGAGGTTGCAGTGAGCCAAGATCGCACCAGTGCACTCCAGCCTGGGCAATAGAGCGAGACCCCGTCACCAAAAAAAAAAAAAAAGTACAAAATTGAGGTGTCTGCAGAGGTTGGTTCCTTCTAAGGGCTGTGAGGGAGAATCCCTTCCTTGCTTCCATCCTGGCTTCTGGTATCTTTGGCTTGTAGGTGGCATCCTCCTTCCCTGTGTCCTGACATCATCTTCCCTCTTGTCTATCTCTTTGAAACAGGGTCTCACTCTGTCACCCAGGCTGGAGTGCAATGGCGCGATCTTGGCTCACTGCAACCTCTGCTTCCCAGGCTCAAGCTGTCCTCTTACCTCAGCCTCCCGAGTAGCTAGGATTACAGGCGTGTGCCACCGTGCCTGGCTAATTTGTGTATTTTTAGTAGAGATGGCGTTTCATCATGTTGGCCAGGCTGGTCTCAAACTCTTGACCTCAAGTGATCCATCAACCTCGGCCTCCCAAGGTGCTGGGATTATAGGCATGAGCCACCATACCTGGCCAGGACCCATTTTAACATTTTAACATGATCATTTGCAAGGACCTATTTCCAAATAAGGTCATAGTCACAGGATTTCAATATCTTTTGGGGAGAAACTAACCCATAACAGAGAGAGAAAGGACAAAGAGGGACAGAGAAAGAGACAGAGTTGAAAGTAGAGGGGTAGGGGATAGCCTGGAGAATTTCTAGAATAACTGGAGCATAGCATAGCATAGCATAGCATAGCATAGCATAGCATAGCATAGCATAGCATAGCATAGCATAGCATAGCATAGCATAGCATAGCATAGCATGTAGCAAAGGGCTTTTTATAGAGCCTCTGCATCCATCCTCGGGCTTTTTATAGAGCCTCTGCATCCATCCTCAGCCAGTGTCGAAGGAGGGCAGGGGAGCTGCTCAGTTTGGACACATTCCAATAATGAAACAAGGGCAATCCCTTTGAAGTAGCTGGAACTTAAGAAACATAATACGTAGCCACCATACTACTTTACTTCTGAAAAAAACTGGGATGTCACATTTGGGGCAAATCATCAGATGTAATTTGGTGACTTGGGAAGTATATTGGCTCACAATGGGTCACATGCCACCTCTCTGGTACTGCCTGTGTGTGACCTTGCTTAACCTCCCTGGAGCTCAGTTTCCTCATCTATAAAATGGGGCCAGTGATTTTGAACTCACAGAATGTTTGCAAAGATTACAGAAAATTAGATATGAAAGCATCTGCTCTCAGAAGATACTTAACTAAAGTTAGTTCCCCATTTTACCATTCTGAAAATAAGCTCTCCAGAGAGGGCTTCTGTTTCAGAAAAGAGTTTCTTCTTTTCACTATAATGTTAAAGTAAAATTTCCTTTTAGAAAGATTATGATGATGGATATCTAAATGCCTTACAGTTGGTTAGACTCTCCTACCTTATTCAGGACGTGACGTTAGAGAAAACGGCAAGATGGAAACGTAGCTATGGCCATCCCATATCACTCTAATTAGTAGGGTAGCGGGCCAGGAGGATGGAATTACAGGGACCTTCCTGGAGAGATACCATTTTCAGATAGAGCTTTTGAATAATCCAATGTACAGTAGAAAATCTGCCAGATCCATAGACCAGGAACCAGTAAATTAGTAAACTGAAAAAAACTCTGGAAGTGTTTATAATCATAAAGAATGATATGACAGGCCGGGCACAGTGGCTCATGCCTGTAATTGCAGCACTTTGGGAGGCCAGGCTGGAGGATTGTTTTAGTCCAGAAGTTCAAGACCAGCCTGAACAACATGGTGAAACCCCCATCTCTACACACACACACATACAATTAGCTGGGCATGGTGGTGCATGCCTGTAGTCCCAGCTACTTGGGAGGCTGTGGTGGGAGGATCACTTGGGCACAGGATGTGGAGGTTGCAGTGAGCTGATATTGTGCCACTGCACTCCAGCCTGGGTGACAGAGTGAGACCAAAAAAAAAAAAAAAAAAAAGATATGATATGATACCTATAAGCCTTAAATATTTTTATACAGTTCACAGCATATACTATAGATTCATTTGTCTATTTTTGGTTTAGACCTCAAGGCTTTTCCTTTCAAGACGGACCTGCTGATTCAGGTTCTACTCTGTCTTTTTTTGCACAAACTATTTTCATAAAATATTATCCACATTTCCTAATTTTAAAAAATTTATTTTATTTGTTTATTTTTTTTTTTTTGAGACTGAGTCTCACTTTATCACCTAGGCTGGAGCTCACTGCAACCTCTGCCTCTCAGGTTCACGTGACTCTCCCACTTCAGCCTCCCGAGTAGGTAGGATTAAAGGTGCCCACCACCATGCCCAGCTAATTTTTGTATTTTTAGTAGAGATGGTGTTTTGCCATGTTGGCCAGGCCGGTCTTGAACTCCTGACCTCAAGTGATCTGCCCACCTTGACCTCCCAAAGTGCTGGGATTACAGGCATGAGCCACCGTGTCCGAGTTACATTTTCTGGTTTTGAGGGCAGAATCTTAGTAGGCTTTTCTGCCCTAAACTTTTAGAGTTGATTAGCTTGCACCTGTATGACAATATTTTTAATGATTTATTCTATCAACTTTCCCCAAAACATTCAACTTAATTTTTACAAAAATAACAACTCTTGTTTTGCATTCCTATTTCAGCACTTATGTAATATTTAATTAAATTGTAAAATGATAATAACAATGGACATCAATGGGAGTGGGCACAATCTCCACTGGAACTGGAAAGCATACAGTTCAGCAGATAGGAACAGAAGCACTCAGACATGCAAATCAAGACCCTTCCCGCGGCATCCCTTCAGTGGGTGTCTGGTGACAGGTCAGTGTGTTTTAGAGAGGAAACAGAGACCTATATTAATTGAGTGAGTTGGTTAAGTGAAGAAGGGTTAAAGTGTTTTCATTGCATGATCCGATAATAGAAACCATAATAGTTCAACTGTTGACAGATTTCTATCTATCTTGGGTTAGGCTGTTTTGTGTGTCTGTTTTTTCTGAGATGGAATTTTGCTCCTGTTGCCCAGGCTGGAGTGCAATGGCGCCATCTCAGCTCACTGCAACCTCTGCCTCCCGGGTTCAAGCGATTCTCCTGCCTCAGCCTCCGGAGTAGCTGGGATTACAGGTATGTATCACCACGCCAGGCTAATTTTGCATTTTTAGTAGAGATGGGGTTTCTCCATGTTGGTCAGGCTGGTCTCGAACTCCCGACCTCAGGTGATCTGCCCGCCTTGGCCTCCCAAAGTGCTGGGATTACAGGTGTGAGCCATCGTGCCTGGTTGGTTAGGTTTTGTTCTAAGTAAGAAGCAAACCTAATGGGTCTCCAATAACAGGTTAGAAATATCAGAATAGACTGGGTTTGGTGGCTCATGTCTGTAATCCCAGCATTTGGGAGGCACAGGCAGGAGGATCAAGCCCGGCAGTTCAAGACCAGCCTGGGCTACACAGTGAGATCCCATCTCTACCAAAAAAATTAATTTGCTGGGCGTGGTAGTGCGCGTCTGTAGTCCCAGCTACTCAGGAGGCTGAGACGAGAGGATCACCTGAGCCCAGGAGATTGAGGCTGAAATGAGTCATGATTGTGCCACTGCACTCCAGCCTGGCTGCAGAGCAAGACCCTGTCTCAAAAACAAAAACAAAAACAGAATAGTCTTATTTTACTCTTTAGGGCTCTATCATTATAAGTATAACTGGGCATCATTTTTATATCTAAGCCTCTTTCATTTTATTCATAATTCACTTGTTTATTCAGTGATCTAACAAACATTTATGGAGCGCCTGCTTGTGCTGCATGTTGGGATACAATGGTAAATAAGGTACCGCCCTCAATCTTGGGGAACTTACACTCTAGTGGGGCAACCAGGTTAGTAAGCGGGCAGTTACGAAGCAGCTGGTTAGCACAAGGAATAAGCCAAGAGAGCAGCATTGCATATTCCGCTCTGAGCCTCCTTTTCCTGTCTTGGAAGCCAGAAGGGAGGTGTGGATTCAGTGATTAATGAGCATTTGAGTAGCATCTACAGAGAACTGTGCTTCGTTCTAGACTCTGAGGTTCCAAGGATTAATAATTCACAGCCCTGTACTAATGAAATCCATACAGGTAATTATAGTGCTGTATAGTAAGTGTGGTTTTGGGATAGGTGCAGGGTCTTCAGGGCGCATCCAGGAGGGATGGGGGGAAAGGGAACCTTCCTGCATGAGGTGAAGTTCCTGTAGGCTGCAAGTGACCTTAGGGAGGGACCTCGCTGTCCTGTGCTGCTGTCCCCCAGTTCCCACGACACTGCCTTGCACACATATGTACTCAATCAGCATTCAAACTTGAGTGAATGAACTGCAGGATGATTAGGAGTTAATCAGGGGTTGAGAGGCTCTACTCTGGGCCAGGCCTTATACTATTATACGTGCTGGGAATACCAAAATGAGTAAGACATGGCCTTTGCCCTGAAAAGGGGATTATAGGAGATTATAATAAAGCCTCATTTTTGGCTAAATCCAGATAGTGTATAATGTTATCAGGCAATGTATATTAATGCACTCACAAACCTGGGCACACTTCTTCAATAAGTGGTGCTCCACCCTGGGCCATTTACTGCCTATGTCAAACATTTGTTAAACCTACTCTCCTGAGTTTATACTATGGAATTTGGAGGTTAAAGAAGTAGACAACTGAGCATCCCAAGTTCCAGCCCTGGTATAAAAGGCATCATTCAAATGGTCTTGTTTTTTTCTTGAAACAGGGTCTTGCTCTGTTGCCTAGGCTGGAGTGCTGTGGTGCGATGACAGGTACAGCCTATGATCCCATCTTGATCTCACTCTGTTGCTCAGGCTGGTCTTCAAACTCATCTCGACCTCTCGAGTAGCTGGGACTACAGGCATAAGCCACTATGCCCAGCTAATTTGTTTTTATTTTTTTATAGAGCTGGAATCTCCCTACATTGCCCAGGCTGGTCTCCAGCTCCTAGACTCAAGTGATCCTTCTGCCTTGGCCTCCCAAAGTGCTGGGAGAACAGGCGTGAGGCACTGTGCCCAGCCCAGATGGTCTTAAACTATGGTGTGTCATGATACTCAACCCTAGAATGTGGATAACACAGCTGGTTGCCAGCCGTTAGGTGTAATTAGTAGCTTTTTCTGAGGATCCCCCAAATGCATTTTCTTTCTCTTTTTCTTTTTTTTTTTTTTTTGAGACACAGTCTCGCCCCATCGCTAGGCTGGAGTGCAATGGCGCAATCTCGGCTCACTGCAACCTCCGCCTCCTGGGTTCAAGCGATTCTCCTGCCTCAGCCTCCCGAGTATCTGGGATTACAGGCGCGCGCCTCTACGCCCAGCTAATTTTTGTATTTTTAGTAGAGACGGGGTTTCACCATGTTGGCCAGGCTGGTCTCGAACTCCTGACCTCGTGATCCACCCACCTCGGCCTCCCAAAGTGCTGGGATTACAGGCGTGAGCTACCGCGCCCGGCCCAGATCCCCCAAATGCAGTTTCAAATATCAACTACCCCTTTAGACATTCCCCTGCACATTCCTAGCCTCCAGCCATGATGGAAGTGGGGAGTGGCACTTCTCACAGCGACATCAAATATGATCAGATCTGGGAGTTGCTGGCTGATGGTTTGCTCCAGGTGACCAGAAATTTTAAGATGGTCTTTAGCAACAAATGAGTTTGAATGAGGTCCCTCAGTTTATTACAGTTGCTCTTATGTCTCCTCAAACTCTCAATTCTTGAACTACCAAAGGCAGCTGAAGTTGGTCAAGGGGCCAGTTGAGCAGAAGACACCAGTCAAGGCAGGTGGCACGGATATGCGACTTATGTCTATTTAGTGTAATTAAGTGCCACAGTCAGCAAGGCAGGAAACCCTGCATTTATGTAACTTTTCCTCAATATTATGAAGAGAGAAATTGAGGTAGAAGGAAGTACAGGATCTCACTTTAGGATGCACAGCAAGTTGGAGGCAGAAATACTCCATTCCTTAGTAATCCACAAGTCAGGGGTGAGTCTTTCCCAGAAAGAGGAAGCCCATCCCCTTTTCTAAATTGGACACCTTCACATGTTCACTATTCCTTCTCAAGAAAGTTGCTCAGTTTTCCTCCCTAGAGAGCTATACCCTAAATAACAATC
The DNA here is from genome assembly GCF_000001405.40 of Homo sapiens. Classification (NCBI taxonomy): domain Eukaryota; kingdom Metazoa; phylum Chordata; class Mammalia; order Primates; family Hominidae; genus Homo; species Homo sapiens. Next base: position 93,336,651 of record NC_000012.12, on the reverse strand, counting down.
ATTCCAGTTTCTCATTGCCTCATGTACTCTTGAGAAGCCACATACCAGACCCAAGCAGAAATACGGCTTTAATATCTCACTCATGTCCCCCCCGCCCCATGCCCCCAGCCCTGCCTAGCTGGAGGGTCACATTCCATTTTATAAATAGCATCAAAGAGAAGTCACTTTGGGGGTAGAGAGCAGTAGTGGAAGCAGAAGTCGGGGACCTCCAAGCAATGACTAACGCAGCAGACAGGCTTCTCTTTGTCCATTGTTAAAAGATAATGAATAGATCTCCAGCCCCCTCTTACTACCTCTAGAGAAAGAAGATTGAAGCAGCTGCCAGAGAGAGTTCCTTTCAAAAAGTTCCTGACTCTGTCTTGTGCTGCTGCCTTTTGCACTTTCTTTCCTTCTTTCTTTCTTTCTTTTTTTTTTTTTCTTTAGACAGGGTCTCTCTCTGTCTCCCAGGCTGGAGGGCAGTGGCGCCAGCTTGGCTCACTGAAGCCTCGACCTCCTGAGCTCAAGTGATCCTCTTGCCTCAGTATCCTGAGTAGCTGTGATTATGGGCATGTGCCATCATGTCCAGCTAATTTTTTGTATTTTTGGTAGAGATGGGGTTTCATCATGTTGCCTAGGCTGGTCTCAAACTCCTGAGCTCAAGTGATCCACCCACTCAACTTCCCAAAGTGCTGGGACTACAGGCACGAGCCACTGCGCCTTGCCTGACTTTTGCACTTTCACCCACAAGTCATTAAGCCCAGTTACGAATTTTTAGCAAATTGCAACTCCTTACAAATCAGACGCGTTGGCTCTGGTGAGTGTTCTAAGAAATGTGTCAATGCCTTGTGCACTAGAGGACCTCAGATCTAATGCTGGCTCAGATATCAGATAGCCATGTGCAACTGTTGGCTTTATGATCTAGGCTTTGGTTTCCCTGTTTGGAAGATGAGTTTGTTGGGCCTAGATGAGGTCACCAAATGGAGGTCTCCGGCCGTATACTGCCTGAAATCATGTATTTTATCCATATGGTGTTACGGCGGTTTTTTTGTTAGTTTGTTTTTTGTTGTTGTTTGAGACAGGGTCTTGCTCTGTAACCCAGGCTGGAGTGCAGTAGCACGATCTCTGCTCACTGCAACCTCTGCCTCCTGGGCTCAAGTGATCCTCCCACCTCAGCCTCCTGAGTAGCTGGGACTACAGGCGCATGCCACTAAATTGGCTAATTTTTGTATTTTTTTGTAGAGATGAGGTTTTCCCATGTCACTCAGGCTGGTCTCAAACTCCTGAACTCAAACAATCTGCCCACTTCAGCCTCCCGAAGTGCTAGGATTACAGGTGTGAGCCACTGCACCTGGCCATTTTTTGTTTGTTTTTGTTTTTATAAAATTTAAACTAGTGTTCGTCATTTAAAAAAGGACTCAACAATAGTAAAACAATCTAATTTAAAAAATGGCCAACAAGCACATCAAAATATGCTTGACATCACTAATCATTAGAGAAATACAAATCAAAACCACAGTGAGATACTACTGCCTCATACCCACTAGGATGGGTATTATCAAAAGAACAAAAAACAACAAATGCTGGTGAGGATGTGGAAAAATTGGAATGCTGTGTACTGTTAGTATTAATGTGAAATGGTGCAGCTGCTATGGAAAACAGTATGGTGGTTCCTAAAAAAAAGTAAAAATAGAATCACCACATGATCCAACAATTCCACTTCTGGATATACGCCCAAAAGAATTGAAAGCAGGAACTCAAAAGATATATTATTTGTATACTTCGCCAGGCATGGTGGCTCACTTCTGCAATCCTAGCACTTTGGGAGGCTGAGGTGAGTGGATCACCTGAGGTTGGGAGTTTGAGACCAGCCTGACCAACATGGAGAAACCCCGTCTCTACTAAAAATACAAAATTAGCTAGGTGTGGTGGCGCATGCCTATAATCCCAGCTACTTGGGAGACTGAGGCAGGAGAATCGCTTGAACCTGGGAGGCGGAGGTTGCTGTGAGCCAAGATCGTGCCATTGCACTCCATCTTGGGCAATAAGAGTGAAACTCTGTCTCAAAATAAAAAAAAAAGATACATTATTTGTATACTCATGCTGGTAGCAGCATCATTCACATAGCCAAAGGTAGAAGCAACCAAGAGTCTATTGATGGATGAATGGAAAAAAATGTGGACTATATATACAATAAAATATTATTCAGCCTTAAAAAGATGGAGGCTGGGCATGGTGGCTCATGCCTGTAACTCCAGCACTTTGGGAGGCTGAGGCAGGTGGATCAATTGAGGTCAGGAGTTGGAGACCAACCTAGGCAACATGGCAAAACACCGTCTCTACCAAAAATATGAAAATTAGCCAGGAGTGATGGAGCATACCTATGGTCCCAGCTACTTGGGAGGCTGAGGTGGGAGGATTGTCAAAACCCCAGAAGTCGAGGCTGCAGTGAGTTGAGATTGTGCCAGCGCACTCCAGCCTGGGTGACAGAGTGAGACCCTGTCTCAAAAAAAAAAAAAAAAAAGGAAATTCAGACACATGCTACAACATGAATGAGTCTTGAGGACATTACATAGAGTGAAATAAGCCAGTCATAAAAAGACAAATTCTGTATGATTCCACTTCCTTTCTTCTGGAGTGCTGTGATAAGATTATGGCTCACTGCAGCAGCTTTGATGTCCTTTGATATCCTGGCCTCAAGTCATCCTCCTGCCTTAGCCTCCAAAGCAGTTAGGACTATAGGCACATGACACCACACCCAATTTTAATTTATTATTAATATATTTTTTTGTAGAGATGCGGTCTGCTGTGTTGCCCAAGCTGGTCTCAAACCCCTCGGCTCAAGTGGTCCTCCCACCCCGGCCTCTCAAACTGCTAGGATTACAGGCATGAGCCATTGTGCCTGACCTGATTTATTTTTTATGAGGTACCTAGAATAGTTAAAATCAGAAACAGAAAATGGAATGGTGGATGCCAGGGATGGCGGGGAAGAGGGGGAATTATTGTTGCACAGCAATGTGAGTGTATTTAACACTTCTCAGCTGGACACATAAAAATCCTTAGATGGTAAGTTTTTATGTTATGTATATTTTACCACAATTAAAATAAAGAGTGGTAACTCATGAAAACCTGAATAGTCGACTTAAAAAATATATTAAAACAAATCTGGCATATTGGGCCACATGTACCAGTTGGCAACAGCCCACTTGAGCTGAGTATCTGCCCTCTCTAAATGGCTCTATTCTTTGCTCTTCTCCCCAGCCCCCACCTGCCAGTCTTCTTTCTATCAAATAACCTGTGCAGCTACTATAGGCCTTTGAGTTTGCAGTCCCTGGATTCGACTCTCTATGGTTCCTTCTAGCATTCATAGCTATGATTCTGTGACTTCCTGGAACTTTAGTGACTGTGACACTATAAATAAATAAGTGAGGTGAAGACATAGATGTTCTTGAAGGATGTCTAGTTCTCAGTAGGCAGAGACTGGGGGAAGGTTTATTCCAGGCTTGCAGTGGCTCAAGCCTGTAATCCCAGCACTTTGGGAGGCTGAGGTGGGCGGATCCCTTGAGGCCAGGAGTTGGAGACTAGCCTGGCCAACATGGCGAAACCCCATCTCTACTAAAAACACAAAAATTAGCCAGACATGGTGGTGTGCACCTGTGGTCCCAGCTATTTGGGAGGCTGAGGCAGGAGAATCGCTTGAACCTGGGAGGCGGAGGTTGCAGTGAGCCGAAATAGTGCCATTGCACTCCAGCCTGGGAGACAGAGCGAGACTCCCATCTCAAAAAAAAAAAAAAAAAAGATTTATTCCAGGCTCAAGGAAGAACACAGCCAGGCAACAAGGCAGCAAGATTCATGGAGACACAGACATTTTCTGGTTCTGCTATGTCTTGCAGTAACCCTGAATATTGTGCTAGTATGTAAGAATAAAGAGGGTCATTCCTCGGACAGCCACTCAGTATTTCTGCCACCCTCACAATGCCTGGGGACCTTCCTAAGAAAGGGCTACCACAGACTTAGGGAGATTCACTCTGAAAAAATTTTGTATTTTGTAAAGGTTGTTTGGGATTGGGGTGGAACTGTGTGCAGGATGTCAGAATGGAAACTTCTGCACATTACTTGCATCAACTCATGAGCTGTACTTTATATACCTGAAGTTAGGTCTTTGGACTGTATTGATCAAATTTATGGGCTGAGTATGGTGGCTCATGCCTGTAATCCCAGCAATTTGGGAGGCCAAGGCAGGTGGATCACTTGAGCCCAGGAGTTGAAAACCAGTCTGGGCAACAAGGTGAAACCCTATCTCTCCAAAAAATACAAAAATTAGTCAGGTGTGGTGGCTCACACTGTAGTCCCAGCTACTCGGGAGGCTGAGATGGTAGAATCGCTTGAGCAGAGGAGGTCGAGGTTGCAATGAGCTGTGATGGCACCACTGTACTCCAGCCTGGGCGTGCTAGGCTCCGTTTAAAAAAAAAAATTACAAGAACTACTTTATGAATTCATGAAAAATCATATGCAAATAGATATCTTACAATTTGCTAAAATATCTGGTGATCTTAACCTGGAGGGACTGTTTTAAAAGGCTAGGACTCAGGCCGGGCACGGTGGTTCATGCCTGTAATCCCAGCACTTTGGGAGGCCCAGGCAGGCGGCTCACCTGAGGTCAGGAGTTCGAGATGAGCTTGGCCAACATGGTAAAACCCTGTCTCTACTAAAAATACAAAAATTAGCCAGGTGTGGTGGCAGGCGCCTGTAATCCCAGCTACTTGGGAAGTTGAGGAGGAGAATTGCTTGAACCTGGGAGGCAGAGGTTGCAGTGAGCCGAGATTGTGCCCTTGCACTCCAGCCTGGGCAGGAAGAGCGAAACTCCATCTTGAAAATAAATGAATTAATTAATTAAATAAGCTGGGATATGAACACAGGCTTGCTGCTAGCTTCTATGCTATCTATTGCGTCTGAAAATAAATTAGAAACAAAAACAAACCTAGAAAATGATAATCCTTGACAATGATACTAGAGTTAAGAAGTGAGTTGTTTTGGATCTGTACATTCTTCCAGTGTTTATTGAGCACCTATTATAGTGTACCAGGTGCTGGGGAAACAGGTGCACAAGGCAGATGAAGCACCTGCCCTCAGCATGCTCATGTCCTAGTAGATCCACTTCTTTGATTCTAAAGATACTGATCTTCTATTTCAGTGTGTCTCAAACTGTATTAAAGGGTCAGTCTTAAAAATTCAATTAGTCTAAAAATCAATGGCTAGAAAGATGAAATTTAAAAACTCCCAAAGACATACAAAATAGAAACTTCACTTTTCCCTTTCTTTTTCTTTCTTTTTCTTTCTTTCTTTCTTTTTCTTTTTCTTTCTCTCTCCCTTCCTTCCTTTCTTTCTTTCTTTCTCTCTCTCTCTCTCTCTCTCTCTCTCTCTCTCTCTCTCTTTCTTTCTTTCTTTCTTTCTTTCTTTCTTTCTTTCTTTCTTTCTTTCTTTCTTTCTGTCTTTCTTTTTCTACAGGATATTGCTCTGTCACCCAGGCTGGAGTGCAATGGCGTGATCTCAGCTCATTGCAACCTCTGCCTCCCAGGCTCAAGCCATTCTCTCACTTCAGCCTCCTGAGTAGCTGGGACTACAGGTACATGCCATCATACCTGGTTCATTTTTTGTATTTTTGGTAGAGACTATGTTATCCAGGCTGGTCTCGAAATCCTGAGCTCAAGAGATCCTCCCGTCTCAGCCTCCCAAAGTGCTGGAATTATAAGCGTGAGCCACCATGCCTGGCCTAAACCTCATTTTTCAAGTATTATATTCAAATAGACATAAAATTACTTTGTCAATTTTCTATAACTTTCTAAGGCTTACTCTCAATTTTTGTATTTATCTCATTATGATCCTAACAGTTCAACTGGCAACAGCCTGAGACCCATACTTTGGGTAGCTTCCATTTGCTCTTTCTGCCAACTATTTGGACAGTTAGTGCCCATCATACCATATGATCTGAAAGATAAAGATGAATTGGTTCAGCCGTATGATAGACCTTTTTCTGTAAAGAACCAGCTAGTAAATATTTTAGGCTCTGTGGCTCAAATGATTTCTGTCACAACTACTTAACTCTGTCACTGCAGTGAGAAAGCAGTAATAGATGGTACCTAGATGAGTAGGTGTGGCTGAGTGTGGTGATGTTCCAATATAACCTTATTTATAGTTAGTGAATTTGAATTTTACATAATTTTCATGAATTACAAAAATATTATGCCTCTTTTGAGTTTTTCAACCATCTATCAATATTTTAAAAATTCTTTTTTTTTTTTTTTGTGACGGTCTTGCTCTGTCACCCAGGCTGGAGTGCAGTGACGCAATCTTGGCTCACTGCAACCTCCGACCCCCAGGTTCAAGCAATTTTCCTGCCTCAGCCCCCTGAGTAGCTGGGATTACAGGTGTGTGCCACCATGCCCAGCTAATTTTTGTATTTTTAGTAGAGACGGGGTTTTGCCATGTTGGCCAGGCTGGTCTTGAACTCCTGGCCTCAAGCGATCCACCTGCCTTGGCCTCCCAAGCTGCTGGGATTACAGGCGTAAGCCACCATGTCCGGCCATTTTCACTATATCTTTTCTATGTTTAGATATGTTTAGATACACAAATACTTACCATTGTGTTACAATAGCCTAGGTATGCAGTAGACTATTCCTTCTAGGTTTGTATAAATGCACCTATGAGGTTCACACAACAACAAAAACCACCCGGCGACACATTTCTCTGAAGGTATCCCTGTTGTTAAGTAACACATGACTGAATGTGCAATGCCCAGAATAGGTGAGTCCATAGAGAGTAGATTGGTAGTTGCCAGAGGCCAGGAGACATGGAAGGAGAAATGGGAAGTATGTTTTAAGAATGATGAAAATGTTCTGGAATTTGGCCAGGTGCAGTGGCTCACGCCTGTAATCCCAGCACTTTGGGAGTCCAAGGAGGGTGGATCACTTGAGGTCAGGAGTTCAAGACCAGCCTGGCCAATATGGTGAAACCCCATCTCTACTAAAAATACAAAAATTAGCCAGGAGTGCTGGTGCGTGCCTGTAATCCCAGCTACTCCGGAGGCTGAGGCAGGAGAATCGCTTGAACCCAGCGGGTGAAGGTTGCAGTGAGCCGAGATCACGCCATTGCATTCCAACCTGGGCAACAGAGCAAGACTCTGTCTCAAAAAAAAATAAAAAAAGAAAAAAGAAAATATCCTGGAAATTGATAGTGGTGATGGGTGCATAAACCTTTGTATATACTTAAAACCAGTTAGCTGTACACTTTAAAAGGATAAACTTTATGGTTAGGGAATTATGTCTCAATACAACTATTATTTTAAAAAAATGACCAAAGAGTAAAATTTTGCCTGTTAAATTTGACCTGAAAAATTTGATAAATTTTTCCATATAATATAAATACTAACTGCAGCAGAAAGATTATAAAAGGCCACAATTGATATAATTATAGTTGGGCAAAACATTCATTGATGAATCATATCTTTGTAATGAAATGTATGTTCATAAAAATTGATTCAGTGACAGTTACTGCGGCTGAATAAAACCTAAAATGGAAAAAGCTGAAAATGGTTTCATTGTTCTCCATAGAAAATGGACTAAAAATTTAAATTGGCTTAATGGCATTCACACCAAAAATTATTTCTTAACCCAAATTAATTAGTAATGGTGTTATTTTACTTAAAATATTTGTATTATAGATGTTGAGTCAAAACATTGTTAGCCAAAATGGCAGATAAAACACATCATGGCTGGGCTCACTTCTGTAATCCCAGCATTTTGGGAGGCAGAGGCAGGAGGATCGCTTGAGTTTAGGAGTTTGAGATTGGCCTGGGCAATATAGTGAGACCTCATCGCTACAAAAAATTTAAAAAGTAGCTGAGCATGGTGGCACATACCTGTAGTCCCAGCTCCTCAAGAGGCTTGAGGCAAGAGGATCGCCTGAGCTGGGGAGGCAGAGGTTGCAGTGAGCTGAAATCATGCCACTGCACTCCAGCCTGGGCAACAGAATGAGACCCTATTTCAATAAAACAAAACAAAACAAAACAAAAAACAAAAACCCAAACAAACAAACAAAATGCATCATGCACTAGGATTGTAAAATTGCTCTAACATTTAAAAATCATTTTTTGTATTAGTTTGCCAGGCTGCCATAACAAGATACCACAGGCTGCTATAACAATATACCAGAGGCTCGTCAGCTTGAACAACAGAAATTTATTTTCTGATGGTTGTGGAGGCTGGAATGGAAGGTCAAGGTGTCCGTAGGCCTGGTTTCCGCTGAGGCCCCTCTCCTTGGCTTGCCACCATCTGGCTGTGTCCTCACATGGTCTTCCCTTTGTGTCCAGTTTGGGTCCTGATCTCTTCTTATAAGGACAGCAGTAAGGTTGGATTATGACCCACCCTGAAGGATGTCATTTTAACTTGATCAACTGTTTAAAGGCCGTATCTCCAAATAATGTCACACTCTGAAGTACTGGGGTTAGGACTTCAACATATGGATTTTGGGTGACACAATTTAGCCTGTAACATTTGTTTGGTATTGCCGAATTGGAAACCTCAGAATGCATCTAATGTAGTTCCTACCTTCTCTCTTTCAGAAAGAAGAATAAATGGGACATTACACAAGGTATGTTTCTCTGATTTTCCACTTTCTATCCTTAGGACAGAAGAAAGATCTGTATTCAAGATGGAAACAAGTTCCTTCCACATTTGTTATCATGAAGGATGTCTTGTGCTGTGATTGAGAGGCTGCTCATTAAGAATCATGAAAAGCTCGTTTGCATGGTTTAGCAATGATGCAGAATTACTTATAAAAATATGAAGAAAAATAGATAGCATGTTTATAAACCCAAAGCTGGACCACACCCAGACATTGTTTTTAATAGTGCATCATGATTAAGTTCATCTTAGAGCAGTGTCAAGAGTCTTGCTTTAGAAGCTTTAAATATCTCTGAAAGTTAAAAAAAAAAAAAAAAAAAAGCCGGGCGCGGTGGCTCATGCCTGTAATCCCAGTACTTTGGGAGGCCGAGGCAGGTGGATCACAAGGTCAGGAGATTGAGACCATCCTGGGCTAACACGGTGAAACCCCGTCTCTACTAAAATACAAAAAATTAGCCGGGTGTGGTGGCAGGCACCTGTTGTAGTCCCAGCTACTCGGGAGGCTGAGGCAGGAGAATGGCGTGAACCCGGGAGGCGGAGCTTGCAGTGAGCCGAGATAGCGCCACTGCACTCCAGCCTGGGCGACAGAGCGAGACTCCATCTCAAAAACAAACAAACAAACAAACAAACAAAAAATATCTCCGAAAGTTACCCAGGTACCATTTGATAACTAGTATTTGGGCTGAGAGCTAGGAAAGTGAGAAAGGAAAACTTCAGAGGTCATTCGTGCTTGGTCCTTAGAGCCTCTTAGTTTAGCTAGAGAAGTCTAGGGGCCTTCTTAATTTGTTGGGAGAGAAGATGTCACAGGGACATCAATTTTTGATGAAATCCTATAGATTCTTTTTTTTTTTTGAGACGGAGTTTTGCTCTTGTTGCCCAGGCTGGAGTGCAGTGGCACGATCTCAGCTCACTGCAACCTCCGCCTCCCGAGTTGAGGTGATTCTCCTGCCTCAGCCTCCCAGGTAGCTGGGATTACAGGCGCACGCCACTGCACCCAGTTAATTTTTTGTATTTTTAGTAGAGACAGGGTTTCGTCATGTAGGCTAGGCTGGTCTTGAACTCCTGACCTCAGGTCATCCACCCGCCTTGGCCTCCCAAAGTGTAGGGATTACAGGCGTGAGCCACTGAGTCTGGCCAAAATCTTAGAGATTCTTTTGAGACTGTCTTAAAAGTGTCCCATTGGCCGGACGTGGTGGCTCATGCCTGTAATCTCAGCACTTTGGGGGGCCAAGGTGGGCGGATCACCTGAGGTCAGGAGTTCAAGACCGACCTGACCAACATGCAGAAACCCCGCCTCTACTAAAAATACAAAATTAGCTGGGCATGGTGGCACATGCCTATAATCCCAGCTACTAGGGAGGCTGAGGCAGGAGAATCGCTTGAACCTGGGAGGTAGAGGTTGCAGTGAGCCGAGATCGTGCCATTGCACTCCAGCCTGGGCAACGAGAGTGAAACTCCGTCTCAAAAAAAAAAAAAAGTGTCCCATTGTCTGGGTGCGGTGGCTCATGCCTGTAATCCCAGCACTTTGGGAGGCTGAGGCAGGTGGATCACGAAGTTAGGTATTTGAGACCAGCCTGACCAACATGGTAAAATCCTATCTCTACTAAAAATACAAAAATTAGCCAGGCGTGGTGGTGGGCCCCTGTAATCCCAACTACTCGGGAGGCTGAGGCAGGAGAATCGCTTGAACCTGGGAGGTGGAGGTTGCAGTGAGCCGAGATTGTGCCACTGCACTCCAGCCCGGGTGACAGAGTGAGACTCTGTCTCAAAAATAAATAAATAAATAAATAAATAAAGTAATTAATTAAAGGGAGGAATTTGTTCTAGTTAGTTTATGACACATGCTCGGAATTATGTTCTCTTGAGTGTTACTATACCACACACACTCGGAGGAAAGTTCCCGAGACACTTATGAATAGGTGAGTCACGGAGTGAGGTGTAAGTCCAGATGGCTGTCAGGAACTGCCTCTTGGTCAGTGGCTGTAGGAGCTGGGATAGTCATGAGCAGGACCATTCATTCACTGCCAAAGAAGGCTTAAGGGAGCCAGGCCATCTTTTGTGCCCCATAAACCAAGGGGCAAAAGTTCCAAATGAAACTCAGCGTTTGTAGTCTCTTAGCGGGAAGTGGGGTTGATGGCTTCTTTGTACTCTAATTTTTTTTTTTTTTTGAGATGGAGTCTTGCTCTGTCATCCAGACTGTAGTGTAGTGGCATGATCACGGCTCACTGCAGCCTCAAACCCCCAGCATCAAGTGATCCTCCTACCTCAGCCTTCCGAATAGCTGGGACCAGAGGCACACGCCATGATGTCCAGCTAATTTTTAAATTTTTTTGTAGAGAGGGGTCTCCCTATGTTGCCCAGGCTGGTCTCGAATTCCTAGCCTCAAGTGATCCTCCTGCCTCAGCTTCCCAAATTGCTGGGATTACAGGTGTGGGTCACTGCACCCAGCCTGTACTCTAACTTTATTTCTTTCCTGGGATGTTAACAATAATTCCCTGGTCTAGTAGTAGTTGTAAGGACTAGGCATGTATAATAGTGTCCTAAAAATATAAAAATGCATTTACTTGGTCATTACTTTGATAAGTATTTACTGATGGTGTACTGTGAATGGGAATAGGCTGGGCAGGGTGACCCACACCTGTAATCCCAGAGTTCTTTGAGGCCAAGGCAGGAGGACCACTTGAGACCAGGAGTTTGAGACCTGTCTGAGGAACATAGTGAGACTTTGTCTCTACACAAAAATAAAAAAATTAGCCGAGTGTGGTGGTACGTACCTGTAGTTCTAGCTACTTAGGTGGCTAAGGCAGGAAGATCCCTTGAGCATGGGAGTTCAAGCCTGCAGTGAGTTATGATTATGCCACTGTACTCCAGCCTGGGTGACAGAGCAAGGTCTTGCCTCTTAAAAGAGAGAGAGAGAAAAAAAGGGATAAAAATATGGCTGGCACATGGTTCCTACCCATGTCAGGTGGGACGGATATGCCTAGTATTAATTACAGCAATGTAGGAATGCTAAAATAGGATGCTGCAGAACCTACAGAAGAAAAACCCCTAATCTTGGCCAGGCACAGTGGCTCACGCCTGTAATCCCAGCACTTTGGGAGGCTGAGGTGGGTGGATCATGAGGTCAGGAGTTTGAGACCAGTCTGGCCAACATGGTGAAACCCCGTCTGTACTAAAAATACAAAAATTAGCCGGGCGTGGTGGCGGGCGCCTGTAATCCCAGCTATTCAGGAGGCTGAGGCAGGAGAACAGTGTGAACCCAGGAGGCGGAGGTTGCAGTGAGCTAAGATCATGCCACTGCACTCCAGCCTGGGCAGTAGAGCAAGACTGTCTCGGAAAATAAAAAAAAAAATTAAGAAAAACCCCTAATCTTGCTTATAGAAATCAGATGGAATCTTGCTCTGTTGTCCAGGCTGGAGAGCAGTGGCATGATCTCGACTCACTGCAACCTCCACCTCCCAGGTTCAAGTGATTCTCCTGCATCAGCCTCTAGAGTAGCTGTGACTGCAGGCATGCACCACCACGCCTGGCTAATTTTGTATTTTTAGTAGAGTTGGGGTTTCACAATATTGGCCAGGCTGCTCTCAAACTCTCGACCTCAGGTGATCCACCTGCCTCAGCCTCCCAAAATGCTGGGATTACAGGCGTGAGCCACCATGCCTGGCCCAAGCTGAGTCTTAAAGGACGAATAAAAGAGACCACACAGGGCTGGGCAAAGAAATTCTAGGCAGAGGAAATTGCAAGCACAAAGGAGTGGAGACTACCAGCAGCATGTGGCTTTGGGGAAACCATAAATGGCTGTTTTCTTGAACTCGGGCTGTTTGGGAGGCATGAAGTAAGACAAGGATGAAAGAGTAGGCAAATCGTGAAGGGTGTGTATGTATATTATGGTGAGTGTTCAAGCAGTCACAGGGAGGTTATGGGGATTGGAAAGGAATGTTTAAAAATAGCTGGAGGTGAGGTGGAAATTAAAGGGTGGGATTTAGTAAGAAATGTTAAGGGGCTGAATAAGGCAGTGTGGTAAGCAAGGAGCAAAAACGACAGATTTGAGAGTTACTTGAGAGGTAGAATTGATAGCACTTCACTGGTTAGATTGACTGGGGGTCATGAGAGAAACGGTGGTGTCAAGGATGCTACCCTAGTTTCTGGTGAGGCCTCTTGGTTGTGCTGTGACTCATGTCTCACAGACCTTATAATAGGAGGTTGGATCACCCTGGCACAATCTCCAACACAGTTTGATTAACAAAGTGCTAAAAAGAACTAAACCATTACAACAAGAATAGCAGGCTACTGAGTTTCCAGCAAATGAGAGAATTAGAACATCCCTTATAGATCCATAACTCATCAATTTCACTATGCATGAGCTGAAGATAGGCAATTCTCCACTAGATGAGGAGTCTATGAATTTCAAGGGAGACAATTTAAGCCTAAAACTTAAAACAAATTTGATCCAACTTCTTTTTTTTTTTGACAGAGTCTCGCTCTGTCGCCAGGCTGGAAAGCAGAGGCACGATCTCTGCTCACTGCAACCTCCACCTCCCGGGCCAAGCAATTCTCCTGCCTCAGCCTCCCAAGTAGCTGGGACTACAGGCACACACCACCATGCCCGGCTAATTTTTGTATTTTTAGTAGAGATGGGGTTTCACCATGTTGGCCAGGATGGTCTCGATCTCCTGACATGGTGATTCGCCTGCCTCAGTCTCCCAAAGTGCTGGGATTACAGGCGTGAGCCACGGTGCCTGGCCAATAAATTTGATCCAACTTCTATACTCCATGCATATAATCAATTGTCCCTCTGTGTAATGAGCATAGTATGGATTTACATAACGTCCTAGAAATAAATGTGGTAGTTCCATTGGGATAATGTGATAAGACCGATTTTCCTGGAGTGCCCTACCTTCCTTATTTGTTCTGCCCAATAAATTCCTGTGTGTGATTCAAGGCCTAGTTCACATCCTGCCTTCAGGAACCTGCCCCATATGATGTCAGCCTGCATTTAGCTCCCTTGCCCTGACTTCCTCTGCAGCAATTTGGGGTTTATTATAGGCTGCCTTAAATATCTCATTTTCATTTTCTCTGAGTCCCCAGGACTTATCTTATTTACCTGTTGTGGTTCTCTTGAAATTTCAAGTTTCTAGCCTCTACCTTTCTCTCTCTCTCTCTCTATTTTTTTTTTTTTTTTTTTTTTTCAGAGACAGAGCCTATCTCTGTTGCCCAGGCTGGAGTGCAATGGCGCGATCATAGCTCACTGCAGCCTCGAACTCCTGGGCTCAAGCAATCCTTTTGCCCCAGCCTCTCAAAACTCTGGGATTACAGGGATTACAGACATGAGAAACACTGTTCCCAGCCTTTTTTTTTTTAACAGAGGATTTTTAAAGAACCAATCAATGATATTTAGCAGTGTAAACAAATATACAATAAGTGTATTGTGAGGATTAAAAGACCAAAGGGTGGAGGAATTGTAACTATACTATCATAAGGTTCTTAAACTACATGTGGAGTAGTGTAATATTCTTTGAAGGGAGACTATGATACATAAAATATGAACATTGTAAACCCTAGAACAACCACTATTTCTTTAAATTGACAGATAAAATTGTATGTATTTTTTGTGTACAGCATGATGTTTTGAAGTGTATATACACTATGGAATGGTTAAATCTAGCTAATTAACAAACGCAATATACATCATGTAGTTATTTTTGTGGAGACAACACTTAATATCTACGCTTTACTTTTGTATTTTGGTCACCTGCAGTCTTGCCCAGGGTAGCAAGAATTACATTCCGCCTGCAATTATAGCTGATATGGGCTCACTTGTTCATGAAACATATGTTTACTGAGTGTTTACTCTGTGCCAAGCACATAATCCAGCCCCAATCTGCCTCCTTGACTTCATCTTCTCCTCACCCACTAGGTTCCAGCCATAGCCACTTATTTCCACCTTGGGGTCCTTCCACCTGCTCTTCTGGTTGCCTGGAATGCCCCTTACCCAGAACTTTCTTCTTTTTAAAAAATTGTTTTTCTTTTATTTTTATTTTTCACTCCTCTCAGCTCATATCTATCCAGAACTTATTTTTATTTTTATTTTTTGAGACGGGGTCTCACTCTGTTGTCAAGGCTGGAGTGCAGCGGTGTGATCTTAGCTCAATACAACCTCCGCCTACCAGGCTCAAGCCATCCTCCCACCTCAGCCTCCCGAGTAGCTGGGACTACAGACATGCAACACCACACCTGGCTAATTTTTGTATTTTTAGTAGAGACAGGGTTTCGCCATGTTGCCTGGGCTGGTCTTGAACTCCTGAGCTCAAGCGATCTGCCCACCTCGGTCTCCCAAAATGCTGGGCTTACAGGCGTGAGCTGCTATGTCCAGCCCAGAACTTTCAGTATCAGGTTTCCTTAATCTCATTTCCTCAGGGAAACCTTCTCTGATCAGTCTCCCATATTATTATCTAAAATCAAGCCAGGTGTGGTGGCCCACAAATGTAATCTAATGCTTTGGGAGGCCAAGGCAGGAGGATTGTTTGAAGCCAGAAGTTTGAGACCAGTCTGGGCAACATAGTGAGACCCTGTCTCTACAAAAAAATATAAAAATTAGCTGGGTGTGGCTGGGCATGGTGGCTCACACCTGTAATTCCAGTACTTTGGGAGGCCGAGGCGGGCAGATCACGAGGTCAATAGATCAAGACCATCCTGGCCAACATGGTGAAACCCTGTCTCTGCTAAAAACACAAAAATTAGCTGGGTGTGGTGGCAAGCACTTGTAGTCCCAGATGCTTGGGAGGCTGAGGCAGGAGAATCACTTGAATCCGGGAGGTGGAGGTTGCAGTGAGCCGAGATCGTGCCATTGAACTCCAGCCTGGCGACAGAGTGAGACTCCATCTAAAAAAAAAAAAATCAGCTGGGTGTGATGGTGAGTCTGTAGTCTCAAGTATTTGCAAAGCTGAGGCAGGAGAATTGCTTGAGCCCAGGCATTTGAGGTTGCACTGAACTATGTTCATGCCACTGTACTTCAGCCTGGCCAATAGAGTGAGACCTTGCCTAAAAAAAAAAAAAAAAGCAAATCAACTCGCTTGTTTAATTGTTTATGGTCTATGTCCCCCTATCTGGATGTAAACATATGAGGGCAGAATTGTGTTGGCTAACTCTTAGTAGGTGCTCTGTAGGTACATTTTGAATGGATGAATATGCTGTTAGGTGCATAGGCACCTGCCTTGCTAGAGTTCACAGACTTTGTGGAGAAGACAGGTAGTAAGTACCTTCGTGTAACAAATATAATAAATCAAACAGCGCATGTGGAAATATTGTGACTTCGCTGGGCATGGTGGCTCACACCTGTAATCCCAGCACTTTGGGAGGCCGAGGAGGGCAGATCACTTGAGGTCTGGAGTTGGAGACCAGCCTGACCAACATGGTGAAACTCTGTCGCTACTAAAAATACAACATTAGCCAGGCATGGTGGCACTTGCCTGTAATCTCATCTACTTAGGAGGCTGGGGCAGGAGAATCACTTGAACCTGGGAGGCGGAGGTTGCAGTGAGCCAAGATTGCACCATTGCACTCCAGCCTGGGCAACAAGAGTGAAACACCATCTCAAAAAAAAAGAAATATGGTGACTTATACCAAAGAAGTGTAATTTAGACTATGGGTTCCAGGGAGGGCCTCTTTCAACCCCGCAAAGTTTAAGTGGAGTCCTGAAGGATTTCACAACTTCTTTACCCACTGCTAAATAGGAACCAGTTTTCTTGTGCTTTATGCCATCTGGAATCTCCTTCAGTTTTGACTCCTAGGACAAGATTTTTGGTTATTGATGGGATACAGAGGTAATGAACCCTTCTAGTGATTTCAAGGCACTCAGTACTTTTAAGATATATCACAAACAAATAGTCCGTTTTAGTTCATAATAAATAATAATGCTTCACTCCAGGCCATTTCACCATCATATTTTTTAATGGAACTCAGCATTACAACTGTTCATGCATACATTTAACTCCCACAAATGTTAAGCTGATGCCACGATCTACTTGACAAATCCTGTTACTCCGTCTCCTCTTTTATGCCAAGGCAGTTAACCTTCATGCTGTTGTGGTTGTTCCACCACGAAAGCACTGGTGAGTGAGAATTTAATTGGAGAGAGTTTTTTTCCTCCTCAT
Source organism: Homo sapiens (assembly GCF_000001405.40). Classification (NCBI taxonomy): domain Eukaryota; kingdom Metazoa; phylum Chordata; class Mammalia; order Primates; family Hominidae; genus Homo; species Homo sapiens. The sequence continues at coordinate 93,319,841 of NC_000012.12, read as the reverse complement.
GTTTTGCAATATTGCTAGTGAAGCACTTTATTGGATACATTTTTGGGTTGCTACACTGATGATCTATTTTTAAAAACGGTCTCTTTAGTTATTAATTCAAACTTGCCCTTCATATAAAAAATGTCACTGCCACATAGCTGATGGATAAATACTTCATTGCTAGGAGCAGAGCCAAATAAATAGTCACAGCTTTCCCTTGCCCTGTTTTATAACCCACTGTAACTATAACTATCTCTCCATATATTTATTTCATTGCTGCGAAAATTGATATTTGTTGATTCAAAGTATAGTTAGGGCTCATCTCTAGGGTCAACTGAAAAGGTCTCTGTGTTTGGAGAATCAAATTATAATTTCAGCCAGTTTCATCATCTCTTCAGCAGCAAAATGGGTGTGTGACCAGAATGCACAATATGTATGTAGGCTGGAAGGTGGGACTTCATTATTCCAAAGCTGCAGCCGGGCACCAGAGGACACAAATCAGAGAAGGAATGAGTATTGTTGGAGTCCTCTGTTTTCCAGCCCTCTTTCTTTCTGTGTGACCTTGGACAAATCTCACCTCTCTACACTGCAGCTTCTTCCCTGTGAAACCAAGAGGGTGGATTGGATTATCTGTGGGCTCTGGAAGGCAGCCAGAAAATTTATTGAGGGGTTGTGGAAATCTCTTTTTATGGAAAACTTATTTGGGAGGGTTGCTGGGGGGCTCAAAGCTTTTGGCTGCTTTGAAACCAGTGAGAGAGAAAGAGAGAATAGAAAATTGTGCTTACTGTGTAAACAGTTAATAGCGCTATCAATTTCGACCTCATTGCCACATAATGGAGATAAGAATCTCATTATTCAGAGACATGCAAATGTAGCGATTCTAGTCTTTACACACAGCCACTTAATCACCATGCCACTCACGCTATGTAATTTGCTCTGTGAACTCAGGCACATAAAAAATGTCACCCTAATCACTGCCAGTCATGGCACCACTGAAGACAGCACCAGAATAATAGGTATTTGAAAGGGGACATGCTGAGGACTGCACTCTTGCAAGGCAAAAACAGGGAGCCAAACATAATGGGCTCTGATTGGCTTTGCAGAGCAACTGGCTGGAAATTGACACGGCTGCTCTCTAAATGGCGGCAAAGTTTGAAGTTGACCCTAAAAGATCAGTCTTCAAACTGGACTAGCAGGATTGGAAATGAGACCTCTCAGTGGCCTTGAAGAGAGCCATGTCACTCATTTTTACTATGCCAGAAATATAGACCTTTAGGAATTTCTTTGGCCTAGATCTGTGCTGTCCAAGATGGCAGCCACTAGCCACATGTGGCTACTGAGTACTTCTTTTTTTTTTTTTTTTTTTGACAGAGTCTCGCTCTGTCGCCCAGGCTGGAGTGCAGTGGCGCGATCTTGGCTCAATGCAATCTCTGCCCCAGGTTCAAGCGATTCTCCTGCCTCAGCCTCCCGAGTAGCTGGGATTACAGGTGCCCGCCACCATGCCTGGCTAATTTTTTTGGGTTTTTTTTGTAGTAGAGACAAGGTTTCACGACGTTGGCCAGGCTGGTCTCGAACTCCTGACCTCAGGTGATCCGCCCACCTCAGTCTCCCAAAGTGCTGGGATTATAGGTGTGAGCCACTGTGCCCAGCTGCTACTGAATACTTGAAATATGGCCAGTGCCACTGAGTGTAAATATAAAATGCACACTGGATGTCAAAGGCTTTGTCCAAAAAAAAAAAAAAAAGAAATATAAATTAAAAAAAGAATTACATGCGCAGTGGCTCACGCCTGTAATCCCAACACTTTGGTAGGTCGAGGAAGGCAGATCATTTGAGGTCAGGAGTTCAAAACCAGCCTGGCCAACATGGTGAAACCCTGTCTCTACTAAATACAAAAATTAGCCGGACATGGTGGCACATGCTAATTAATCCCAGCTACTCAGGTGGCTGAGGCAGGAGAATCACTTGAACCCGGGAGGCAAGGTTGCACTGAGCCAAGATTGAGCCACTGCACTACAGCCTAGGCGACAGAGTGAGACTCTGTCTCAAAAATAAATAAATAAAATAGCTCATTAATAATTTTTATATTGGTCACATGTTAAAAATATATTGTATATATTAGATTAAATATAATGTATTATTCAAATTAATTTCTTTTGTTTCTTTTTACTTTTTAAATTTTACTCTTTAGAAAATTTAAAGTTATATGTAGCTCACATTTTGTTTCTGTTGGACAACACTGGCCTACAGAAATGAGATGCTTGTTTCCTCTAGTTGCTAAGACTCTATCTTGTTTTTCTTGCTCTCTTTACAAACTCAAGTTCCTTTAAAGATTCTTCACGTTGATATAAGGAGCCTGCTTCCTCATTGCCATTTGGGTGCAGAGTTCTTCCTGTCAGCCCACTCATCATGCTCATCATACCTTGCTGCCAGGCCTCTCTATGCTGATGACTCGAGGAAAACACGCTCCTCTGGTTGCAAAGAAGGCATTGTTTCTAAAGGCACCTGTCTCAGAGCTCTAGATGGATTATGACCCACGGCGGTCATTGGACTGTAAACCTGACACAGGTTTAACCTTCTGATGGAGCTTGGTTTTTGTCCTAGAAAAACTATAAAGAGAAAAACAGCGGCACATAAAGAACAGTATATGGTGTAAAGAGAAGCGGGAGTCCTGGGTCGATGTTAGAAGACATGAATGCAAATCCCTGGCTGGCTATTAACTTAGTTTGATTTGGATAAATCTCTGTATTTGAGCCTCAGTTTCTCTATCAGATGCCTGTAAAATGAACTCAAAAACGCTTTCTTCAGAAAATTGCTCAAGTATCAAATGAGATAACATATAAGAAAGTAATTGTGGGCTGGGCATGGTGGCTCACACCTATAATCCCAATACTTTGGGAGGCTGGAGTGGGAGGATCGCTTGAGGCCAGGAGTTCAAGACCAGCCTGGGTAACATGGCAAAACCTCATCTCTACAAAAAATAAAAAACCTAGCCCAGCATGGTGGCATGTGATTGTGGTCCCAGCTACTTGGGAGGCTGAGATGAGAGTATCACTTGAGCCCAGGAGGTTGAAGCTACTGTGAACCACATGCCACTTCACTTCACTCCTGCCTTCCAGCCTGGGAGACAGATTGATACCCTGCCCAAAAAAAAAAAAAAAAAAAAAAAAGAACTTGTTAATTACAAAGCTTTGTTTATGGTGGCAGTTTTATGGTAGAGGGGTAAATCCTGTGGACAGATTGTTGTGTTTGGCCAGAAAAGTGTTTTTTGTTTAGTTGAATGGGAATGCCTCCAGTTTGTCACGGACTTTATCGCTCTTATCTTAATTCACCTGCCTGGCTGCTGAAGACAGATATGTTTGTGTACCTTGCAAAAATGAGGAGTGCAATGCATAGTAACACAACTATGTTACTGAGCATAGCCTATGTAGTAGGCACTATGTACTAGGTACTATGCTAGATGCTAGCTGATGTGGTTCCTATCCCTGGGAGCTCTCAGTCAGCACATAAATTACAGCACAACCAAGTCCAGATAAACAGACACCAAGTACTTGTTGTGGGCTGGCCACTGTTCTAAGCTACCGGGATAAAAATTATTCTGCTCAGAACAAATTATCTGGGGATTAGGGAGAAAGATGAGCAACTAACTGCCTTGGGGGAGGCTGTTCAAGAGGAAGTGGGGATATTCAAGAAAGAAAAGTAACATTTTTGAGCCAAGACTGGGCCATGTGTAAGATAAGGCACTTATTATGCACTTTCATCCTCTGAAAACAGCTCTCAGAAGTAGATATTGTTATCTTCATTTTGCAAAGGAGTGTGGCTTATGAGACCTGCCCAAGGCCACATACAATGGACAAAGCTAGGATGTGAATCCAGGTCCTTCTTAGTGAGCCTAAGCCCACAGTACGCCCACTCTGCTTCTCCCAGGGATTAATGAATGATTCATCACAATTGTTTTATTTCTGTTCGTAGGGTTTTCTCTCCTACACCTTAATAAAGCCAAAGTTTATTTACTATTAAAGTTACAATGAAGTACTTATGAAAGCATACAAATTTGTAAAATAAGTCCTTATGTTTTCAAGAAAATTACCAGATATAATATTAACGACAAGATGAAACAAAGATACGAATCATGACTTTTGTCCTGTTTTAAAGTCACCTTATGGAACAATACATCATGAAATCAATAGTTGTACATCTAGGAAATTTACCACTGGAGCTCTCTTCCACTGGTGTGGATATTCTAATTGGTCTCAGGTGGCCGTCTCTGCCATTTTGGTGATTGGCTAGAATCCAAGGGTGTTTTTGAAGATGGCACCTGGAATTCACAAAACATGGCTAATTCTTCTGAGAAGAGATGGGACACAAACATGAAAGAGGAGTCGTAAAAACGTCAGGCATCTTTCGGTGCTCCTTCATCTCCTAAGGAGCTTCTCCCAGGACAGGTCTCTGTCCCCGCATTCTTTCCTTCCGCCTGGAGGGTAAGTTCCCGGATGCAGGAGGTAGTTTGTTTGCCCGAGGGCTCCGACCAGCATTGGGTGCTGAGGGAGGCGGGCCCGGCGGTGCGCATTTTTTTTTTTTTCCAGACAAGTCTTGCTCTGTTGACAGGCTGCAGTGCAGTGGCACCATCTCGGCTCACTGTAACCTCCGCTTCCTGGGTTCAAGTGATTCTCCTGCCTCAGCCTCCTGAGTAGCTGGGATTACAGGCGCCCGCCATCATGCCCAGCTAATTTTTGTATTTTTAGTAGAGACGGGGTTTCGGTTTCACCATGTTGGCCAGGATGGTCTCTATCTCCTGACCTCGTGATCCGCCTGCCTCAGCCTCCCAAAGTGTTGGGATTACAGGCGTGAGCCACCGCGCCCGGCCCCGGCAGTACACTTTGAATTCAGCAGTGACCAGGGCTGTTTGTTTAGAAAAGCCCGGGGCTCTGGTTCTCCACTGTAGTGTCATTCAGCAATGATTCCTTAGTGACAAACAACCCCGCCCTAACCCCCAGGTGAGTTTGACCCATGTCTGTTGCTATGCCAACCACAAGGCCCCGCCCCTTTACCCCAGGCTGACTTGGGATTGGCTTTTCCAGTGGGCAAAGGTCAAGGAAGGACGGTTGCCACGGATCATGCGCAGCGCGATGGCCTCGGCTGTGGGCTTCCGCCTGTTTGCCTTTCTTCCGCTCTCGGGGTAAAGGTCACCAGGGGCTGGTTCAGACCGCAGGCTCTGGAATCTGCCACACCTGGGTTGGAACCTTCACCACTGTCCCCCGCCCCAGCCACATTCTAATGAGTTACCTGCGGCAAGTTTAGGTCTAAGCCTCAGATGTTTTCCTCAGATGTAAAAATGTGTATTACCAAGGTTGTGAGATTTTGATGATAGCCGCAGGCACTTCTGTCTTCTTACAACATGCTATGTGTTTTTCTGAGCGTTTTACATAAGCTAACTCAATTCATCCTCACAACAAGCCTACAAGATAGGTATCTTTGTCATCCCACTTACAGATGAGGAAACTGAGGCATGGGAAAGTTACAGGACTTTCTCAACATCCAGTAGTTTGTAGATGCAGACCTGAGACATCAAAGCAAGTTTGAGTCCAGGAAACACCGTTGGGCAGCACATGCCTGTAATCCCAGTGCATTGGGAGACTGAGGCGGGAGGCTTGCTTGAGACTAAGAGTTCCAGACCAGCCTGGGCAAAGATAGTGAGACCCCATTTCTACAAAAAAAAAAAAAAAAAAAAAAAAAAGAAGAAAAGAAACACATGCCACTTTGGGACACAGTAGATATTTAATAAATTCTATTTATTTTTAATCCCATTACTATTATTGGTTCTGGTTTTCACGGCTTCCATGAGTCACTTTGGAAGTGGAGTGAGACAAAACGTTTTTGTGAGAGTATGATTTAAGAAAAATATTTTTGGACTGGCTGAGGTGGCTTGTGCCTGTAATCCCAGCACTTTGGGAGGCTGGGATGGGAAAATTGCTTGAGCCCAGGAGTTCCAAACTAGCCTGGACAACATAGTGAGGCCACATCTCTACAGAAAATAATTTTTGAAAATATATATGGTTTTGAACTTGAGTAAGGATAGTGTGGTTTAATTCAATTTCTCTTTTAACTCCAGTTTATTAAAGCTTAAGATTTTTAACACATTTTGCAGTTTACATTTTTATATACATTGTTCTTAATGATGAACATTAATATCTTCTTGTAGGCTTCTTCTAGGCTAAAGTGAGCTAATATGTGTAAATAACTTAAGTTCTTAGTACTGAGTACGTGCTGAATAAGGCAAGTATATATGGAAGGTCCTGAAGGTATGACTGTGATTTCACCTGGTCCCCAACTCTAATATTTCCTTGTGGGGATGCATCGGTTCCCAGGTTTTCTAGGACCAGTTGAAGCAGTGTACATTTGTACACTGTATTGCCAATTGCCAGTACAAGAGTGGGGAGCTTCTTGAGGCCAGAGGTCTTCTTGAGGCCACTTTGCTATTAAGGAAAAAGTTCACAGAGGAGCAAAGCAGCTGCTGACCACCCAGGAAAGGTAGCCTGATGGGAGCCTGCTCAAAGGGGTTTGCAGCCCCTTCTGAAATCTCTGCAGTGGGTTTTTCAATGGAACTAATGGTGTTTATATGTTAATTGCATATTAGAAATAGAAAAGACTTGATCAAAATAAGCAATAGTCTGCTAACTGATGCATAAGATACAAAAGCCAGACTTCCAGGGCCAAATCCCACCTGCAACACTTACCAGCTGTGTGTCCTTGGGCAGCGGCTTAACTTCTGTGCTGCAGCACCTTGTCCATAATTTGGGGATCATAAAAGTATCTATCTCATGGAGCTATCATGAGGATTAAGTGAGCTAGTACACATAATGCTTTTAGAGCAGTGCCTGGCACATGGCTGGATCTCAATAAATGTTATATATAATATATGGATACATATGCATACGAATAAATTATGTACAGGAATCATCCTAGTTACACAAACAATATAAGAGAGAAAAAAAACCACAGTCTTTTCCTTATTGTAGTTGTGGTCCCTTAACGCTGTTTTCCATGTAATGTGACATTTTCATGTCTAACATTTTGCTTAAGGTGATGTTGGCTTAGCTGCTGAGTTGCCCAAAGGGTCTGTTCCTACTTGTGTCATGAAATCATTTAAATCAAGGACCTAGACGGTGGAGTAGTGAGTTGAGAAAATGAAGACATGCTTCTCCTGCTTTCGGCCTTACTTCTTATGGCAATTGGCACAAAGAAATGTAATGCTTCCATTTAGCATACCGGCCAATGTGGTGGATGTTGTCCCTTAAGGCAGGGGGCCCCAGAATGTGACTGTATTTAGAAATAGGGTCTTTAAAGAAGTGGTTAAAATAAAATTATGGGTAGGCCCTAATCCAATATGACCAGTGACCTTACAAGAAGAAATGTGGATATAGACAGGTACAGAGAGAAAACCATCTGCAAGCTGAGGAGAGAGGCCCTAGAAGACACCAACCCTGCTGTTAGCTTGATCTTGGACTTCTAGCTTCCAGACCTGTGGAAAAATAAATTCCTGTTCTTTAACAACTCTGCGATACTTCGTTGGGCATCTCTAGAAAACTATCACAGCGACGGTGGGGCTCTAAGCAAGGCAGAGAGAGACCTTAACATAGTTGAGGCTGGAAGTTTTGGGCAAAGAGGTGAGTGTAGGTTTGAGAACTTTGGGACTACAAGGGGAAAGTCATTTTTAGATGCCTCTCTGGAGGAAAACAGAAAATGGGTGGTATGATTGCTCACTTTAAAATAAATTCTTCACTTTACAAATGACTCACTTCTTGTAGCCAGAAGATAGATTAGAAGCCATGATAAAAATACTAGGGAATCAGAATTAAAGTCAGTGGAAAAGTATTATTTGTACTATGAACATCTCCTTCACACAGAATGTTTTAGGAATGCGTTTACCTCAGGAAGGCAGACAACTGGGACCATGTACAAAGGATTAGGTGGGGTCCCTGGAAGGAATTTATTGGAAGTACCAGAAGAGCCCGTAGACTGGGGACAAGATTATTGCACTCATACCAAAGAGAAAAGGAAATGCAGAAACTTGATTATTCGCTAAGTAGGTTTACTGCCCCTACCTTTGAATTTCATCTGTATTTAAGTCTTTTATTTATTTTTGAGATGGAGTTTCACTATTTTTGCCCAGGCTAGAGTGCAAAGGTGCGATCTCAGGTCACTGCAACCTCCGTCTCCCAGGTTCAAGTGATTCTCCTGCTTCAGCCTCCTGAGTAGCTGGGATTACAGGTGCCCGCCACCACACCTGGCTAATTTCGTATCTTTAGTAGAGACAGGGTTTCACCATGTTGGCCAGGCTGGTCTCAAACTCCTGACCTTAGGTGATCTGTCTGCCTCGGCCTCCCAGAGTGTTGGGATTACAGGCGTGAGCCACCGGGCCTGGCCCAGTCTTTTCTTTTTTAAACGTTATTTTTCCTGGAGATTTAGACTTAGCAGTGTGGCCAGGTTCTAGCATGGATTTGATAAACCTGGGACAAGTGGGTTGGTGAGGCTAAGGGGATTGAGAGAACACCTAAAATAGATTTTGCCCTCTAGCCATCATTTCCAGGGTTTGACCACTGATGTCACATCAGACAGACGGAGAGACAGTCAGATAGAACTTGCTTTCACAGGACTTCATCTGAAGTCATTATTCTAGTGCTAGGTCTATATTTCATCTGTCTGCTTTTGGAAAGTGCTGAGAAGAAAGCCTTCCTTCTTTCTCCCCACGCCCTCCCCCAAGTTTATACTATACATTTTTAAAAATGTTATTTTAAATGATCATACCATAAGTGGGCAAAAGAATGAGTTTCCTTGTTTAAATAGTCACTTTTTTTTTTTTGAGACTGAGTTTCGGTCTTGTCACCCAGGCTGGAGTGAGTGCAATGGCACAGTCTCGGCTCACTGAAACCTCCGTCTCCCAGGTTCAAGCAATTCTCCTGCCTCAGCCTCCTGAGTAGCTGGGATTACAGACACCTGCCTCCACATCCAGCTAATTTTTGCATTTTTAGTAGAGGCAGGGTTTTACTATGTTGGCCAGGCTGGTCTTGAACTCCTGACCTCAGGCGATCCACCCACCTTGGCCTCCCAAAGTGCTGGGATTACAGGCATGAGCCACCATGCCCGGCAGAGTCACATGGTTTTTTAACATTGAGTATGACGGGCGGATGTTCTTTCTGGTTCTAATGATTTTTTTGTCTTTCTTTTTTCTATTGGAAAATTTTTCTGGGAATCTCCAGCAGGCAGAAAGCATGAAAACTGTATGATCAGACTGAAGGTTTGACCTTTGAGCTCTGCTGAAAGTATACACCCAGCCATAGACCATTTTTCTGTCACAACGATTTCCACATAAAAGTTTTCTCCCTGTCCGTTCGTGAAAAAATTAACATTCAGGAGGCTCTCTGGGATGGAATGCATTTCATGTGTCAGTCACTAGTGTTTGGTAAGATATCGTCAGTGCTGGCAAGGGGCAGAGAGAAGAGTGGGTCAATGGCATGAGGTTCACTGCTGGGCTGCCTTTACGTGGGACAGGGAAGCTGGAATCAGTCCTGTGCTGAGCATAAGATGCTGCCTTACCTTGGTGGTGACAAGTCATCTTACCTCTGGTAAGAAAAAGTTTTGTAGCTATGATTATTTTTTTCTAACAGCCTGCTCTTTCTTCAGGAGGTAGCCTTTACTGTCTATTGGGTCTACATAAAGGTTTCCCTGGTGAGAGTGAATGAGTAGGTGATTCAAACTTAGAATAAGCACTGGGTGGGCTGCCCAGATCTCCCACTTCATGACTGAAACCGGCAGTCTGATTGGCTGACAGCTCACACCTGTCTCCTCCTGCTCTCCCCGACAACCCTAGTGATGAGAAGCCAGCTGTCCAAGGTCATTTCCCTTCATATCATGATGTGAGGTCTAAATGTCCAGCCCCCTTGCTTTATTTTGGGATATTTCTGTAAGACCATCCTAGCTCAAGGGCTCCCCAGGAGATGGGCGGAAGCCCTTGCTGTGACTGCGTTGCAGCCCAACTTCTCCCTCTGCCTGAATCAGCAGCTTTGATATCTCCACAGGTGTTAATCCCAAGATCACTTCCCAATAAACCTCCTGTGTGTAAGCCTCCATCTCTAAGTCTGTTTCCCAGGAAACCCAACCTGCAACAATATTTTTCTTAAATATGGCAGTTTTATTTATACTTTTTTTTTTTTTTTGAGACAGAGTCTCTCTTTGTCACCCAGGCTGGAGTGCAGTGGCTCGATCTCGGTTCACTGCAACCTCTGCCTCCCAGGTTCAAGCGATTCTTCTGTCTCAGCCTCCTGAGTAGCTGTGGTTACAGGGACCCGCCACCACGCCTGGTTAATTTTTTTTAGTGGAGACAGGGTTTCACCATGTTGGCCAGGCTGGTCTTGAACTCCTGAGCTCAAGTGATCTGCACTCCCCTTGGCCTCCCAAAGTGCTGGGATTACAGGCATGAGCAACTGCGCCCAGCCTTTAGTCCTCTAAATTTGTTGATGTTGGTTTTATGGCCCAAGATATAGTCTATTTTGGGATGTGTTCCATGGGCGCTTGAAAATAATGTGTTTTCTGCTATTGTTGGGTGGAATAGTCTATAAATGTAGATTAGGTCCTATTGGTTAATAGTATTATCAGGCTGGGAGCGGCGGCTCACACCTTTAATCCCAGCACTGGGGGAGGCCAAGGCAGGAGGATTGCTTGAGCCCAGCAGTTTGAGACCAGCCTGGACAACATAGTGAGGCCCCTATCTCTACAAAAAATAAGATAACATAAATTAGCCAGGTGTGGTGGCAGGTGCCTGTAGTTCCAGCTACAAGGGAGGTTGAGGTGGGAGGAGCACTTGAACCTGAGAGGTCGAGGCTGGAGAGAGCTGTGATCATGCCACTGCACTCCAGCCTGGGTGACAGAGTGAGACCCTGTCTCAAGGAAACAAACAAAGTATTCCTGACTTCTTCTACATCCCTGCCAATTTTCTGTCTGCTTGTTCTATCAGTTGTTGAGAGAAGGCATTGAAGTTTATGACTATTAGTGTGGATTTGTCTATTTATTCTTTCAGTTCTATCAGTTTGTGTTTCACATTTTGCAGTTCTGTTGTTTGTTGCACACACATTTAGGAAGCTACGTCTTCTGGATGGACTAACCCTTTTATCATTATGGAATGTTTTGCCCCATCTCTGGTAATTTTCTTTACTCAGTAGTCTACTCTATTTGATATTAATATAGCAACTCCTGCTTTCTTTTGATTAATGTTTAGATGAGATATATTTTTTCTATTTGTTTACTTTGAATCTACCTATCTAATTATAATTGGAATTTCTTGTAGACACATGTATAGTTGGGTCATGTTTTTTCGTCTACTCTGCAAATCTCTGTCTTTTCATTGGTGTGTTAGGTCGTTTACACTGGATATAATTATTGATGTGATAGGACTTGTGCCTGACATTTTATTTTTTGTATTTTGTATCTTTTGTTTTCTCTCAGTTTTATGTTTCTGTTTTTTTTCTAACTTCCTATGGGTTATTAAAACTTAGTGCATTTAGGCCGAGCGTGGTGGCTCACACCTGTAATCCCAGCACTTTGGGAGGCCAAGGCCGGCGGATCACGAGGTCAGGAGATTGAGACCATCCTGGCTAACACAGTAAAACCCCGTCTGTACTAAAAATACAAAAAAAAATTAGCCGGGCATGGTGGCAGGTGCCTGTAGTCCCAGCTACTCGGGAGGCTGAGGCAGGAGAATGGCGTGAACCAGGGAGGCGGAGCTTGCAGTGAGCTGAGATCGCACCACTAGACTCCAGCCTGGGCGACGGTGTGACTCTGTCTCAAAAAAAAAAAAAACAAAAAACAAAAACAACTTAGTGCGTTTAAGTGTATCTTTGCATAGTATTTTTAGTGGTTATATATACATAACTTATCACTGTCTACTGGAATTGACATTTTAGCAGTTTAAGTGAAGCATAGAAACCTTACTTCTCCTTATGTCTTTTTACTCTCCATATTTATAATTCTTTTTTTTTTTTTTTTGAGACAGGGTCTCACTCTGTCACCCAGGGTGGAGGGCAGTGGTGCAATCATGGCTTACTGCAGCCTCAACCTCCCAAGGCTCAGGTGATCCTCCTGCCTCAGCCCCTGAGTAGCTGGGATTACAGGCATGATTCCTGGTGCCTGGCTAATTTTTGTATTTTTAGTAAAGATGGGGTTTTGCCATGTTGCCCAGGCTGGTCTTAAATTCCTGGGCTCAAGCGATCCATCCACCCTGGTATCCCAAAGTGCTGGTATTACACTGCGCCCAGCCCATAAATCTTAAATAGCCCATCTATATGCATTTAGAACCACATCACTGTTATGTTTGCTTTAGCTATTTAAAAGAATCTGGGAAACTTAAGTGGAGAAGAAGAATCCATTATATTTACTCATAATTTTACTGTTTCTTCCTGATGTTCCAAGATTACTGCTTTTATCATTTTTTTGTTGTTGTTTTTCTGTTTAGGAAACTTCCTTTAGCACTTTTTTTTTTTCTCTTTTTTTGTGACGGAGTCTCACTCTGTCACCCAGGCTGGAGTGCAATGGCATGGTCTCAGGTCACTGCAACCTCTGCCTCCCGGGTTCAAGCAGTTCTCCCACCTCAGCCTCCCGAGTAGCTGGGACTACAGGCGTGTGCCACCACACCCGGCTAATTTTTTTGTATTTTTAGTAGAAACGGGGTTTCACTATGTTGGCCAGGCTGGTCTCGAACTCCTGACCTCATGATCTGCCCGCCTTGGCCTCCCAAAGTACTGGGATTAAAAGCGTGAGCCACTGTGCCCAGCCTAGCCTATCTTTTAGTTTATGTCTGATGATGACAAATTATCTTAGTTTTCTTACATGTGAGAATGTCTAAGTTTTCCCTTCATTCCTGAAGATATTTTCTCTGGATATAGAATTCTGGATTGATAGTTCTTTCCTTCCAGCACTTGAAAAACACTGTGCCACTTCCTTCTGGCTTCCATGATTTCTGATGAGAAATCTGTTGTCATTAGAATTGTTTTCTCCTGTGAGTAAGGTGTTATTTCTCTTTCACTGCTTTCATTACTTTTTTTTTTCTTTTTGGTCATGAAGCATGGAAGAGACTTAATTTAATAATTTTTTCTCTGTCTTTAGTTTTCCCAAGTTTGACTATGATGTGTCTTGGCATGGATTTCATTTGGTTTTTCTTGTTGAGGTGCATTGAGCTTCTTAAATCTCTAGGTTTACATCTTTTGCCAAACTTGAGATATTTAGCCATTATTTCTTCAAATACTTTTTTCAGCTCCATCTTCTTTCTTCTCTTCTTCTGGGACTCCAGTGATATTAATGTTAGACTGTTTAAAATAATCTATAGATCCTTATTGCTCTGTTAATTTATGGGGGGTGGGGTATCTATTTTCTTTCTGTTGTTCAGACTGGGTAATTTCTAGTTATCTATCTTCAAGTTCACTGTTTACTTCTATTGTCTCCTCCATTCTGCTGTTGAGCTCGTCCGCTGAGTTTTTAATTTCTATCGTTGTAGTTTTCAGTTCCAAATTTCCATTTGGTGCTTCTTTAAATCTTCTATTTCTTTGCTGAGACTTTCTATTTTTTTCATTTGTTTAAATATGTTTATTATGGCTAATTGAAGCATATTTATAATAGCTGTTTACAAATATTTGTTAGATAATTCTAGTATCTCTGTCATGTCAGTGTTGGCACCTATTGGTTATATTTTTAGATAAGTTAAGATTTTTCTTGTTCTTACTATGATGAATGTTTTTTTATCAAAACCTGGACATTTGGGTATTGTGTTATGGGACTCTGGATCTTATTTAAGCCTTCTGTTTTAGCTGGCTTCTTCTAATACCACTCTGGCTGGTGGTGAGGGAGCCACCTCTTTATTAATGCCAGGTGTGGTAGAAATCCAGGTTCCCCACTCAGCATCCATTAACATCCTCAGGACAGAAAGGGCTCCTCATTAGTGCCGGGTGTAGGTGGGAATTCTGGCTCCCCATGTTGCCTCCACTGATACCACAAGCATTGGAGTAGCCTTGTTACTTTTGAGCACTGGAAAAAGTCTTATTATCTCCACTAGAGCTACTCTGACACCATCCCAGTGGAGAAGGGGAAGGGTGCCCCATTAACAGAAGTGGAAGTCCAGACTCCCTCCTTTACCTTTGCTGGCATGGGTGGAGGTGGAGTCAGAGTTTTTCTATGATGTTTAGCTGGAGTAGAGTGGTTATTATCGAAAAGTTTTCTGTCTTGCTGTTTGGCTAACCTTCTCTTTTCCTGGTCCTTTGGCTAGAGACATCAGGCTTGTTTTGGACTTTCTTTGTCTGTATCCATTGGCATTCTGTGCATCTACCTTCTCCAGCTCCAGCACAGTTTGGGATATAAGAGGCAATAAAGAAACCCAGGGAATTCACTGCTATGTCATTCTTTGGGTCCTGAGATTCCTAGTAGTCTGCATTCTTCTTTCCACCTTTATATATAAGGTCCATGATTTTCAGTTGTACTTTGCAGAAGGAATAGGGAAATGTACTTCTCCATTTTTCTCAAAGCAGATGTCCCTAATGTATATTCAGCCCATTTATTTGGAAGTCTCTTTAATTCTGCCCCTCCGCTGCAAAAACTGTGGACATTAATGAAACTTTAGTCTTCAAAACTGAATCTAATTATTATTATTGAGACAGGGTCTCCCTCTGTCACTCAGGCTGGAGTGCAGTGGCATGACCCCCAGGCTGAAGCTGTTTTCCCACCTCAGCCCCCTGAATAGCTGGGACCACAGGCATACATCACCACACCCAGCTAATGTTTTATTTTTAGTAGAGATGGGGTCTTACTATGTTGCCCAGGCTGGTCTCGAACTCCTGGGTTCAAACAATCCTCCTGTCTCAGCCTCCCCAAATGCTGGAATCACAAGCATGAGCCTCCACACCTGGCCAAAATTGAATCTAAACGAAGGATTGCTAAGTTTGGATTATTTGAGATATTGAGAATCACTATTTATTAGGAGTAAAACTCATGCCCTAGATTTTTCAGGGAAGTCTGGGTTTTAAGTAATTTCATTATTTTAATCCCCCCCCCCCCAAAAGCATTTCATCAACTAAAAAAAGTGATTTTTTAAATACTAAAAAACTGACAAATATGAGAAAAACCTGTATCTGACCTCAAGTCCCTTTTTTTTCATTTTGGAAAATGAGGTTACAATTTATCTAGTCATGAGATACAAGAGGCAACCCATAGGGAACTAATATTTATTTTGAGGCATTCTTTTGCTAAACATCTGGATGATTGCTAGAGAATAATAACAATGATAATAAAAGTGAATATTTGCAGAATATTTTACTATAAGTCAGGCACAGTTTATGCTCACTGTCTCATGTAAAATTCACTGTATGCCTATTCAGAAAATTGTAATATTTTCTTTTCTTTCTTTCTTTTTTTTTTGAGATGGAGTCTCTCTCTTGTTACCAAGGCTGGAGTGCAATGGCGTGATCTTGGCTCACAGCAACCTCCACCTCCCAGGTTCAAGCAATTCTCCTGCCTCAGCCTCCCGAGTAGCTAGGATTGCAGGCATGCGCCATCTGGACCAGCTAATTTTGTATTTTTAATAGAGATGGGGTTTCTCCATGTTGGTCAGGCTGGTCTCGAACTCCTAACCTCAGGCGATCCGCCTGCCTTGGTCTCCCAAAGTGTTGGGATTAAAGGAGTGAGCCACCACGCCCGGCCAATATTTTCTTCAGTTTGCAGATGAGTAAACAGAAGTTTAAAGAGGCTAAGTAGACCAGGCACGGTGGCTGACACCTGTACTCCCAGCACTTTGGGAGGCCTAGGTGGGTGGATCACCTGAGGCCAGGAGTTCGAGACCAGCCTGGGCAACATGGTGAAACCCCGTCTCTACTAAAAATACAAAAATTAGCCAGGCATGGTGGCAGATGCTTGTAATCCCAACTATTCAGGTGGCTGAGGCATGAGAATCGCTTGAACCCGGGAGGCAGAGGTTGCAGTGAGCCAAGATTGTGCCACTGCACTCTAGCCAGGGCGACAGAGTGAGACTCTGTCTCAAAAATAAAATAAAATAAAATAATAAAGAGGTTAAGAAGATGGCTTAAAGTCACACAGCCAGCAAGTCGGGGGAGCTTAGTCTCTGTGACACTATCACCCATGCTGTAGACCATCACCATCTGATAGAAATAATGTGAGCCCCATATATTATTTAAAGTGTTCTAATAGCCACATTAAAAAGTAAAAAGAACCATGTGAGATTAATTTTAATAATATATTTCCTTTAACCCAATATAGCCAAAATATTATCATTTCAACATGTAATCAATATAAAAACTATTAATGAGACAGTTACTTTTTTTGTGCTAAGTCTTTGAAATCTGGTGTGGATGTAACACATAGCACATCTCGGTTTGGAGACTAAATTTTCATTGGAAATACTTGGTCTGTATTTAGATTTCATAAAATTTCATAAAATTAGATTTTATAAAATTTAGGTTTCACAAAATTTACAGTTGAAAAAGTAGATTTACATATCAAAGTTATTCCAAACATATGCAGAAATTCTCCAATAACTAAATTATGTAGAAGTTCTTCAATAACTAAATCTGGTCCAAGTTTTCAAATTAAAGTTTAAATTAATTACAATCTCCTTTCTCTGTCACTGTAGCTATATTTTGAGTGCTCAGTAGTCATGGCTGAGTGCTCTAGAACATTCTGTTACCCTGCCTGAATTATTTCTGTTAAGGGCTGAATCTCAAGGGGAACAAAACTTATGCCATAGCCAGAAAGAGGGAGAAAATTCGTGGAAGTGGAAGAAGGGTCAGCCAAGGGTCAAGAGAAAAGACCTTCTTTTTGGCTGCTATTAGGGTTACAGTAAGTTCTAGAGTTTTGGTAACTAGGGAAGGAAGCTAAAAGTGTTTTCTTTCATTTCTGAGAATACGTCATGTGTATATCTTACTAAACCTGGCTTTTCAAAGAAGGCTATGTCTTGATCTAGGAAAGATTAAAGCCAAATGAAAATAGCACTGAGCTCCTGGCAGAATAGCTCACCAGCTGAGCATGTCCATGAGGTCACAAGCTCTGTCTGTGTAATGGTTAGTCACTCAGTAAGGGGTCCAAGTCAAAGCTAAACCCTCTACCACAAACCCTGGAATGGAAAGGATCTCATATTTATTCTTGTCGTAGTTGTTTGTGGGGATCCCTGGGTTATGGAATATGTCTCAAAATGGCAGAAATTACACCTCGGTGCCAAGCAGTAGTTCCTGATCTTTTAAAATTCAAATCTATTTTACAGTAATAAATAATGTTATGATCCCCTCTAAGGAACTAAAGTCATTATGTTATTTCTGCAAAGTAGTTAGGAAATAAAGAAATTATTTTAGGTTTTTAAAAATCAACTTAATGCCAGGTGCAGTGGCTCATGCCTATAACTGTAGCACTTTGGGAGGCCAAGGTGAGAGATTGCTTGAGGTCAGGAGTTCAAGACCAGCCTGGGCAACATAGCGAGACCTCATCTCTACAAAAGAAAAAAAAAAAAATTAGGGCCTGGTGCAGTGGCTCACGCCTGTAATCCCAACACTTTGGGAGGCCGAGGTGGGCAGATCAACTGAGGTCAGGAGTTTGAGACTAGCCTGGCCAACATAGTGAAACCTCATCTCTGCTAAAAATACAAAAAAATTAGCCAAGTATGGTGGTAGGCGCCTGTAGTCCAAGCTACTCAAGAGGCTGAGGCAGGAGAATCACTTGAATCTGGGAGGCAGAGGTTGCAGTGAGCTGAGATCTCGCCACTGTACTCCAGCCTGGGGCAACAGAGCAAGACTCCGTCTCAAAAAAAAAAAATTTTTCAAAATTAGCCTGACATGATGATGGGCACCTATAGTCCCAGCTACTCAGGTGCCTGAGGCAGGAGGATTGCTTAAGCCCAGGAAGTTGAGGCTGTAGTGAGCTATGATCATGCTGCTTCACTGGGCAAGAGTGAAACTTTGTCTCAAAAAAAAAGAAAAAATCAACTTAAGAGAATTATGTTTTTAAAGATTATATTGAAGTATGTCTTAATATGTTCTGTAATAATACTTATAATGCATATAAACACCAGCTTTAACTTTTCCTTAAACAAATGACGTATGCTACTTAATTTACTCTAAATAGATTATATAAAAAAGCATGATTTAGGGTCGGGCGCAGTGGCTCATGCCTGTAATCCCAGCACTTTGGGAGGCCAAGGCTGGCGGATTACTTGAGCTCAGGAGTTTGAGATCAGCCTGGGCAACATGGCGAGACCCCGTCTCTACTAAAAATACAAAAAAATAGCTGATGTGGTGGCATGCATCTGTGATCCCAGCTATTTGGCAGGCTGAGGTGGGAGGATCGTTTGAGCCCAGGAGGCAGAGGTTGCAGTGAGCCAAGCTCCTGCCACTGCACTCCAGCCTGGGTGCAGAGCAAGACTCTGTCTCAATAAATAAATAAATAAATAAATATATAAATAAATAAAGCAGGACTTGACAAGTGCATATTACAAATCACATTACATCTTGTTTGCTTTGGAGACTAGATGTATATTAAAATGTAGACTTAGATTTAACTATTAATATGTTTTACAGCACCAAAAATAATGGCATTCACAATCTGATGGTTGGAATTCTTGCATTTCGTGTGCTTAAAAAATGTAAATCATCACTTTGATTTGATTATTTTTTGTTTTTTACTTCTCCAAGAAGAGGTAGAGTGATGGCTTTGTGCCCTCACTATATGGCAAATACCCATTTACACAGAGGTTAAGAAAGTGGGATTTGGAGTTGATTGTCCGAGTTTGAATCTGACTCTGCCACTGACCAGCTGTGTGACCTTGAGAAGTTACTTAAACTCTCTGTACCTTGTTTTCCTTGTCTAAAAAAGGGACTCTAATAATAGTACCTATCTCATGGGGCTGTTGCAGGATTACACAAGTTCACATCTGTAGGGGACTTAAAACAGCTTTTGGCGTATGGGAAAGGCTCAGTAAATGTTAGCTCTGGTTTATTTCCACATGGATATTCCACTTAACATTCCAAACCGAAGTTATCAGTTACTTGCACTTTATGCACTTTCTATGTAAACTAGTGTTACTATCAAGAACTTTATTACCCTAAAAGCCCATGATTCAATTTTTCTTCCACTTATCTCCCTCATCTAATCACCCAGCAAGTGCTGTCTGTTTCAGGTCTGGTTTCTCCAAGCCATTTGCTCTTCTCCCTCTCTTTGATCATTGCTTCTTCACCGGTCTTTCTTTCTTTTCTTTTCTTTTTTTTTTTTTTTTTGAGATGGAGTCTCACTCTGTCACTCAGGCTGGAGTGCAGTGGCACTATCTCAGCTCACTGCAACCTCTGCCTCCTGGGTTCAAGCGATCCTCCTGCCTCAGCCTCCTGAATAGCTGGGACTACAGGCGTGTGCCACCACGCCTGGCTAATTTTTTGTTGTATTTTTAGTAGAGATGGGATTTCGCTATGTTGGCCAAGCTGGTCTGGAACTCCTGGCCTCAAGTGATCCTCCTGCGTCCACCTCCCAAAGTGCTAGGATTACAGGCTTGAGCCACCACGACCGGCCTTAATGGGTCTTTCTGTGTAATTCCTTGTTCTCCTAAATTAACTCCTTATGTAGCACAGCCCCTAGCTACAACCTAAGTCTGAATAAAGTCCTCTGTCCTCAGTGGTTCTCCATTGCCTCCAAGAGACATTCATGTTTCTTTTCTTTTCTTTTTTTGAGACAGAGTTCCGCTCTTGTTGCCCAGGCTGGAGTGCAATGGTGCGATCTCCGCTCACTACAACCTCTGCCTCCCGGGTTCAAGCGACTCTTCAGCCTCAGCCTCCTGAGTAGCTGGGATTACAGGCACCCGCCACCACGCCTGGCTAATTTTTGTATTTTTAGTAGAGAGGGCTTTCACCATGTTGTCCAGGCTGCTCTCAAACTCCTGACCTCATGTGATCCACCTGCCTTGGCCTCCCAAAGTGCTGGGATTACAGGTATGAGCCACCATGCCTGGCCGAGACATTCATGTTTCTTAGCATAGAATGAATATAAGATCCTCTGTGATCTGTATCTTCCTCCCCCTCATTCGTTCATTCAACAACTATTTACTGAGCCCTCAATAAGTATTAGCCACTCCTGCCCAGCGATTCTACTGAGCACCATGCTGCTTATAGTTTCTTGATCTCACACATGCTTTTTCTTGTCAGTCTGTGATGGCTCACAAGTTATTCTCTGCTTGGAATGCCTATTTCCTAAAGCCACTTAGTGTCTGAGCCAGGACTGGAATTCATATTTCCTGACTCTTCACCCAGTGCTCTCTGTCTATGTGAACTGTCACCACCGTTTAGGATCAAGCACCTGTTCTGCATCAACATGAGGTCTGTAGGTACGTAGTAGCCTTTCAGTAAGTGCTCCCTGAAACAATGATGCTATCTATGATAACAACCATATGTTTAGGGAAGTTTTACTAGTTCATATGGAAGTTATCATGCAGCATGTTCACAGTTCTCTTCCCCTTAGTGAGTTTCAGCTTTTTTAAGCTTAGAAAGGCCTAGGAGCTTATATGATCTTTTTAAAGAAAAAAAATAAATAAGACTAGTCAAGTGCAGTTGTAAGAAGGGGAGAAAGAGGAGAACAAGCAGTTCCAACTGTAACTGACTGTTAGCAATTGAGAAAACTCCTACGATCTTTATTATGAAATGTAGGTGGGGAGGTGCTGATTCTCATATTGTTCCAATGCACAGGTCTGGACAAAGGGGCCCTAAGGTACCTAGATGTGTCCTCTATTTTTTTGACCCAAATTTGACTGAGACTAGAGAAGCATAAGAATAAGCTTCTGGTGGTCTGCTCCCTGTCTTCTCTCTCCTGGGCTTGCCATGGGCCCACTAGCTTAGCCAGCCACTCATGCATTTATTGATTCAATCTGCAAACATTCAGTGTTCATTTTGAACTAGGCCTTCTCCCAAATAATCTCTTGTGAACCCGCAAGCCCCCCGATTTTTGTTTCCTTTATTAATTTTTTTTAATTTTTAATTGTTGTGGGTACATAGTAGGTGTATATACTTATGGGTTACATGAAATATTTTGATACAAGTGTGCAATGTGTAATAATCACATCAGGGGTATCCGTCACCTCAAGTATTTATCGTTTGTGTTACAAACAATCCAATTATGCTCTTTTAGTTATTTAAAAATGTACAATTAAATTATATTTGACTATAGTCCTCCTGTTGTGCTAGCAAATGCTAGATCTTTTTCATTCTTTGTATTTTTTTGTAACCATCCTTGCTACCCCCTTACCCCCACCTACCCGTCCCAGCCTCTGGTAACCATCCTTCTACTCTCTGTCTCCACGAGTTCAATTATTTTAATTTTCAGCTCCCACAACTAAGTGAGAACATGTGAAGTTTGTCTTTCTGTGCTGGCTGTTTGTTTATTTCAAGACAGGTCTCGCTATGTTGACCAGGCTGGTTTTGAATGCTTGGGCTCAAGTGATCCTCCTGCATTAGCCAGCCCCTGGCTTATAATCCTTTTCTTCAACCCCCACAAAGTTCCACCCATAGTGTGTAGGTTTGATGTTCTTTCTCCTGGGTCTAGACTTTGTCTAACACTGAAGCCTGGCCACTCATTCCTATTTTCCTGCTCTTTCTTTGTGCAAACTGATTTGCAGTTTTAAAGAAGCTTCTTAATTTCTCTTGCTCTTGCTCCCTTTGTAGATGAATAAGCTTCCGGAACATCTCTCTTGAGAGCCTGGGCATAGACAGTGTGTGTTTTGGGGGATGATCCTGGTAAGGGTATTAGGAGTAGAATTTAGGGGCTTTATTTAAAAGTTAATTTGACCAAATCCAATGCTACACCCTGCTGGTACCAGAAAAACAGGAGCAGAAACAAGGTATAGAATAAATTCTATAAGCATTTAAAAAAATCCCCTAAAGATTAGGAAAAACGCAAGCAGTTGTGGCTTCTGAGAAGAATGTATCTTGTGGGCCATTCAGCTGCTCTGCAAAGCTCTTGCTTGGAAAACACAATACCTGGTGTAAGAAGCTCTGGATTTAAATCTGCAGACCATCACTGTCTTTTTCTAGGAATAGTTACCCTATTATCTCTTGCCTCATCTTCAAAGGCCACCTGTGACAGTGACTGGGCAAAGCTGAAACTGCAAGAGGATTCATTATTTTAATTCTTTGTTTTTGAAAATGATCACTTTTACAGCCAGGTTCTCCCTAGTTCATAGGGGAAAATAGGGCTTTTGAAAGCTTTGAGCTGTTTTGGCTTTCCCCAGACTGCTGCCCTAGCTGGGGCGGACAGATGATGGTACTTGGAATCCCAGCCTGGAGCTGACAGCTACTCGATCTGGATCACTTTCTCCAGCTTCCTTCCATCCTCCTCCTACTCTCCTCCTCCCATGTCTTCCTTCCCCATCTTTATTCCTTCTCTGGGGTCCAGGTATTTTCCCTAGATGTCTTGAAGCTGCTCAAATAGGAGGCAATAGTAATGTGAGCATAAGCCCTCAGTGGGGCTCCGAAAACAATACCCCAAAGTGAAGGTATCAGAAGCAGCCACTGAAGCAAAGTTTCTCTCTGACTTTCCCCTGCCTTCCTGTCTCTCACCCTTTGTTCTCCCTTGAGGCTAGCTGTAGAAACTAGAATCCTTCCGCAAGGCGGGTCATAGAACTGCTCTTCCCCAAAGCCAGCCAGAAAAGCTAAAAATATTACTCTAAACTTCCCAGGCCTTTCTGTGTAAGAGGGGCCATAAAAAATTCTCTAACCTACCTTGTTTGGTAATAGGTCATAAGACTCCCATTGCAGAAAGGGTCTGGCCCCATACTGGGAAGAAAGAAATGCTGCAGAGAGGCCAAGAAGAATCTGAGTCCACAGGGCTTAATAGGTTTCCCCACTCAGTCTATTTCCTTTAGATTATTCCTTTTCTGTCCAACCACAGTTCTACATGGCTGTCCATTCTTCATTGAACCTAAGCCATAAAAATGGACAGTTTTCCTTGTATCTGTGGGTCTTTATTCTGAAGGCTCTTGTGTCACATAAAACTGTGATCAAATAAATGTGTTAGGCTTTTCTCTTGTTGACCTGTCTTTTGTTATAGGTGTCAGCTGTAACCCCTGTGATGGTGAGGAAAGGGATCACCCCCTTTCTGACCCTCTAGCCTCTTCTCAGGTGTTCTAGGGTCATAAGCCAGCCAGAATCCTCCCCGCCTCCTTGGACTGTCTTTCTGGCATCTCAGGGCCTTAACATGTCTCTGCTTGGGCTGGCCCATCCTTTCTCAAGCTTTCCAAATCTTCTTCCCAATTTTGAAAAATACACAAGTAATGCCCATACTATCAATTCTTTCATAATTTTCTTTAATTTGACTCACTTTAAAAACTTAAGCTTATTTTAAAAGGAGATTAAATTAATTATCATAAATGGAAGACTACTATGAAACAGAAGTTAACTGAATACAATAAAAGCAAAATAATAAATGACCTACTGTGTGCCATTTAGAATCATCTTTCAGACCACTTGGGGTTAAACTCTCTTTTGGAAAATCCCCTGTGAGGACCCTCATGTTTCCTCCCCAGTCACTGAGGGTGGGGCGAAGGCAGCATTCTCTCACTGTGGCAAGGAACTTTGGCTCCATGTTCTGTCTGTGAATGACCTTGACCAACTTACTGGTTCCTGGGAAGTTTCTAAGCTATAGGAACAAAGACCATCTCTTAGAGTTTCCATTAGGATCAAATGAGACAACACCTGTAAAGGGCCTACCATAGGCCTAATAATAGGAAGCCCTCAAGAAATGGGCCGGGTCTGCTGGCTCATGCCTGTTCTCCCAGAACTTTGGGAGGATCACTTAAGCCCAGGAGTTTGAGACCACCCTGGGCAATATAGTTATTTTTAATAAAAAAACTTAAAAAAATTAGCCAGATGTGGGACTATGCACCTGTAGTCCTAGCTGCTTGGGAGGCTGAGGTGGGAAGATTGCTTGAGCTCAGGAGGTTGAGCCTGCTGTGAGCTGTGATCATGCCACTGCACTCCAGCCTGGGTGACAGAATAAGACCCTGTCTCAAAAAAAAAAGAAAAAGAAAAAGAAAACAAGGAAACACTCAAGAAACATTAATTTTTCACCTAATACTTCCACTGTGGCAAGGAATAAAATTTGAATGAAAAGCCCTCTTGCCTTTGTATTTGGCAGTCTGCTAAGCTAGGCAATTTGGTCTTCAAAACAGCCATCCTCCCTCCCCATTTTACCAGTGATAAGACTTAAAGCTTACATTGGCTAACTGACTTTCTTAGAGTGCACAATTACTAATGGTAAAGCTAGGATTCAAAGCCATATCTGTACACTTCCAAAATCCATGTACTTGCTCTTAATAATTAAGCTAAACTGATTTTTAAAAAATATTAACCTTATTGAGGTGTACTTTACATACAATGAAACTTAATCATTTAAACATATATTTGGATGAATTAAAAAAAATGTTTATGGCCTGGCGTGGTGGCTCATGCCTGTAATCCCAGCCCTTTGGGAGGCTGAGGTGGGTGGATCACCTGAGGTCGGGAGTTCGAGACCAGCCTGGCCAACATGGTGAAACCCCATCTCTACAAAAATACAAAAATTAGCCGGGCATGATGGCAGGTGCCTGTAATCCCAGCTACGTGGGAGGCTGAGGCGAGAGAATTGCTTGAACCCAGGAGGCAGAGGTTGTAGATCGCACACTGCACTCCAGCCTGGGTGACGGAGCAAGACTCCATGTCAAAAAAAAAAAATTTATATTCATGTAACCACCAACACAAGATTTCACCTCCCAAGTTTCCTTAGTGCTCTTTCCTGGCCATTCTCGTTGGCCAATCCCCTAAGTTTCTGTCCCATTATTTCATTGAGTCTATTTGGAGTGTATATTCGGAGCAACTTGAATCTATGCTTCTGGGTTGCAGTCCTCAAATCTGGCCCAAATAAACGCTATACTTATACAAATTTTGCCTCAGTTTTTTCCTTTAGGTTGACATCATGGTATGGACAATTTTTCTTAACCTTTGCTTATTAATAGGCATTTATTTTCTCTGTATCTCAGCCCTGTCCATTTCTCCTCATCTGCACTAAGGGAACCAGCATCCCTCACCTGGACAACCGCAGATCCTGTTAAGTTGGTCCCCAAGCCTCCTCTTTAGCCCCTTTCAACTTACTCTCCACTATGCAGGAAGAGTGATCTTTAGAAGTACACATCTGCTCAAGGATCTTCAACTTGCCCTAAAACTCTTCTTCCTGGTATAAAGATCAAAATTGATGTTTTGGCCAGCCAGACCCTGCATGGGTCAGCCCCTTCCTACCTATGGCACCTGTCTTTTTTTTTTTTTTTTGAAACAAAGTCTCACTCTGTTGCCCAGGCTGGAGTGCAGTGGCACGATCTTGGCTCACCACAACCTCCGCCTCCCAGCTTCAAGCAATTCTCCTGCCTGAGCCTCCCTAGTAGCTGGGATTACAGACGCACTCCACCACCACACCTGGCTAATTTTTGTGGTTTTAGTAGAGACGAATTTTCACCATATTGGCCAGGCTGGTCTTTTAACTCCTGACCTCAAGTGTTCTGCCTGCCTCGGCCTCCCAAAGGGCTGGGATTACAGGCATAAGCCACCATGCCTGGCCTATGCCACCTGTGTTATCACTGCTTTGCTCAATGGTTCTTTGCTCCCCTGCTTGGCTGGCCTTTCTTAGGTTCTTCTTATGCATTTGCTGCTCACTGTTGCAAGCCTTAAGATTTTTGCAAGTGCAGTTTCCTTCGGATGAAAGGCTCTCCTCTTCCTAAGCCCGTTCACCCACTCTCTGCCCCCACCAGCTAACATCTACTTCTCTCCTCTTAACCTCAACAAACATCTCATTTCTTCAGGAAAGCCTTTTCAACTGCCTGAGTTGGGTCTGATCATTTGTTTTCTTTTTTTTTTCCCTGAGACAGAGTCTTGCTCTATCACCCAGGCTGGAGTGCACTGGTGTGATCTCGGCTCACTGCAACCTCCGCCTCCTGGGTTCAAGTGATTCTCCTGCCTCAGCCTACCAAGTAGCTGGGATTACAGGCGTGCACTACCACACCTGGCTAATTTTTATATTTTTAGTAAAGACGGGGTTTCACCATGTTGGCCAGGCTGGTCTCGAACTCCTAACCTCGTGATCTACCAGCCTTGGCCTCCCAAAGTGCTGGGATTGCAGGTGTAAACCACTGTGCCTGGCCTGATCATTTGTTTTCTAAAAGAATTGTATTTCTTTTCTTCTTCAGAGTACTTTTCTCAGGTTATAATTTTGCCTTCTCTGGTAGGATTACAGTGTAGCTTAATTTGTTAATATTTGTTTCAAAGACCTTAGAGATTCAGGCTGGCATGGTCCATGTCTTTTTCACATCCTGTTGACTCATAGCACATTTCTCAGCCCTTGGCACCTAATAGCCAGAAAGTAGAAGATGAATGAATGAATGAATGAATGAACTCACCCTTAGATCTGCCAGTGTCCCCCCATGAGCATTTCTAAAGTTCCACCGGTAGGTAAAACTATTGTTGACCTTTTGGAAGAAGGGCATTACGAAAGGGGATTACTTTTCTGGAGCATTTGTTTTGTGCTAGACTAGGTGATTATCTTACTGTTGGTGTATGGAAGAAACAGGGATATACTTCCCTATGGGCTTTGAACTTCAGAAAGGAGATTGCCTTCAGAGAGAGCTAAATTGCAAAACAAACATAAAAGGAATCAGATTATGTAGGCAAATTACCTTAAAGGATGGAATGGCTTCTAGGTCCCAAGACTTGACTAATAGGCTTGAAGTTATTTACAGAGACAAAGAAAGAATGTGCCCTTCAGAAAGGAAATTAATTCGCCCGAGAGGAGGGCAAACTAAACTGTGCCTAAGGGGGGTTGGCTACAGAGCAAAGGCCCCGCCTCATCAGGCCCCAGTACAAACTCTTCAATTCCAGTTCCTCTGGAGGTGGATGACTCTGCCTGCTTTCTGGTTCTGCATTCATCAAGCAACCTAATTATACTCTGGCCTCCAGGGAGCAAATATAGCCATCAACTAATCTATTCTCAGGCCTGCTTGGCGGGCTATATCTCCTTATAAATTAATAATTCATCATTCTGTTTAGGAGGCCAAAGCAAGAGCATTGCTTGAAGCCAGGAGTTTGAGACCAGCTAGGGCAACAAAGTGAGATCCCATTTCTATAAAAAATAAAAAGAAAAATAATTTGACGTTTTAGTTTTATATATGGGCCTTGATGATGAGCCTGGTTTAGGGGAGTTTGTCGCTGAGAGATGGCTGTGTTCTCTACTCAAGCTTCCAAGGCTGTCCAGTGTGTGGGCCACAATGTAGACAGCAGAGAATTCACCCTAAGGTGCCCTGCTGTGGGGACTAGTGTTGGTTTCCCATTTTACAGATCAGTAAACTGACTACTATTGGAAAGATGATTTAACACAAGAGTTATTGCAGAATGTCTCCATTCAATGTGTAGAGTTTTAATGTGCTCTGGATTTATTACCAGGAATGCAAGAAGGGCATGATAGTAATGGACAGCTATTTAAATGTTTTTTATGGCTGGATGCGGTGGCTCACGCCTGTAACCCTAGCGCTTTGGGAGGCCAAGGCGGGCGGATCACTTGAGGTAAGGATTTCAAGACCAGCCTGGCCAACATGGTGAAACCCCATCTCTACTAAAAATACAAAAATTAGCTGGGCTTGGTGGCGCAGGCCTGTAATCCCAGCTACTCAGGAGGCTGAGGCAGGAGAATCGCTTGAACCTGGGAGGAGGAGGTTGCAGTGAGCTGAGATCACACCATTGCACTCCAGCCTGGGCAATAAGAGCAAAACTCTATCTCAGAAAAAGAAAAAAAAAGTTTTGTATTAGAAATCTACAGTTGGAACTTTTTATGATCAGTTTAGGTGTTGACAAAAAGTGTCAAACTCTGTAAAATATGTAAAGAGGTTTTGTTTTATTCTGAGTCAAATATAAATGACCAAGGCTGGAGACACAGTCTCAAGAGATCCCGAGAACATGTGCTCATGGTGGTTGGGTTACAGCTTGATTTTATGCACTTTAGGGGGACAGGAATTACACGCAGACATCAATCAATACATGTAAAGTGTACAGAAAGGTGGGACAACTTGAAACAGAGTGGGGTGGTTCTAGGTCATAGGTGGATTCAAAGATTTTCTGACTGGCAATTGGTTGAAAGAATTAAGTCATTGCTGGGCGTGGTGGCAGGCATCTGTAGTCCCAGCACTTTGGGAGGCCGAGGCAGGCGGATCACAAGGTCAGGAGATTGAGACCATCCTGGCTAACACAGTGAAACCCCGTCCCTACTAAAAATACAAAAAATTAGCCAGGAGTGGTGGCAGCCACCTGTAGTCCCAGCTACTCGGGAGGCTGAGGCAGGAGAATGGCGTGAACCCAGGAAGCAGAGCTTGCAGTGAGCCGAGATCATGCCACTGCACTCCAGCCTGGGTGACAGAGTGAGACTTCGTCTCAAAAAAAAAAAAAAAAGAATTAAGTCATTATCTAAAGAGCTGGAATCAATCAAAAGGAATGTGTAGGTTAAGATAAGGGGTTGTGGAGACCAAGGTTCTTATTATGTAGAGGAAGTCTCCAGGTAGCAGGCTTCAGAGAGGATAGATAGTAAATGTCTCTTATCAGACCTTAAAAAGTGTCAGACTATTTTTTAAAAATTATTTTTATTTCTTTAAAATTATTTTTAATTTATTTTTTAGGTGCTAGACTTTTAATTTCCCCCAGATCAGGAAAAGACCTGAAAAGGGAAGAGGATTCTCTACAGAATGTAGATTTTTCCCCACAGGAGATAGCTTTGCAGGGCCATTTCAAAATCTGTCAAAGAAATATATTTTGGGGTAAAATGCCTCAATTTCTTTCAGGGCCTGCTATCTGTCATGTGATGTTATACTAGAGTCAGGTTGGAATTTGGTATCTTATTGCTACAAAGAATCTGTTTTGTCAGTCTTGGGATCTCTATTTTAATGTTACTGTTGGTCAGTTGTACCTGAATTCCAAAGGGAGGAGAGTATAATGAGGCATACTCAACCCCTCCTTCCCATCATGGCCTGAAGTAGTTTTTCAGGCTTATTCTGGAATCCCCTTGGCCAAGAGGAGGGATCCATTCAGTCAGTTGGGAGGCTTATAATTTTATTTTTGGTTTACATAGGCGAAGCGCAATTTTGAATTACAAAGGGGGAGTTGTTTTCACAGTGACCTCTGAAAGATTCTCCCGGGGTCTGAAAGCTTGGAGGGATAACTCCTCCCTTCTCAGGCCCAGTCCCAAGGCTCAAGGCCACTTGCGTGCATCAGCAAGACAGCAGAAGCAGGAAGAGAGCTGCCAGGAAGACACCTACCCTGGCCGGAAGACACCTACTCTGGCAGGGAGACATGTACCCCTGAAGATTGAGAAAGAGGCCGTCTGGGTACTACGTAGCAGTCACGTCAGACTGGGACACTTCTTGTTTACAGAGGACTATAAAACCCCTGCCCCATCCTCACTTGGTGCTGACGCCATTTTAGGCCTCAGCCTGCCTGCACCCAGGCGCTCATTAAAACAGCATGTTGCTCCACACCGCCTTGTGTTATCTGTTGGTGTGCTCTCGGGGTTTGAACCAATACAAGAACCTTTCAACCTCTTTGTTTGTTATGGAATAAAAAATAACTATCGTGTAAAATATTTACAAAGTACCAGATATTACAGGTTCATTAGATATTAATTACTGCATCTCTAGTAAACAGACTTTCTATGCCTCAGTTTCCTAATGTAAAATGAAAATAAGAATGGCAAACAATTAAGCACCTACATTGTGCCAAACACTATTCTAAGTGCTTATGGTTAGTATTAGCTCATTAATTCTTATAAGTAACCTAGGAGGTAGATACCATTGAAGGATCATTATACAGAAAAGGAATTTGCCCAAGATGATATAGTTAGCAAATGGGAAAGTTTTTGAACTCACACAGTGTAGCTCCGGAACTTATCCTCCTAAACACTTCACTACCTCATAGAATTAAATGAGTTAATGTACATAAAACACTTAGGACAAGGCCGGGCTTGTAATCTCAGTAATCCCAAAGTAATCCCAGTACTTTGGGAGGCTGAGGCAGGCGGATCACTTGAGGTCAGGATTTTGAGAATAGCCTGGCGAACATGGTGAAACCCAGTCTCTACTAAAAATACAAAAATTAACTGGGCTTGTTGGTGCACGCCTGTAATTCCAGCTACTCGGGAGGCTGAGGCAGGAGAATCACTTGAACCCAGGAGGCAGAGGTTTCGGTGAGCTGAGATCGCACCACTGTACTCCAGCCTGAGCGACAAGAGACTCCATCTCAAAAACAAAAACAAAAACAAAACACTTAGGACAGCCCACCACACCTTAAGTTTCAATAACTGTTCACTGTTATTATCAATTTATTATTGTTCAAGTTTCTTGTCTTGGGAGAGTTAAAGTGGGATTGAAATCCCAGACCGTCTGTATCCAAGTTCTCCAGGCCTTTTCATTATCCTTTGCTACTGTGTGCTTTTCCCTAGGGAGAACCAAAGTCAAAAAACACCCTGGCTTGAACGACCCAATTTGAAACTGCCTGCAGAACAAAAATTATGTGTTTTAAAGTTAACTTTTTTTCCTTTATGATTCTACCTCACCTGTATTATTTAGAATCTTTCCTCTCTATTCCTGGCACACTCCTGGAATTGTTTCTCCACTGTTAGCTGTATGAAAAGCCGTGTGTTTATAGGCACTGGGTATTTTGAATCCTGTGATAGCTTTGCCCAAATCTTAAGGATATTTACACACAGTACTTTTATTGCTAATATTTAAGAAAAATGAAAAGTTAAACCTGTCAGGGAAGGCAAGATTTATAAGACTATTTACAATCCTGGGAATCATATTCACTGCTGCTTGGAACTCAGAAGGGTGTAAGATCTGGGGAAACACTTTTATTATTTCCATGCTCCAAGAGCCAAGGAGAGGAATGAGATTTTTTAGCTTATAGCTGATGCCTAAGATGGTTTATATGTAGAATGACAAGCCAGCCACAAAAGTAAATTGTCTCCAGGGGAATTATTGTCCTGGGCTCTTTAAAGTGCAAACTATTTTTTAGGGAAACTAGGATTAGGACTTGAAAACAGATTGGAAACCAACTTCCAATTTTGTTGGCCAGATATGTGGGAGCTTTCTGTGGATGATGCAAAATGACTTTTAGAGCATTAGTATTATGGAAGTAGACTAGAAGCCTGCTTTTTCAATAGTGATTTTTTTTCTTTTTCTTCATCAGTTAATTGATTGCTCGTCTATAAACATTACCAGCTATTCAGCTTGTTTCTGTCTTGGTATCTACACGATATTATTCTTTTTCATAGCTGTTTTATGCTTTGCTAGGATAAGATTTAAGTGAATTATTTTGACATTAATGAGGCATTTCTGTGGAATACTAATCTCACTATATACACGAGAGTCATTTGAATTTTTCTGGCATTTTTGGGTGGATTCTTAGAAAGTTTCTAACAGATCAGAATTAAATAATTATGGCTTTGGTATAGACTTGGGTAGTTAGAAATTCACTGTTAAAAACCACTAATGAGAACAAAAAATTCAGTAAGGAACCATATTCTAAGGACCATGGCTTGGAAGAGCAGCCAGTGGTTGCAGATGAGGAAGCTCATTTCTCTTTTCCTGCTAATTGCTTTCAATTTTATTTTATTTTATTTCATTTTTTGAGATGAAGTTTTGCTCTTGTTGTTCAGGCTGGAGTGTAATGGTGTGGTCTCGGCTCACTGCAACCTCCAATTCCTGGGTTCAAGTGATTTTCCTGCCTCAGCCTCCCAAGTAGCTGGGATTACAGGCACCTGCCATCACGCCCAGCTCATTTTTGTATTTTTAGTAGAGATGGGGTTTCACCATGTTGGTCAGGCTGGTCTCGAACTCCTGATCTCAGGTGATCCACCCACCTTAGCCTCCCAAAGTGCTGGGATTACAGGCATGAGCCACTACCTCAATTTTAAAATTTGAAAATGCAAACAGTATGTCTACCTCCCTTCTAAAGACGCTGGCAATACTTCGGTGTGCAGGATAATAGAGGATTATGTTTTACACCTAAACAAAGCAAGAGAAACTCCCCCTTTACCCTTTGGCAAGCACTACAAATGTTTCCTTCTTTTACTGTCAGTATTCCAGCCCCTAGAATTCAAAGCAAACAGGGGTTTGAGAATGAGAGCCAGGTATGGTGAATCAGGCTATGGTTTCAAACTTTCCATGTGCTCCAGACCTTTATAAAGGCTTTGATTATTTATTTTTAAATATCACAAAAAAACTGTTATCACAGATTCATGATAAAAGAATGGAAAATCTACAATTAGCAATTTGAATATTTCATACACACACACACACACACACAAGTGTGCGTTGTAAGAGTATTTACTGGGGAGAGGAAAGGGTGTGTGCTTAGGATCTGGGTTTGAGTCTTCATGACATCACTCCTTAGTTATGTTATCTTGGGGAAGTTCCTTGATCTTTCTGAACCTTGATTCTCATGTGTTAAATATTCCTACCCCAATTTTTTTTTTTTTCTTAAGGCAAGGTCTTGCTCTGTCACCTAGGCTGGGGTACAATGGTGCCATCACGGCTCATTGCAGCCTCAAACTCCTGGGTACGAGCAATCCTCCTGCCTCAGCCTTGTGAGTAGCTGGGACTACAGGTGCACACCACCATGCCCGGCAATTTTTTTATTTTTATTTTTAAAATTTTTGTAGAGATGGGGTCTTGCTCTGTTCATAAGGCTGGCCTTGAATTCCTGGTCTCAGGTGATCCTCCTGCCTTACAGGCATGAGCCACCATGCCTGGCCGTACTGCATTTTTTTTTTTTTTTTTTTTTTTTGAGACGGAGTCTCACTTTGTCTCCCAGGCTGGAGTGCAGTGGCGCGATCTCTGCTCACTGCAAGCTCCGCCTCCCGGGTTCACGCCATTCTCCTGCCTCAGCCTCCGGAGTAGCTGGGACTACAGGCGCCCGCCACCACACCCGGCTAATTTTTTGTATTTTTAGTAGAGACAGGGTTTCACCACGTTAGCCAGGATGGTCTCCATCTCCTGACCTCGTGATCCGTCTGCCTCGGCCTCCCAAAGTACTGGGATGACAAGTGTGAGCCAAAGCGCCCGGCCCGTACTGCATATTTTTAAAAAGTAGAATTTAGATTAACTAATGAATATAAAAAGCCAGAAGA
The DNA here is from genome assembly GCF_000001405.40 of Homo sapiens. Taxonomy (NCBI): domain Eukaryota; kingdom Metazoa; phylum Chordata; class Mammalia; order Primates; family Hominidae; genus Homo; species Homo sapiens. Next base: position 93,286,604 of record NC_000012.12, on the reverse strand, counting down.
GTGCCATGTTCGTGCATAAATTATGTATTGTATAAATTATATATTGAAACAGTGTTTGATTGTTTTGTGGTCTGTTTGTAGAATGAATGAAAGAAGGAGCGTCTTGTGTTAAGAGGTTGGTAGCTCTGACTAGAATCATAGACAACCTGTTTAAAGCCTTAGATTTCTGCCAACTAGTCCTAAAAATGAAAGCACAATGAATAAGAGATAGATCATGTGTTGATCTTTCTGGTCAATGTGGAAACACAAGTTTTAAAAATGAGATATATTTTACATACAGGAAAATGCACCAATTTTAAGTGAATTTGTCAACGAATTTGGACAAATGATTACACTCATGTGATTGTCACCCAAGTCAAGATATGTATAGAACATTTCCCTCACCTTGACAGTTCCTTCGTGTCCCTTGGTGGTCAATACCTGCCTTTTGCAGAGGCAACCATTGTTCTGATTTCTGTCACTAGTTATGCCTGTTGCTAAACTTTATACACATGGGATAATATAGAATATACTCTTTTGTTTCTGGGTTCTTTCAACCAAGCTGATGATTTTGAGATGTATCCATAATGTTCTGCGTATCAGTAGTTTGTTCCTTTTTATTGCTGAGTGTTTGTTATCTCATCGTATGAACATATCACACTTTTTAATCCACTCTCTCGTTGCTGGACACTTGGATCTATTACGAATAGATCTGCTATAAACACTCTTGTCCAAGTCTTTTCTTTGACTTAATTTCATTTTTCTAACTACACACCACTTTGCTCTGGCTGCTCCACATCTTCACCAACACTTGATATTGTTAGTTTTTTTTTGAGACGGAGTCTCTCTTTGTCCCCCAGGCTGGAGTGCAGTGGTGCGATCTTGGCTCACTGCAGCCTCCGCCCCCCAGGTTCAAGGGATTCTCCTGGTTCAGCCTCCTGAGTAGCTGGGATTACAGGTGTGTGCCACCATGCCTGGCTAATTTTTGTATTCTTATATTTATTTATTTATTTATTTATTTATTTATTTATTTATTTTTTGAGACGGAGTCTTGCTCTGTCGCCCAGGCTGGAGTGCAATGGCACAATCTTGGCTCACTGCAACCTCCTGGGTTTAAGTGCCTCAGCCTCCTGAGTAGCTGGGATTATAGGCATGTGCCACCATGCCCGGCTACTTTTTGTATTTTTAGTATGCACAGGGTTTTACCATGTTGGCCAGGCTGGTCTCGAACTCCTGACCCCAGGTGATTTGCCCGCCGCCTCGGCCTCCCAAGGTGCTGGGATTATAGGCGTAAGCCACCACGCCTGGCTGATATTGTTAGTTTTTAAAATTTTAGTTACTCTGGAAACAAAAATCTTTACCACCTGATTAAGCCCAAGTGATTTGCAGCAGTTATTCTTTACTATCTTTTTTTTTTTTTTTTTTTTTTAAGACGGAGTTTCGCTCTTTCCACCCAGGCTGGAGTGCAATGGCACGATCTTGGCTCACTGCAACCTCCACCTCCCGGGTTCAAGCAATTCTCCTGCCTCAGCCTCCTGAGTAGCTGGGATTACAGGCATACACCACCATGCCCGAATAATTTTTGTATTTTTTTTAGTAGAGACGGGGTTTCACCATGCTGGCTAGGCTGGTCTTGTACTCCTGACCTCAGGTAATCTACCTGCCTCAGCCTCCCAAAGTTCTGGGATTACAGGCGTGAGCCACCGCACCTGGCCTTCTTTAATATCTTGATTATTGTTAACTTTACAGTAAGACTTGAAATCAGAGCCAGGTGTGGTTGTGTGTGCCTGTAGTCCTAGCTACACAGGAGGCTGAGGCAGGAAGATCGCCTGAGCTCAGGAGCCCAGGTGCAGTGAGCTACGATCATGCCACTCACTCCAGCCTGGGCGATAGAACGAGATCCTGTCTCTAAAAAAAATTAAAAAGAAAAAAAAGGCCGGGCGCAGTGGCTCATGCTTGTAATCCCAGCACTTTGGCAGGCCGAGGCGGGCAGATCAAGAGGTCAGGAGATCGAGACCATCCTGGCTAACACGGTGAAACCCCGTCTGTACTAAAAACACACAAAAAATTAGCCGGGCGTGGTGGCGGGCGCCTGTAGTCCCAGCTACTCAGGAGGCTGAGGCAGGAGAATGGCGTGAACCCGGGAGCGGCGGAGCTTGCAGTGAGCCTAGATGGCGCCACTGCACTCCAGCCTGAGCGACAGAGCAAGACTCCGTCTCAAAAAAAAAAAAAAAAAAAAAACAAACAAAACCTTGAAATCAGGTAGTGTGAGGCAGCTAACATTCTTTTCCAAAATTGTTTTGGCTATCCTACTTCCTTTGCTTTTTCTTATATACTTTAGAATCAGCTTGTCAATTTCTGCAAAAATGTCTGGTGGAATTTTGAGTGTGATTGCATTGAATCTATAGATCAATTTAGGGAGAACTGATATTTTAACATATTGTGACTTCCAATCCATGAACACAGTGTATCCCTCCATTTGTTTAGATATTTTTTCCCCTACCATGCAAGAAATGTCAACTGCAGTTGAGCAGAAAAATACCCTGCTTGAAGTCTGCAAAGTCGAAATGATCTCTGATTCTGCAAAGTTTAGGACAAAATCCAATGATTCAACTTAATTTAATTTCTTTAAGGTCAACTTAATTTCTTCAGGTATTTATCATCAGTATATTTAAACACTCATTTGTAGAAAGGTCCTGATGGTGTGACACTTCCTAGGGTCTTAAAATGACCTTTTTCTATATCTTATCTTAAGAATTGAGGCCTGGAAAGGTTGTTTGTCTTATTTGTTTATAAATGATTCCACCAGTTACTAATGAGACAATCCTTGGAAACACATATTTGTTTCCACAAGAAACTTGACCTTTCAGTTTAAAAATACCATCTTAACTTCATCAAATTATAGCTGTGTACTAACTTGTTTTTATTTTATTGTAATCTGTAAAATTTACACTTATTGCCTAAACATTGATTTTCAGTCTAAGAGGGTCATTAGTCACAAATGTAAGATGTATTCTCAGTCTTCTTAAACACAATTCTAGTATGTTCTAGTTATTCAAAAAACCTTAAATAAAATAGAAACAAGAACAGTTGCCACAAAAAAGCAGCTTTTACCACTAAAAGTTGTCTTTTTGGATAAAAAAAGGATTGGCAGATTTTTGATAATTGGAGAAATGGAATTGTGGTTTGAATTGTTTCTTTTTCTGCTTTTATAGAAGAAACTGAAAATTTCCATAAAAGTTTATGTATCTGTGTTTTTTTTTTTTTTTTTTTTTGAGACAGAGTCTCACTCTGTTGCCCAGGCTGGAGTGCTATGGTATGATCTCAGCTCACTGCAACCTCCGCCTCCTGGGTTCAAGCGATTCTCCTGCCTCAGCCTCTCGAGTAGCTGAGATTACAGGCACGCACCACCACGTCCAGCTAATTTTTGTATTTTCAGTAGATACAGTGTTTCTTCATGTTGGCCAGGCTGGTTCGAACTCTTGACCTCAGGTGATCCACCCACCTCAGCCTCCCAAAATGTTGGGATTACAGGTGTGAGCCACCGCGCCTGGCCATATCTGTGTGTTTTTAAGGAACTTTCTAGTTAAGAGCTTTCTTCCTTCTATGAATTCAACTTTAGGAGGAGATACTTTTAATTGAAGTTTCAAAGACATATTTTTCTTATTTTTGAGATGGAGTCTCGCTCTGCTGCCCAGGCTGGAGTGCAATGGTTCAATCTCGGCCCACTGCAACCTCTGCCTTCCAGGTTCAAGTGATTCTTCCACCTTAGCCTGCCAAGTAGCTGAGACTACAGGTGCCCGCCACCACACCCAGCTAATTTTTGTATTTTTAGTAGAGATGGGGTTTTGCCATGTTCACCAGGCCGGTCTCAAACTCCTGACCTCAAGTGATCCGCCTGTCTCAGACTCCTAAAGTGCTGAGATTACAGGTGGGAGCCACCACACCTGGCCTCAAGGACATCTTTTTCTTTTCTTTACTTTTTTGAGATGGAATCTCGCTCTTTTGCCCAGGTTGGACTGCAATGGCATGATCTCAGCTCACTGCAACCTCCACCTCCCTGGTTCAAGCGATTCTCCTGCCTCAGCCTCCCAAGTGGCTGTGATTACAGGCGTGTGCCACCACACACGGCTAATTTTGTATTTTTAGTAGAGATGGGGTTTTGCCATGTTGGTGAGGCTGATCTCAAACTCCTGACCTCAGGTGATCCGCCTGTCTCGCCCTTCCAAAGTGCTGGGATTACAGGAATGAGCCACCACGCCCGGCCTCAAGGACATATTTTTCTTAATCTGAGTCTAGTACAATTAAGTATAAAGTATAAGAACTTTAAAAAATCTTTTTAAATTCAGAGTAGCAGTTTGCAAACTATTTCTGTAAAGGGCCAGATAATAAACATATTGGGCTTTGGGAGCCACATGGTCTCTGTTATGACTACTCATGGTAGAGACCATACACCAAAGCCAGCCTCAGAGGACACATAAACGAGTAGGTATGGTTCTGCTCCAATGAAACTTTTTGACTAACACAGACAAGGGGTCAGAGTTGACTTCTCTGATTTATAGGGTTTTGGGGGAATGAGCTATTATAAAGACTTTGGTAAAAGAAAACCATTCACCATTTACAGGAGGGCTCTCTCATGTCTTTTCTGGAAGCCTCAAAGTTAAACTCATCTTGAACCCAGGGTTAGTTGTCCATGTAGCTCCAGCTGTGCCACAAATTATCTGAGTGAGTTGGGAGAATTTGCTTGATACTTTATGCTTCTATTTCTTAATTTGTTTGTTCTTTTTCTTTAACTTTCTTTTAAATATTAAAAAACAATTTCTTATTTCTTATTGGGCAGCCTCTTGAGCCAGAGTAGGCTCAGAGACTCCCAATTTCTTAATTTACAACAGGAGGATGATGATAGATTTGCCTCAAATGGCTGTTGTGAGGATTAAATGGGTCAACGTGAATAAAGCACTTAGAATGCTGCCTGCCATGTAAGTTTTATGGAAGTGTTAGCTGATATTATTAGTAATCCATAATGAAAATAGAAATTAATCAGACTTTAATTTCAAACATCTTTTATAAATTGAACAAAGGTTGGTGCTATCTTTGGGAGGCTGAGGCAAGCAGATCACTTGAGGTCAGGAGTTGGAGACCAGCCTGGCCAACATGGTGAAACCCCATCTCTAGTTAAAAAAATACAAAAATTAGCAGGGCCTGGTGGTAGGCAGCTGCAATCCCAGCTACTTGGGAGGCTGACACAGGAGAATTTCTTGAGCCCAGGAGGTGGAGGCTACAGTGAGCTGAGATCGCACCACTGCACTCCAACCTGGGTGACAGAGTGAGACTCTGTCTCAAAAAAAAAAAAAAAAAACCCCCAAAAAACCCCCAAAATAGGTTGGTGTTATGATTTGAATGTTTATGTTCTCCCAAATTCATATGTTAAAACCTAATCACCAATGTGAAGTATAAGAAGGTGGGGTTTGGGGAGGTGATTAGGTTTTGAGGACAGAGCCGTAGCGAATGGGATTAGCGCCCTTATGAAAGAGGCCCCAGAAAGCTCCCTCACCCCTTCTTCCCTGTAGGGTTATAGCAAAAAGGAAGCAGTTTATGAACTAGGAAGCAGGCCCTCACTAGACACCAAATCTGCCAGTACCTTGATCTTGGACTTGACAGCCTCAAGAACTGGGGGAAATAAATTTCTGTTGTTTATTAACCACTCCTCTTATGGAATTTTATTATAGAAGTTCAAATAGACTAAGACAGTTGGAAAAATCATTTTTAGAATTAATATGTGGGAATGTAAAAGTAAATTGATCCAGCAACTCAGGCCATGCTTCTCTGTGGCAGCAATTGACTGATTAACAACTGCCTGCATCCATAGAGCATTTGTGTTCCAGCTCCTACACCCCCACCTAGCACAGTTTCTCGTTTATCTAATCTGCCTGACTTCTGTAGGCATTTGGGTTTCTGACCCTCAATCTAGAGAGACATACATTAAATCTCATTGGTATTTAATAGGCCAGGCTGGATTAGGAACCATAGTGGACCTAGCGTGGAGAAGAATATGATGTCTTCCAATCCCTACCTTCACCTGGCTTCTGTGTATTAAAACTAAAAACAATATTAAACTATACAAAAGTTCAGGCCAGTCCAACATAGTTCAGATTTTTTTCCCTCAATGTGATTTTCTGAGTGTTTTTTGGGAAGTAGGGAATTCTTTCTGTAGTCATTTTTTGGGTGCTGCTTTGTTGATATCTAACTATGGACTCAGTCTGTCTCTGGGGGCATCCTGGACACTTCCCTCCCTCCAACTTGCAGCATTTCTTTTCGCCTGGATTTCCTTGTACTCTTGCTCTGCATCCTGTCTGGAGTGTAATCTGAGCCCCAGCCTGTGTGACTGCAGCTGGGATACTCTGTTGCTTTCAACTCCCTCTCTTCCCAGGTCATAGGACCTGTTCTCCCTACCCATCTGCAGGACTAGATGCCAGACTTACGGCTGCAAAAATAATTACAAGTCCCTTGGGCAGTTGGGGCCAGGGCTCTGATATATTAGCACAAGAGCTGAGCTAGATGGTTGTGCAGGTGAAAGCCTGCAGTGACTGATTATGAGAGTGTCCCAAGAAGGCTTTGAATTTGATCATGCCCAAGGCTAGAGTCTTTGCACCTGTTAGGGATGATTCCCATTCTCCAGATAAGGACACTGATGATCTCTCAGTAAGTGGTAGAGTCTGCCTTTGAACCCAGGTCTGTGTGGTTGGTTTTGATGCTTTGTTGGGGGATGGAACATGGGCAATCACTCTTGCCTGTGAAGACAGAATAGATCACAGAGAAGACTGCATACTTGCTCAGCAGACTGTCCTTGCTAGCTTTGTCAGAACAATGGTATTAGTAACATGAGTCCTTTGGACTGTGATCAGGAAGAAGACATTTAAGGGTAACAGGTAAGACCTCTGAGTTCTTCTTTATTGCTCTTTCCTCTGACTTCTACTTGAGAAGTGTCCTCAGATTAGATTTCCTTTTCATTTTGTTTTCAACCTAGATTCTTGCAGAGAGAAGCAAACATAAGCAATCCTCTTGTTCTTGTTTCAACATGAAATGACAGTCATCAAACTGTAGGCTCTAGAGGAGCAGATTCCAAATCTGAAAGTTGTTAGCATGTTAGTCTGTTTGGGTAACTTAATTTACCTGGAGGAATCCTCCTGAAGTTTTCTTGAGCTGATTTTCCCATCATGATGAACACAGGGCCTTAAATGAAGACTTTTTGAGCAGAGGAGGAAAAACAAGAAAGGCATACAAGTGTGTGTGGGTGGCCCTATCCTAGGCTCACATTGTAGAACCTCCTGTGCATGGGGTTGTCCTTTACCTCTGTGCATTCTCTATGGAATGTAAGCTTCTCAAAGTCAGGGACTGCTGTCAGGGACTACTGTCTTCTTAATCTTTGCATCCTCCTCGCCTAGCACAGTGCCTGGCATACAGCAGGTGGCCAGGGATATTATGGACAAATGAATGCATGCATGGAAGGTAAAGAAGCATAGAGGGATGAGAAGCAGAAGGAAAGGTCTATGGCCAGAAGCATTTTGGGGGCATCTAGGGAGGCAGTGCTAGTGAATAGTGGGCCATGGAGTCAGACTGCTCAAGATGACTTCCTGGCCCCACCTCCCCTTACTGCATAACCTTGGACAAAGTACTAGACCTCTCCAGGCTCCATTTAAAAAATGCCTGTAAAGGCCAGGTGTGGTGGCTCACTCCTGTAATCCCAGCACTTTGGGAGGCCAAGGTGGGCAGATCATGAGGTCAAGAGATCGAGACCATCCTGGCTAACATGGTGAAACACCATCTCTACTAAAAATACAAAAATTAGCTGGGCATGGTGGTGCGCACCTGTAGTCCCAGCTACTCGGGAGGTTGAGGCAGGAGAATCGTTTGAACCCGGGAGGCAGAGGTTGCGGTGAGTGGAGATTGAGTCACTGCAGTCCAGCCTGGCAACAGAGTGAGACTCAGTCTCAAAAAAAAAAAAAAAAAAAAAAGCCTGTAAAATGCTGAGAAGATGGATTGTGATGGTCTTCATCTTACAGGACTGTTATGAGATATTTATTGGGTTACATGAGGTATTTATTGTGTCCTGGCTTGGGTAGGGCATCATATGCATAGAAGGCAATCTAGATTTTTGAGTATAAATGTGTAAGTTGAATGGAGTCAGAGATCTTAGAAGACTTTGATAGATGGCATGGAGGCTAGAAAAGTCCAAGACAGGCTGGGCGCAGAGCCTCATGCCTGTAATCCCAGCATTTTGGGAGGTTGAGGCAGGTGGATCACCTGAGGTCAGGAGTTCAAGACCAGCTTGGCCAGCAGGGTGAAACCCCACCTCTACTAAAAATACAAAATATTAGCCGGGCGTGGTGGGAAGCACCTGTAATCCCAGCTACTCAGGAGGCTGGGGCAGGAAAATTGTTTGAACCCAGGAGACAGAGGTTGCAGTGAGCTGAGACTGCGTCATCATACTCCAGCCTGGGCAACAACAGCGAAACTTTGCCTCAAAAAAAAAAAAAAAAAAAAAAAAAAAAAAAAAAAAAAAAAAGTCCAAGACAGATTGGTGGGGCAGAGAGGGAAAAAATTAAAAAAGAAAAGTCCAAGATATGTGAGGATATTGCGTTCTGAAAAAGAGGTCGAAACTGGCTAGAAAAAGTTGAAAGTAGGAAATAAATAAAATTCTGATGGGATTGGCAGGGGAAAATGAGGGAACATAGTGGTTAGGCAGCCCATGTCCTGAGCATATAAAATGCCCCACAGTGAGCAATGGGGCATTTCCTTCAGATGACTTAGGGGTTTTTGGTTGGTATGATGCTTTTTTGTTGTTCTTAAGGAAAACAGACGCCATCTTAAGTCTTTCAGAAAATTAGTTAACTGATAGGTACATTTTAATGCCATTTTAAAATTTTAAGTTATTCTGAGTTTGAGAGTCATTTTTATTTCTTTCCATGAACCTTCCTGCAGTGGACAAGACAGGCATAAGACTTTTCCAACTCTATCTTTAGATCTACTACTTAACACTACGTACCTGTTTTTCATTTCTAATTCATCATTTTTGACTATATAATACATTCACATAATGCAAGAATCAACCCGGCCGGGTGTGATGGCTCATGCCTGTAATACCAGCACTTTGGGAGGCCGAGATGGGTGGATCACTTGAGGTCAGAAGTTCAAAACCAGCCTGGCCAACATGGCGAAACCCCATCTCTACTAAAAATATAAAAATTAGCTGGGTGTGGTGGTGCGTGCCTGTAATCCCAGCTACTCAGGAGGCTGAGCCAGGAGAATCACAGGAACCCAGGGGATGGAGGTTGCATTAAGCCGAGATAGCGCCACTGCACTACGGCCTGGGCAACAGAGAGAGACTCAGTCTCAAAAAAAAAAAAAATCAACCTGATATGAAAGTTACGCCTTGAGAGATCTTCCTCTCTCGCCAGCTATCCACGCTGGTCCCCGCTCCTACCCAGGTTATCTTCCCAGTTCTCTAGAGAAGGGCCTTTGATTTGGTTTAAATATCTTGTTGTTACAAGCAATGTAGCAATGTAACCCTATACATATAGCTATTTTATGTTTGCAGATCTGTAAGATATTCAGCAGGTATCCTGCAGAAGTGAGATTTTTGGACTAAAGATAAACATATCTGTAATTTTGATTGACGATGCCAAATTACCCTCCTTAGGGACACACCATTTCACACTCCAGGTATGAGCCTGCCTGTGCCCGGCTCCCTCCCCAGCCTCCTGATACGACATGTTGCCAGGCTAAGAGGTAAAATATTTTCTCAGCATAGCTTTAACTTGCGTTCTTATTATGACTGGAATCGACGTGACTAGTACGTGCGATTAGGAGCCATTTGTATTTTATTTCATGAGTTGTGCATTTATGTCACTTGCTTATTTTTTAAAATTATTTACATTTTTTGTTGTTTGAGTTCTAAAATACTCAGAACATTCATTTGTCAACTATTTGCTGATCAACTAAGTTGCACCAGGCTCCACAAAAGCACAGACTAGATGGAGATGAATAGGATGCTGGCCCCACCTTCCAGAAGCTCACAGTCTAATGAGGAAGTCTCGCTTTGTCTCCGAGACTGGAATCCAATGGTACAATCTCTGCTCACTGCACCTCCGCCCCCATGGGTTCAAGTGATTCTCCTGCCTCAGCCTCTCAAGTAGCTGGGATTGCAGGTGCCCACCACCATGCCCAGCTAATTTTTGTATTTTCAGTAGAGACGAGGTTTCACCATGTTGGCCAGGCTGGTCTCTAACTCCTGAGCTCAAGTGATCCACCCGCCTCAGCCTCCCAAAGTGCTGGGATTACAGGCATGAGCCACTGCACCTGGCCTTTTTTTTTTTTTCCCTAAAAAAAGAGAAAAACGTGTATGTCTCTATCTAGATCTAGGTCTATATGTAGGTCTAGATAGAGATTGAGATATATGAATTCTCCATTAGACTGTGAGCTTCTGGATCTGCTTTCTTTGAAATCTAGATCTAGATACAGGTAGAAAGAAACAATACAGCTACCAAGCATTAAAGGTGTACGGAAGGTATCATGGGCCCAGCAAGGTGGTAAAGGCCCTAGTCAAGTTGAGTGGGCCTAGAAATCTGAGCGGACATTTTCTAGGCTGATTGGGAAGTGAAGAGCAGTCCAGGCTGAGGATGTCATAGGGCTCTCCATTCCCTGGGTCCTTAGTGCGGCTCTCTGACCCTGGCAGTCCTCCCCACCTCTCCCCATCAGTGCCTGTCACTTTGTGAGTGCTAAATACATGTTCCCTGAGTGCAGTAACTGAAGAAGAGTCTGATGCAAGAGCCCTGTTGAGGTGTGAGAAGGCAGGGGCGCTGGCGCGGGCAAGGTCGTCCTCAGGCGTGGACGGTGGCAGCATCCTGCTCTTTCTCAACCCCTCCCCTCCTGGCAGGGAACCTTGGAACCTTCTTTGACTCTCCTCATGTTCAAGGAGCTGACCTGTCTCACTTGGGTTCCAGCTCCCTTCTCTTTCTTCCTGGTCCCCTTACTTCAGTGAAACCCCTTGTTTCACTGCTTTCACCCCACCGCCCCCCTCGATTTCTCTCTCTGTCTCTCTCTCTGGTGGCTGGCATCTTTGCCTCATTCCCCAGACCAGTATGCTAGAGATAATCTTTACGATATTTGTCTGAAAATTGAAGTCTTGCCTTATTCCCACCCCACAACACTCTCTGACTCTCTGTCTCTCTGTCTTGGTCTCTCTCCAAACTCAGAAAGGCAGATGTGATATTAGTTTGCTAGGGCTGCTGTAACAAAGTACCACACACTGGGTGGCTTAAAACAACAGACACTTATTCCCTCACAATTCTGAAGGCTAGAAGTCCAAAATCAAGGGGTTGGCATGAGACGCTCTCGCAGGCTCTAGGGGAGGACCCTTCCGGGCCTCTTCCCAGCTTCTGGGGGCTGCGCCATACTTGGTCTTCCTTCACTTAAGGCAACACAACTCCAGCTCCCTCCTCCGCCTTCGCACGGCCATCTTCCCTCTGTGAGGATCTGTGGCAAAATCTCCCTCTTCAAATAAAAACACCAGTCATTGGATTAGTGTTCTCCTGACCCCAATAAATCATTTTAACTTGATTACATCTGTAAAGACCCTGTTTCCAAATACGTTCACATTTACAGGTACTGGACTGCGGGTTCAGACTTTAACATATCTTTTTTTGGAATCACATTCCCACCAATAACTGATGCCCTACAATGGTATCTTGTTTGTCACTTTTCAAAGTTACACTCAATCCCCGTGGGAAGCAGCTTTATAATATCTGGCCAAGAACACACATTTTGATGCAGATCTGAGTGGAGATCCTGCTTCTCCTTTTGGACTTCAGCTCTTTAAACTTCAGTTCTCACATATGTTAAGTGGGAAAAGCAAGCCTACCTACCCCATGGTTGCTACATGTGAGGTATTTAGCACAGGACCTGGCACATGGGGCACACTCTGGAAAACAACAGGCCTCCTAGTTATGCAAGTAGACCCTTTTCTTCTTTTCCTTCTGCCCTTGCACACAGTCACATGGATTTAGAGCAGAGAATGTCATCGGACTTGTGAGTCCCACCTGAATACTCACATACACAGGCCAACCCACTGTCACCACCTTAATCCCTCTGGACTAGAAGATGTCAAGTCAACTCAAGATTTATTCGTGAGACAAGTTGAGCTTTCTTTTTCCCGCATCCCTCCTTGTCTCAGTCCCATCTGTTTGGCAAGCTTAATGTGGCATAGGGGAAATGCTAAGAAAACAAACTTTTGCCATCCTCAGTGGGATGTTCCTCTGCACACAGTTCCCTCCTCTCCTCTCCACTTTCTGTTTCTTTTGTAAACAGCCAAGCTCCCCCCACCCCGACACACCACCCCAGGGTGGGACAGAAGTCCTCTGGCTTGAGTTTCCACTGATTTCATGCTCTTTGATGTTGGCATGGCTCTGAAGTAGCGGCTGGTAAAGAGAAACCACCATTTGTTGTTGAAAAAAAAAAAAAAGAAAAGAAAAAGAGAAAAAACCTGCTCTTTTATCTCTGTCCCCCTCTAAATTGCGGAAAGGTGGTATTGTAGAGAGAGAGAACAAGTGGGATTTTATCTTCCTGCCCCTGCCATGCAGCCACGTGAACATCAAAGCTCTCAGCGCCCTGGGAATGGTGGGAGGGAGGTAATGTGAGCAGAGACAAAGGTGCTCCCAGGGAGTTGGGCTGCTTTTGATGGTGGCTGGGCAGGAAGAGCAGGAGCTCCAAGTTTTAGCATGGACAGGGAGGCTCTAAGAGGCCTGAAGTGAAATTGATGACACCTCTCTGTGGTATTGGGAACAAGATGCTCTCTTTCCATTCAAAATGCTGGCTGCTAGCTGGGCATGGTGGCTATGCCTGTAATTCCAGCTCTTTGGGAGGCCGAGGTGGGCGGATCACCTGAGGTCAGGAGTTCAAGACCAGCCTGACCAACATGGTGAAACCCTGTCTACAAAAATACAAAAATTAGCTGGGCATGATGGCGGGTGCCTGTAATTCTAGCTACTAGGGAGGCTGAGGCAGGAGAATTGCTTGAACCTGGGAGGCGGAGGTTGCAGTGAGCCTAGATTGTGCCATTGCACTCCAGCCTGGGCGACAGATCCAGACTCCATCTAAAAAAAAAAAAAAACCAAAAAAACGAAAAACAAACAAAAACAAAAACAAAAACAAAATGCTGGCTGCCTACTGATTAGGGTAACAATGAGAGGCATGATAATATTAATAATTGCCATAGCCATCATTCTTTTTCTGGGCATGCAGAAGTACTTTACATACATAGTTTCACTGAGTCTACATCACAACCTTATGTTACAGTAATGCTATCTTCATTCTGCATAGAGAAAAGGAGCCCTAAAGAGGCCCTGAGGTCATGCAGAAGCAGGATTTAAACCCAGGTCTGCTGACACCAAAGTTTTCTCTTAACCACTAAGCTCTATGGTCTAAGAAATGTTTCTTTTCTCTTGAGCCTGGGAGGCGGAGGTTGTATTCAGCTGAGATCATGCCATTGTGCTCCAGCCTGGGCGGCAGAGTGAGACCCTGTCTGTCTCACACATAAAAAAGAAAGTTTTCTTTTTTTCAACTTTTTCAATTGAAATACACATAACACAAAATTTACCATTGTAACCATTTTAAATTGTACAGTTCAGTGGTATTAAATACATTCACAATATTGTATATCCATCACCAACATCCATCTTCAGAACTCTTTTCATCTTGTAAAACTGAAACTCTATACTCATTATAAAGTAGGCTGGGCATGGTGGCTCATGCTTGTAATTCCAGCACTTTGGGAGGCCAAGGTGGGAGGATTGCTTGAGCCAGGAGGTTGAGGCAGCAGTGAGCCGTGATTGGGCCATTGCAGTCCAGCTTGGGTGACAGAGTGAGACACTGTCTAAAAAAAAAAAAAGAAAAAGAAATAGCTCACCATTCCTCCCTCTCCCCAGTCCCTGGCAATCACCATTTCACTTTGTCTCTATGATTTTGACTACTCTAAGTATCTGATATAAGTGGAATTATACAGTATTTGTCATTTGTGACAGGATTACTTTACTTAGCATAATGTCCTCAAAGTTCATCTATGGTGTAGTATATGTCAGAATTTCATTCTTTTTTAAGGCTGAATAATATTCCATTTTATGGCTATAACATAGTTTATCTGTTAATCCATTGATAGACACCCAGGTTACTGCCACGTTTTAGTTATTGCGAATATTGCTGCTATCGACATGGTTGTATAAACATCTCTTTGAGATCCTACATTCAATTCTTTTGGGTATATACCCAGAAGTGGAATTGCTGGATCACATAGTGATTCTATTTTTAGGGGAACCACCATATTGTTTTACATAGTCGCTGCACCATTTCATTAAAAGTAATTGCAGTTTTTGCCATTACATTCAGTGGCAAAACTGCAATTACTTTTGCCCCAACCTAATACATTCCTGCTACCAGTGTACATGGCTTCCAGTTTCTCCACATCATCACCAACACTTGTTATTTTCCATTTTTTTGATAGTAGTCATTGTAATGGGTGTGAGGTGATGGTATCTTGTAGTTTTGATTTTCATTTCCCTAATGATTAGTGTTGTTGAGCATTTTTTCCTATGCTTATTGGCCATTTGTATATGTTCTTTGGAGAAATGTCTATTCAAATCATTTTCTCTTTTTTCTTTTTTTTTTTTTGAGACAGAGTCTCACTCTGTTCCTCAGGCTGGAGTGCAGTGGTTTGATCTCTGCTCATTGTAGCCTCCACCTCCTGGGCTAAATCGATCCTCCTACCTCAGCCTCCCAGGTAGCTGGGACTATAGGGATGCACCAACACACCTTGCTCATTTTCCTATTTTTTGTAGAGACGGGGTTTTGCCATGTTGCCCAGGCTGGTCTTGAACTCCTGGGCTGAAGTGATCCATTGGCTTCAAGTGATCTCTCCCAAAGTGGTGGGATTACAGGCATAAGCCACTGCGCCCAGCCTTTTTGCCCATTTTTAAAATCAGGTTGTTTGTTGTTGTTATTAAGTTTTGGAAGTTCTGTATATATTTTAGATATTAATCCCTTATCAGATATATGATTTGCAAATATTTTCTCCCATTCTGTGGGTTGCCTTTTTGCTCTGTTAATATTGTCTTCTGATGCACACATATTTAAAATTTTCGTGAAGTCCAATATGTCTATTTTTTTCTTTTGTTGCCTGTGCCTTTGGAGTCATATCCAAAAAAGTTGTTGCCAAATCCAATGTCATGTAGCTTTTGGCTTTCTTCTAAGAGATTTATAGCGTTAGGTCTTACATTTAGGTGTTTGATGAAATTTGAGTTAATTTTTGTATATGGTATTAGATAACGGTCCAACTTCATTCTTTTACATCTGGATATGCAGTTTTCCCAGCACAATTTGTTGAAAAGACTGGGCTTTTCCCATTCAATAATATTGGCATCTATGTCAAAAATAATTTGGCTGTATATGAGAGGGTTTATTTTTGGGCTCTCCATTCTATTCCTTTGGTGTATATGTCTGTCTTTATGCCAGTATTATGCTATTTTGGTTACTGTAGCTTTGTAGTATGTTTTGAAATCAGGAAGTATGAGTCCTTCAGCTTTTTTTTTTTCTCAAAATTATTTTGGCTATTCAGAGTCCCTTCAGATTCCATATGAATTTTAGAATGGAACTTTCTATTTCTGCAAAAACCTCACAAGGATTTTGATATGGATTGCAGTGAATTTGTAGATCACTTTGGGTAGCATTGACATATTAACAATATTAAGTCTTCCAGTCCACGAATATAAGAATATAATATATGCTTTCATTTACTTATGTCTTTTTTTTTGAGACGGAGTCTCACTCTGTTGCCCAGGCTGGAGTGCAGTGGCACCATCTTGGCTCACTGCAACCTCCGTCTCCTGGGTTCAAGTGATCCTCCTGCGTCAGCCTCTCAAGTAGCTGGGATTACTGGCCCCCGCCACCACACCCGGCTAATTTTTGTATTTTTAGTAGAGACAGGGTTTCACCATGTTGGTCAGGCTGGTCTCGGTCTCCTGACCTCAGGCGACCCGCCTGTCTCAGCCTCCCAAAGTGCAGGGATTACAGGCATGAGCCACCGCACCTGGCCTTACTTATGTCTTCTTTACTTTTTTTCATTAATGTTTTGTAGTTTTCATTGTACATGTCTTTCACCTTCTTGGTTAAGTTCATTCCCAGGTTTACTTTTTTTTTTTATGCTATTGTAAATGAAATTGTTTTGTAATTTTCTTTTCAGATTAATTGTTAGTGTACAGAAATGCAACTGGTTTCTATGTGTTGACTTTTTTGTGTGTGTGTGTGTTGACTTTTTAACCTGCCACTTTGCTGAATTAATTTATCAGCTCCAACAGGGTTTTTTTTTTTTTTTTTGGTGTGGAATCTTTTTAAGTTTTTTACACGTAAGATCATATTATCTGCAAACAGAAATAATTTATACCTCTTCCTTTCCAACTTGGAAGTCTTTTATTTCTTTTTCTTGCCTAATTGCTCTGGTTAGAACCCCTAGTACTAGGTTGAATAGAAGTGGAGAGAATGGGCATTTTGTTTTTGTTTTTGTTTTTGAGATTTAGTCTCACTCTGTTACCCAGGCTAGAGTGTAGTAGTGTGATCTTGGCTCACTGCAACCTCTGCCTCCCAGATTCAAGTGATTCTTCTGCCTCAGCCTCCAGAGTAGCTGGGATTACAGGTGCATGCTATCACACCTGGCTAATTTTTGTATTTTTAGTAGAGATGGGGGTTTCACCATTTTGGCCAGGCTGGTCTTGAACTTCTGACCTCAGGTGATCCACCTGACTTGGCCTCCCAAAGTTCTGGGATTACAGGCGTGAGCCACCGCACCAGGCCGAGAATGGGCATTTTTGTTTTTTTCCTCATCTTAGGGAAAAGCTTTTTGACTTTCAGCATTGAGTATGATGTCTGCTGTAGATTTTTCATATGTGGCTTTTATTATGCGGAGGTAGCTTTTTTCTGTTTTTGGTTTGTTGAGGTTTTTATCATGAAAAGGTGGTGAATTTTGTCAAATGCTTTTTCTGCATCCATTGAGATGATCATGTAGTTCTTTAACCCTTTCATTCTGTTAATGGGATGTATTACATTGATTGATTTTCTCTCTTTTTTTGAGAGACAGGGTCTCACTCTGTTGCCCAGATTGGAGTGAAGTGGCACAGTCATAGCTCACTACAGGCTCAACATCCCAGGCTTAAGTGATCTTTCCACCTCAGTCTACCGACCAGCTGGGACTACAGCTGTGTGCTACCATGCCCAGCTTTTTTTGTTGTTGTTTATTTATTTATTTATTTTTTTGAGACAGAATCTTGCTTTGTTGCCCAGGCTGGAAGTGCAGTGCCATGATCTTGGCTCACTGCAACCTCTGCCTCCCGGGTTCAAGCAATTGTTCTGCCTCAGCCTCCTGAGTCTGGGATTACAGGCACCCATGACCACACCTGGCTAATTTTTTTTTTTTTTTAGATGGAGTTTCACTCTTGTTGCCCAGGCTAGAGTGCATGGCACTATCTTGGCTCACTGCAACCTCCATCTCCCAGATTTAAGCGATTCTCCTGCCTCAGCCTCCGAAATAGCAGGGATTACAAGTGCCCGCCACCATGGGTGGCTAATTTTTTGTGTTTTTAGTAGGGATGGGGTTTCGCCACATTGGCCAGGCTGGTCTCAAACTCCCGATCTCAGGTGATCCACCTACCTCAGCCTCCCAAAGTGCTGGGATTACAGGTGTGAGCCACTGTGCCCGTCCACACCTGGCTAATTTTTTTTCAGTATTTTTAGTAGAGGTGGGTTTCACCATGTTGGCCAGGCTGATTTCAAACTCCTGACTTCAAGTGATCTGCCTCCCTTGGCCTCCCAAAGTGCTGGGATTACAGGCATGAGCCACCAAGCCCGGCCATGCCCGGCTAATTTTTTAACTTATGTAGAGATAGGGTCTTGTTATGTTGCCCAGGCTGAACGCCAGAGCTCAAGTGATTCTCCTGCCTTAGTGTCCCAAAGTTTTGGGATTACAGGCATGAACCACTGTGCTCGGCCAATTCATTTTCATATGTTGAACTGTCCCTGCATTCCAGGAATAAATCCTACTTGCTCATAGTGTATAATCCTTCTACTATGCTGCTAAATTCAGTTTGCTAATATTTTGCTGAGGGTTTTTGCACACATGTTCATAAAGGATATCGATTTGTAGTCTTCTAGTGTTTTTGGCTTTGGTATTAGGGTAATGCTAGTCTCATAGAATGATTTAGGAAGTGTTTCCTCCTCTTTAATTTTTAAAGAAAAGTTTGAGAAGGATTGGTATTAGTTGTTTAAATGTTTGGTAGAATTTACTAGTGAAGCCAACAGGTCCAGGACCTTTCTTTGTTGGGAGATGTTTGATTACTGATTCAGTCTCCTTACTAGTTATCAGTCTATTCATATTTTCTGTCTCCTCATGATTTAGTTTTAGTGGGTTTTGTGTTTCTCATAATCTTTCCATTTTATCCAGGTTACCCTATTTGTTGACATACAATTGTTCACAGTACTCTCTTGCAATCGTTTTTATTTCCATAGAGTTGGTAGTAATTTTCCCATTTTCATTTTTGATTTTAGTAATTTGAGTCTTTTCTCTTTTTTTAGTCCATTTAGTTAAAGGTTTGTCAATTTTGTCCATCTTTTCAAAGAGACAACTTTTGGTTTTATTAATTTTCCCTTTTGTTTTCCTATTTTCTATTTCATTAATCTCTGTTCTAATCTTTGTTATTCTCTTCCTTCTGCTAGCATTAGGTTTTGTTTGTTTTTTTTTTTCTAGTTTCTTATTTGTAAAGTTAGGTTGTTGATTTGAGAACTTTCTTATTCCTAAATTTAAACATTTATAGCTATAGTTTTTCCTTTTAGCACTGCTTTTGCTATGTCCTGTAAGTTTTAGTTGGTTGTGTTTTTGTTTTTGTTCTTCTGTAGTTTCAAATTTTTGTTGCAATTTTTTCTTTCATCTATTTGGTTTTTCATTGTTTTTACTGTATTTATTTTTATTTTATATATATATTTTAAAAATAGAGGTGGAGTCTAACTATGTTGTCCAGGCTGGTCTTGAACTCCTGGGGTCAAGCGATTCACTTACCTTGGCCTCCCAAAGTGCTGGGATTATAGGCTTGAGCCACTGCACCTGGTCTTTTGATTATTGATGCATTGTTTAATTTCCACAAACTTGGGAATTTTCCAGTTTTACTTCTGTTATTGATTTCTAACTTCATCCTATTGTGCTTAGAGAAGATGCTTTATATAATATCTATCTTTTTTTTTTTTTTTTGAGATGAAGTTTCGCTCTTGTTGCCCAGGCTGGAGTGCAATGGCATGATCTCGGCTGACTGCAACCTCTATCTCCTGGGTTCAAGCGATTCTCCTGCCTCAGCCTCCTGAGTAGCTTGGATTACAGGCATTCACCACCACGCCTGGCTAATTTTGTATTTTTAGTGGAGATGGGGTTTCTCCATGTTGGTCAGGCTGGTCTTGAACTCCCAACCTCAGGTGATCCACCCACCTTGGCATCCCAAGGTGCTGGGATTACAGGCATGAGCCACTGTGCCAGGCCTATAATATCTATCTTTTAAAATGTATTGAGACTTAATTTGTGGCCTAACGTATAGTCTATTCTGGAAAATGTCTCATGTGCTTCAGAAGAATGTATATGCTGTTGTGTAGAGTGTTCTGTATATGTCCGTTAGCTCTAGTTGGTTTATTATGTTGTTTAAGTCCTCTCTCTCCTTACTTATCTTCTGTGTGGTTGTTCTATCTGTCATTATTATTATTATTGAGACAGGGTCTTGCTCTGTTTCATAGGCTGGAGTGCAGTGGCACGATCACAGCTCACTACTACCTTGACCTCCTGGGCTCAAGCAATCCTCCCACCTCAGCCTCCTGAGTAGCTGGACTATAGGCATGTACCATCATGCCCAGGTAATTTTTTTTTTTTTTTTTTTGGTAGAGACAGAGTGTCAATATGTTTCCTAGGCTGGTCTCAAACTCCTGGGCTTAAGCAGTCCCCCCACCTTGGCCTCCCAGAGTGCTGGAATTACAGTTGTGAGCCACTGTGCCTGGCCATGTTACTAAAACTTTCTGAATCTCAGATTTTTATCTATAAAATGAGAATGTCCACAGATATAGGACTGTTGTAAAGATGAAATTAAATAAAATATTTGTAGCAGGTAAGATGGTTTTGGCTATAAGAAACAGAAAACTCCATTCAAAATTTACTTCAATGTGAAAATTCACTATCCCACATATTAAGAAGTCCCAAGGAAGACCAATTCCAGTCTTGGTTAGTCCAGTGGCTCAAAAATATTATCAGGAATCCAGAATCTTCTTTCTTCTCTGCCATGTTTGGTGTGACGAATTTTGTCCTTAGCCAAGCCAGCTGCTCTCATGATCACAAAATGGCTGCTGTAATTCCAGACATCACATGTAGATGCAAAAAAAGAGTGTGCTTTTTCTCATCTCTCTCTCTTTCCATGAGGGCCATTGGCATTCATCTACACTCTCAGATGTCTCTACTAACATAGGCTTCATCAGAGGCATCACATAGCTCTTTTCAAGAGCATAAACCCTTTCCTTTTGGAATCTCATCTTCTGCTCCCACCTCCCAGCCATGTTATACAGTCATGTCTAATTAATCACTGGCAAGAGGACTAGATCCGCCCTGCAGACCTTAAACCAATCGGGTTTTACTGCTGGGGAAACTTGGGAGACAGTCCCCCTTTCGTGACACTTGTGGGGAAATGTGAATGCTACTAGTTCAACACTGGACACATTGTACCACAGAAGGAGGGGAGATCTGTTGGGTAGGCACTTACAAAAATATCCTGTGATCCTTTTGTAGTTCATAAGCATGATAATTGGGTTTTCATGCTCATGTGTGAGCTGTACCTCCCTTAAACCTCGTTATGATGTTGACACATTACCTGTCTGACAAGGACTTTCAAAAAAACTCTAAAAAAGAAAAAAAAAAGAATAAAATAAAATAAATAAATAAGAGTAAAATAAAATAAGAATAAAGTAAAATAAAAATTTAAACATCCTGTAGATTATGTGCCAAGTGCCCTGCATAGAGCCTGGCAGCTGTGTGGGCTCCAATCTCTTCCATTCATTTGTATGAATGAGGAGAGGTGGCCCATTTTGATTAGTTAAGTTTCCAATTATGGGTTGTTTTTAAAAAGATATATTGTGATGCCTTCGTGAAACTCAAAAACTCAATGAAAAAAGAGTAAGTCTGGAAACCCTGTAAACCAGGTCCCAGGCCAGTTTTTTCAAGAGGGTTGTATAAGCGTTTTATTTTTTATTTGTTTATTTTTTAAAGACAGGGTCTCACTATGGGGTCTCACTATGTTGCCTAGGTTGGTCTTGAACTCCTGGGCTGAAGCAATTCTCTTGCCTCAGTCTCCCAAGTAGCTGGGACAACAGGTGTGCACCACTGCACCCAATGGTTTTGTAAGCCTTGACTCCATAAAACAACTTTAGTTACTTAAAAGGACTTGGTGATATACGAGTAAATAAACATAGTTTTCAAATATGACATTCCAGGCAAGTTCTTGGTTGTATAACCAATGTTTTCAATGAAATCCCAGTAAAATTAAGTCCCAGATATGTCCTTATTGCATCTACGGAAATAACTATATTGGTATGAAAAGAAGAATGTTCATTAAGAGTTTCCAGATTCTGGAGGGGTTAGGCTGGAAGAATATGATATCATTTATAAATGTTTCATTTCCATTTACAAAAACAGAGTCTACTAAATTGTTATGGGTTATAGATAAAAGAAAAAAGAAAGGGCTTCTGTATATTAAAACATCAATAATCTCACAGCTGCAGATGCTGTGAAGAAGAATAAAAATAATTTTGTAAAAAGAAAAAGAAAAAAAATCAGTAATACTCCCCCCGCCCACCATAAACTACAATCATTCCTCATCAGTTCATTTAGCCCTATGTAATTAATTCTTGTTTCACTGGATCTTGGGTTAGCATTTTCATGACTCCATTTGTTTCTTGCCTAGAGTTCTGGAAATCCTTACTCAGTTTGCTGGTATGGTCTCAAAATTGTTTAAGTGATGCCATCAGCAGCACATACCCCAAAATACCCAACATAGTCCTTTTCCACGGGTCTCTGAGACAGTCCTTTGTTGAAGAGGAAACATTTTCAAGGAAGCGTCAGAGTAAAACAAAAAAACTACCTCTAGATGACAAAAGGCTTAAAATACTGTGCTTAATGTATTACTGATAATTTTCAAAAGCAAAAGTTCTGATAAGAATTTATTCCAATAAAAATGCAACCGATAAGAAAATTTGGTTGCTTCTGTGGCATGCCAAAAAGAAAATAAAGTCGATTCAAAAAAATTTTAGATAAAATAGTTAAAAACATAATGATTAGCCCTTTTTCAAAGAAGACAGGCCAGGTGCAGTGGCTCACGCTTGTAATTCCAGCACTTTGAGAGGCTGAGGCGGGTGGATCACCTGAGGTCAGGAGTTCGAGACCAGCCTGGCCAACATGGTGAAATCCTGTCTCCACTAAAAACACAAAAAATTAGCTGGGCGTGGTGGCGGGAGCCTGTAATCCCAGCTACTCGGGAGGCTGAGGCAGGAGAACCTCTTGAACCCAGGAGGCGGAGGTTGCAGTGAGCCAAGATCGCGCCATTGGACACTAGCCTGGGCGACAAGAGCAAAACTCCCTCTAAAAAACAAACAAACAAACAAAAAAACCAAAAAAACTTACAATGATTAGCTCTATTTTTAAAGAAGACAGGCCAGGCTGGGTGGCTCATACTTGTAATCCCAGCACTTTGGGAGGCCGAGGCTGGCAGATCACCTGAGGTCAGTAGTTTGAGACCAGTCTGGCCAACATGGTGAAATCCTGTCTCTACTAAAAATACAAAAAAATTAGCCAGGCGTAGTGGCACACGCCTGTAATCCCAGCTACTCAGGAGGCTAAGGCAGGAGAATTGCTTGAACCTGGAAGGCGGAGGTTCGAATGAGCCAAGATTGCAACTGCATTCCAGCCTGGGCGACAGATGGAGATTCTGTCTCAAAACAACAACAACAACAAAAGAAGACAGTGAACGTTATATCTAATTTATAAAAATGGATGAACATAATCTTTCCAGAGAAAAAAATCTTGAGATATAACGTAATAATGCTGAAACATAATATAACATGAATTTGCTAAGTAAGAATATAACAAAAATATATCAAGAATATCAAGTAAAGAGAGTTCGTGGTCCTCAGTAATTCTTAGACATCTGTTTGTTAGTAAAATTATGTAAGTGATGTCAATCCCCAGTTGAAAACCACTGCCCTAGAAGATACTAGATTCAAATTAAATAAGTAAAGCTGTGATCAAGTTAACACTTAGAAAGCAACTGAAATTGGGCCAGGCACAGTGGCTCTCATCTGTAATTCCAGCACTTTGGGAGGCTGAGGCAGGATGATCACTTGAACCCAGGAGTTTGAGACCAGCATGGATGACAGAGTGAGACCCCATTTCTATTAAAAAAAAAAACAAAACAAAACTGAAATCATGAGTGATAACACTGTAGTGTCATTGTCTAATATGGCAAAGCAGCACTAGGGCCCTAATAAGAAGAAATGTGTCATGGACGGCGAGGACACTGCAAAGCTCTGGAAAATGCCCATATAGCGTACAGTTTCTGAAATATACTAACAACATGCAACATATACCAATTTAACCTAGGAAAGGCTGAGCATCTCTTCTGATTTCACAAGCCTTTCATGTGGTTCATCAATAGTAATCCAGCAAGTAAACCTAATTATTTCTAACACCTCTCTTTTCAAAAGGCTAAAAAATAAGTCTTTGTGATTTTCCAGGGGCCCCCTAGGAAATCTCAAAATAGCTTTAGTAGCAAAAAAAATCCTGAAAGCTTCATTTTATTTTATATTTAGAATTCCATTTTAGGGAGGCAAAAACCAGACACTGTCAGGCAATTTGAACACTATGACAGGAATCGGATCTAGGTGTCTAAAAAACTATTTGGGAGCTGGGTACAGTGGCTCACACCTGTAATTTCGCACTTTGGGAGGCTGAGGCTGGTGGATCACCTGAGGTCAGGAGTTCGAGACCAGCCTGGCCAACATGGGGGTGAAACCCCGTCTCTACTAAAAATACAAAAATTAGCCAGGCATGGTGGCATATGCCTGTGATTCTAGCTACTGGGGAGGCTGAGGCAGAAAAATTGCTTGAACTGGGGAGGTGGAGGTTGCAGTAAGCCGAGATTGTGCCACTGCACTCCAGCCTGGGCAACAAAGCGAGACTTCGTCTCAAAACAAACAAACAAACAAAAAACAAACCCAAAACAAAACAAAAACTGAAACAAAACTCTTTGGCTCCTCATTTCTAAGTGACAATAAAGTATTTAAAAAGTAAACATAGAAGGTAACATGACTGTAAGGAGGCTTAGATCTTTCCTAACTGAGAAACTTTTGTTTTCTTAAATAGTCAAGGACATAATAATAAATTCAGCATAAACCATTGAAGGCTATTCCAGTAAAACACAGAATCTTTGCTGTCTACGCCGATTACATAAGAAAAACAAAAAGCCCTTCATCTTGTAGATGAAGGCAATAAACAGTAACCAAGGGAACAAGTCTGTCAAAATTGAGCAAAATTTGACAGCTTTCGTAGCCTTTCAGACTCATTGTTTGCACAAGCCATAACCCGAGGCAAACAAAATTGTGAGAATGAGTCAATGAAACACAAATTTATATTTTCTGTAATCTTAAGTATTAAGTAGAAGTAATGGTAGCTTGTTCAATCAAGAAACCTGTGTTAAGAAGTACATGCCCAAGTAGAATTAAAATACTAGCAGGTATTATATTTAATGCTGATAAATCAGAATTTATCTAACTAATCTGATTATCAGCTAATCTGTAGCTGTTTTTATTAAACCAAAATTATTTAACTAGTCTTGGTTGCTGAAGACTTACCTAAATTATGTGAACTTGCAATCTTAAAACATTTCCATGTTACTTTCTATAAAAATTACATTGAAAATATTAGAAGTTCGATTTCCTTATTTTCTAGCAATTCTAGAAACAATCAATACAAACACTTATTTATCTCTATAAGCTAATCAGAATAGAGCTCCTTTAATTTCAGGGATTTTCTAACCCAATTTATTAATACCAACAAGAGGTGAAAATTATTATGTGATGGGGGGAGGGGGGAGGGATAGCATTAGGAGATATACCTAATGCTAAATGACAAGTTAATGGGTGCAGCACACCAGCGTGGCACATGTATACATATGTAACTAACCTGCACATTGTGCACATGTACCCTAAAACTTAAAGTATAATAATAATAAAATAATAAATAAATAAATAAATAAATAAATAAAAAAGAAAATTGTTATGTGAGATTTAAATGCCTTTCTGAATTGCAGAAACATAAGCGTGGAAACAGACAGAGGGAGCTTATAGTTTTAATTCTAGATTTTCAGTCATGAGTCAAAGTAAACATACATTTATAAAACTCACCAGTCAAAGAGCTTTTTTCCTAGTAGGTATCGAAGGGGACCAGAATATGTCACCCCAAAATATGCTACTTTAGCATAAGGATTATTTTGAGCTGAAGATAATTGAAAAATAGCAGATGCAGGAAAAAACTCCCTTCTGTTTAAAAGCAGGGCATACACATCCCTTTTTTGTAAAGTTGTCTCCCTCTTCTATATGAGGAAGAGAACTACTAGGGACAATTCTTATCACTGGAGACTCATCTGTATAACAAACCATACTAAACAACCTTACTTACCATACATTTCCTAATTTCTTACTCACCTTCCCATGATCATTTTACAGCCCCCACCCTCCAAGAAACCAAAAAGCACCCTCTTTCCTTGGTCTAATCTCTTCTCCACACCTTATCTTTCTTGTTAAGATGGTAGATAAGCTCCAAATTCTGGCGGGGTGGTGGTCTATGCCTGTAATCCCAGCACTTTGGGAGGCCAAGGTGGGCAGATCACCTGAGGTCAGGAGTTCAAGACCAGACTGGCCAACATGGTGAAACCCCATCTCTACTAAAAATACAAAAAAAATTAGCCGGGCATGGTGGCGGGCGCCTGAAATCCCAGCTACTCGGGAGGCTGAGGCAGGAGAATCACTTGAACCTGGGAGGTGGAGGTTGCAGTAAGCCGAGATTGCACCACTACACTCCAGCCTGGGCAACACAGCAAGACTCTGTCTCAAAAAAAAAAAAAAAAGGAAAAGAAAAAAAAGCAAATTCTAACCATGTCCTCAAGCTCCATTTGTTTGTGAACTCCTATGTGTGCAAATATACTTAATTAAATTTGTTTTTCTCTTGTTAATCTGTCTTTTGTCAGATTGTTTAATTTGCAGGGTCCCAGCCATTGAACTTAGAGGAGAGGAGGAAATTTTTTTCCTCCCTTGCAGTTTAAACTCTTAATAATTTGCATTCAAAATATAAAGGTGAACACGCAGAAAAGACTAACAAACCAGATTCTCTGTTATCTCTCACCCAGCAGAAACAAGTTCTATGTAAACTATTAATTCATTTGCAGAGATCCTCCGATGATCTCATCATAAAACCAAATTCCAGCTGGGCACTGTGGCTCACACCTGTAATCCCAGCATTTTGCGAGGCCAAGACGGGCAGATCACAAGGTCAGGAGTTTGAGACAGCCTGGCCAACATAGTGAAACCCCGTCTCTACTAAAAATACAAAAAGTTAGCTGAGTGTGGTGATGCGTGCCTGTAATCCCAGTTACTCAGGAGGCAAAGGCAGGAGAATCACTTGAACCCAGGAGGCAGAGGTTGCAGTGAGCCCAGATCAAGCTATTGAGCTCCGCCCAGGCAACAGCGTGAGACTTTGACTCAAAAAAAAAAAAAAAAAAAAAAAAAGCAACCAAATTCTCAACCAAAAAGGCAAACAAACTAAATTCCCTGGAGCCTTTCACCCAACAGAGACTAGATCTCTATGCGACATTTACAAAGATCATAAATGGTCAGACCCTAAAACTAATTCTCAATGGGGAATAATTTACTGGCTATAAACAAACCAAAACCAAAATTAGTAAGGGCAAAATAAAATTAGAAAAACAGAGTCAGCAAAGTTCTATTGTTCACTTCATGTTACTTGACCTCATGAATCAGGAAAATATATTTCTGTGCTTCAACTGCCCATGTGGTGCACTTTTCTGTGGATGAAGTCTACCTGGCTCTGGTCAGCAAATCCACAGGACATCTTGGTGAATCCTCTGAAACTGTTAAAAGATAACGTTCAGAAAAAGGTATTAGGTTGGTGCAAAGTAATTGCGGTTTGGATCACTACTTTTAATGGCAAAAATCACAATAGCTTTTTCCCCAACCTAATGAAATCATGACTCTTCTATAGATACAAAAATGAACATGTGCTAAAAAATTTATTTTGCTTATATGATACTAGGGAATAAGAAACATGTTATAACTGGTTTATTTGTCTGCTTGGGATGCCACAGCAAGGTATGACAAACTGGGTGGCTTAAACAACGGAAATTTGTTCTCTCACAGTTGTCGAGGCTGGAAGTTCCAAATCAAGGTGTTGGTAGGGTTGGTTCCTTCTGGGGGCTTTGAGGGGAATCTATTCTGTGTATCTCTCCCAGTTTCTGGTGGTTTTGGTGGCAATCCTCTGTGTTCCTTAGCTGGGAGACATATCATCCTATCTCTCACTTCCTCTTCACTTGGCATTCTTTTGTGTATGCATGAAGAGGAAGGTAATTTGTCTCTGTGTCTAAATCACCTTTTATTTTTCTTAAGGACACAGTCATATTATATCAGGGCCCACTCTCATGGCCTCATCTTGATCGTCTGCAAAGACCCTATTTCCAAATAAGCTCACATTCCCAGGTACTGGGGGTTGGGACATATCTTCAATATTTTTGGGGGAAGGGGACACAATTCAACCCATAGCAACTGGCTCAAAGGAAAAGTCAAAACAGCACAGGTTTTTTTTTTTTTTTTACAAGTAAAGGAATGCTGAGATGAATTGCAAATGGAGGCAAAACTGTTTTATCCATGAGTGAAGGATAGGGCCAGGGGGAGTCAATTAAATCACTACCAGATAGGACAGAAGTTATATATCTATCAGTTACCTACAACTTACGAAGATTTACAAAGTAGCTCAAAGACAATAAACATGGCTACAATCTCATAACCCAGAAGGGTATGCATAAGTGATGCATTGTTTTTTATTAAAGCATATTTTTTTCTATGCAACTATTAATCCGTTTATTTTTTTTCCATGGATTAAGTGGTCCGAAAATCTGCTCTGCATTAAGTGGTCCTGAAGTCTCACGTGTGTGATTCACTTTCTTGGAAAACTTATCGCTGGTCCAATTTCTAGCCTTGCTTCCTGTAACACTGGGAGGGAGGTTTGGCCGTATTTTCCTCACTGGGGTTGTTGGATGCTTGAGGACAGCAGTTCCCTCTAACAAGGCGTTGCAGATGCTCTCTGTTTATTCCCTGCTTGGTCTCCTCAGACAGGTAGGAAACTAGGCTTAGAGAAATAAAGGAGAAGGCCAGGTGTGGTGACTCAGGCCTGTAATCCCAACACTTTGGGAGGCTGAGGCAGGTGGATCTCCTGAGGTTAGGAGTTCAAGACCAGACAGGCCAAAATGGTGAAACACTGTCTCTACTAAAAATACAAAAATTAGCTGGGCCTGATGGCAGGTGCCTGTAATCCCAGCTACTCAAGAGGCTGAGGTGGGAGAATCACTTGAACCTGGGAGGTAGAGGCTGCAGTGAACCAAGATGGTACCATTGCACTCCAGCCTGGGTGACAGAGTGAGACCCCAACTCAAAACAAATAAAGGAGAATCACTAAGGGCTACCAGATTCATTATTACAGCTACAGGAGCTGCAACTCCAGGATGCAGTGAGCCCTTTTCAGCACTATTTATTTATTTATTTGGTTAACACTTTCTTTTATTATTGCTTTGTGTTTCTCAGAAGAATAGAGGCCTGGTGAGGGGAGGTAGCAGAGTCTTCTTGTTGAGAAATCTATGCCCAGCACCCAGATGGCCAGGAAGGGGCCAGCGGCTCTGGGCTGCTACCCTGCACCCAGAGCTTCCCAGGTGCTCTTTGGATCTCACTTGGGTCAGCACTTTATTTACAACTCTCAGTCCTCATACCTCAGCCTCCAAAATGCACATGGTATATCATTTTATGTCATTTGCTGGGCCTGTTGAAATTCTTCTCACAGCTATGTGGGCAGGAGGGAAAAGGGTTGATACAGAAAGAGGTATGCAAAGTGCCTATATCTTTAAAAAATAAAACACACTTTGGGAGGCCGAGGCGGGTGGATCACTTGAGGTCAGGAGTTGGAGATCAGCCTGACCAACATGGTGAAAGCCTGTCTCTACTAAAAATACAAAAATAGCTGGGTGTGGTGGTGGGCACCTATAATCCCAGTTACTTGGGAGGCTGAGGCAGGAGAATTGCTTGAACCCGGGAGGTGGAGGTTGCAGTCAGCCAAGATCACGCCACTGCACTCTAGCCTGGGTGATAGAGTGAGACTCTGTCTCAAAAATAAAATAAAATAAAATAAAATAAAAAATAAAGCACAAGCATGAATTTCATAAGAAAGAGTTTTAGGGACTTATAGATTCAGAGCCTCAGTAAGGAAATGTCTTTCTCCTTGATAAAAATAACTTTGGGAAAGATAAATTTAGGAATTCTCTTCCCCATGATTCAGATTCCTGACATTCTTTGGTATTTTCACTATATAGTTGCCTTTTCTTTTTCTGTATTACTTTTTTCCAGAAAGAGAAAATCTTACTGGGGAATGCCATGCCAAGCCTGAGAATGTTGAATATCCTAGGCCAAGCTCAGTAAGGTCAAAGAGCTTTCCAGCAGGAAATTCTTCTGTCTGTAATAACTGAGGCCAGTTTCATGGGATGAGGCTGGCAATCTGCAGGGAGACCAGGAGGGTCCTTTTGGCTTTTTATTTTTTCGTCCAGCTCTCTGGTTTACTCCCCCTTATTTAAGCTTTTAGCAGCTTCCCAGGCACCACTCTGCCTGGAAGTTTTCCAGGTGGATGTCCTACCCTAAATTCTCTTTTGTCATGGGCCTCTTCAGGCAGAACCCATGCTGTAATGCCTGGGCGGTCCTTGCTGTTTTCTTTCCTGTCTCTGGGTGAACTCATCTCACATGTTCCAAGAGAAAATACAAGAGAGATAGGACTCTTTCCATTTGTAAATTCCAGGCCTGCTTTCTCTCAGGCTTTTCAACTTCTTTTGAGACTTGGTGTGTGTGGTTTTGCCCAAGCAATGCATCACCTGGAACCCATGCACTTGTGTCTCTCAGGAGCTCCACACTCTTTCTCTGTCTTTGCCAGTTCCCCTCACCTGGCCCTTCTTTTTAACTTTCTCCCATTAAGTGCTGATTGTATGACCTGCACTTCGGTAAGCTCTTTAATGCATTATTTTTATGTCATCTTCCAAGCAATTCTATGGGATAGGGACAATGATTCCCAGTTCGCAGTTGAGAAAACAAGGTTTAGGGCAGTTAAATGACCTCCCCATGGTCACATGGCTAAGCTGAAGAGTCAGGATTTGAATCCAGGCCTAAGTGACTGAAAAGCTGGTATGGTTTACTGCTTGTTTATGTGCCATGGGGGAGAAACATCTGTTATGAGACTCTAGGAACAAAATACTGAATTAATATACAGTCATGTGTTGCTTAACAATGGGGATATGTTCTGAGAAGTGCATAATTGTGTGAACATCATAGAATATACTTACATAAACCTAGATGCTGCAGCCCACTACACACCCAGACCACATGGTATAGCCTATTGTTCTCAGACTATAAACCTGTACAGCATGTTGCTGTACTGAATACTGTAGGCAACTGTAACATAGTGGAAAGTGTTTGTGTAGTCAAACATATTTAAACATAGAAAAAGTACAATAAAAATACAGTATTATAATCTTATGGTACCTCTGTGGTGTGTGCAGTCTGTCATTGACTGAAAGGTTGTTATGTAGTGCATGACTATATTTTGTCAGCTGTGAAACTTTTAAGGATGCTCAAGCTGATGAAGCTGGTTTAGGATGGAGGACTCAGCTTATGGAAAAAAATGCCGGCATTCTCATAATATGATGTTTACCTCTTTTCTTTGAATTGCTCCTTTTCATAGATTTCTCTCAAAGGCTGAGACCATCTTGATTAGTCTTGCTGAATGCAAAAGCTTACGTGATTTCCTGGAGATCAGACTTTTAATAAATTCTGGTAGGGCTGGTCTTGGGATAAATTTAGAAAAATATGAGGTTTGATCTTTGAGGCACACATCTCTCATTTTTGTAACTCTTTTTCTCTTTAAAATAAACCCACCTACCCAAATTCCCATACTAATCTCAGGGACTTGTGGCCATGACTTCTGCTATTAGGGAGAGAATTTATCAGATAAAACCATTCACTTGACTTAATGAGTCATTCTTCTGAGCATAAAGGAACACTTCAAGAGACTGATTTGAGTAATAATAAAACTCCAGTCTCCTGCACAGCTGGCTCTGTGTAAACTACTTTTTCTCTATTGCAATTCCCCTGTGTTAATAAATTGGCTCTGTCTAGGCAGTGGGCAAGGTGAACCCATTGGGCAGTTACAAATTTGGGGGCTTGTCCAGGATAGCCCTTGTGGCTAGCTGCCCATGGTTTGGTAGCCTGCCTCTGGCAATGGATCTGGAGGTCAGCTCAAGTGGCCACCTAATTTTCTTGGACAGTGGGTGACTCTGGCACCGTCTCTTCCAGTTGGGCACTGCCAACCCAATGTGCATGGATTTAATTGCAATGGAGAAATAGTCCTCAGGAGACATCTCATAACTGAAGCCCTGTCACAGGGTGTCTGTCCATAGCTCCATGGCGGGGTGCTGTAGCCAGGTCATGGAGTGTCTGTAGCTATAGCCCCATTATGGAGTATCTGGGTTGGTGAGTATCCTAGGCACTGCCAATGTCTCCTTCCTTCTCCTGACTGGTTCTGTAACCCCATGGTGGGGTGTCTAGCTGTAGCCGCATTGTGGGGTGTCTGCCTGGAGCTCCACCATGGGGTGTCTGTCTCAGTTCAGCTCCTGGGGGTTCTCAGTTGGCTCTCCCTAACTAGTAGGAAGAGTCTTGGTTTGGGAGACTTCTCCTCCATCAGAAGATGTTGGGGAGATTTCTCAAATGGAGAATAGTAAGATAGTTTAGAAGAAGTACTCCTGGAATTCTTGGTTAGGGATCTTGATTTGGAAGGCCTTCTGTCTGTCTTGTGTTTATGTGTGTTTGTATATGTGGAGGGGATCTCCGAAGGAATTGCTGACAGAAGTCCAACAGGCCTAACTCGGAGAACCCTCCTTATTTGTGTGGTTACATTCAGTGAACCCTGAAGTAAGCTCAACAGGACTGACTTGGGGTGACTGTCTGCTCTTTGTCTTTCCCAGAGACCACCCATTGAATTACTGTTCTGAAGTCATCCCTCAACCACCTGGAGTAGACCAAAGGCAACAGAAACCAAGAGGAGAAAGTTTGAGCCTTGCCATATCAATATTGGGTACTGAACGAGGTGACTAGTGTCTGTTTTGTTGTGTGTATTTTGTTGGGATGGAGAATGTTAATTTGGTTCCCCAAGCAGCCTGTTGGGCAACATCTTGCAAAATTGAGAATCTTTTGCCTATGGTTCCATAAAACAGAAAGGGGTGATTTTCTTTTGTTGGGTGGCTTGACCCTCACAGTTATGGCACAGTGGTCAGGATCATCAAAAGCCACTCTGTTTCTGTGGAAGCTGCGAAGAAAGAGAACCTGGAAACCTAGTATGCCAGCAAAAAGGATAAGAAAATCTTACCAGCCAAGTTTCGGCTTTCTCTCTCTCTCTCTCTCTCTCTCTCTCTGTGTGTGTGTGTGTGTATGTGTGTAAATGGTAAACACCACTATTTGTCTCCTCTACAAGGGTTTGATTAATAGAAGAAAGGATTTGTGAGACTAGTCTTAGGTTGTAGCAAATCTGGTGTACTTTGTGCTAAGAATTTGTCTTTCTATGTTGTTCTATAATGGAGAGATGGGCATCACAAGATAAAACGTAGGTTTAGAACTCCTATATTCCCGCTTTTCAAGCCAGCCTGGCAGGCTGGTCTGTTACAAACTTTGCTGAGGGTCCCTGAAACGAATACCAGATGAAATTTCTCTGTCTTGTTTTGTGTCCTCAAGAGCTTAACTTTGTGACCATGTGGAGATACTTTCTTTTGGTTTCCTCCAACCAGAGGACAGGAATTTGGGGGTTCATGTCATAGTTAGCCCTAAAAATTATTTTGAACAGTTAAGAGGCTTTGCAAGCTTGGAATTGGCTGCTTTAGACTTCTTCAGGGCACAGCAATAGAAACTGCTCAATGGCGTGTAGCTCAGTAGGTAAGGCTTTGCCTTTTGACAATGGTGGCTCGGGTTCAATTCTTGGCTTCCAGAATGATTCCTTTCTGGTTTGTCATTTGTGTAACTTTGCCACTAATATTGAGGTGTATTTTTCCCCCTGCCCCATGGATAGCTTCTGATTTCCTGATTGGATTTTCCTTTCTCTGAACGACCCTTGTGGAGATTCTAAATCTTGTTAAAAAAAAAAGAAGAAAAGAAATAAATAAGGAAAAAAACTGCTTATCATGTCTTTGAAACACCTTGTGCATCCATGGTTAAGTCATAACCTTAGTTAAAACTTACTAATTTCTCATGGAAGGTTACCTGTGGTACAATTCAAAAGCCAAAAATATTGGCTGTCCTGGGTAATAAGCAATTTTTTTTTGAGAAAAGAACTTTATGGTTAAATTCAACTTAATTAAAAATGGATACCCAAGGTATACATACTTAAAAGGCCTTTATCTTTTTTCCTCTTCTTGAGTTGTGTTTTTCTGAAAAAGTTTTTTTCTTCTCAGTAGACTGAATTGTTTTTCTCCATTTTGTCTTCTTGCCACTGTTAATGTCCACAGGAAAAAACTCAAGATAATTACTAACAACCTGGGACTCCTGGGGAAAAACAGAGATGGCACCACAGACCCCATTCTGGGAAAAACTTCTTTTCCTCATGGAACCCCAGGAATTGAAAACAATAAATCCCTCTCAAAATCTAAGGCTCTGTTTTGTTTTGCCTTGCTTTAGCTAATGGTTTTGACTTTTGAGGGTATCAAATTACTTTATGGGAAATAATAATCAAATTATTTTATGGGAAAGCTTTTAGCCTTGGTGTGTAATAACTAGGTAAAAAATATATATATACTTTAAGAAATGGCTAATGTCAGTTATGAAGAGATACTTATCTCTTTACTTGCTTGGGTCAAAGAAGCATGCTCTTGGCCACTTGGAAGTGGGATATGGAAACATCCCCAACCCCCACTGAAAGATGAGACTCCCGTTGGGGATGGGCTAATTAAAAAATGGGCTGATTGGCTTTGAATTGCCTTGCAATGAAATGCATGGTAGAAGCACTGCACTATCTTCTCTTGTAGTATTTCCCTCCTTTTTGGGGATCCAGGATCCAGTATAAAATGGCACCTTTAATTTTGAGGATTTGTCTTTGCCTTCCAGCTGTGCCTACTTATTA
Organism: Homo sapiens; assembly: GCF_000001405.40. Taxonomy (NCBI): domain Eukaryota; kingdom Metazoa; phylum Chordata; class Mammalia; order Primates; family Hominidae; genus Homo; species Homo sapiens. The sequence goes on along the minus strand of NC_000012.12, from coordinate 93,251,980 downwards.
GGTCCTAAAAACTGCATGCTTTCCTGGCCCTGCTCATCCAAGGGATCCACCCTGAAGCCAGTAATCCAATTAAAAAACTGGCAAATGAAAAGTCTTACAACTACTGGATCTTCTGTCTGTCTGTGTATTTATATGTGTGTGTGTGATGTTTATATATAAAAGAGCTGATTAATTGGCTTAGAAAAAAAGCACTTAAATCATATTTTATCAGAAAAATAGAAACTTTAATGCCTTCTTGTTCACAACAAGAAGTAACAACAAGAAGTAACCCTTCAGTTTTAAAGATTATTAGTAAAATAAAAATGTCTTCAAAATTTAGACATTTGGTCTCAATTAAGGTCAGATATTAGATTTGCTAAATGCTTTAAGTCATAAACTGCTTCTTTGACTTTTGAAAATTGTTCAATTTACCTACTTTGGAGTATGATATTATAGATAAGGCCTGGGGACATATGGAAAGCCATGTCCCCTAGCTATGCTGAAAAGGGTCAGTACTCCTGATGTCCTAGGCTCCACACCTCGTACCTAAATAAATCGCCTACTTATTAGGTTTTTCACCAAAAATAAAAGTTGCTAAGAGTTAACATTGTAACATACAATTGAGACTACTGGAGAAACAGTTTTACATATAAGTTGTCAGGTATAGAAGAAAAGCAGAATATAATCTTGGTGGGAGATTATAAGAAGATATGGGAATATGCTTTTTGTTAAAGAGAATGTAATTTTGTCTAGTTCAGAGGGTTTTAAAAGATTGTCTTAACCTAGAAGAGTAATGGGACAAAATCGAAGGTTTAAGCAAATTAAAAAAGGGTTTGTAAAGGGTTAACCTTGTAAAACATTCTGTGGGTATAAGCAAGTTGGCTAAAATTTAAAGGAGATTATTTAGCTTGTTTCTATAGGTTAAAACATTAAAATCATACTGATTTTATGGGCCCATGTGTCCAAATAATACGGTTTTCTTAAAAAATTAATCTGCTGTTTAATGGAAAATTGTAAAGGGTTCTAAAAAGTTTATGGAAATCTTACCTTCTGGTCAAATTAATTAAAACTGAATAGATTTATAAAATTGTATTTGAAAACTACCTTTAGCATTAGAGATGCACTAATGTGGCTGGGCACAGTGGCTCATGCCTGTCATCCCAGCACTTTGGGAGGCTGAGGCGGGTGGATCACCTGAGGTCAGAAGTTTGAGACCAGCTGGCCAACATAGGGAAACGCTCTCTCTACTAAAAATACAAAAAATTAGCCAGATGTGGTGGCGCACACCTGTAATCCCAGCTACTTGGGAGGCTGAGGCAGGAGAATTGCTTGAACCTAGGAGGCAGAGGTTGCAGTGAGCGAGATGGTGCCACTGCACTCCAGCCTGGACAACAGAACAAGACTCTGTCTCAGCAAAACAAAAAAAAAGCAAACAAAAAAAAATCAAAGTTGACTTACAAAGCCAATAAAAGCCCCTTGGGAAAACTGACCTCATACCTTGTCTACACAATCCCTGTACAGGGTTCCCGACCTGTAGTAAGTAAAAAAATGTCACTTTCTAACAGGCTCAGGAGCCCCAAGTTATCTTGGGATGTCAAGAGAAATTTACCCAACTTATAGGTATTTAAGCTTACAAACCCATGGCTGGGCTCAGCTTTAAAAAGTCTTATCTAAGATTCCTTATGGAATAGAGTTCCATCAAAGCCAATTTAAAAAGCCTCTGTGGGAAATAATCATTCTTGCTACACTTTATGCAAATAATCAGACCAAATCTAATAAGACTAAAATTTACTTTTGCAAACAAATCAGTTCTATCATAATTTGTTTTTAATAAAAATGGAAACTAGAAAGAAAAAAATTATGCTTCAAAAAACTATAGTACATCTGGGCCGGGCACGGTGGCTCATGCTATAATCCCAGCACTTCGGGAGGCCAAGATGGGCAGATCACCTGAGGTCAGGAGTTCGAGATCAGCCTGACCAACATGGAGAAACCCCATCTCTACTAAAAATAGAAAAAATTAGCCGGGCATGGTGGCTCATGCCTGCAATCCCAGCTACTCGGGAGGCTGAGGCAGGAGAATCACTTGAACCCAGGAGGCAGAGGTTGTGGTGAGCTGAGATCATGTCGTTGCACTGTAGCCTGGGCAACAAGAGTGAAACTCTGTCTCAAAAAAAACCAAAACCAAAACCAAAACCAAAACAAAACAAAAGTCTATAGTACATCTGCTATTAGCTGTTCTTGAGTTTTTTCTTCAGTTTGGCTAAATCCTAAATTCTTTGTGGGCTACAAGTTCCCAAAGTAATGCTTTAAAATTTTTGCTTTTAAAACTGGGAATTGCATTCCTTACACTAGTACTCATTATTTACGTTATAGCATACTATTCCCTCAAACGTGGTACTAAAACTGCAAATAATAATACTAACGCCTTTGCCATGCAAGCCTTGGGACCCCAGCCAGGCCTGCATGAGTACTTTCAGACAGTTGCAAAGCAGTTCTACTCCCCTTACCTTGGGGTCGACACCTACCCTCACTATGCCCTTGATCAGCAGGAAGAAGTTAGAGCAGTCTTTGCTCTTTTTCCATCTTCAATTGCCAACATCTTGAGGTTAAGGTGTTATAAAACCCAAAGGGAGGGATTGAAACTGCCATTGCAAAATTGTAACTGAGACAGTGGAAGAGATCTGACCTAACTGACTACATCTCGCTTCTAACCTTCAGGCTGTTCTTGTTCATTCCTGGGTGTAGGCTGAATTGACTTTGGGAGGAAATTATTTTATAGTTTATGGTTTAAAACAAAGACAGTAACAATCCTTTCCCAAAACAAACCTTATTGCCTGGGGACTAGACTGCCTTTGTAGGACTAACAAATTAGCCACAAGATTAGACATTATGGTTTAGGAGTTATGCAGTTGGAGGCTACAAGATTCTGACCCTCCCTAAACTGTTCCTAAGATCAGTGCTTGAGATATTTTGCAGACCCGGAACCTGATGGATCAGCTGGCACCACCCAGATCAATAAACTGGCTCATCTGATCTTGTGGCCCCCTGATCTTGTGGCCCCCCACCCAGGGACTGACTCAGCCCAAGAAGACAGCTTCAATTCCCTACGATTTCATGTCTGACCCAACCAATCAGCACTCTCAACTCACTGGCCTTCCCCCACCCACCAAATTATCCTTAAAAACTCTGATCCACAAATGTTCAGCAAGACTGATTTGAGTAATAATAAGCTCTGGTCTCCTGCCCAAAAAAAAAAAAAAAAAAAAGGGAATATTTCAAGAGAAAAACAATCTTAACCCAAAGCATTCCTTAATAATGGTGGAATTTTAGGAGGCAGAGGTGTTTAGGGGTTGGGGGGCCTTCCTGGTAACACTTAGGTCAGATCTCCTACCTTCCACCAAGCTGTTTCTCTCCCAAAACAGGGCCTTTGCATGTGCTATTCACTTGGCCAGGATTTTGCCTCCCATCCTCATTCCTTTCACTACTTAGCACCTACTCATCTTGAAGGTCTCAGTTGAAGCATCACTTTCTCAGGGAAGCCCTTGCTGACCTCTTGGACTGGGTCAGATTCCATTAATGGTGCTCACGGCACCATGACCATGTCTTCTTAGCACTTGCCACAGCTTCCATTTTCCATACATTTATGTGACTATTCGATTGTTGGCTGACTCCCCTACTAGATACCAAGTTCCATAAGGGCAGCAGTCAGGCTTGCTCTTGGTCATTTGTATCTGCAGCATGTGTACCTTATCTGATTCATGGTGGGCCCCTATTAAATAGTTGTTGACCAAATAGACCAGGAAACTTCAGTGTCTTTAGGCGTCTTCCTTTTTACTCCTGTCACCCCCACTGTCTTATGGAAGCCAAGAACATACATCAGTATCCTTCTACACAGAAGCTTGTAAATATAAAACGTGGCAGAGCAAAGCAAAGGATGTTAAGTAGTCTCTTTTTTCCTGTTCCTTCCACATAGTCCCTTCACAATGCTCCATACGGACACAGTGCCAATGAGGCATGCACATGCTTGTGCCTGCTGGGGGTGAAGCCCATACCAAGCACATCATAACACTCCTTGGGACAAACTTTAAATAACACAGGCATAGTCATACTGTGGCCAAACCTGTGGACCCGAGCTTGCTGTTCAAGGCCCACAGCTCCAGGACACTGTCCTTTGCAGAAGTTGATTAGCATGATTTGGACCATTGAACTAGAACTCCCTACCTCCCTAAGCAAAGCTTAATCTCGACTGTTTCTGCTTCTGTATTGGAAAAAGAGCTGTCCAGCTTTTGCAGATAAGATCAGGGCCATTTATGAAAGCCGTCTTTACCTTTCTTCTCTTTCCTGCAGGCTGTGATGGTCACATATGGTTATTGCTGGGTCTACATCACCCTGGGAGATTTGTCTAAAAACTGAAAGACAACACTCTGGCCTCAGACCAAATGTGGAGTAGAAATGGCCTAGCTTCTTGGCAGCTTCTCAGTTCCACTGACAGCAGCCTTGCTTGTGGAGGTGGCTGGTATCAGGAATATCTCGAGCTTGGGTCCTGGGAAAATTTTTTTCTGTTGCTTTTGTCAGGAATGGGGTGAGGGAAGCTTTAAAGACTCTCTCTCTCTGTCTCTCTCTCTCTCTCTGTGGCATATTTTACATCTTTTTCTTTCTTTTTTTTTTTTTGAGACGTAGTTTCGCTCTTGTTGACCAGGCTGGAGTGCAATGGCGCGATGTTGGCTCACCGCAACCTCTGCCTCCCGGGTCCAAGTGATTCTCCTGCCTCAGCCTCCCGAGTTGCTGGGATTACAGGCATGCACCACCATGCCCGGCTAATTTTTGTATTTTTAGTAGAGACAGGGTTTCTCATGTTGGTCAGGCTGGTCTTGAACTCCTGACCTCAGGTGATCCACCCACCTTGGCATCCCAAAGTGTTGGGATTACAGGTGTGAGCCACCGTGCCTGGCCTACATCAAATATTTTTTAAAATCCTAGAACAAACCAAGATAGATTTCGCTCTAGGAACAGCATCTATCTGTCATTTATAATTGAGACTTTTTAATGTAACTCTCAAGTTTGAGGAACAGAGATTAATTTACATCAAGTGTTTTATAATTGCAATTATTTTGGAGGAGTGAAGGTAGGAAAACAGATCATAATTTAGATTACATGGTAACTTTTTCACACAGTTTAATAAGAAGATTTAAGATGGAGGATTTGGGATCGTCAACCCAAATAGACTTCATTGTTCTTCCAAAAATGGCACGCACAATAAAAGAACAGTGATAATAATAGTGATTACATGTGTGGGCTCAGGTATTGGTTTGAAATCTCAGGTTATTCACTGTGTGACTTCTGGATAATTAAGTCCCTGAGCCCATTTGCAAGCCAGGAAGAGTAATTCCTGCCTGTAGAGTTGTGAGGTGTTTTTTGTTGTTGTTGTTGTTTGTTTGTTTGTTTATTTTTTACAGGATCTCACTCTCTCGACCAGGCTGGAGTGATGTTTTTGATATAAAAACCTATAGGGGGCTGGGCACGGAGGCCCATGCCTGTAATCCCAGCACTTTGGAAGGCCGAGGTGGGTGGATCACTTGAGGCCAGGAGTTCGAGACCAGCCTGGCCAACATGGTGAAACCTCATCTCTACTAAAAATACAAAAATTAGCTGGGCATGGTGGTGCGTGCCTATAATCCCAGTTACTCAGGAGGCTGAGGCATGAGAATCGCTTGAATCTGGAAGGCAGAAGTTGCAGTGAACTGAAACTGCGCAATTGGACTCCAGCATGAGTGACAGAGTAAGACTCTGTCTCAAAAAACAAACAAACAAACAAAAACCTGTGGGGTAGGCAGAGTGTGGAGAGAAAAGAAAAAAAATCCGCCTAAGGGGTAGATAATCTTAGCCAGGTTTTTAGATAAGAAAACTGAGGTCCGGGGTGGTTAGGTGACTAGCCCAGAGTTGCACAGCTAATAAATGGCAGTATCTCAGAACCAGGACCTACATTCAGGTTTTCTAATCCCAATTTAAGGAATTCTTTCTATTATGCCACAGCACTAAAAGTTCAACTAAAATCAGATTGAGAAATTTAAAAGTGTATATTCTATTTATATAACAAATTATGATACTCTCTTATTAGCCTGGAAGAGCAATTTGAAATTTTCAGACAATTTCATTCACTTGCTCTCTGTAAGCCCCAGGAGGATGTGGGTTTTTTCAGATGAGAAGGTATGGAGGATTAGGGGTTTACAGAGCTTCTCGAAAGTCACAGGGCTAGGTTGGGGGCAGGTGTGCTGACAATAGTGCAGCTGCAACTAGGCCTGCCCCCAACAGAGAGTCCCTCTGTGATCCTGCAGGGCCTCGCCAGCACAGGGGCGGGCACCAACTAGACTCCGATGAGTGCGAATTCACTGATAACAGTTAACAGTATTGAATGCCCCAGCTGTGCAGGTTGGGAATTACCTGTATTTTCCCACTTAATCCTTAAGATAATCCACCAGGTTTTTTTCGTTTGTTTGTTTTGTTTTTGAGACAGAGTCTTGCTCTGTTGCCCAGGCAGGAGTGCAGTGGCACGATCTCGGCTCACTGCAACCTCTGCCTCCCGGGTTCAAGTGATTCTCCTGCCTCAGCCTCCTGAGTAGATGGAACTGCAGGCATGTGCCACCACACCCAGCTAATTTTTGTATTTTTAGTAGAGATGGGTTTTCGCCATGTTGGCCAGGCTGGCCTTGAACTCCTGACCTCAAATGACCTGCCCACCTTAGCCTCCCAAAGTGCTGGGATTACAGGCGTGAGCACCACGCCCGGCCGCTACCAGGTTTTGGAGAGGTCATAAACTGAGGAGTGTTCTGCCTGATTCTAACATCTACACACTCACCCATTACATACATACATTCCATTTTGATAAATCAAGTCAGGCTTGCTAATCTTAATTTGGTGCCCTTTCCAGTAGTAATTAGTTTTACTGTGGGCCAATAAAAACCAAGATTCCATATCAAGCACAGAACAATTCAACCAACAGATCCCTAGAAACCTATCAAGAAGGAAGAAAAAGAGATTAAGGAGATTTGGGCAGATCCTTCATAGCTCTCCTTGCAACTTTAATCAACATACAGCATGTTCTCGCAGGGGGAGGTCCCCACCCTCAGCATTGAAAGTGAAATAACACACTCTGTGTTGCTGATCCTGGATTGAAACGTATGACCTACAGAAACTCAATGAGCTTGAATTAATGTTTGTTAAAGAAGAAATATGGTTTTTAAAAGTAGTATCCTTTTGATCCCTGACTGCAAAATACTCAGCTTGGCGCTAACTTAGCTTCTTCCCCTATATACCGTGTCTCTCTCTCTCTCTTTCCCCATGTTGTAGCTATTAAGCACAAATTGAGGACCATGTGATCCTTCATCCTGAGTCAAAAGCCTTTCAAGCTCCCACCCTGAGCCATCCAAGATTCCTTAACTTTCTTTCAGCCTCTATAAAAATCAATTATTGTTCTGTTTTATATACGTACACTGAACCTCTCAACAACAGCTTGATTCAGCAGAACGCTCTGGTCTTAAACTTTTCAGTGAAGCAGTGAGTGGTGAAAGCTTTAGTGTAGCTACTGAACTGATCCTGACAGCAATAAAGGAGAAAAAAAAAGTTTGCTTCCGGAATTGTTAAGAAATGTTTTGCATTGCACAATATCTGAACCAGGAGGGCAGCTCATCAGCTGAACATATTGCCACAGAAGTGCTTCCTCCTGAAGTGGGAGGGGTTGAAAGACAAGAAGGGTCACAGGTAGGAGCTGACAAAGCTGGCAGGCAAAAGCAGCAGAACATTGAACAGAAAGGCACTGAGAATCTCTGGATCTGAAAAGTGATCAGCAGGGTAAAGGATGGCCAAGGACAGAATCCAGTCTTCCTCTTGACCACAGTGCAGCTGTTCTTTTTCTGCTCCATGAATTTGCTAAGGGGGGAAAAAGCAACCCCTGGCCTGTCTACTGTCAAGGACAGTGAAATATGCTGGGTCATGACCAAGTTGTTTCTTAGCTTCCCAGAGCTTCTAACCACTAGACAGCACTATCTCTAGTCCTTGCCGGTAAAATCAAAATTCAGTGCTCTACAGAAGGCAGCATGGTGTAGAGGAGTGCCTCCCAAACTTTAGTCTGCATGGGAATCACCTGGAGTCCTGTTAAAATAGAGATGACTGGGCCCCATGCCAGACTTTCAGATTTAGTAGATCTGGAGTGGGGCCAAGAATTTGCATTTCTAACAAGTTTCCCAGTTGTTACAGATGTTGCTGGTCTGGGAACTATGCTCTGAGAGCCTGTGGTCTAGAGGAGAAACACGGACTTGGGAGTAGACAGACATGGGTTCTGGTACCAGTTCTTCCACTTCCGGTGTGCCTTTGAGAGAGCTGCTTCTTTGAGCTTTGGTTTTCTCATCTGACAGGACAGATAATGGCAGACAATGGTAGTGTGGTTAGATGCATGGACTGTGACTGTGTTCCGATCTGGCTCTGCTACTGTCTATGTGACCTTACACAAATTATTTTCACCTCTTTATCCTTCTATTTGCTCATTTATAGAGTGGGGGTAATAGCAGCATCTACCACGTAGAGTTGCCTTGAGCCTTGAGAGAGTGAGACTATGTAAAGCATTTACAACAGTGCATGGTACATGGGAAACACTAGATAAACATTTGCTATTATGATTTTTTTGCACTTGTTAGAATTACATGGAATAAAGCATGTAAAGTGTCTTATGTGACATCAGACGCATAGAAAGTGTCTAGTAAATGTCAATTTCCTCTCCTTTACCCAAAACAAGCAAGTCAGAGTGCTGACCAAAACAATGTCCTTTAAGTGGAGATCTTAGCAGAAGGGTACAGTCAAGAAAGATAACAGCATGAGGATTTTAGCTGTTAGTGGGGCAGAGTATGTCAGATGCCACCTCTTTGTAAACTGAGGGGTCCATGCCAGCAGGGCCTTCCTTTGAGCAAAGATCAGCAACTTGGACCATTTGGACAACTTCTGCCTGGTGTTCACAGATGTGGGAAAGGTTTAAGGAACTCCTGGCAGTATATTGAAAGACCAGCATTCCCTTTGGGGAGAAGGGCTGGAATTAGCTAAGCATAGCTCAGGGCACACAGGCATCCTCATTTAAAGGCTGGCAGGACTCAGGCTAATTCATTTCCTTCATTTTCCCCTGCCCACAGATCAAGGCAGCCCTAAAATTACCACGGAGCTGATTGCTGAGGGCTAAGACAGCTGTGGTCATTTATCTTCCTTTCTGACCATGTTCTCTGGAAATGGCCTGTGAATAAACGGCAGGATGGAAGGTTAGATAAAACTGTCCATCATCCCTGTTGTATCCAGTGAGAATCTAGGGAGTTACTGTAGGACAAAGCATCTATATACATTTTGCGTAGGCTATATATTAATAACTCCCTCTTGGATATTTTTGATACCCAGTAGTATACCCTAAAGGCCCTGAGAAGTCCCACAGTGAAGAAATGATGCTTTTTATTCTTAACTCATCAGTCTTCAAATTGTTTGACCATGGAAACGTTTTTTCATTTAGACAAATAATTCCTCTTAACATACGGTAGCAAATGCTGGACCAGGCAGAAATTTAAATGTCCAGATGTGGAATTGTTTAAACAGTGAGGGCCTCTGACCTCTAGGGGGAAATAGATTAAGTTTCCAGATGCTTTAGTTTTAGCTTAGATTAAGCCATATATCAGTTTCCAAATGTTTTAGCTTATTGCTCGATCCATACTAAGTACTTGTCAAATGCTGGCTCTCCAAATATCACCAACACAACCTGCTGATAAGTCAAAGCTATCTGTATTGTTTATTGTGGTAGGGAAGATCACCTCCTAGGCAGAGCTTTGGTAATATCTCTGAGGGGAAAAAAGCAAGGTTGTATTTTATTATTTAAAAAATTATTTTATGCCTTCCGATCAGTGGTGAATTAAAAAATATGTTTTATTGGGAGTTTGGTTTAAGGTGATCTTTCGGTAAGGGAGCTTGATGAAGATTGAATAAGGATAATAACACAACAGTGTAGAATTGGAAACAGCAAGGAAAGGATTTTGAGTTGAGGGATTTGAAGATCCTTAGGGTGTTAACCGTCTGCTGGTACTTCCTGTTGAAGAGTGAAGGATCTTTTTGGGAAGTTTCTGTAATGAATAATCAAATTATTTGCTTAGGCTAGAATCTCCTGGAATAGTAAAGTTATGCTAATGAAGACAGTGGAGTAGTAAACTTACGTTAATGTAGGAAAGAAAGTGTATGTATGTGTGTGAGTGAGTGTGTGAGTGTGTGTGTGTGTTGAGAGGGAGAGAGTTAGAGAGACAGGTCAAGTCCTTAGTTCCCAAGCTGTGTATATGGGATAGATGGTTTTCATTCTCATCCTTAATTCCTGAACTTATTATATGGATGTTGCATGCTTATGTATTTTATTTTAGTTGTTTCTGCCAGGCTAGACTGAAGTGGGATATAACCTGAGGATGTTACATGTGTGTTGACTGTAGTCTACGTCACTGTTGAGTTTCCACTGTGTGTCAATGCCAAGACCACCACCACTTCCCTTGAATGTGTATTGTGTCAATGCTTGCAGATAAACTCACATTATCCAGAGCTGTGAAACTTCTCTTAAGAATGCTGTCATCTGGGGACATATCAGCAAGAATGATGTCCATTCCTTTGTTGGATTGTAGTATATTTTGGGGCAAGGAACTTCAACTTGGAAATGATGAAGTGGGCCATTGTTTGTTTGCTGAGGATAGAGCCTCCTAGAAGTAGTGAATCCCTTGGTAATGACCATGATGAGGAATGCATTGATGTGGACTGCTTTCCATTTACTGAGGAAGTTCATATGGCTTTAATGTCTTCCTTATTTTACAAAAACAAAATAAAGAATGTCACTGATCACTCAAGTTTTATATGACATTTTTGAAGAAAATGATGAATTTGGTCTTCACAGGATCAAAGTATAGAATGAATTACAGGTTCAATAATAAAATTGAACTGATATCTTTGATAACAATAAATTTATATTCCATGAATTAAATGAGTTAAAAAAATAAAATCTTTAATCCCAATCTCTGATGTCATATGACCAACTCAGGAAATATTTTCTGTGAAATTATTTTACCTTTTCCTTTGGAGAACTACTTTTATCTCCAGGTTATTTAATCCTATTTGGAAAAAAGAAAAATTCTGGGCTAATGGCACAATTACTTTGAAAACAGAGGAATGTTGCTACCTTACGTACTATCAAACCTCTTCTGTTACAAGTTGATATGATTCTATTGCAAAAATAAAAAAGATGTGTCTAAGATCTTGGATAGTACAATTTTAATATTGACTTTAATAATCAAATACTAGTTGAGTGAAACCAGGCCTAATTGTTTAGATGGCAGGAACTACCTGAATTCATGAGAAATCTGAAATGCAAACTATATTTTAAGGACAAAGGATGTACAGTAAGTGAAGATAGTTCAGCTCAATAATATACATTTATTGAAGTCCACACCAATTGCAGCATTATGCTAGATCCTGGGAATTCAAAAATCAGTATGAGCTAGTCCCTGTCCTTGATCTCATTATCTAGAATGGGAGAATGAAGGGAAAAGATGTAAGTCAGAATATAGTAGGTGCTATGATATGGCACAGAATGCTGGGGGTCAGTTGAAGGCTTCTAGAAGAGATGATGTATTAGTTATGTATCACTGCATAACAGTGACCCCAAACTTAGTGGATTTGAACAATACACATTTGTTATCTCATATTGTTTTTAAGGGCTCGAAAGTCTGGAGGTGGCTTAGCTAGGTTGATATGATTTGTCTGTGTCCCCATCCAAATCTCATCTTGAACTGTAGCTCCCATAATCCCCACATGTTGTAGGAAGGACCTGGTGGGAGGTAATTAAATCATGGAGGCAGGTTTTCCCATGCTGTTCTTATGATAGAGAATAAGTCTCACTAGATCTGATGGTTTTATAAATGGCAATTCCCCTACACACGCTCTCTTGCCTGCCACCATGTAAGATGTGCCTTTGCTCCTCCTTTGCCTTCCACCATGATTGTGAGGCCTTCCCAGCCATGTGGAACTGTGAGTTCGTTAAACTTTTTTTGCCTTATAAATTACCCAGTCTCAGGTATTTCTTCATAGCAGTATGAAAATGGACTAATACATGAGTAGTTCTAGCTCAGGGTCTCTCCTGGGTTGTGCCCATCTGAAGGCTTGACTGGGGAAGGATCCACTTTCAAGATGGCCCGTTCACATGGCTGTTGGTAGGTGGCCTCAGTTCTTCACTATAGGGGCCTTTCCATAGAGCTACTCACAACATGGCAGCTAACTTATCCCACCTGAGTTAGGGATCTTATTGTGAAAGTGAGAAAGGCAAAAGTCACAATTTCTTATAACTTAGTCTCAGAAGTGGCATTCCATTGATTGTACAGATCAACCCTGATACCATATGGGAGAGGACCATACAAGGGTGTGAATACCAGGAGGCAGGGATTGTTGGCGGCCATCTTGGAGGCTGGCTACCAGAGATACTTCCTAAACCTAGTAGAAATTCCTAGGAAATATGACTTGACAAATTATTATATTATTATTTTAAATGTTTTAATTAACTGATAATCTTAGCTGATAATTTTAACTAAAATATGAAGGTCCATGTATAAAAGGAGAATAATAATTGTAGCCAATATTTATTGAACTCTTTCTATAAAGCAGGTACTGTCAAACCACTTTAATCATCTAATTGAGAGGGAGGACAGGATAGTGTTTAAACATCTGGATTCTAGAGCCACATAGACTTTTAAAAAAATATTGACAGGTTGAGGCAGATTACTTAAGCACTCTGTGCCTTGATGTTCTTATCTGTAGACAAAAGGAATAGTATTTCCTTCATAGGATTTGAAACCGCCTTTACAAAATTTTGACTGAGACAGTGAAAGAGATCTAACTTAACTGACTCCATCTTGCTTCTAACCTCCAAACTGTCCTTGTTCATTCCTGGGCGTAGGCTGAACTAACTTTGGGAGAAACTTAGTTTATAATTTATAGTTTAAAACAAAGATGACAACAGCCCTTCCCCAAAGCATACCTCCTTCTTGCCTGGAGACTAGGTTGTCTCTGCAGGACTAACATTAGCGACAAGATTAGAAATTATGGTTTAGGAGTTATGCAGCTGGAGGATACAATATTCTGATTCTTCCTAAACTGCTCTTAAGATCAGTGCTTGAGATATTTTGTAGGCCCTGCACTTGATGGATCAGCTGTCACCAGCCAGATTGATAAACTGGCTCATCTGATCTTGTGGCCCCCACCCAGGAACTGACTCAGTGCAAGAAGCTGGCTTCTTCTTTTTTTTTTTGACACAGAATCTCGCCCTGTCACCTACGCTGGAGTACAGTGGTGCAATCTCAACTCACTGCAATCTCTGCCTCCTGGGTTCAAGTGATTCTCCTGTCTCAGCCTCCCCAGTAGCTGGGATTACAGGTGCGCACCACCATGCCTGGCTAATTTTTATATTTTTAGTAGAGATGGGGTTTTGCCATGTTGGCCAGGCTGGTCTCGAACTCCTAACCTCAAATGATCCACCTGTCTCAGCCTCCCAAAGTGCTGGGATTATAGGCGTGAGTCACCGTGCCCAGCCAAGAAGCCAGTTTCTGCTCTCTATGATTTCATCCCTGACCAATCAGCACTCCTGGCTCACTGCCTTACCCCCCACCCACCAAGTTGCCCTTAAAAGCTCTGCTCCCTGAATGCTCAGGGAGACTGATTTGGGTAATAATAAAACTCCAGTCTACACAGCTGGCTCTACATGGATTACTCTTTCTCTATTGCAATCCCCCTGTCTTGAGAAATTAACTCTGTCCAGGCAGTGGGTAAGCTGAACCCCTTGGGCAATTACAGATTGTCTTGAGGGTAAAGTAAGCCCAGCCTTTGGCCTGTCTCCTAACTGGAATACTTAGGTGCAGAAATCCAGCTTGTCTGTCCATCCTTTCTTTCTCTCCTTCCTTCCCTCCTTCCTTCCTTTGTTTCCATTTTCTTTTTTTTAAAACTATTGGAAGACTGTAAGACATGGGCATCACATTGGACTGGCCCAGTAGGAAGCAAGGAAATCTAGTTTAGAGTTGGATGTACTACACAAAGCAGGCTGGTCTACCCCCATGAGGCCAGTGAGCTGGGCTGGGTTTCAAGTTGTCAGTCGACTGCCTTGCTCAATCCTCTTGAAAGAACAACAACAGCAACAAAAATGTGGGTCACCCTGTGGACTATTGGGCAAGTATCTGAATGCTCCCTAGGGCAGCTGCTCAGTGGCTTGGAACAACCCATGCTTTTTCAATGGGACACTGAAAGCTGGCCAATAGGCCACCCTAAGGTGTCCCTCTGATTTCATGCCCTCATGACCGAGGACTTCTCTCTTGTTGGCTCTGGCTCCCCTGAAGTCCCACTTACCATTCTCATCTGGCTGAATCTGGCTGAACTTGTGGTGGGGGCTCCTGTCCTCTTTATTTCTTTAGCATTGGTCAAAATGTCCCTGTGGGACACCCTTCCCTGCCCCGTGCCCAGTTATTTCTATCTTTAGAAGGTAGAAACTGTGGATACAAGTGCTGGCTCATTCTCAGCTAGGTCATCTGTCCAGAGCCTTCCTGGGTTATGCAGGCATGCTGTAGCTTTCATTTATCAATGCTTGGGATTGTGAAAACAGCTTTTCACAAACGAAACAACCAAAAACTCCAGACAAGTTTACCTAAATTTGTAAAGGTTTCTAAAGCTGTTTTTTTTTCTTGTGCACAGTTATTTAAAAATGAACAGCAATGATTTATAATGCCAGTGAGGGCAACTGTGTTTAGAATGTTGCACCCACTTCTGACAGCCCCTACTACCCCCTCCTTTCTTTAGAAATGACACTCAGGCCTTTAAAAATGTACATGGTGTGATATAGTAACAAAAATATATTTGGTCACTGCCTCCATTTCCTGGCAGACAGCTCTTAAAACCCCTGGAATTGGCTGGGTGTGGTGGCTCATGCCTGTAATCCCAGCACTTTGGGAGACCGTGGTGGGCAGATCACTTGAGGAGTTTGAGACCAGCCTGGCCAACATGGTGAAACCCTGTCTCTACTAAAAATACAAAAATTAGTTGGGCATGGTGGTGCACACCTGTAATCCCAGCTACTTGGGAGGCTGAGGCAGGAGAATCGATTGAACCCAGGAGATGGAGGTTGCAGTGAGCCGAGATTATGCCACTGCACTCCAGCCTGGGCAACATAGTGAGACTCTGTCTCAAAAACTAACTAACTAACTAACTAAATATCCTGGAATTTCCTTAGTGATAAGTGTCTTTTTGTATGTTAATGAGATGACTGAAGGCTGGGGGCTTCTGGATGGCCTCTGGACAAGCAGGGTGGGGTGGAGGTAGGGTGGCTGGTTGCCAGGGGAAACAATCATGTGATTAGAGGGTTGGGACTTTCAGCCCCACCACTCAACTCTTACCTCCAGGTAAGGGGAGAGGGGCTGAAGGCTGAGGGGGTTGATCACTGATGGCAAGTGATGTAATCGATCATGCCTATGCAGTAATGAAGCTTCCTTAAAAACTCAGAAGGATGGGCTCAGAGAGTTTGTGGGTTGCTGACCTTGCGGAGGTGCCTGGTGGGTGGCATACCTGGAGAGGGCAAGGAAGCTCTGCACCCTGTGTCCAGTATCTTCCCATATGCAAGGGCAACATATCTGTTCCATCTGGCTGTTTCTGAGTTGTACTGAGACAAGAAATTTCCCTTGACCCTTGTGATGGGGTGCTTCCCTTACTCAGCCTGCAGCTCTTAACCCCTTGAGGGAGGGGGAGCATGCAGGTGAGCGGGTGCAGGAGCTGGAGTAAGCGTTTTTGGGCGCCAGCAGGAGCAAAACTCTGTGAGGCCCTGTGACAGCATCTGGGCGGAGAGGGGGTGTGGTCCCTGTGACCCATGAAGCCCCAGAGGGCGTGTGTTACAGTGGTCTTTTAGCATTGCTGTCCACAGATGCCTTAAGTGTTAAACAGTTCAGTGGGCCCTCTACCTATTCATGAGGGCAGAGGATCAGCATAACAGCCTTTAGTGTCTGCACTTGTGGCACCCAAGCTCTTGTTTGGTGTCCAGGAAAACTCAGGTTGCATGAACGAATTGAAGGGTGGTGAATGTGGAGGATTTTATTGCCAATGAAAGTGGTTCTCAGTGGGAAGGGAAGCTGGAAGGGGGATGGAGCAGGAAGGTGATCTTCCCCTGGAGTACAGCCATACCCAGCTGGACTCCTCTCTGAAGCAACACCGTCAAGCTGTCCCTCTAAAGTCAAGCTGCTTCTCTCTGATGTGCAACCGCAGTCTCTGACGTCCATCTGCTTCTTCTCTTCTCCCCTTCTCTGCCCTCCACCAGTTGGGTTAGGGGTTTTTATGGGTACAGGATGGGGGGTGGAGAGGGCCGTGTGTGGTTTTGGAAAAGGCAACATTTGAGCGGGAAAGCAGGAATGCACGTTTTCACTTTAGGTTATGGTTCCATGCTTGAAGGTGGGGCTTCACCAGGGACCCTGCCCTTTTCTGCCTAGAATTTCTCTGCCTCCTGTCCCTATCAGTACCCTTTGTAATAAACTGGTAGTCTAGTAAGCAAAATGTTTTTCTGAGTTCTGTGAGCCATTCTAGGAAACGATGGAACCTGAGATGGGTTCTGGGAAGCTCTGATTTACAGCCAATCAGTCAGAGGCACCAGTGACAACTTGGGCTCATGATTGGTGTCTGAAGTGTGGGGGAGAGGTGGGGAGAAGTCTTGTGGTACTGAGCCCTGAACCTGTGGGATCTGACGCTACTTCCAGGTACATAGTGTCTGAATTGAATTAAATTGTAGGACACCCAGTTGTCCTACAATTGTCTGGCGTGGGAATTGGAGAATTGTCTGGCATGGGAACAGGCCACACATCTGGTCACAGAAGTGTTCTGTGCTGAGTGTGAGCATAGAAAACACTGTTTGTTCTTTTATTTAGTGTCAGATTTGAAGTATTGAGAGTATCTTGGAGGACAAATCTATTTTCCCTAACAATGGGAAATACCAACTACTTGCCAGGGATTGATCTGTAAGTAAGAACTGCCTTAGTAAAGTAAACCCTCATTAGCAGATGGTTATCTCATGGCTTCCTATATTTACCTTTCCATGATGAATGGGAAGACCTGCCATTGCCAAGATAAAGAGTTTTCCTAAAGTTTGGGCAGCCTCCACCTTTCCCAAGCCAGCTGTCACCCCTGGCCCCATTCCTGCCTGGTTGGCAGCAGTCTCTGAAGTCAAGCTCTCTACATCTGGGTTGGGGCCGAGGTGCCAGGAACAGGCAAGAGGAAGCTCTTTTTCCACATCTGCCAACCCCCATCCTTCTCTTTGTTGAGAGCTTTTCTCAAACCTTGTCCCCTTAGAGAAACCTGCCTAAAACCATGGAGTGGCCAGCCCCCTTTCGTGTGTCCACAGGCAAACTTCCATCTAGGTTAGCCACTCTAGATTTTTTAATTTTTATTTATTTATTTATTTTACTTTATTTTATGTTTATTTATTTATTTTTTTGAGACAGAGTCTCACTCCATTGCCCAGGCTGGAGAGCCAGTGGTGCAATCTTGGCTCACTGCAACCTCTGCCTCCCTGGTTTAAGCAATTCTCCTGTATCAGCCTCCTGAGTAGCTGGGATTACAGGCATGTTCCATCATGCCTGGCTAATTTTTGTATTTTTAGTAAGATGGGGTTTCACCATGTTGACCAGGCTGATCTTGATCTTCTGACCTCAGGTGATCTGCCCACCTCAGCCTCCCAAAATGTTGGGATTACAGACGTGAGCCACCGCACCCAGCCAGATTTTTGTCATAAATAAATGCAAGCATATTTCTCCACAAAAGGAATATAAATGACACAAAGGTATATGTGACTATCCATTTTCTTGCATCACTAACCAACCAGATTGAGAGAAAGACATGGTTCTGAGGCTTTAGCCTGCGGAGTGTTCAAGATTGTGGGCTTTGAAATGGGCCTTCCTGGTTCCAATTCAGACACATAGTAGAGGGGCCTTTCAGCCTCCCTATGCCTCATTTTCTTTACTGGCAAAATGCAAATAATGCTAGTATTTACCTTTTGGAGTTGTTGTGAAGATGATGGGACCTTATAAAGCATCTAGAAAGTGCCTGGCTCATATAAACTCTCAATATTCCACCCACTACCCATAATTTTTTTTTTTTTTTTTTTTTTGAGACAGAGTCTTGCTCTGTTGCCCCAGGCTGGAGTGCAGTGGCGCAATCTTGGCTCACTGCACCCTCTGCCTCCCGGGTTGAAGCAATTCTCCTGCCTCAGCCTCCTGAGTAGCTGGGATTACAGGTGCGCGCTACCCAACTAATTTTTTTTGTGTGTATTTTTAGTAGAGATGGGATTTCACCACATTGATCAGGCTGGTCTCAAACTCCTGACCTTGTGATCCACCCACCTTGGCCTCCCAAAGTGCTGGGATTACAGGCGTGAGCCACCACGCCTGGCCTACTACCCATAATCTTAATTTAAAAAAATCAGTCTGCACTCAAGGTTTCTTCCTGAAGCCTTGTGGGAAGGTCTGACTACAGATACACATGTGTCTCTGTTGCTGTAGCTCAGCGTTCATGAGTGTCCTGTTATATCATTTGTGAACCTGCAAAAGTCTTAAAAGAATAGTAAAAAAGGACAAATGGGCAATTCTAATTCTGTACTCTGCTCTGAGCAGAAACTTTTGGTTTATTACAGGCATGAAAGAACTAGAGCTTTAAGTTCACACTGGCCTTATGCATAGAATCCAGAAAAAAAGAAAAATTAGCATAATAGGCATTTTGACTATTTGCTCAACTTTTATAGTCAGTTGGAACAAGCCACCCAGTTTCCAAATTATTCCTTGTACAGGATTTGTAATAGAACAAATCACTCAGTTGCCATGTTTTGTTTTTTCCTTCTGTAGATTGAGAATTACTCTGACCATTTCAATGGGGTTAAAGGTTAATTTCCCGATAATTTAAATTTACTAACTTCACCATTGAAAGAGCTCCATAATCCAATGGGCAAAATAATCTCAACTAAAAGCTGAGATTGAGAAGTTTCTGGCTTCGTGTCCTACTATAACTTCTTAGGTGATATTGGAGGAAAGTAAATGCCACTCCAGTTTTAATTTTTGATGAGGGAAGTATTGCTTTGCCAGGCATTCAGCTGATAGAAATCATATGGTGTTTGATTATCAAGAATCCTGGAGGTACACGTTATCTTTTTGCTTGAGGGGGAACCAGTGCCAGAAGGAAGGAGGATGGTATAAGGGTGAAGAAGGGAGGTTGAGGGGAAAAGAAAGGAAAAATGGAAAAAAGGAAAACCTTTTAATGTTTTCTCCTCTTGGGAATGAACAGCAAAAATTGATTTGGGCTGGGTGCAGTGGCTCAGGCCTGTAATCTCAGTACTTTGGGAGGCTGAGGCTGGTGGATTACTTGAGCCAAGGAGTTTGAGACCACCCTGGGCAACATGGTGAAACCCTGTCTCTACAAAAAATACAAAAATTAGCTGGGTGTGGTGGCATATGCCTGTAGTCCCAGCTACTTGGGAGGCTGAAGTGGGAGGATTCCTTGAGCCCAGGAGGCTGAGGCTGCAGTAAGCCATGTTTGTGCCACTGCACTCCAGCCTGGGCGACAGAGTGAGAACCCATTAAAAAAAAAAAAAAAAAGTTGATTCGGAAGCGATATTGGAGAGGCAGTAAATCTCTCTGTCAAGGTGTGTGTGGCAGCAAGATGGCTGATCTCCCCATCAATCTATCTCCATAATCCTCACCGAGTTCTGCTATCAGAGGCCCTCGGAAGGTGACTGTCAAACAGAGCATGACTTTTCCCAGCATATGGAACATGCCTAGTTTGAGAAGCTTGAGAGGGCCATTAAGAGGCTGCAGCAAAAGGGAATAGATGGTATCCAAGAAACATCTGTCCAATTGACATCAGTTTACATCAAGGCAAAGAAAGTTCTATTGCAGTGTCCCCTGCACATGTGAATTCGAGGTGATGGCTTCTCCTGCAAGGCTGACAATGCAACAACCATGTTATCCATTATTATAATTCACTCACATTTTAGATGTGAAAACCCACCCAAAGTTGTCTCATCAGGGCTGGGATTCAAACTGATTTCCTCAAACTATGACAGCCCCAACCTCAGGATTCCACATTGAATTATTAATTATTTTTTAGCAGAGCTGATGGATATGTTAAAAGAAAACAACAGCAAACAGCAACAACATAACTACCATATAATGTCATAAGCAGTGTAACAGAGGCACATATCAATTGCGTTAGTAACTCAAAGTGGAGAGCAGTTGACGTGAGGGTGAGGGAGGGAAGGTGAGAATGGGGTAAAGTTAGGGAGGCTCTGAGGAGTAATCGTTGTGAAGTTTTATCTAGTATGCTTCTGGGGGAAGAGATCACAAATGGGGCTGCCTGTGGACACATTGTCTTTCACAGTGTTTGAAATTATTTTGAATAAATTTCCAACACTTATTTATTTATTTATTTAGAGATGGAGTCTCGCTCTGTCACCCAGGCTGGAGTGCAGTGGCATGATCTTGGCTCACTGCAACCTCTGCTTCCCGGGTTCAAGTGGTTCTTCTGCCTCAGCTTCCCAAGTAGCTGGGACCACAGGCATGTGCCACCATGCCTGGCTAATTTTTTTTTTTTTTTTTGAGATGGAGTCTTGCTCTGTCACCCAGGCTGGAGTGCAGTGGAGTGATCTCGGCTCAGTGCAACCTCTGCCTCCCGCGTTCAAGCAATTCTCCTGTCTCAGCCTCCTGAGTGCCTGGGACTACAGGCGCACACCACCTCACCCAGCTAATTTTTGTATTTTTAGTAGAGACGGGGTTTCACCATATTGATCAGGCTGGTCTTGAACTCCCCACCTCAGGTGATCCACATGCCTCGGCCTCCCAAAGTGCTGGGATTACAGTCATGAGCCACCGTGCCCAGCCATCCGGCTAATTTTTGTATTTTTAGTAGAGATGGGGTTTCACCATGTTGGCCAGGCTGGTCTCGAGCCCCTGACCTCAAGTGCTCTGCCCACCTCAGCCTCCCAAAGTGCTGGGATTACAGGCGTGAGCCACCGCACCTGGCCCCAACATTTAAAAACAGGATATTTCACATAAAAATAAAAATTTCTCATTTCTCTTTGAAAATTAGATTTGTTAACACGGGGTCCCATGGTTTCACATGGTATCAACTAGCTGACTGCTTCATCCTGGGCAAGCGTGTCGACCGCCCATGTTGTCCTCACTAGGCCTCTCTTAACCCAAGAGGTTGAGAAGATAAAATTTTCTGAGGCATATCAACATGTAAGCTTATAAGTTTAAAGAGCCAGAGGGGTAGGAAAAATCCTTGTTTACTTAAGTAGACTAAAATATTAAAGCAATCTGCTATTTGTTGATATTCTTTACTACTTAGGCTTTCCTTTTATGATAATCACATACAGACATACTTCTACGTGATTATCACAAAAGAGAGCTGAAAATCCTATCGAGATTGTGGAGACGTTGGAGTGAATTCAGAAAGAAATATGCTTCTGAAAAGGGCAGTGATAAACTAGGAACACTAAGGACTTGCATTCCACCATGTTTTGCTGGCTTCTCTGATTACTGATAGAAATACTTTAACAAAATCAACTAATTTATAATTTATTCCATTTTTTCTAATTCTCATATCTGGACATATTATCTAACTTAGAGGCTTTCAAACAATTTTGACCATGACCCACAGCATGAAATACATTTTTCATCACATACATGCATATACATTTGTAACTGCAAAACATTTCAAATCCCAACACTTCCTCTTACATAATGCAACTCTGACATTTCCTATTCTATTTTAATCTGCATTTCATTTTAAAAACAAAAGCCCTGCAGGTCAACCCACTAAATTGATTCCACAACCCACTGATACTTCACAACCTGCAGCGAAAAACGCTGGCTTAACATGAGGACTGACAATGTCTGAAATTATGACTGTATTAGGAAAATCTAGGGTATAATAGTAATGATATTTATACACTGTCAAATTCCAAAAAGGATACCTTGTGGCTGGAGGCACATATGATGACCCCCCGCCCCCTGCAACACTCTGTGGCCAGCTCCTGCTACCTCTGTAATACGGTAGTCCCCATTTATCCACAGTTTCACTCTCTGTAATTTCAGTTACCCACAGTCTACTGTAGTTCAAAAATATTAAATGGAAAATTCCAGAAATAAATAATTCATAAGTTTTAAATTGTGTACTGTCCTGAGCTTCATGATGAAATCTCATGCCATCTCACTCTGTCCCACCCAGGACATGAATCATCCCTTTTCCAGCATATCCATGTTGTATATACTACTCACATGTTAGTCACTTAGTAGCCTTTGCTTATCAGATCGACTGTCACATTACTGCAGTGCTTGTGTTGAAGTAAACCTTATTGTTCTTGATAACAGCCCCGAAGGCCAATAGTAGTGATGCTGGCAATTTTGATATGCCAAAGAAAAGCCAAATATATGCTAAAGAAAGTTAATTTCTTACTGTGCTTAATTTATAAATTAAACTTTATCATAGGTATGGGTATGTATGTATAGAAAAAAATCAAAGTATATATAACATTTCGTACTATCTGCAATTTCAGGCATCTACTGGGGGTCTTGTAATGTATCCCCCATGGATAACAAGGGACTACTGTACTTTGTTCCTGGACCTGGGAAACTTTCACCTCTTATTAGGTACTGCACATAAGCACCCATAACTCAGGATATAGACCATTCCCTTAGAAAAGGCAATTCCAGGTGAAAATGAATTCAAAATGCTAAGAATATTTACAAGTTACATAAAAAACAAAACACTGTAAGATAACTAACAGATGCAATGAATAGGAAAAATAACATCCCAACAAACTGAGATGAAAGAATAATCTGAGTGAGAATATAATAAATATTTTTAAAATATTTATATTTTAATAATAATAAATATAATATAATTTAATATTATTAAATAAATATAATTTAATAATAAGAAATTCAAAGTGTAGGAAAGAATAGGGCAACATTAATGTAAAATTCATATATTTGAAAAGGATACAAATAGAATTTCTAGAAATGAAAATTATGTTCATTGAAAGTAAACCCATTTGGGACTGATTTAATATCTGATTACATAGAGTTGAAGAGAAAATTAATGAACTGGAAAACAGATTCAAGGAAATCATCCAGAATACAGCTTAGAGAAAGAAAAAAAATAAATAAAGGTATGAAAATATCTTAATTTACTTAACTAAGATGAAAACACGAAGAATAGAATGAGATGGTACAATAGATATCTAATAAGAGTTTCAGGAGAGAATAGAAAAAGTGTAGGAGAGGCAGTGTGTGAAAAGATAATGACGAATTTTCCAGCTTGAAGAAAAATATCTTCTCAGGTTAAAGCAGCATTAATAAAAACTAAGAACAAATTCACACCTAGACATACCATAGTGAAGTACCAAAGGCAAAAATGAAAAACTTCATAGCTATAAAATGTTAGACATGCTACCAACTAGTGAACAATAGTTGTAAATAGACTTACAGCAGTACCTTTTCAGCAATAATAGATGTCAAAAAACAGTGGACTCATACCATCGAAGTGTTGAGGGAAAATAATTGTTAACCTAGAATTGTATACTGAGCTAAAATATTTATAAATGAGGGCAAACTAAAGAGATTTTCAAAGAAAGATGAAACATTGAGAGTCACAAACCATTGCTGAAAGAATTGCTAATGGATATACTTTGGATATAATAACCTCATAAGAGTAGGATGCAAGAATGGTAAACAAGCAAATTGGTAAACATGCTGATAAGTCTACATGGGTATTGACTGCTCAAACGTAGACATGTTTAGAGGGTTTTAAAGCAAGGGGGAATGAAAATGCTAGACAATAATAGCATGGAAAATGGAAGGGGGGATTAGAATTAAAGTATTTTAAGAAGCTAATAGTTTTTTCCAGAGAGCAATAGGGAAATTGATTAATTTTAGAATTTTAGTTCAGTATTGCTCAAAATTAAAGGGTAACTATGAAAATAATAAAACAGAACATAAAGTTTTCATTCAAATAGGGAGGAAAAAGGAATATAATGTACACTTCTAGAACATGACACAAAAATTTGAAAATCAAAGAATGGAAAAAAATTATACAAAAATACTGAGTAAAAAAAAGCTGCATTAACAATATCACCATCAGTCAAAAAAATTTTAGACAATAATCATTCTTGGGGATTAAAGAAGACATTAATAAAAGGTACATGTCTCCAAGAAAATATTACTACATTTGAACTTACATACATTCAACAACTTAGCCTCAAAATATGTAACAGAAAAATTTGACCAGTAGAAATCAACAAATTTATGATAAAAAGGGAAGAGATTTTGTCATATCTCTCTCAGAAACTGGTAGATCAAATAGACCAAAAATTAGTAAAGGTATAGACTATTTAAATAACACAATTTAAAAAATTTATTGCTGACATATAAACTCAGATTCAAGCATATATGATAATATATGATGGAAAGACATTGTAAATCAATGAATTGTGAATTATTCAATAGACAATGCTGAAATAGTTCACATGGAAAAATGAATATCCGTTCATATGAACATATCAATTTAGAGAGATTTAAGACCTATTTGTCAGATCAGAAACTTTAAAAAATGAAGGAAGAAAATATAGGAAATGTCTTTATGACTTCACAGTAGAGAAAGATTTCTTAAAACAAGACCATAATAAATGTAAATCATAAAGACAAGGACATTATATACAAATCTAAAAGAAATTCACTAATTGGGAGAAGATATTTGCAACACATAAAACTGACAAATACCAGTATCTAGACTATATTTAAAAAAACATAACTTCTTTAACAAAATAAAAAAAGGACAAAAAAACTCAAGGGAAAAGGGATAAAGCATATAATCAGGAAATTGTAGAATAGGAACCCTAGATAATCAATAACATTTGACAAGGCACTGTATTTCACTAATAATTAAAGCAATGCAAATTAAAGCCACAATGAGATAATACAATTTGACATCTATTATTTTGGCAAAAAATAAAGCATCTAACAATATCGACAGAATTTTGGGAGATGGGAACTCATATATTACTTGAGGCTGTGTAAATTTGTTCAACTATATTGAATGAGCAATTTCACAATATCTAGTTAACTTAATGATGTGGTAGATATATTGGTTGGGTACCCAAAAGCCATTTCCAACAACTTCTCCCTTCTCATCTCCCACTGTAGAGGCTGGAAAACCCAAATACTAACTTTCCCATTCTCTCTTGCATCTAGTGGTTGCTATGTGACTCATTTCTAGCCAATGAGAAATAGGATGTCTGCTGGATGGTTTTATGTACTCTCCCTCACTGCCTGATTTTGAGTATGGTCTGAGGAAGTGGTGTTTAGAACTGCTATAGTCATGTTGAGACAATGAAGGGAAGGTCAAAAGATTAATAAAGGCACTGATCTCTTAGCCATTGAATCAATTCCAGCAACATTCTTCTCTAGACCTTTTGTGAGCCAGGTTTTCCCTTGCTGTATCCAAATGCTCCTCATTGATCCTAAGATCTAGTAATTGCCTTTCCAGGTGTACACCCTAGAGGAACTTACATATTTGGAAGGATTATTCATTGTTTGTAAAACAAAAAATGGAAACTAACCTAGATGACCATTAGTAGAGGAAGGGATAAATAAATCATGGTACTGTTTCTACAGTGGAATACTCTAGAGCAGTTAAAATAAATAAACTGGGTCTACATGTTCCAACACAGACAAATCTCACATCAATGTTGAGTGAAAGGAGCAAGTTGAGGAAAGCTGTATAGTGCATAATAGCATTTGTGTCAGATTTTTAAAGCACATGAAACAACATATTATGTATTATATGAGTATATACATATATACATATTATATGAGTATATACATATATACATATTATATGAGTATATACATATATACATATTATATGAGTATATACATATATACATATTATATGAGTATATACATATATACATATACATATATACATATTATATGAGTATATACATATATACATATGCATGTACAGACAACACATAAATATGTATACACACATATATATGTATGTTATAAAAGTGTAAAAGTATGGACAGAATGATACTTACCAGCTTTAGAATAGTTTTTACTCTGGGGAAGGAGAGAAATGGGGTCACCACAGAATACAAAAAAAGATGTGACTGATAATAATCTTTAAGAATCTGAGTGGCAGGTAAGTGGGTGCTTATATTATCTTCTGTGGGTCTGAAAAAAATTCGTAAATGAAAGGATAATAGAAAGATAATGCTGAGGCACAATTCGCAACTGCAAAGATATGGAAACAACCTAAGTGCCCACCAACCAATGAGTGGATAAAGAAAATGTGATCTATATACACCATGGAATACCACTCAGTCATAAAAAAGAATGAAATAATGTTTTTTGCAGAAATTTGTGTGGAGCTGAAGGCTATCATTCTAAGTGAAGTAACTCAGGAATGGAAAACCAAATACTATATGTTCTCATTCGTAAGTGGCAGCAAAGCTGTGGGTATGCAAAGTCATATAGAGTGGTATAATGGACTTTGGAGACTAAGAAGAGGGAAGGGTGGGAGGTGGATGAGGGATAAAAAGCTATATATTGAGTACAAAGTACACTCCTTGGGCGACAAGTGTAGTAAAATCTCAGACTTCACCAATGTACATTTCACCCATGTAACCAAAAACCACTTGTACCCCAAAAGCTATTGAAATAAATAAATAAAATGGAAAAAGAAAGATAAAGTTGGAGATAGGTAAAGGAATGAGTTGGAGGGGAGAAAGACATGGCCAAGTTCTGGAGGCCATTACAGTAATTCAGGTCATATAAGAGGAAGAAGGTCTGAACTGGGCCAGGGACCATGGAAGTGGAAAGAAGACAATTTTGAAATATATCTTAGAGCTAAATGAGCTACATGAGAAATTACATGCCTGACAATGATTTTTTAGTTTATATAGATTTTTCTTTAAAAATTATAAAATTTACATGGCATAAAATATATTATTTTAGCTATTTTTTAAGTGTACAGTTCAGTAGCAAGTACATTCATGTTATTGTACAACCATGACCACCATTCATCTTCAGAACTTTTTCATCTTGCAAAGCTGAAATTCTGTAGACATTAAACCCTAACCCTTCATTCCTCCCCTCCAGCCCCTGGCAACCACCATTCTACTTCCTGTCTCTATGAATATGACTTATCTAGTTAAAATGATTAACTGGATTTACAGGTATTCACATGGACAAATCTTACATCAATGTTGAGTGAGGGGCTAGTTCCACGATGAGTGGAATCATACTCAGTTTCCCCTTTTGTGGCTGGCTTATTTCACTTAGCATAATGTCTTCAAGTTTCATCCATGTTGTAGCAGGTGCAGAATTTCCTTCTTTTCTAAGACTAAATAATATTTTGTTTATCTATTCATCCACTAATGGACATTTGGGTTACTCCCATATTTTGGCTACTGTAAATAATATTATTATGAACATGGGTGTACAAATATCTATTCAAGTCCCTGCCTTCAATTCTTTTGGGTAGGTACTTAGAAGTGGAACTGCCAAATCAATGGTAACCCTGTTACAGTGGGAAGATAGTGAGGTATGAGCAGGGCAGGAGAGGGCCCCAGCCCCTGCAACACACACACACCAGGAGTGTTGGGCAACATCGTTAACTGTTTCTGTAAAGTAATAATTGGTTACAGCTCCTGCCAGGGAAAGGCAGTCTCCTAATAGATAGAAAACATTTGAAACTGATCAGCAGCTTCCCAATAAGATCTCAGGAGTGAGAAGAAGTAATGCAAGATCCTGGAAGCACGCCAACCTATAAAACCCCAAATCAGGAGGTCACGCTGCCTGCTTGGCCTTCTTCCAAGTGTATTTTCCTTCCTTTCTTTACTGCTTTAAAGCTTTTTAATAAACTTTCACTCCTGCTCTAAAACTTGCTTCAGTCTCTCCTTCTGCCTTATGCCCCTCAAATTCTTTCTTCTGTGGTGGCAAGAATTGAGGTTGCTGCAGACCCATATGGATTAGCTACCAGTAACAATCCTATTTTCAGTTTTTTGAGGAAGATAATACTTTTCATAAAGGTATAATTTTCATATTACAGCTACTGTGAAATAATGTACTACCTTAGAATATTCATGTTTCCTCACCATTGCTTTCCAGCAGCCTGCCAAGTTTGCAAATAAAAACTCTCAGATATTTTGTTACCATGGATATGAGGCGCACAGGACTTTATAGAGTAGAACCAGGCTCTGGGGACAATCTGCCACTCAATGATGAATACATGAACACTCATTAAGAAAACCTAATATGGTGATTGAGAAATTGCCTCTGCCTTCTCTATTAAAATGTACACTCGTTAGTCTAGTCTGTTTTGTTTTGGGACTATACAACCTTAACTGCTGATGGTTTTCCCATGTGCTCTCAGCAAGGTCAAGTGAGATGACAAAAAAGAAAACTCCTAAATCCCAATGAGAGCCATTGATATTTAAATAAAATAGAAACCCAAGGCTGGGCACAGTAGCTTACATTTATGATCCCAATGTTTTGCAAGGCCGAGGCAGGAGGACAGCTTGAGGCCAGGAGTTCAAGACCACCATGGGCAACTTAGTGAGACCTCATCTGTATAAAAAAAAACAAAAAGAAAAGAAAAGAAAAGAAAACCCCAACCAGATAAAGCCCCCAAACCCCCACCTTTATTTCTAACAATTACATAGGTAATGAAGGTTCACTGTAGGATAATAAAAAATATATAGATACATAAATTTAAGGTGATTAAAATAATCTATAATCCCACCTACTTTTTGTTAAATTTAGATTATTTTCTAGGCGTAAATATATTTAACGTGAATTTTAACTATAAAACAGATCCATACTCTATTGTTTTGTAACTTTCCCCTCAATTAATATATTGTGCACATATTTCCATGTCATATCTGTTAAAATAAAATATATTTAAAATTACAAAATATCCATTGATGGATATATTTATTCAATGTTGTGTTGTTGGACTCTTTTATTTGAAATTTTATCTTGCCAATATGGCAATGAATGTTTTCCTGGCTATATTTTTAAGTTCATCTTTATTTTTTATGATAAATTTAAAAAATAATATGTCTCTTTGGGAGGTTGAGGTGAAACGACTGCTTGAAGCCAGGAGTTTGGACCAGTCCGAGCAACATAGTGAGACTCCATCTATAATAATAATAGTAATAATAATAATAATAATAATAATAATAATATGGCTTCATCAAATGGTATGCATAGATTCTTATTTCTTTCCAAAAGAGAAAACATTTACATATTTTTTAACATTTACAAATATATACATTTATTATTGTAAGTTCAAATAACACAAAAAGGAATAAAAAAGAAAGTTAAAATTGTTCCTGGTTCTCAAGATAATTGTTAATAATTTAATGAACATTCTTTTAGACTTTGAGTGCATATATACAAATGCATATATTTATTTTTTAACTTAGTGGACTTTTTCATGTCATTAAATATTATTTTACAGTATCATTTTTGATGGTTTCAAACTAGTCTGCATTTGTGTTACCCAAGTCAATCCCAGTTTCTGTAGCTTTGCCAAGGAAAGCTGGCCCACACAGAACCCCTGCTAAAAGGGCAGGGTACCCTTCCTCTCCTGCTCCCTCTCTGCCAGCCACTGGCTGATTGGAATGAGACTAGGTATAGGACACATGCACAATCACTGGATTGTCAGGGTGCCCAGTGCAAAGTCTCTGTGCAGACTGGAAAGATGTAGACCTACAATGACCTCATTGTTAGATTGGAGCTGGGAAATAACCAGAAAGTTAAACAGTTCACAGTGGATTCACAGCTTAAAGATGCATGGGGAAATGGCAAGAGATGCCTTCAAAGGTCATAATGTCACTGAAATGCCAGGGGTTCAGTCTAGGTCACCTTTCTCACATCACAGAAAACCAATCACTGAGACAACCAGTATTGCCAGGGAAGAAAACTTTTTATTTGGATCTTGTTAGCTGGAGAGAGGAGAGATCAGCCTCAAGTCCATCTCTCCCAACCAAATAAAATTGGGGGTTTATTTAGTGGTTATACAGCAGGGTATGAAGGTAGCTGTGTAGGGGAAAACAGAAATCATGGAGGGGTCAGGAAGCAATCATGACGGATGAGGGGTCTGGCATCTTCACTGGCTGGATGCAGTGATCTGATGAGTTTCAGTTTCTTACCTGAGAGTCAGTTTCCTGAGGAAGGAACTCAGATAAAACAATGTAAGTTTCAAGTTTTAAGATCAAGGAGAGTCAATTTCTGTTTATTTAAAAAACCATAAACATCAGTTCTATGGGACAATTGGGCCAGTATCAACAAAAAGGTCAGTCAACATTATGGGAACACAAGAAGTATGGGTAAGATAAGCCATGAGGTTGATACAAATATGTACCATAAAGAGTAGTATTTTAGGATATAGGCTTTGGAGTCAGATGAGTATTTGAATATTAATACTTCTCCTTTAATGCTATGTGGCTTGGATTGATTAATCTTCTGAGCCATAGTTTCCTTATCAGTAATACATGGATAATTCTGTATCTGTTACTGAGATGCTGAAAGAATTTATTGAGAAAATATAGGCAAAATTTTTAGCACAGTCCCAGACACATAGAAGCACTAAATAAAGGCAGTTATTATTACAGTTATTTCTTCCCAAGTGTACCTTATGTTTGATCCTGTACTATCTTTTGAATCTCCTGGCATATATCAATTTATGAATATGTAATGTGGGGGCCATAGGCTCTTGGCCCCCTAAAGGTTCACTGAAAATCACTAACATGAGGCAGATTGCTTAGTAGGAGAAAAAGCATACAAATCTATTTGCCATGTATACACGGGAGCCTTCAGAATGAAGGCCCAGCTACTCAGTGTGGTATAGAAGCTTATAAACCATCTTGAGGTTACAGAAGGAATGGGGGCTTGGATCCTGGTAAAACAGGTTATAGAAGAGGGGGAAGAGGAATTCTATTAAGGGGCAATGCAGGATTAACTTGTAAATAGTTCTGTTTGGAATTTAAATGATAAAGGGGTCTGCTCAGGTGTGGTTATATCTTGGTAAGAAAAAACAATTGTTCTTGGTGGGTCTGCATCTTAGGCAGCTAAAGAAACTTCAGCTTCGCTTGGACGGGGGCAGGGAAGGTCAGAGAGACCCTGACGCTTCTTCAGCTCAGGAAGGCAAAACATCATATTCTGGGGTATTGGTTTTTGAGCCCCAACAGTTATCAATAATTGTATGTTGAGTTCCAGGAAGTTTTCTTGTATTTAAGTCTGGATTTTTTACTGACCAAACTTCTGAAATAGCTGAATCAATTTTCTAATCCACAACTTTTTTCTATAACGATAAAAGGAGATTCTACCTAGACTGCTTGTTTAATTTTGGGGATATAAAACTTAAGTTTTCTTTTTTTTAAGTCTCCTGAAGTCTTGAATGGTTGTAAGACTCACACAATAAAAAGGAGTATTAGCATTTAAATATCAGTTGGCAACTGAGTAGGCTGTACTCTCATAGAACTGGAGGTTTCTTACCTTTTTCTCTTAGAAAGTAAGTACTTTTCTTACTTAGTAAGAATTTTCTCTTGCTGGAGTGGCACAAAGGGCGGTGGGTGGATTCAATTTCAGTCATGTCAACCTTCTCTTTATTTCCCTCCTCTCCCTACAGATAATTAAGGACTACGTGGTGTGTATAAATAGCTTCAGTTGAGAACATCCTCTTATCTTTGCCCCTCTCATCACCAAGTAGGGCCCCTAACTGATGTTGCAATTAGAGTACTGATTTAGCTCTGAGAGACACATTGCAAATGATCTGCTGAGGAGGATGGTATTTATATCAGTACTGACTGATGAAGACTTTGTCAACTGTACCTTTGGCAGATCATCTGATGGCATGCCCCTGGGTTAATCTACTTCTCATTATAAACGATGACCCATGATGATGTGTTTTCTGAACCACTCATCTTGCATAGAGTGCCACAATGTGGAACAGCCCTATGTAAATTCTGATAATTAAGGAAATAATCCAAAGTATAGGGGTCAACAAAAAATCTGCAGAGGTCAAGACATTTGGTGACTTACTAGGGCACAGTAATTTGATGTCGATTTGAAGGAATTCAGACTTCTGTATTGCAGGTTTAATTGTCTCTTTTGACATAGAGAAAGGAAATAAAAATATACTACTTATGTTTCCCATAGAAAGATTGGGCAATTTGAGGTTGTCTTTTTTCATTTCCTGGATGCTGTGAGTACTTCAAAATCACAACATATTCTCAGGTCAAGTAAGTAATATGGAGTCAGAAATTTGAAGATGGTTTCGATTATTTGACTAAAGTTAAAAGCCAGTGATTGAGTACATATATTAAAATATACAAATATGCATATTATAATTATATATTATATTTATCATATAACAATTATATTTTATAGTATATAATTATAATTTATAGAATATTTAAAATTTTTCTCCTTTGTGAAAGTAAAAATGTAGTGGAAACAGTGATGGGGAGTTGAGCTAATTCTTATCCTCACTTTGTCCTGAATGGCTAGAAGATTGATATTACAGTCCATTAGCATAAAGATTCATCTCTGCTCTCTTCTTTGATATGGAGTATTGATATTTGTAATCTTTTGGGAGGAGATTTGCAAACATAGCGGCATGCCCCTCCTGCTCTTTCTTTTACTCCTAAACAGATTACCGTTTCTAAGCCTTTCCTACCTAAAAATCTTTCTATTGACCAAGTGTGCACAAGGAGTCCAGATAATGTTGCAACATAGAAAATCATAACTCAGGCTGGGCATGGTGGCTTACTGGACATGGTGGCTGACTCCTGTAATCACAGCACTTTGGGAGGCTGAGGCGGGTGGATTACTTGAATATAGGAGTTTGAGACTAGCCTAGGCAACATAGGGAAACCCTATTTCTACAAAAAATACAAAAATTAGTCTGTAGTGGCATGTGCCTGTAGTCCCAGTGACTCAGGAGGCTGAAGCAGGAGGATAGGTTGAACCAGGGAGGCAGTGAGCTGAGATTACACCACCGTACTCTAGCCTGGGCGACAGAGTGAGATCCTGTATCAACAATAACAACAACAACCAAAAAAAAGCAAAGAAAAGAAAATCATTGCTCAGTACATACTGAGCTGTCTGTCTGGTGTGCGCAAGGGCACTCCTCTTCCTCTCCTTCCAGTGTCTCCTCGTCTTTGGACGCTACCTCTTCCTCTCTGTTTTGGCTCCAGTGCTCAGCCAATCAGATCAGTCCTGTTGAAACTGAAGATGAGGGGCATACAATAAATCCTTAATCTTGAGCAAAGGGTAGAATGAAAATTGTACCTTCTGGTCCTGTCTCAGAGTGAAGTAGCTACTAAACTAACTTCTTTCACTAGCTTGGCCCATTCCTTAAGACTTTTGTGCCATGTTGTTTCTTTATTTTCTCTTATCATAGACCCACTGTGTTGTTCTAACTTAGATGAAGACAGTGGAAAACTTTGGATTACTGTACAATCAAGGCCTTTCCCATCTTTTATCAATATCTGGACCCCTCCTTCCCTTGTGACTAGTGGCTCTGGGCAAAACACAATCTGTATGCTCATCTCAAAAATGTTAGATGTGGCCCCTGGGAGGATAAAAAAGGAAGCAGGAAATCAATATGTGCTGTAGGACAAAATAGATGAAGGACTCTTAAAGCTCGAAAATAAGAAAAACACAGCCCAATTAAAAAATGGGCAAACAACTCAAAAGGAAACTTAAATATAAAAATGCCCAATAAGCATTTATAAGATATTCAGCATCATTAGGAAAATGCAAATTAAAACCACAAAGAGATACCACTAAACCCAAAATAAAGTAGCTAAAAAAAACTTTTTTAACCCAAGTGCTGGCCAGGCACAGTCGCTCACGCCTGTAATCCCAGCACTTTGGGAGGCTGAGGTAGGCAGATCACATGAGGTCAGGAGTTTGAGACCAGCCTGGTCAACATGGTGAAACCCTGTCTCAACTAAAAATACAAAAATTAGCCAGGCATGATGGCAGGTGCCTGTAATCCCAGCTACTTGGGAGGCTGAGGTGAGAGAATCACTTGAACCCAGGAGGCAGAGGTTGCAGTGCACCGAGATTGCACCATTGCACTCCAGCCTGGGCAACAAAGCGAGACTCTGTCTCAGAAAAAAATAAAAAATAAAAATAATAATAACAAAAAAAGAAACATAAAAAATCCAAGTGCTCATGAAGATGCAGAGGAACTCTCTCTTTAATTTTTTTTTTTCTTTTTTCCCGAGATGGAGTCTCACTCTTATTGCCCAGGCTGGAGTGCAGTGGCCTGATTTCGGCTCATTGCAACATCCGCCTCCCAGGTTCAAGCAATTCTCCCACCTCAGCTTCCCAAGTAGCTGGGATTACAGGCATGTGCCACCACACCCAGCTAATTTTTGCATTTTTCGTAGAGACGGGGCTTCACTATGTTGACCAGGCTGGACTTGAACTCCTGACCTCAAGTGATCTGCCCACCTCGGCCACCCAAAGTGCTGCGATGATGGGTGTAAGCCACTGTGCCCAGCCTCTCTCTTTTTAATTTAACTATAATAGAGATGGAGCCTGCTGGTCTTGAACTCCTGGGCTCAAGTGATCCTCCTCCCTTGGCCTCCCAAAGTGCTGGGATTATAAGCATGAGCCACTGTACCCAAACTGGAACTCTCTCTTAAATATTACTGGTGGGAATGCAAAATGGTATGGATACTTTAGAAAAAGTTTGGCAGTTTCTTATAAAGTTAAAATATCATTACCTTATGACCCACTAATACCAACTTTAGATGTTTATCCAAGCAAATTGCAAATATATAGTCACATAAAAACCTGTGTGCAAGTATTTATAGAAGCTTTATTCATAAGCACCCTGTATTTGTTTGTTTTCACGCTGCTGATAAAGATATACCTGAGACTGGGCAATTTACAGAAGAAAGAGGTTTAATCAACTTATAGTTCCACATGGCTGGGGAAGCCTCACAATCATGGCGGAAGGCAAAGAGGGGCAAATCACATCTCACATGGATGGCAGCAGACAAAGAGAGATAGAGCTTGTGCAGGGAAACTCACCTTTTTAAAACTAACAGATCTTGTGAGACTTATTCGCTATCCGGAGAAAAGCATGGGAAAGACTTGCCCCCATGATTCAATTACCTCCCACTGGGTCCCTCCCACAACATGTGGGAATTCAAGGTGCGATATGGGCGGGGACATAGCCAAACCATATCACATCCCAAACCCCAATGTCCTTCAACTGGTGAGTGGATAAACAGCCTGTAGTCCATCCAAACAATGGAACTCCACTGAGCAATAAAAAGAAACTAGCTTCTGATACATGCAACAACTGGGTGAATCTCAAATATCTTATGCTAACTGAAAGAATCCAGACTCAAATAGGTATATGCCACATGGTTTCATTTATATGATATTCTGGAAAAGGCAAAGCTGGAGGAATAGAAAACACATGGTAATTTTCAGGGGTTGGAGGCGAGGGAAGGAGCTGACAACAAAGGGTTGTAAGGAATTTTTAGAGATAATCGGAATGCTTTATATCTTCATGGTTCTGCCTACATGATTGTACCTGTCAAAAATCACAGAACTATACACTACAAAGGCTAAAAACTTAATACATGTAAATTACATAGAATAGAAAACAAAGATAAAATAAAAGTTATCAATAATGGCAAGTTGCTTCTTTGAGAAAACTGACAAAATCAGACACATCTCTGGTGACATTAGCCAAGGTTGCCAAAATTAAATAGAGAGAGAGGGTGGGACATATGGGAGAAGGGACCCATCCAAAGCAGCTTCTCTTCTTCTAGAAACCTAGGCTCAGGACTGTAGAGGGAAGGGGCAGTGAGTAAAGGCTGGAGAAATAACACTTGTGGGGTGAGATGAAAACATCTGAGGTCAGTTTCCCTGCTAATGAGGGGGCAAAAGGGTGATTTAACAGCAGTCTTTGAGTTTCTATGCCTTCTTGACAGTTTGATTATGGTTCAATTTAGCAAGAATGAACAGCTTAAATAATCTTTAGCATATGATAATGGAGTGTGTCTATGGAATTATATGGCTTCTCTGAAAGGTAAAGCACTTGTAGTGCCTTTTAAAATGAAAATGCAGCATGCGGAGGCTTGCATTGTGAATTTTATCTCCAGATCAACTGCAAGAACAAACCAGCAATCCTGAGAGGAACCACAGACCCTCTGAAAGAAGTGGACTGCTTCTGCAGGACCTGGGAGACACCCCAAATACTGTGAGTGCCCCAACTGTTGAATTGGGAAAGGGAGATCCTCCTTTCCCGAACACACACCCCCACTGGAGAAACTGAAGTACTGTTTGTGGGAGAAGCTTCTGACTTTACATGATCCTGAGTCAAGTTAGAGAGCTGAGCAAAACACAGGGGTAGAGGAAGCAGCAGAAAGGCCTTGGGAGCTTGCTGGGTCCCCAGACAGCCCATTCCTGCCTGACACCACAGGGATCCATCCAGAGGGTGGCCAGAGGAGCAGAGGGTAAAACTCCACAGGGAGAAGGAATTCTCTAGTTGAACTTTGTAACAATTTAAACAGGGCAAGAAGCCTCCTGGCCAGAACTAAGGGGAGGGCGTGAATCAGGTGTTCAGACTTCACAGGCAAGGGCAGAACTAAAGCTTTTTTCTCTTGCAGCTGGGAGGCAGATAGCCTTGGGCAAGTTTTCAAGCCCTTCTCACCCTCCACCTGGAAACAGACTTGGGCTGTTGTGGGAGGCATGGTGGGAGTGAGACTGGTACTTTGGTTTGCCTGGGAGCTGGTAAGGCCTGTGACTGCCGGCTTTCTCCTGCTTTCCTGACAACCTGCATGACTCAGAAAAGGCAGCCATAATCCTCCTAGGTACACAACTCCAGTGACCTGGGAATCTCACCCCCATCCCCGGCAGCAGCCGCAGCAAGACCCGCCCAAGGAGAGTCTGGCCTCAGACACACCTAGCCCTGCCCCCACCTGATGGTCCTTCCCTATCCACCCTGGTAGTGGAAGACAAAGGGCATATAATATTGGGAGTTCAAGGGCCCCACCCACTGCTGGTCCCTCTCCATACTGCTACAGCTGATGCTTTCTGGAAAGTGCCACCTCCTGGTAGGAGGCCAACCAGCACAAAAATAGAGCATTAAACCACAAAGCTAAGGACCCTCATGGAGTCCATTGTACTCTCCATCACCTCCACTGGAACAGGTGCTGGTATCCACAGCTAAGTGACCCATAGACAGTTCACATCACAGGACTCTGTGCAGAAAACCCCCAGTACCAGCCCTGAGCTAGGTAGACTCGCTGGGCAGCTAGACCCAGCAGAGAGACAACAATCACTGCAGTTCAGCTCACAGGAAGCCACATCGATAGGAAAAGGGGGAGAGTACTACATCAAGGGTACATCCCGTGGGACAAAAGAATCTGAACAACAGCCTTCAGTCCTAGGCCTTCCTTCAGACAGCCTACCCAAATGAGAAGGAACCGGAAAAACAACCCTAGTAATATGACAAAACAAGGCTCTTCAACACCCCCTCAAAATCATACTAGTTCACCAGCAATGGGTCCAACCAAGAAGAAATTCCTGATTTACCTAAAAAAGAATTCAGGAGGTTAGTTATTAAGCCAATCAGGGAAGGACTGGAGAAAGGCAAAGCCCAGTGCAAGGGAAAAAAATGATTCAGGAAATGAACGGAGAAATATTCATGGGAATAGACAGCTTAAAGAAAAAACAATAAAAAATTCAGGAAACTTTGGACACACTTTTAGAAATGTGAAATGCTCTGGAATGTCTCAGCAATAGAATGGAACAAGTAGAAGAACGAAATTCAGAGCTCAAAAACAAGGTCTTTGAATTAACTCAATCCAACAAAGACAAAGAAAAAAGAATAAGAAAATATGGACAAAGCCTCTAAGAAGTCTGGGATTATGTTAAATGATCAAACCTAAGAATGATTGGTGTTCCTGAGGAAGAAGAGAATTCTAAAAGCCTGGAAAACATGTTCGGGGCAATAATCGAGGAAAACTTCCCCGGCCTTGCTAGAGATCTAGACATGCAAATACAAGAAGCACAAAGAACACCTGGAAAATTCATCACAAAAAGATCTTCACCTAGGCATTGTCATCAGCTCATTCAAAGTTAAGATAAAGGAAAGAATCTTAAGAGCTGTGAGACAGAAGCACCAGGTAACCTATAAAGGAGAATCTATCAGATTAACAGCAGATCTTTCAGCAGAAACCCTACAAGCTAGAAGGGATTGGGGACCTATCTTCAGCCAAAACAGTTATCAGCCAAGAATTTTGTATTCAGTGAAACTAAGCATCATGTAAGAAGGAAAGATAGATACAGTCATTTTCAGACAAACAAATGCTGAGTGAATTCACCGTTACCAAACCACTAGTAAAATAACTGCTAAAAGAAACTCTAAATCTTGAAACAAAACAAAACAGAATCTCTTTGAAGCATAAATCACACAGGATCTATAAAACAAAAATACAAGTTAAAAAGCAAAATCAAAAACCAAAAAACCAAAGTACACAGGCAACAGAGAGCATGATGAAAGCAACAGTACTTCACATTTCAATATTAACATTGAATGTAAATGGCCTAAATGCTCCACTTAAAAGGTACAGAACCACAGAATGGATAAGAACTCACCAACCATCTGCTGCCTTCAGGAGACTTGCCTAACACATAAGGACTCACAAAAACTTAAAATAAAGGGGTGGAAAAAGGCATTTCATGCAAATGGACACCAAAAGCGAGCAGGGATAGCTATTCTTATATCAGACAAAACAAACTTTAAAGCAATAGTGGTTAAAAGAGACAAAGAGGGACAGTATATAATGGTAAAAGGCCTTATCCAACAGGAAAATATCATAGTCCTAAACATATATGCACCTAACACTGGAGGTCCCAAGTTCATAAAACAATTACTAATAGACCTAAGAAAAGAAATGAGATAGACAGCAACACAATAATAGTGGGGGACTTCAATACTCCACTGAAAGCACTAGACAGGCCATCAAGACAGAAAGTCAACGAAGAAACAATGGATTTAATCTATACCTTGGAGCAAATGGACTTAACAGATATATACAGAACGTTTCATCCAACCTCAGAATACACATTCTATTCGACAGCCCATGGAATTTTCTCCAAGATAGACCATATGATAGGCCATAAAACGAGCCTCAATAAATGTAATAAAATTGAAATTATATCAAGCACTGTCTCAGACCACAGTGGAATAAAACTGAAAATCCACTCCAAAAGGAACCTTCAAAACCACGCAAATACACGGAAATTAAATAACCTGCTCCTGAATGAGCATTGGGTCAAAAACAAAATCAAGATGGAAATTTAAAAATTCTTTGAACTGAATGACAATAATGACACAATCTATCAAAGCCTCTGGGATACAGCAAATGCGGCGCTAAGAGGAAAGTTCATAGCCCTAAACGCCTACATCCAAAGGTCTGAAAAAGCACAGGCAGACAATCTAAGGTCACACATCAAGGAATGAGGGAAACAAGAACAAACCAAACCCAAATCCAGCAGAAGAAAGGAAATAACCAAGACCAGAGCAGAACTAAATGAAATGGAAAAAAACAAAAACAAAAATAGAAAAGAAAAATGAAACAAGAGCTGGTTCTTTGAAAAGATAAATAAAATGGATAGATCATTAGCAAGATTAGCCAATAAAAGAAGAGAGAAAATCCAAATAACCTCACTAATAAATGAAACAGGAGATATTACAACTGACACCACTGAAATACAAAAGATCATTCAAGGCTGCTATGAACACCTCTACATGCATTAACTAGAAAATCTAGAAGAGAGGGATAAGTTTCTGGAAAAATACAACCTTCCAAGCTTAAATCAGGAAGAATTAGCTACCCTGAACAGACCAATAACAAGCAACAAGATTGAAATGGTAATTTAAAAATTACCATTTCAAAATAAGTCCAGGACCAGACGGATTCACAGCAGAATTCTACCAGAAATTCAAAGAAGAATTGGTACCAATTCTTTTGACACTATTCCACAAGATAGAGAAAGAAGGAACCCTCCCTAATTCACTCTATGAAGCCAGCATCACCCTAATACCAAAACCAGGAGAGGACATATCCAAAAAAGAAAACTACAGACCTATGTCTTTGATGAACATAGATGCTAAAATCCTTATCAAAATACTAGCTAACTGAATCCAACAACATATCAAAAAGATAATCCACCATGATCAAGTGGGTTTCATACTGGGGATGCAGGGATGGTTTAACATACCCAAGTCAATAAATGTGATACACTACATAAACAGAATTAAAAACAAAAATCACACGATCATCTCAGTAGATGCAGAAAAAGCATTCAACAAAATCCAGCATCCTCTATGATTAAAAACTCTCAGCAAAATCGGCGTACAAGGGACATACCTTAATGCAATAAAAGCCATCTATGACAAACCCACAGCCAACATAACACTGAATGGGGAAAAAAGTTGAAAGCATTCCCTCTGAAAACTGGAACAAGACAAGGATGCCCACTGTCACCACTCTTCTTCAATATAGTACTGGAAGTCCTAGCCAGAGCAATCAGAAAAGAGAAAGAAATAAAAGGCATCCAAATCAGTAGAGAAGAAGTCAAACTGTCACTGTTTGCTGACGATATGATCGTTTACCTTGAAAATCCTTAGGACTTCTCTAGAAAGCTCCTAGAAGTGATAAAAGAATTCAGCAAAGTTTCTGGATACAAGATTAATGTACACAAATCCGTAGCTCTTCTATGCACCAACAGCAACCAAGCAGAGAATCAAATCCAGAACTCAACCCCTTTTACAATGGCTGAAAAAAATAAAAAATAATAAA
The DNA here is from genome assembly GCF_000001405.40 of Homo sapiens. Taxonomy (NCBI): domain Eukaryota; kingdom Metazoa; phylum Chordata; class Mammalia; order Primates; family Hominidae; genus Homo; species Homo sapiens. The sequence continues at coordinate 93,210,969 of NC_000012.12, read as the reverse complement.
ATAAAATTCTTAGGAATATACCTAACAAAGGAGTCAAAAGAACTCTACAAGGAAAACTACAAAACACTCCTGAAAGAAACCATAGATGACACAAACAAATGGAAACACATCTCATGCTCATGGGTGGGTAGAATCAATATTGTGAAAATGACCATACCGCCAAAAGCAATCTACATACTGCCAAAAGCCATCAACACAATCCCCATCAGAATACCACCATCATTGTTCACAGAATTAGAAAAAAACAATTCTAAAATTCATATGGAACCAAAAAACAGCATGCATAGCCAAAGCAAGACTAAGCAAAAAGAACAAATCTGGGGGCATCACACTTCCTGATTTCAAACTATACTCTAAGGCCGTGGTCACCAGAACAGCGTGGTACTGGTATAAAAATAGGCACATAGACCAGTGGAACAGAGTAGAGAACCCAGAAATAAACCCAAATACTTACAGTCAACTGCTCTTTGACAAAGCAAACAAAAATGTAACATGGGGAAAGGACAACCTTTTCTTTTTATTATTATCATTTTTTATTATTGTACTTTAAGTTCTAGGGTACATGTGCACAACGTGTGGGTTTGTTACATATGTATACATGTGCCATGTTGGTGTGCTGCACCCATTAACTCATCATTTACATTAGGTATGTCTCCTAATGCTATCCCTCCCCCTCCCCCCACCCCACGACAGACCCTGGTGTGATGTTCCCCTTCCTGTGTCCAAGTGTTCTCATTGTTCAATTCCCACTTATGAGTGAGAATATGCGGTGTTTGGTTTTCTGTCCTTGTGATAGTTTGCTAAGAATGATGGTTTCTAGCTTCATCCATGTCCCTACAAAGGACCTGAACCCATCCTTTTTTATGGCTGTGTAGTAGTCCATGGAAGGACACCCTTTTCAACAAATGATGCTGGGATAATTGGCTAGCCACATGTAGGAGAATAAAACTGGATCTCATATCTCACCTTACACAAAAATCAACTCAAGATGGACTAAGGACTTAAACCTAAGACCTGAAACTATAAAAATTCTAGAAGATAACATTGGAAAATCTCTTCAAGAGATTGGCTTAGGCAAGGATTTCATGACCAAGAACCCAAAAGCAAATGCAATAAAAACAAAGATAAATAGCTGGGACCTAATTAAACTAAAGAGCTTTGCACGGCAAAAGGAACAGCCAGCAGAGTAAATAGACAACCTACAGAGTGGGAGAAAATCTTCACAATCTATACATCTGACAAAGGATTAATATCCAGAATCTACAATGAATTCAAACAAATCAATAAGAGGAAAACAAACAATCCTACCAAAAAGTGGGCTAAGGGCATGAATAGACAGTTCTCAAAAGAAGATATATAAATGGCCAACAAACATATGAAAAAATGGTCAACATCACTAATGATCAGGGAAATGCAAATCAAAACCACAGTGCGATACCACCTTACTCCTTCAAGAAAGGCCATAATAAAAAAATAAAAAAGCAGCAGATGTTGGCATGGATGCGGTGAACAGGGAACACTTCTACTCTACTGATGGGAATGTAAACTACTACAGCCACTATGGAAAACAGTGTGGAGATTCCTTAAAGAACTAAAATTAGAACTACCATTTGATCCAGCAATCCCACTACTGGGTATCTACCCAGAGGAAAAGAAGTCATTGTTCAAAAAAGATGCTTGCACACACATGTTTATAGCAGCACAATTCACAATTGCAAAATCGTGGAACCAACCCAAATGCCCATCAATCAATGAGTGGATAAAGAAACTGTGGTGTGTGTGTGTGTGTGTGTGTGTGTGTGTATACGAATACTACACAGCAATAAAATAAAAAGGAATGATTAACGCATTTGCAGTGACCTGGATGAGATTGGAGACTATTATTGGAGACTATTATTTTAAGCGATGTAACTCAGGAATGGAAAACCAAACATCATATGTTCTTACTGATATGTGGGAGCTAAGCTATGAGGATGCAAAGGCATAAGAATGATAAAATGGACTTTGGGGACTTCGAAGGAAGGACTGGAGGGGGGCGAGGGATAAAAGACTACAAATATGGTGCAGTGTATACTGCTTGGGTGATGGGTGCACCAAAATCTCACAAATCACCACTAAAGAACTCACTCATGTAACCAAATACCTCCTGTACCCCAATAAATTATGGAAAAATAAAATAAAAGGAGGAAAAAAAGTAAAATGAAATGAAAATGTGCCTGAAGTACACTTAATAGCCATATAGTTTCGAGACTCTTTGTCCTTATCTATAAAACAGGCACAGTGTTATCTGCTTCATAATTTTGTAGAGAGGCTTCAAGTCAGATTGCCTGTAAAAAATGCCCAGCTCCTTTTATGTTTCAGCCCCCTCTTCTCTCAATTCATTCTCTTTTTTTTTCATTTTACTGAGGGCTGTGAGCATTGACATTTTTAAGGCAATATTATTAAAAAAACAAACTATTTATTATGCTGAAATGCCAGACACTGTTCTAAGCTCCAAAGTTTATTGACCCATTTAATTGTCACGCCAATCCTATAAGGGAGGTATTATTATTACCTCCATGTTACAGACTTAGACACTGAAGAACAAGTGAGGGTAAGTGAATTGCTAAGGACATTGCAATTGTTTCTTCTTACTGAAATTAAAATAATGTTTTTTGTGGGTTTCACTCTCTTTTTAGCACTTCTTTCCTCTTAGCACACTTCTGTTTATGTTACCTTTTATATTTGCAAAGCACTTTCATATTTTATTTGCAACTATGGGGATTTTGGTGTGAAGTAGTAGTAATGCATACGTGTTGCTGAAGTTGAATGATGACCATTTCTAGAAAGTTCTAGGAACAGTTAAATGCTGCTATTCTGAGTTCCATATTATTTTTATTTTTGAGACAGGGTCTCTCTCTGTCACCCATGCTGTAATGCAGTGGCACCATCACAGCTCATGGCAACCTCTACCTCCTCCTCCCTTCAAATATGTCTTGAACACTGAGAATAAAAAAACAAAAACAAAAACAAAACAAAACACACGCCCTGTTAGCTGTGTATCTTTAAGTGATGGAGGGTGCCTTGTCCCAGATGGATGCATTTCATTGACCACTATGTCATCACATGGCTACACTTGCTGCAAGTAAGGCTGAGAACTGCAGTCAGAGTACAGGAGGAAAGGACAAAAGGATGAGTGAACAATCACGCAGCTTTGATATGTTCTCTGTGTTGGCCATTCTTGTTTTGCTATAAAGGAATACCTGAGACTGGATAATTTACAAAGAAAAGAGGTTTAGTTTGCTCATGGTTCTGCAGGCTGTACAAGCATTGTGCCAGCCTCTGCTCAGCTTCTGGGGAGGCCTCAGGGTGCTTTCAATCATGGCACAAAGTGGAGTGGGAGCAGGCACGTTGCATGGTGAGAGCAGGAGTAAGAGAGAGGGAGGGAAGGTGCCACACACTTTTAAACAACCAGGTGTCGTGAGAACTCACTCAGTATCATGAGGACTGCACCAAGATATGAGGGATCTGAGCCTATGACCCAATCATCTCCCTCTAGGCCCCACCTCCAACATCAGGGATTACATTTCAATTTGAGATTTGGGCAGGAAAAATATCCAAATCATGTCAGACTCCTTTGATTAAATATAAGTTTTAAAGTTAATGTAGTCAAATGTGTCACTTTGGGTGTTTTTTGTTTTGTTGTTTTTTTGAGATAGGGTCTTACTCTATCACCCAGGCTAGAGTGCAGTTGCACGATCATGGCTCACCGCAGCCTTGACCTCCCAGGCTCAAGTGATCCTCCTGCGTCAGCCTCCCGAGTAGCTGGGACTATAGGTGTGTGCCAGCAAGCCTGGCTAGTTTGTTTTTATTTTTATTTATTTGTATTTTTGAGACAGAGTTTTGTTCTTGTTGCCCAGGCTGGAGTGCAATGGTGCCATCTCAACTCGCTGCAATCTACACCTCCCAGGTTCAAGTGATTCTTCTGCCTCAGCCTCCCGAGCTGGGACTACAGGCACGTGCCACCATGCCCGGCTAATTTTGTATTTTTGGTAGACAGTGGGTTTCACCATGTTGGTCAGGCTGGTCTCAAACTCCTGCCTCAGCCTCCCAAAGTGCTAGGATTACAGGCATGAGCCACCACGCCCGGCCGTTTTTTTGTATTTTTTGTAGAGATGGAGTTTTGCCATGTTGCCCAGGCTAGTCTCCAACTCCTGAGCTCAAGCAATCCACCAGTCTTGGCCTCCCAAAGTGCTGAGATTATCAGCATGAGCCAACCTGCTCAGCCACAGATTTTTCTTTATATGTTGTACATTTGATGTCTTATTTGAAAAATCATTCTCTATCCTAAGGACATGAGGATACTATGCTATATTCTATTCTTAAAGTTTTCAAGTTTGACTTCCACGTTTAAGTCTTTAATCTACCTGGCATCAACTTTGGTGTATCGTGTGAAGTAGGAATGTTATTTCTTCTCTTTGTGTCTCATGCTCTAGAATTTCATGATGCTGTTTCTTTGGTATAGGTTTTTCTTCTGTGCTAAGTTCTTTCAATCTGAAGATTTATGTTCTTCAAACCTTGGAAAAAGTTCTTTATTTGATTATTTTATCCCCTTCCTTTTCTCTTTCAGGAACTCCTATCAAATGTTTGAGATCTTGGATCAATCCTTTACATATTAATCTTTTCTTTCACATTATCAGTTTATTATTATTATTATTATTATTATTATTATGATTATAACAGTTCACTGCAGACTTGATCTCCTGGGCTCAAGTGATCCCCTCACCTAAGCCTCCTGAGTAGCTGGGACTATAGGTGCACATCACCACTCCCAACTAATTTTTAAATTTTTGTACAGACAGGATCTCACTATGTTAGCCCAGGCTGACCTCAAACTCCTGGGCTCAAGCTATCCTCCTGCCTTGGCCTCCCAAAGTGCTGGGATTATAGGCATGAGCCACTGTGCCTGGCTCAATCATTTCTTTTATATATCAGTTGATATAGGTATGTACTTATAATCAATTTAATAGTAATCATTATTATTTCATGCCACATATTCTCAGACCAACATTGCCAAAGGCCATTCAAATAAAATTGATACTTTCTTTTTGGTTAATGGTGACAACAAGATTGCAAGCCAATAGCTGTTCTGATGGACATGCTTCTTGCCTCTTTGGAAACTTCATAGCAGAGCCTGGACACACAACCAGTCTGTGTAATTCCAGTCCAGTGTTTGTGTACTTATGAAAACTTCATCAGGTGTCGCCTCTATGCAGAGGGGAAGAGCACCTAGGGAGGGGCAGCAGAAACTGAGCCCAGGCGGCTGCAAAGGTATGAAGTTGGGCTCCACTTCTGCCATCACTCCTTCTTTCCATCCCTCATTGGACATTTTCCAGCCTCATCTGCCAGATGTCTCTAGTGTCAAGAGCACTCTAATATAGCCCAGGGCACGGGATAGGGAAGAAAAGTGGGTTAGGGAAGATAGACTCTTGATGCCACTGTTAAGGGAGGGGAACAGGGTTGACTAATATGTATATATATGTGTGTGTGTGTGTGTGTGTGTGTGTGTATGTGTGTGTGCTTTTTAATTTATTCTCCAACTGTTCTAATGAATTTTCAATTTGAGCAATTTTATTTTTAATGCTCCCCAAACTTTCTTGTTCTCTATTGGTTTTTTTTTTTTTTTGTCCCCATAGAATTTTGATGTTATTTTATAGTTGCAATATCTTCCCCTGATCTTTCAGGGGCTTCAGGTTCTCTTCAGTTTCTTATGTTTTCTTTGTTTCTGATGAGATGCCTGCTTTTCTTGGTGTCTCTCTATTATCAAAGTTCTGGTCACCCTTAGCTCTTCATGCATAATGAAGCGTGAGCTGCTGGAGAGTGGAGCGGGGATGCTTCAGACCTCATTGGGGCTAACTTTCTGAGGGTAGTTGTTTTAGGACGATTGGCAGCAGGGAGTTGGCCGCAATACTTGGAAATTTTTTTTTCCTTCTTTTTAAATTAAGGAGCTGAATGCTTTGTGAACTGAGAAATTTCTGAATGCTATCCTATGGAGGTCTGTATTAGTCCATTCTCATGCTGCTATAAAGAATTGCCCGAGACTGGGTAATTTATAAATGAAGGAGGTGTAATTGACTCACAGTTCCACATGGCTGGGGAGGCCTCAGGAAACTTACAATCATGGCGGAAGGCAAAGGGGAAGCAAGGTACCTTCTTCACAAGGTGGCAGGAAGAAGTGCCAAGCAAAATGGGAAGAGCCCCTTATAAAACCATCAGATTTCCTGAGAACTCACTCACTATCATGAAAACAGCATGGGGGAAACTGCTCTTGTGATTCAGTTACCTCCACCTGGTCTTTCCCTTGACATGTGGGGATTATGGGGATTATAAGGATTATAATCCAAAATGAGATTTGGGTGGGGACACAAAGCCTAACCATATCAAGGTCTTTTCTCTGGAGCCATTCAGTTTCTCCAAATAAGAAACCTCATAATTCCTGTCTGGGCCTGGCTACCAGGAAACTATGTACAGGGATGTTTTGGTGCATTATATTCATTGATTAACTGTTCTAAATACAGACCTTTTTGGTCAATCCCACTTTGCTGTACTAATGATAAAAATGGCAAACTCTTAAATATTGCTTAATCTATGTCAGGCACTGATCTAACTGCTTTACATTGCTTACCTCATGTAATCCTCCCAACAACCCTATGAGGTAGATGTTATTACCATCTTAGTTTTACAGATGAGGAATCTGAGGCATAGGGAGATTAAGTAACTGTCCTGAGATCACCCAGCTCGTAAACTGTAAAGCCAGGATTTTCACCCAGGCCCCTTGACTGACTATAGGGCCAATGGAATGCTGCCTCCTTGATGGAAAAATCACATAGGCTGGGATTTGGGCCATTTCTGAGGGTTCAAGAAGATTGCAAGCCCCAAGAAAGCAGAGATTTTGTCTGTTTTACTCACACTGTACATCCAAATCCTAGCACATTTCAGTACAATGGATTTTCATGAAATAAATGAATTTATAGTGCCTTTCTTACAGAAATGGCACTTGTTGCTTTTGGGGGTGGGCTACTGGAAGGAGGTGCGATGATCTTCTAATTTTCTTTGGTTGTTAAATATAATCTTTTCTTTTGGGAAAGAGAGCAGAGCTGAGGTTGGAGAAGTGGTATGGGGCACATTTCTTTAGTAAAACTTCTTTATCTCCTTCCATGCTTGGCTTCCTCATTCTTTGTTCAAAGACTGTTACTGTTACTTGGGGAATGAGCTTATTTATTTTTTCTCAATATTGTGCACTATGAATCAACATTCCTGTCATTATCTGTTATCTGAAGTTCAGAGAAAACCCCCAACCCCCAGCATCCCCTATTAAAAACAAAACAAAATGAGTTTTGATATTTGGATTGTTCTCTTTGAATGAATAATACCCAACCTTTCGTTTCCTCCAAGAATGGCTCTTATTTGACAATGACTATTTTAAAGCATGAATTTCCTGAAATGGAATGACCCAAAGGCCATGGCAATACACATGCTTTACATACTTGAATTATAAAAAAAAAATCTGGCTCTTATTTCAAGGGTTTAATGCTGTTTTGACAATGCATTTATATCTTCCACTGAAACGTTTTTGTAAAAACGGGTTCATGCATAATCAGGATCTGAAGCTTTATTGCCAGTGTCACTAATATTTATTGTAGATTTTGGAGCAGAAAGAATTACCTTGTATTAGGATTGTTTGTTTGCAATTCCAGACTTCTCAACAGCTTACGATTAAAGAAAACACTTTTTAAAAGGATGGTGCTGATAAAAGTTTCTTTTTCTTTATTAAATAAAGCAATTCACTAGAAGTAAAGTATAGCATGAAGAGGAAAGTGGACAATTTATTAAAAGAAATCAGCAGGTGTCAAGAATTGCTTGGTTATAACTCACAGAAAACCATTCCATCTATGTTAAGCAAAACAGGAATTTTAACGGGAGATTATGGAAGCCCAGTACGTACTACAAAAGATGTCTGAAACCAGGAACTGAAAAGTCAGGGCCTGAGCCCACCCACCCTCCTCCCTTCCTCATGCCCTTCCCTGCTTCCTTCCTTCCTTCCTTCCTTCCTTCCTTCCTTCCTCCCTCCCTCCTCCCTTCCTCCCTTCCTTCCTTCCTTCCTTCCTACCTTCCTTGCTTCCTTCCTTCCCTCCTTCTTCCTTCCTTCCACAGATACCTATCAAGCATCTCCTATGAGCCAAGTACTGTAGATACAGTAAAGAACTAATCAGAGAGACCTCCTGTCAAAGAGCTTATATCCTCATAGAAGGAGATAGGTGATAAGCTAGTCAAAGTCAAATAAAAATAAGTTTCTTATAAGTAGAGTGATCATAAAATTTGTTTCCTACTTCTTTTTCTGCGACAGGGTCTTGCTCTGTCACCAGGCTGGAGTTCATTGGTGTGATCTCAGCTCACTGCAGCCTCAAACTCCCTGGCTCAAGGGATCCTCCCACTCAGCCTCCCAAGTAGCTGGGACTACAAGCATGTGCCACCATACCCAGCTAATTTTTGTATTTTTTGTACAGACGAGGTTTCACCATGTTGCCCAGGATGGTCTTGAACTCCTGGGCTCAAGCAATCCTCCTACCCTGGCCCTCCAAAGTGCTGGGATTACAGGCATGAGCCACCGTGTCCAGCCTTGTTGCCTACTTTTGAGAGTGAATGAGGTGCTATTAATAGTCATGCTTGACAATAAGAGTAAACCTGTCCAGGACACACTGGAAATGTCATGGGCAAAAGACTATGGCGAGAATTAGAGTAGAGTCATGTGGCGAGGGCTGGGTGGCTACTTGACACAGGTGATAAGAGATGTCCTTATATAAGCTGAGACCTGAGTGACAAGAAGGAGCCAAGCATAGGAAGATGACAGGAATGAGCCTCCTAGGTAGAGAGAACGACTAGAATAAGGGCTCCCAGGGAAGAACGAAGGTGGCTGGTGTGCACGGACAGGGAGAGCCTGGCTGGAAATGAGACCAGAGGCATAGGCAGGAGCCATGTGAAAGCAGTCTTAAGAAGGAGTTTGGCTTTGTTCAGAGCATGATGGGAAGCCACGGGAAGGTTTTCACAAAGAAATGACATGTTCTGCTTTACTTTTTGAAAAGACCATTCTGGGCCAGGTGCAGTGGCTCATGTCTGTAATCCCAGCACTTTTGGAGGCTGAAGCAGGTGGGTAGCTTGAGGCCAGGAGTTCGAGACCAGACAGGGCAACATGGTGAAACCCTGTCTCTACAAAAAATACAAAAATTAGCTGGGTGTGGTGGCACATGCCTGTAGTCCCAGGTACTCGGGAGGCTGAAGAGGGAGGATTGCTTGAGCCCAGGAGGTCGAGGCTGGGGTGAGCCATGATTGTGCCACTGCACTCAGCCTGGACAATAGAATGAGACCCTGTCAAAAAACAAACAAACAAACAAACAAAAAAAAACAAAAAAAACACTTTGTGTTTTTTTAATTGGAATTTTTATTGATTTTTTCCTTAGATGTGGTTATTTTTAAAGTTCCTATCTTTAAGAGACGCAAACATATGCAAAATCAGATCATTTATAGACCAAATGGTGTAATATCTGAGATTTACCTCAAAATTAGAGATAGAGGTGAATGACATTGGCCATGATTGGATGCTTGTTAATGGTGGGTAGTGGGGGTTTTGATTTACTGTTCTTTTTACTTCTATATATGCTTGAAATTTTTAAATAATGAGATGTTGCAAAAAAAAAAAAAAAAGAAAGTATCTCTGGTTGCAACTGTGTGGAGACTGTGTTTTAGAGGGACAAAGAGCAGGCAGACCAGTTAAGAAAAGCAGAATCTATCTGAGATATGGTGATGGGCAGGGTTAGGTTGGTTGTAGTATAGACAGGAGAAGTGGATGGATTTGGGATACATTTTGTAGCTGGAGCCAACAAGACCTACTGATAGATGAGTGGGGTGAGGATGCAAGAGGGGTCTATAGTAACCCTTCACTTTTTAGGTTGGCAACTAGCTGGATTAAGATGTTACTGACCAAGATAGGGAAGATATAGGAAGAGCAAGTTGGGGAATAGAGGAAGAAAAGTTCTCTTTTGGCCACGTTCAGCTTCACATACCTATTAGACATTCATGAGGAAATGTGAAGTTGGCAAGTCTGGCGTTGTGCACAGAGGACTGGGGTGTCATAGACACCTGTCATGAGCTACTCCAGGTGCTCTCAGGCTCACGTGCCTCAGGGGCCTTGCAGATTTGTTCTGCCTCTGTGGCTGGCTCTGTGTTGCTCCCACTGACCTTTTGTGGGTGTCACTTTCCATCTCGGGGATTTCTTATTGATGACAGAAACGTGCTCAATGCCTCTGTAGAAGTGACTGAGAAGTGAGGAGGAGTTAACACCCTGTGGAGTAAACTTTTGACCATTGGGGAATGGGAGCTGGTGGATAAATTCCTCCCTCTTCCTCTCCTTGGACAGCCAGTGCTCAGATGTGGTCATTCCTGTGGTCTCTTGGACGAAAAGTCCTGGGACATGGAGTAACTGGCCATGCATGATCCTGAGAGAAAGCCAGCTCAGGGATGCAACATTGTGTTTGTTTTCCTTCCTTTCCTGCCTCACTCTCCCTTCCCTCAATATTTGGAGAACAAGAGAAGATGGACACAGTAAAGGCGATGGAAAAGGAGGCAGAAAAGGAGAAGGAAGGCCAGGAGAAGGGAGTGTCATGCAAATCTTGCATGGGAGAAAATGATCATCATTTTGTCAAATGCTGCAGGCCATCCAAGTGAGAAAGGACTAGTGTGTGATCCTTAGATTAGGCAAACATCAAAGCCATTAGTAACCTTAATGACACCAGTCTTCATGGGGTCGTGAAAGTTGATCATATGAATTGGGTCATTCTTGTCATGCTCAACTTGCTCTAGAAATGTTACTTTCTGCAAGCCCAGCAGCTGAAACTGCTGGTTGTAACCTGAAACCAGTTTTATCTACAGCTGCTAAGATAACTTGCTGCAATTCTAGGACTAACTTTGCCCACCACCCTCGCCCACCAATTGGAGCTTGCCAGCTCCCCAAATCTTTGCTAATCACAATGAACTTTCTTTCAGGACCACACATAACAATCCTCTCTCTTTTTTATAAAATCCCCAACCTTCTATTTGTTCTTTGGACATACCAAAAACCAACCAGACTGTGTGTACACCCCACATTGGGATCCTTTCTTGCCAAAGAAAACATTACTTGTAGAGATTTGTCTCTATATTTTAATTTTGACTTCAACAAGGTGATTGGGAAAGAAGCTTGGCTAAAGTGGACTGAAGACAGAATAGAAAATTTTTTAAAATGTGAAGGTGGTAAATAGAGACAACTCTTTGCTTTGAAGAGGAGCAGAAAATGAAGTGGAGGCTAGAAGAAAATGTGTGGAAAAGGGAGGTTGTTTGTGTGTGTTTTTGTTTGTTTGTTTGTTTTAAGATGGAGTCTCTCTCTGTCACCCAGGCTGGAGTGCAGTGGCACGATTTTGGCTCACTGCAACCTCCACCTCTAGGGTTCAAGCGATTCTCCTGCCTCAGCCTACTGAGTAGCTGGGTTTACAGGCTTGTGCTACCACACTTGGCTAATTTTTGTATTTTTAGTAGAGATGGGGTTTCACCATGTTGGCCAGGCTGGTCTCTAACTCCTGGCCTCAAGTGATCCACCTGCCTCAGCCTCCCAAAGTGCTGGGATTACAGGCATGAGCCATGGTGCCCAGCTGGAGGTTGTTTTTAAAAGATGGGCAGTATTACTCTATGTTCATGGGAATAATCCATGAGGGGGCATAATTATGACAGAGGAGTCCCGGAGAAGGCAATAAGGAATACAATTCAGGACTCAAAGGAAGGGTAGGGCGGGCATGGGTGGGCTGGGGTTTCAAGAGAGGAGAATGTTCATTTTGGAAATGGGGAGACAAATGTACTAGGCATGTGTGATAGATTCACTGGGCGGTGTTGAGACGGGGCTGTGACGGGTCCACCTGGGCTCGTGTCTGTCTCTCATCTCATCTCTCACTGAGGCTGCTTTATTCTGCTCAGCCAAGACTGGCTTTTCCTCCTGGCCTTTCTACTGCTCTAAGTTCAAGAACCTTCAAGAGCAGGAATTGCTAAATACCAGTCTCTAGGAGAGAATCTAGGAAAGATGCCCTAACAGGCGTCTACTGTTGGTGCTGTCAGCTTTGTCAGGGAAGTGGGGTCGGGAGTGGGGTGCACTTGTGAAAGAACGGGGCATGGATAAGGCAGGTGCCTCCAAGAGGTGTTTATGGGTGCGACCATAACCTTCCTCGCCTTCTGCAGGTCCTGCTCATTAGAAGGGCCAGAGGAACAGACTGGATGCATTTAGCCGAGTTCATTTTCCCCGCTTGAGGACATCCTTGCTATAGGCATAGTGATCCTAGTCAGACTGTGTTCTGATTTTTACTTTAGAACATTTCCTCTCTACAGCTGCAGGGAAACATCTTCCTTTATTAAACTCAATCATTTTAAAGAGTTTGTGTAGGAGGAATAACAAATAGAGACAGTGTGTGCGTTTTCTTCCTGTGAGTGGTATGTTGGCTCCTGGTTCTTTCTGAATGCCGGAGGACCAACACCTTTCTGTGGGGGAGGAGTTTTGTGCAGTGACTTGCTCGTTGGAGCAGATGAGTCAATGGCCATTAGGGCAGTGTGCTGGGCAGTCTGTTGGGGTTGTGCCCCTGGCAGCATGGGGGCAGAGGAGTTCAGAGCTTAGTGAGTCAGTGTTCTGGCCTTTACTAGCAAGTGTCTGGCTACTGTATCATCCGGGGTTGCCTTGTTCTTCCTATCTTTGTTAGGAACTCAGGCTTGAAGTCAGATCTGGTTCAGATTCTCTTTCTGCCATCTACTATCAGAGTGGTCACAGGACATTACTGATGCACACCTTCCTTCTGGGGTTCTTGGGAAGAGTAAATGAGTTTGGGTGTGTAGAGCATTCAGCAAGGTGCCTGGCACAAACTGGACCTGGCACACACAATAATGGTTAGCATTTGTAGAAGGATCTATTGGCATAAAATGGGGTAATCAGATGTCCAGTGTAATGTATGCTCTAGAGAGAGAAGGAAAAGCCATTTAGGGAATGAGGTAAGACTGGGACTGGGGAATAGAGGAGCATCACATGGAACATGGAATTATGGAACTTTAGTTATGGAGGGAGATTTTGGTTCACATCTTAAATTAGCTGCTTGGGTCCTTGGGGAAGTTACATTGTTAAGCCTCACTTTCCCACCTAGGAAATGGGAATAATAATGTTTACCTCATGAGGTTTTTGTAAGGAACAGATTAATAAACCACTAAGCACAAGGCCTGACATATAGTAGATAGTCATTAGAGAGCAGCTCTGATCTTTAATAATAGCAGACAGGCGTCACCACTCCCATAATGGAGGCAGTGTAGCTGAGTGGGGAAGAGTGGCCTCTGCATTCCTGAAATTGCACCAAGTTAGTAATTATCCACTTTACAACAGCAGAGGTTGACTCTGCCCAAATCTCAGTCCTGATGATTCAACAAAGGTTGCTAGATTTGACATAACAAGGGCCTCTTTCAAGTCATGAATAATCTTGGACACTAATCTTAGAAGCTCCATTTTTTCATTTTGCTTGGGACATCTCACCCTGCTATGAAGAGCCATATACTTACTAAATTCTCATCTTCAAAAATGCCTTTTTTTTTAAGCCTCTTTGAATCTGATCACTCAGGCTTGGTAAAATCCCTGTCCTTGAGTTTATTCAAAGTTCATGGGAACAGCATCTCATTGTATCATTCTTGCCAAAATTGCTTAAGCAGAATTGAATCACAAGGAAACAATCACATAAAACCAGATTAGGGCACATTCTGCCAGACAACTGCCCTAAACTCTTCAAAAAACTTGAAAGGACAGAGCAAAACCAAAAAGGCAGGGCTGGAGGTAGGTAGAATTAGATTAAAAGAGACTAAATGTACATGATAACTAAATGCAATGCATGAATCTTGAATGAATACAGATAGGCACTCCCCTAAAAAAACCCAACTGTAAAATACATTATAGAACAACTGGGGAAATGTGATTGTGGACTGTATATTAGATAATGTTATTGAATCAAAGGAAAGTTTCTTGGGTATGACAATGATATTATAACTATGTAGGAAAGTATCCTTTTTTTTAGGACAAATAAGAGTAAGTATTTAAGGGTATAGCATCATGATTCCTGCAACTTACTTTCAAATGGTTCAATAACACACACACATACACACACAGACACACGCTGGGTGTGTGGCACATGCCTGTAGTCTTAGCTACTCAGGAAGGTGAAGATCATGGATCTTTTGAGCTCAGGAGTTTGGGACTGTAGTGAGCCATGCTTGGGGCTCTGAATTGCCACTACACTCCAGCCTGGGCAATATAGCAAGACCCTGTTTCTATATTTGTAAGCACACACATACAGATATGTAAAGAGGTAGAAAATGTTCTTTGGGACATGACAAATGTTAACAACTGATTAATCTTTGTGAAAGGTTTATGGGTGTTCATTGAACTGTGCTTTCAACTTTTCTGTAGGCTTGAAAATTTTCAAAATAAAAAGTTGGGGTGGGGGGAAATCTTCATGGAAAAAAACTAGCTAACCAATCTGCATGTCTTTTTCTAGCAAACATTCTGTTCAGTGAGGAGCCCTTGATGCAAACTCACAAAGACACCAGGGCGCTGTTCTCCTTTTGAGACGAATGGCTCCCACAACCTATAAAAGGTAGTGGGGTATATAAACTCTTGGTCAATTCTCACATTGGGGAATCCTCAGTTCTTTACAATCCTGCAGCTGAAAGGCTGGATTGAGAGGGAGCTGTGGAGGGAGGGCTTGCTCACAAAAGGAAACAGTAACATGAACATGCATTTGAGAGAGCAACCATTTAGAAAACCTTAAGGAAGTCAAAGTCTCTTGGGCCCGTTAAGCATTTGTGCATACTTAGTAAGAATCTGTCTGCCTATGTGACGAAGAATCAAAATTCTAGGGTAAAAAGTGTCCTGAAATTTTCACCTGGAATTTCTGGGGAGAAATTTAGTTTTAGACTTCATGTTACATTAATTATATATCTCAGGGAGAAGAGATTTCTTTTCAAGAATGGATTTATTAAAGTCAGATGGATCCACGGTTCATTCCACTTGGAGCATAATTACCATGTTCTAAAGCAGTTTGAGTTCTTAATGACTTGACTCCTTCATATCCAGCAGTGTCAAATTTAAAACCGACCACACGAAATGTTGGGGGCAAAAAGTAGTCCAGTAAACAAACTTATTAATAGAAATGAAATCCCACAGGGAACACAGACACACACAAGTCAGTGGGATATTAAATTCCTGTGATAAGTTAACACGGATTAAGCAAAACTTTTTATAGTGCAAGCTCTTAGTATCAAATTTTGAAGCACAGCAACATCTAATAATATAATTATTTATATTAACTATTTCTAATAAGTGGCAAATAATTCTAAAAAGATATGTTGAAAGAAAAACATTGATTCACTCAGTAAATAATTATTGGACACCTATTCTGTTCCCGATTTAGGAACAAACACCTTCTTGGAGTCTTCTCTCCACTGGCAAGGTAAACTTACACAAATTATTACGTGATGAATTCCAATAGCAGTAAGTGCCATAAAAGAGTAGTTTGTAGATATGACCATCTGCAATAGTGTAGATTTTGTAAACTTTAGTAATTACAAAACATTTTCATCAAAGTTTGAAGTCTCTTTTAATATATTTCAATTTTTTTCTGGATTTTTTTGTTTTACAAAGGTTATGTGGAGATTTAAGTAAATTTCTGAGATCACTTCTTAAATACTGATGGTTGGAACTTTTATATTCTTTTTTAGGTCACCAAACTCAATACTCCCAGATAGGATGAACAACAAGATTGATACCTATCCATGTGATGGTGGGCGGGAAGGATGCGTGGGACATTGCTCACTGTCCTCCTTGCCATCAGCGTAGTGGTAGAGATTATTGCTGGGGAGTGATGATTATCTGGGCCAGTGGCGTGGAGGTAAAAGAATTTACCAAGACAGTTGTAGATAAAGAAAGGTAAATTTATTAGAGAAAGTATGAAAATACATTGCAAGAAAGCAACGGGCAAATCAGCAGAACAGAAGCTGACTGCCAGGAGACAAAGGCTTGCTGGAGATTTTATAGGACGGTTTTGGGCTGCAGAATGCTACGTGCAGTACTGCTAATACCAAGTTTGCAGGGAGCTAACTTGCATTTTTTGTATTAGCTGAGGGTCTGGTGATAGCTGGACACAGGAAGATTATGAATTATTTGCACAGGAGGTCTGTATGTCCTGGACCATGAAGAAAGGCAGACTTATAGTGTATTTGCCTTTTTTTGTTGCTTTTCCCTGCTCCCACCAGCCTGTCTTTTTCTTTAATTGAGACTCCACAGTGATCAGTGATTTCAGGTACCAACAGTAGAGTTAGATTCTTGAGTTAAGGTCCAGGCTCTGTCAATTGGTATTTGTGTGATCTTGGTCAAGTTCCTCAACTTTTTTCTAAGCCCATTTCCTTGACTATAAATAGGGTTAGTAACAGGATAGCCCTCTGATATGGTTTGGCTCTGTGTCCCCACCCAAATCTCATCTAGTAGCTCCCATAATTCCCATATGTTGTGGGAGGGACCTGGTGGGAGATGGTTGAATCATCGGGCGGTCTTTCTGGTGCTATTCTCATGATAGTCAATGGGTCTCAGGAGAGCTGATGGTTTTTAAAACAGGAGTTTCTCGGCACAAGCTCTCTTCTCTTGTCTGCCACCTTGTGAGATGTGCCTTTCACTTTCCACCATGACTATGAGGCCTCCCCAGCCACATGAAACTGTAAATCCAATAAATCTCTCTCTTTTGTAAATTGCCCAGTCTTGGATATGTCTTTATCAGCAGCATGAAAATAGACTAATACACCCTCCAACATTAAAAGAAAATTCTAAATAAAATGATGTGGGCAAAGCATTTGATGCAAAGTAAGTCCTCCATAGATTTTAACTATGTTATGGTTACGTTAATTATCACTATTAGGTTGTCTGATCATTCGTAACCTTACCTATTCTGGACAGGCTCCTTGGCTTTTTATTCTTATTTCCCAAGCTGAATGCTGGCAGATCTCTGATTTCACACCAAATGTATTCATCTTCTAGCCTTGTATGTGTGGTGATCAGGTTGGGCATTTATTCTCCTAGAGGTCAGAAAATATAAAATTCTACCTGCAGTATGAAAACCCAAATTTGGTATGGGAAATGAAGCTTAAATTTATCAGAGATTAATAGAGGAAAGTGTAAATTGTTTAAAAGGCAAATGTAAGAAGTTGAGAACTGTCTTTCTCTGGAGTGAACATCTGCTTAGTAGATTGACATGCTTGTGAGACCAACTAAGTATTAGCTACTTCCTTTTTAGAGATAGGATCTTGTTCTATGTGTGCCACCATGACTGGCTAATTTATATTTTAGAGATGAGAGTCTCACTATATTGACTGGGCTAGTCTCAAACTCCTGACCTCAAGCCATCCTTCTGCCTCAGCCACCCAAGTAGCTGGGATTACAGGTGCAAGCCACTGCACCCAGCCTAGTACTAGTCCTAGGTTTACTGGGAATTTTTCTAGTGATTCTGAGAAACCTACATCTTTGTGCTTTTATTTTTTCAGTGTGACAGGGACAGTTACTTCCCCCAATATTTATTTATTTTTTATTTTTTTAAGACAATGCTTATTTTTCAACTGGATCTACAGCTACTCAGAATAAAGACTACATTTCCCAGCCTCCCTTGCAGCTAGATGTGGTCATGTGACTAAGTTCTGGCCCAAGAAATACAGCCTTTTTGAAAGGGAAGATATGCTCTCCTTCCTTTCCTTATTCTATCAGCTGGGATGCAGATGCTGCGGTGAGCTACATGGACCATGCAGATGGAGATAACACTCTAAGAAGGGTGGAAGGAACTTGGGGTTGTGATACCACAGAGCAGCCATGTTATATGAGAGAAAAACAAACTTCTATTTTGTTTAAGTTATGGTCACTCAGTCTCCTTTACTGCAATGGTATTTATATCCTAAATAATACAGGCAGGAATGAGGTTGGCAGCAGAAGTCTCCCACTCCCCAAATCTTCTTCCTTGTGGCTTGGGTCCTGGAAAAATGCTGACTTATTTGTGTTTGTGTGTGTTGTGTTTTTCTGTGTGTAGGAATTCACTCATTTATTATATCCAGTGTTTATATTGAGTGCCAGGCACCTTACCCACCACACACACGTCTATGTATATCTATATGTCAATTTTAATTCCTGCTTTTAATGAACATACTGTCTAGAATCTGAAAATCTAGAGTATAAGAAGCACTGTATGGCCAAGCGAACAAGATAATGGATACCAGAAAATGTTAGAAAATGTCATGGCCACCACTTTTCTTCTTAATCCATGAGTAATGTGTGAAAGTAAAAAGATGGTCTCCAGAAAGACAAAAGATGTAAGTTGACTTCATTCCATGTTCTCCAGTGTATACAGTGTATACAGAATACCCTCCACCCAGGCTGGTGTGGCAGGGTTCAAGGACCTCCTTTGGTTCTGTGTCAGGTTGCCCCCTCTGTTGTCTTCTGGCTCTGTGAAGATACCCCCACCTCCTCCCATGTGATGCCCGTGCTCCGGAGACCTCTGTCATTTTGTAAGCCTGGTTTCCCCTCAACCCTGTGTGAGGCAGGCAGCCAGCATCACTGCCCTAGTTTCATGGATAGAGCAACCGAGTCATTTTTCTATTGTTACTGGACAAAGGTACCGAGTGAGTCATTATAAAGTCCTAGAATCAGATCCTAATTCTTGTTCCTGGCATCATTCACGGACCTGAATTCCACCAAAGGTTCAAGAGGATACTGGCCACTGACCAGCTCAGAGAAGAACGCATTTGCGTGTGACTGAGTCAAAAATAAGGATTAACTCTGTCTTGACACTTGCAGGCTTGAAAAAGAAAGCGGGGGAATATGTGCATGAGTAACATCATCATCTCATCATACCGGGATTCTCAACCTCTCTCAAAATGTTTTGAGAATTCCCTGGCACATGATTTCCTTAGTACTAAATTTTTAAATTAAAAAAGTATCTTATTTGCCATTGAAGCAATCAATTTTCTTCATCTTACAACAGAATCATTTATGTGAATTTGGATCCAAGAGGAAAATAAATTTATTTCCTTCTTTTTGCAAGAGAATCTTTGAAGTATCTGGCAGAGAAAAAAAAATGAGCTTGCTCATGAAATAAAATTAGAAACACAAACCATTCCAAACACAAGCTGTTCATATTTAGTAGGATGATGCTTTTTATGTAGCATTTTCTGAATAGCTTCGAATTTCCTAATTTTTTTTCCTTTCCTTGTGTTTTTCTTTGTCTCACATGTCACCCTATTTATTCATTCCCTCACCGACCTTTCCAGCTAAGGAGGAGAGAGGCACAAGGTATATCTGCAGAAGTAACCATGGATTTAAAAGTAGCTACAGCATCAATTTAAAGGCAAGTTACAGCTTTAGTACATTAAACTTGGTGACTTTATCCTTTGCTTCATAGCTGTAGGAGAAGGGAACGTTTTGGAAAGCAGAAATAGGAGTTCTTACTGGGAATCCAGAAACTCAAGATTGTCTTTCTTAACGAACTACAGAAATGGCCCCTGAAAGTATAGTCTTGGTTGTCTTTCTTTCTTTCTTTCTTTCTTTTTTTAATCACCTGCACCAGCCCTTCAGTTCCTAGCTAGGGCCCTCTGAGTCAGGATCCTCAAAGATGGGTCCTAGGAATCTGCATTTTTAAAAACTTCCCAGAAGGTTCTCATATCTACTAAAAGCTCGAGAGTCTCTGCTCTGAAGGGGCTTTGTGGATGGGTCTTCAGGGACTCTGTGAAGCCCCTCAATGTGTTTATAAAGTGTATGTGTGTATATATATATATGTGTGTATTTTTCTGAAGTAAATTCTCAAAGGCGTCTAAGACCCCAGCAAAGGTTAAGGCCCAGTGCATAATGGCCAATAAATGGAGAGAAAAAAAATGTACAAATATCACGTATTAATGAAAAGAAGAATGCAAGTTAAAACAAGATTATTACTTTGTACTCACAAACTTTTGAAAAAATCAGTGGTGGTTGGCAAAGATAGAAAAATAAGAATTCTCATACACTGCTGAGGGTACAGACATTTTGGGAAACAATTTGACAATAGCTAGCAAAACCTAAAATACATTCTCCTTACAGCCCAGCAAGTCCACTTTTAAGCAAATACCAACTCTTGAACATATGAACATGGCATATTTAAGGATATTCTTTGGGATACTGCTGATAATTAATTGTGAAAAATTGGAAACAACCTAAATATGTACCTTAGGGGCAGAAAGAAGGTGATCCCTTTCCTCCCTGTCATAAGGGTCATGGCCAACACCCCTATAACAAAGACAAGCTAACAAGAGAAAAGCATAATACATTTATTTGATCACAGTTTTATGAGACATGAGAGTCTTCAGAATGGAGACCAAAGATCCAGGAAAAATTGATCCCTTTTTTTATGCTTAGGTTCAATGAAGAATGTACAGCCATGTAGAACTACAATTGGGGGAAACAGGAATAATCTAATGGAAATAGACCGAGTCGCGATACCTATCAAGCCCCGTCAGCTCAGCTTCTTCTTGGCCTCTCTGTGCAGCATTTCTTTCTCCCAGGTATGGAATAGGAACCCTCTGGGACGAGGGTCTTAATTTCTTTGCAGCCAGTTCTTACACAGAAAGGCAGGGGAAGATTACAGTAATATTTTTAGGTTTTATGACTGGCTTCATGTAAAATCTGTTTTGGTTTCTAAGATCTGCCTTGGGGAAGAGGAATCACATTTTCTATGGCTTGCCTTAGGGAAGAATGAGGGGCAAGAGACAGGAGAGTAGGAGAAGGTCAGAGAGAGACTTTGCTTCAGAGGCCTTCACTCTGGGGTGTCGTTTTCTAAGTCCCAACACATCAAGAGAGGAATGGGATAAATAAAATGTTGTATGATCAATGTTAGCTTACTATAATTACAAGGAATGATGTAAATACATTTATTAATAATATTGAAAATAATAGGCTGGGTGTGGTGGTTCACACCTGTAATCCCAGCACTTTGGGAGGCTGAAGCAAGCAGATTGCTTGAGCCCAGGAGTTTGAGACCAGCCTGTGCAACATGGTGAGATCTCATCTCTACCAAAAATACAAAAATTAGCTGGACATGGGGTGCATGCCTGTAGTTAGTCCCAGCTACTCAGGAGGCTGAGGTTGGAAGATCACTTGACCCTGGGAGGTTGAGGCGTAGTGAGCTGTGATCATGCCACTGCACTCAGCCTGGGTGACAGAATGAGATGCTGCCTCAAAATAACAATAATAATAATACTGAAAATAATAGTAGCTAATACTTATATGGTGTTTACAGGCACTGTTCTAAAAGCTTTGCATATATTAACAAAACTGAATCTTAAAACATAATTGTGAGTATAAAAAGCATAGAATAAAATGATACAACACTATGATTATCTTTATGTTTAAAAGCACAAAGTAATACATAGGTTATTGAGATATATATAGAGAGAGTAAAAGTAGAAAATGTGGATTTCACAAATATACACAAAATTCTTTTTAAGGGTAGTCTAGGGCAGCACTAACATGGATTTGTAAGAGTGGGGACATTTCAGTCTCCTTCAGCTGTATCAGGTATATGTTATTTGTAAAAGATCTATAATTAACAGATACTTATATGATACTCACAAAACCAGTTGGCAAGGCAAGATGTTATAAAATCTGAGTGCTCAGTGGCAGGGCAGGGCAAGACAGACAGAAGGGAACAGAAGAGGAGGCCGTGCAGCTGTAGGGCTGTTAAGGCAGAAGGATTTTGTGGAGCACAAGCAAGACTTAAACACAGACGGAGGGACTGCAGGAATCGTACGGCCTGGGAGGTCCTAGAGATAAGACCCCTAGACGATGAAGGTCATCTTGGGGGCGCCACGAATGGAGAGTCAAAGGTGGACACACACAAGGAAGTGGGAAGACATTGGCATTTTCTATCAGGGCATCTGGAAGTCTCTTTTAAGGAATGTATGGTAAGTCATTTAATTATAAATAACAGAGGAAGTGACCAGCTGAATTGCACTTCTGACAAGCAAGAGGAATTATATAGTGAAGTGCAAGTTATCAAACCTTTGAGAGAAGGCCATGATGTCTTCGAAGCATTCACAATATCCAGGGAATTAAGGGCTCAGTGTTGTTAGGTGTGCGCCTTAAATGTCAGGTTGGGAAAACTGAGAAAACTCAAAATATGCAATTTTGCTTCAACCAAAGCAAATGTCTTCTCCTTCTCTCCAAAAAAGAAAGAAAGGGTTGGAGGAAAAATAGTTATGGCTACTCCAGTAATACTCTCTGCAATCAGATTTCAAATTTCGAGCTCTCTGTCTCTCTCCTGCTTCTCTGTCCTCTTTGCCTAAAAGATTAGTTGTGACTTACAAGGATATCCACATTTGGTCCTAGCACCCTTCCGGTCCACCCAACACCCCACCCATATGGACTCTTCATCCTTCATTTCAGTGATGCCAACCTTTGCACATCTTGCTTCCTTTGCTTGGAATGACTTCTCTCTGACCCTGCTTTGCTTGGAAAAGCTCAATCTTCCTTTAAGAACCAGCTCAAAGGTCTTCTGTTAAGCCTTTCTTGAAAGAGGGGCAACATAGCCATTTACACACCCAGTTATTCACCATACAAACACTGATTGAAGGCTACCAATGCCCTCCAGCCAAAGACCACCAGGAACACACTGATAATTAAACAAGCTGGGCTTACTACTCATTGATTTAGGGAGAACATACTTTAAGGACACTATCTTAGCAACTGTGTTAGAAAGAAACTACTAGAAGATTTGGACTTTGGTTGGGTGATTTGTGGAGGGCTTAAGAAATTAAAGATTTGCTCTAGGTCAGATACCATCAGAAATCCAGGCAATTCTATGATTGAGTGCATTACAGGGGGCAGAGTGACCTTGTTTTTGTGCATGGACAAAATTAGGTAGTGACCTTGTTTTGTTTCATTTTATCGTGGTTCAGAATAAGCTTGTCTGAGGTTGGTGTTCTGTGAGATTGTCTATGTCCAACAGGAGAACTATAGCCTGGCTGTGAGTGTCAGATCAGCTTGTAATAATATTGAGGTCTACCGGTGACTATTTCTGGATGTCAGGGCCTGCTTTTTTCTTTCTCTATGCCTATAATGGCTCAGCCATTGGACTGTGATATTGTTCATACGTCTTTTACATCACCCAGTATGCCTTATTATGTAGCAGACAGTGCAGTTATTTCTCAAGATACATCCCAACCCTCTCCCACCGTGGGGCAGCCATGGGATGTGGGTGGGACTGATTCCACTCCCAGCTCCAGGATGGGCCCTGATTTGTCTAGAACATCTGGTGACTTGTTTAGAGATAGGCATTGAATATTCAGTTTCATGGAAACCGACACTGAGATTGCATGCAGGAGGTTTAGTGGGGAGGACACATAGGAATGATGTAGGCAAGAGAGGGAAGGATGATGGCACAGAGGGAGAAATTGACCCAGTATATGATTTCAACAGAGGCTTTATCTGATTCCCCTTTGGAAGCGCTGGAGCCAGGATGATCCTTCAGACATGCCTGAATTGAGGTGACCTCAGGCTTTTATACTCACTCATTGATCAGCCATTAGAGGCAGTGTCCTCTTAAGGGGGACAATATCCTCGAGTCTGGCAGCTCCTTTTGGTCAGAGCAATGCTTTGGGAGGAACTCAGCTGTGAGCCATCAGCCATCAATACTTCCAGAGTGGGAAAATGAGGGTCTCAGTTCTGAAGGGAACATCTGGTTGACACAGGCACTAAAATGGGTAAACAAGAATATCATTTTCTTGTCTTGCTGATAATTCCACCTTCTAGAGGATAGGTTTTTGGTGCTAATTCTGCCTGTCTTAGTCCATTCAGGCAGCTATACCCAAATACCTTAGGCTGGGTAATTCATAAACAATAGAAATTTATTGCTCACAGTTCTGGAGACTGGGAAGTCCAAAATTAAGGCACCTAGTAAGGGCCCATTCCTTATACGGCACCTTCTTGCTATGACCTCACATGGTGGAAGGGACAAGGACACTCCCTTCAACCTCTTTTATGAGGGCAGTAATCTCATTCATGAGGGTGGAGCCCTCATGACTTAATCACTTCCTCAAAGACCCCCACCTCTTAATACCATCACTTTAAGTATTAGGTTCCAACATATGAATTTTGAAGGGACAAGAACATTCAGACCGTAGCTTTGTCCAACAAGGAGTACTTGATAGGTGAAATGAAGAGCCTTGAGAGAAGGTAGCTATTGCTTATTTTAATATGCCACCCAAGGCTAAGCCAGCTGGGTGATATTCCTTGGATACAGCGATTCTTTCAGAAGAGCTCAGGAATTTTTTTTTGGTGATTAGTAGAAGAGAAGCTTGCTAGACACTAGAAGGAAAGTGTACAGTCCCAGCTGCTGGTTGCATCATCAGGACAAAACCAGCATACAGAGGATGGAAAAACTGAGAGAACTGTGAAGAAATGAGAATGGTCATAGCATGCTGGAGCTAGCCTGCATCAGGCAAGGGGTGACTGCGCACATCTCTTCCTAATTCTATCTTCAGTGACTTCATGTTGGTAGCTTGAAATAGGTCGTGGTGGGAGTATTTACACCATGGAAATAGACAAACTCATGGCTCTTTTTTCTCTGGAAAGTCAGTTAGTTGTGACATACTTCCTAGCACACTGCTGATGAAGACCTAATCAAACAGTGCCTGAAGCCTGTCTACTTCTGGACTTTTCAGTTATATGAGTCAATAAATTCTCCTTATTGTGCAAATTACCTTGAATTCTAATTGCTGCATATTATAATTTATCTGTTTGCATATCTGTTTTCTCCAATAAGTTATAAGCTTCCTGAAAGTCAGAGAACATATTTATCTTTGAATTTTTGGTGTCAGTAAACATAGCCAGTACCCAACATATATGTACTGGCTATGAATGTATGAAGCATAAGGGTCTTTGAACTGAAAAGAGCAAACATTAAAAAGATGGAAATGGATAGTCAAGATGGGTGAAAGTATAGATGCTTAAACCAGTCCAATTCTTCTGGCATGAATGAGAAAAAGGAAACAGCTTTCTCTCTCTCTCTCTCTCTCTCTCTCTCTCTCACACACACACACACACACACACCCTATCTCTTTCTGAAGACACAGTGCACAGCGAATGTGGCCTTCAGTGTCAGACAGCCTTGACTTCCATTCTTGCCACAGCTACTTATTGGCTATGGTCCTAGACAAGTTCCCTAATGTCCTAAAGCCTCAGTTTCCTCATCTGTAAAGTGGGCAAAATGATGCCTCCCTCAGAATGAAAGAGAAAGATGAGTAGAAAGCATTTAACCCAGGGCCTGATACAGAGCAGAGATGGCAGCCATTTTTTGCTGTTGTTCTTGTAGCAGATGTTGCTTTGTCACTACGATTACTGTTGTTGCAGCTCCCTTCCTTTTATTGCCTTTGTTCTGGTTCATAAATTTGGATGGGGAAAAATTGCATCTTTATTTTATCTAACCTCTCACTGAAATCTAGCTTTTTGTTTCTATTAAGAATGTAGGCAAGAAACTGCACTGGTATTAGCAGCGCCTATGACTCTTGCCACAGAAATAACAGATCTTTTCATATCACCTGGTAGTTGTTGTAGACAATGGAAACACTCCTTCTCTCATCACTCTTTGAAATGATGGTTGTTATTTGACCTCTCACCAGATCCTATTATTTAAAGCACTGATAAAAGAGTAAAAATATTACTGTATTTGTAATCTTTAAAATATTTGATGTTGTAACTGATTTCCTTTGTAGCTTTATGTATTTCATTTTATGCCTAATAACATTATTCTGAGAAGGGAGTCTGTGGCTTTACCAGCCTGCCAAAGGAAGCCTGGTGCATAAAAGGTTAAGAGCCCCTGCCCTGGGGCCATGTTGCTTCAGGCTGGCTGGTCAGCTCAGTTAGTTCAAGAGCAATGAAGGTCATAGGGGCCCACGTGTAGGGTCAGTTCACTTAACTTTATTCTATTCCTCAGCCACAGAGGCTGGCCAGCGTGTGTCCAAGACCTGGAAGAGGCTGTGTAAGACCAACCTCAATAAGCCCCATCTGTTTGGCAGGAAACAGAATGCCCTGTGGATGGTGGATTAGTCTTGGTGCTGCATTATGGGAGGGGTGGGGTCATTTGGACATAGAACTTGATGGCTTCAAAACACAATAAATGTAGATATTAATCACTTGTAACTGGTGGAGAAGCCTGTGATCTCTCAGTAGTTCCTCATTCTGACAGCCTCTCTCTCTCAGTCTGGGCCTCTTGCTCTATGTTTAGTAAGGCTCCCACTTCCTGTTCCTTTCTCTCTCCATCCCCACCCATCTTGCTCACTCTCTCTCTCCCTTTGCGTTCTCTCTAATTTATTTCCCCCCTTTTCTCTGAGGAGGAAGCAGTAGAAAATCCAAAATGTAGTCACTGGGCATCTGGTGGACATTCTTCTCTGGGCTTGGCCTTGTGTTCTTGGCATGGATACTTGCTGGCCCTGGGTCTGCTCTCACTTTCCTTTCTGTCGTCACACACACACACACACACACACACAAACACACACACACACACACACACACACACTCTGTCTGTCTCTCTCTCTCTCTCCATCTCTTTCTCTCCCTGACACACACTCACACTTCAGAACGATTATATTTATAATACCCTGGGCAGTTCCAAACGCCAGTATGAATTTTAAGAGCACATTTGTGTCTCCTGCTTGGAACAGACTGAATTTTCCACTGTCTGAGAGTTTGAAGTTCTTCCAGCTAAGAGAGCAGTGAGAGCCTCTGGGGGACGAGCCATGTGTCAGATCCCTGTCAACTTTCTGCTCCAAGGGTCACACTCACTCAACATTTGTTGAAGGACCTATGGCCACATTTGGCCCAAGCCACTCATGTTGTGCTTTTCAAGTAAAACCTGGTAGGGGGAAGGGCATCTGGAGTGGAGATACCTGGTGTCAAGTGAGAATGGGTCCTATAGGGCTGACACTTAAAAGCCATCAGAAATTAACCTGTTTTCTGGGCCTAGAGGAGAAGAGGTGGATATTGAAACCAGTAGATCCCGGATATACCCAAAGGAATATAAATCATTCTACCATAAAGACACATGCATGCGAATGTTTGTTGCAGCACTATTCACAACAGTAAAGATGTGGAACCAACCTAAATGCCCATCAATGACTGATTGGATAAAGAAAACATGGTACATATACACCATGGAATACTATGCAACCATAGAAAAGAATGAGATCATGTCTTTGGCAGGAACATGGATGGAGCTGCAGGCCGTTATCCTTAGAAAACTAATGCAGGAACAGAAAACCAAATACCACCTGTTTTCACTTCTAAGTGGGAGCTAAATGATGAGAACACATGAACACAAAGAGGAGAACAGACACTGGGGCCTTTTGGAAGCTGGAGGGTGGGAGGAGGGAGAGGATCAGAAAAAAAATAACTATTGGGTACTAGGCTTAGTACCTGAGTGACAAAATATATGTAAACAAACCCCCATTTACCTACATAACCTGCCCATGTACCCCTCAACGTAAAATAAAAGTAAAAAAGAAAGAAAAACCGGCCAGGCATGGTGGCTCACGCCTGTAATCCCAGCACTTTGGGAGGCCAAGGCAGGCGTATTACCTGAGGTTGGGAGTTCGAGACCAACCTGACCAACATGGAGAAACCCCATCTCTACTAAAAATACAAAATTAGCCGGGCATGGTGGCACATGCCAGTAATGCCAGCTACTCGGGAGGCTGAGGCAGGAGAATAGCTTGAATTCGGGAGGTGGAGGTTGCAGTGAGCCAAGATCATGCCATTGCACGCCAGCCTGGGCAACAAGAGCAAGACTCTGTCTGAAAAAAAAAAAAAAGAAAAAAAGAAAAGAAAACCAGTAGATCCTGAAAGGATAAATTATAACTCTCATTCAACATCTAGGAATTGGCCGGGCGCGGTGGCTCACGCCTGTAATCCCAGCACTTTGGGAGGCCGAGGCGGGCGGATCACGAGGTCAGGAGATCGAGACCATCCCGGCTAAAATGGTGAAACCCCGTCTCTACTAAAAATACAAAAAAATTAGCCGGGCGTAGTGGCGGGCGCCTGTAGTCCCAGCTACTTGGGAGGCTGAGGCAGGAGAATGGCGTGAACCTGGGAGGCAGAGCTTGCAGTGAGCCGAGATCCCGCCACTGCACTCCAGCCTGGGCGACAGAGCGAGACTCCGTCCCAAAAAAAAAAAAAAAAAAAAAAAAAAAAAAAAAAAAACAACAAACAAACATCTAGGAATTAATCTGAATTCACTTTCAATTGGGAGTGGCAGATGAAAGCTGTCACCCTCAAGATTGAACTTAAGGCTGACTTTAGGCATAGGCAGACTTGGGCAGTTTCTCTCCTCTTCCTTATATTTAGTTGTTCCATGAAATACCCTTAAAAGAATTCAATGACAGCCATTCCACAATTAGAAGTATGGCTTGAAATTCTCATTCCTGTGAGAGTTGACACACTGGCTTTAATTCGCACTAAAGTGTAAATGACTAACCTAAGATTCTTTCCTTTCTGGCAAACAGTTTTATTAAATATGAAGAAGAGAGGAGAGAGAAAGAGAGGCTTACCTTTGAGGGGAAATTGGGTAGAGGGACAAAGAAATGAGATGCTGGAGATTTTATAACTTTATAGCAGTGTCAGAGTTGGCCCCAGTTAACTTTCTGGAGTTAATTGCTCAGTTTAATTATGGATTTCTCCCCACACATTTCCAGCACTCAGTTTTGATTAGATCTTATATTGCTTGGTTTCCTTAGCCTCTTGTAAAAGAACTTCTTTAGTGGGTAAAATGGGGGAATGTGAGAGGGGGGTGCCATACAATGGATCAGAACCGTTTCTTAGAGGATGTTTCATCACCTTCTATGTAATGTCATCAGATTTCCAACCAAAGTTAAAACGTTCTTCCCTTCTACTTCACAGTAAACTAATCTTGGGAGAATTCTTTCTGACTGAGCGCTTTCCAAACCACCATTCTTTAAGTGGAATTTATTTGAATAATTTGACATTGATTTCTAGTCTGGGTACCGTTTAGTTCCTTTTTGGGTCACTGAGCAAAAGGACTTAATACGTTGCATGTTCCACATAAAAATATCACCTGATTTTAGCTGTTCAGTGAGCTCCTAGGACAAAAGGAGGTTTACTGGTAATGGAAAAGTATCACTTCCAACACAGGATGTGCTGTGAGCCTTGGTGGTATGTAACATATTCAGTAGTGTTTTCATGAACCTGTCAGCAGAGCCTGTGTAAACTTTGCAATGAAATTCACCTTCCACTCAGCTCAACTTTATGGCTTCCTGAGCAAGGAGGTAAAGAACATGGAAGAGAAGTGGATGGGTCACAGGGGCACCTTCTGCCTTGTGGGACTCCCCCCTCTGGTGTCTGGAAGGGATGATGGTGGTTGAATCCAAGGTCACTGCCCCTAGGCAGAGAGAAGGAAGAGAAGTGTTTTCTTCAGGTTCTTCTCCTTTTGATAGGAGACTGAGGCTCCTGCTCCAGATTCTATAGGGAATAACATAGAGAAATTATACTTTATCACTGGCAAAAAATTCATCATTTGCAATTTGGGAATAATACATTGTGTACAGAGTTTAGAATCAATGCGATAAGCTATTAAAAGTACTTAACTCGATAGCTGGCACTAGTAGTCACTCAATTATTATTTTTTCTTTCTGGCTGTCACCAGTTACAGTTTTGCATTTTTACCTTTAGGTCTTTGATCCGTTTTGAGGTAATTTTTGTGAAAGAGATGTAAGGTCTTGGTTTAGATTCTAGTTTATTTTTTCCTGCATGTGGATGTCCAGTTGTTCCAGCACCATTTACTGAAAAGACTGTCCTTTCTCCACTGTATTGCCTTCGCTCCTTTGTCAAAGCTCAGTTGACTAAATTTGGGCGGGTCTTTTTCTGGGCTCTCTATTCTGTTCAGTTGGTCCATTTGTCTATTCTTTCACCCATGTCACATTGTTTTGATCACTGGAAAGCTTTTCAAAACCACAAAGCCTTATACCCATATGAGGCACTACTAGTAGAGACAGTCACCAGCTGAGGGCTGATGGCATTTCCTCAGCTCTTATCCTCTCCCTGCTCTGTGTGAGTTAGAAGATGGAACTCCTCATCTGTGAAGAGGGAAAGCCAATGCTCCAGGGCTAATGGTTTACTGAGAGGATGATGGACTTGGTCTCTTCCTTTCTGCTGAGTTAGAGGACAGGGCTTATTCAGAAATGTCTAGTTAATCTCTGCTTTTTCCGACTTCAAGGACCTAATCATAACACTTTGCTACTGGCAACTCAAGCATTATATATTCTGTTATTTTTAAATATTCTATTATTTTCTTGCTTGTTTTAGACAGTAACATTGTTT
Source organism: Homo sapiens (assembly GCF_000001405.40). Classification (NCBI taxonomy): domain Eukaryota; kingdom Metazoa; phylum Chordata; class Mammalia; order Primates; family Hominidae; genus Homo; species Homo sapiens. The sequence goes on along the minus strand of NC_000012.12, from coordinate 93,180,446 downwards.
CCTTTTACTGCTCAGTCTGGGCATGGCTCATGATTGCCCATTATAGCTTCAGCTGACATGGATCCTGTGTTTTAGCAACTAGTTCTCCAAGTGTGGCCGCTGACCCGCAGTATCAGATCCTCTGGGAAATGCAATGTTAGAAATGCAAATTTCTAGGTCCTACCCCAGACCGAATGAATCCAACTTCTAGAATAAGGCCAAGTAAATCAGCGTTTTAATTTAAAAAAAAAAAAAAAGATACATGCTCAAGTTTGAGAACCACAGACTTTGAGTTTACAAAGCGTTTTTCATTCATTTAGTAGCAGCATTCTCACATGCATTGTCTCTGATAGATGGCATGATGATCCACTTCCACTTGGTTATTCTTTTCCCTCTGTGTTTTAGGGCTTACCATAGGAGGCCCTGCCGAAGCTGGCACGCTGCATGGGAGCTATCCTTAAATGCCACTCAGAACACTCTCACAGCCTGCAGCCTTCAGAAGGAGAGTGTCGCATGGTCTAGCTGCTGAGTGACCGCTGATCAACAGCTGGCTTCACCTTGCATCCTGACTCCTGGGAGATCTTCCTCTCCCATCTCTCTTCCCTTCTTTCTCTGTAGGCGCAGCTGTCAGGATCAACTGAACCCCTGGGGATGGCTGTCTTTAGAGAGGAGCTATGTGGCCTTGAGAAAAGCTGGGTAGATGGACGGCCTGTCCTTGGAAATGGGCTCTCTGCAAGGACAAAGCCTAGGAGACTGTTCCTCAGGGTGCAGAGCACAGGCTTGCCTGTTTATTTAGGTGTGAACTTGGAGTCAGGACAGGAGTTTAATGAACAGGAGAAGGAATTTTGTTGAGTTTGTGGCCTTATGCTGATTCTTTTTGGGATGTTGAGTAGCATGAATAGAGAAATCTTTGATGAGAAGAAAAAAAAACAGTTTTAGTGAAGTAAATAAATGCGGGTTCATTTTCATTTGTAAATATATTTCTTCTATTTGTTGTTACTCCATTTGTAAGATGCACACGTATAACCATAGATTCAGAGTTTTTTTGTCTATCCATTGATGGCAATCTGTGTTACTTTCTGTCAAGGAGGCACAGCAACTTGGTGTCAGTGTGGTGAGGCTCTGGCTGCCACAGACAGTATAGGTAGTGGCCTTCTGTTAGTTGATAATTAATTACTAAATTGGCAGCATGTGCCCCTCATTCTGTGATACACACACACACACACACACACACACACACACACACACGGTACCCCTTATGTCTGCTTAACTTCCAAGAGTCTTTTGGACATATAAAATTTGCCTGCGTCAAAAGTTTAAAATATGCATTGGTTCTGTGCCTATTAAAAGCAAAGTTTAAAATAAAGCCCAAATAATGGATGAAATCCATTCAGGCAGCTTGGTGGTTTAAAGCAAGACTGAACTTTCTACTTTTTGAAAAGTGTATTTCCAGGAATAAAGCTGAGTGGGCAAAGCAAGACCTAATTTTCCTTATTGAATAGGAAATAAATTGACACATATTGAATGCTGTCTCGAAGGTGCTTATACTGGTTGGGAAAAGATGGCCTTGAGACCCAGGCTATTCATGTTAAGATTGAAGATGAGGTGAAAATGCTAATTAAATAATGCCATGGCAAAGTTGGCTGAAAATGAGTAAGCAGGACTTTGTGAACCCTTCATATTCCTAATAAAACATCTCTTCCTTACTTGAACATCTCTTCCTCTCTCTTTTGAACTTCAGCAGGCTATAAAGGACAATGCCCTTCGTTTGTGATTATGTAATCTCTAGAAACATGCCCTCATATATTGCTGGTGGGAATGTAAAATGATGCAGCTGGCAGCTGCTGGGGAAAGCAGTTTGGTGGGTCCTCAAAAAGGGAAACACAAAGTTATGTGTGTTTATGACCCAGAATGTTCCACTCCTAGGTATATACTCACAATAACTGAAGACGTATGTTCATACAAAAACTTGTACACAAACATTTATAGCAACATTATTTATAACAGGCAAAAAGCAAATACAATCCAAATCTCCATCAGCTGAGGAATGGATAAATAAAATGTGATACAGCCATACCGTGAAATACTATTCAGTCATAAAAAAGAAGAAAGTACTGATAGTAAGAGTTGAATAAGGAAGAAAGAAACATGAAAAGTGGCTTCACAGTTAAAAACAGGTTTATTTTGGAGAATAAACCCGAGAGGGGCTTCTGGCTGAATTAGGTCAGGGGCACTCTCTGTTACAGACTAAGAGTATTTAAGGGTTTAGGGCAGGAGAGCTTATCACAGGCTCAGAATATTTCTGTGTTTCTTTGTCTTGCTTATTTGAGAGGGAGTTTTTGTGTTTGTTTCTATCCTTTTTTTTTTTTTTTTTTTTTTCAGCTGCAGGCATACCCAAGCCTGCTTTTAGCTTCCCTATCTTAGTGTACCTAAAGGGAAAGGAATGTGCTTATTAGGGCCCACTGTTTTACTGGGGCCCATTGTATGAGTGTGAAGTTTGGCAGTTACCCAAGAGACTTTCCCCCCACCTTCTGTGCCTGAGCTGTCTTATCTGTGTTTTACTGTCTGCTCTTTCTGGCTGCTTGTTGTTAGAAGAGAAGTGATTTCCTTGAAATGCCTGAGATTAGAAAAGGAGCCGGAACTTGAAATGGCGATGTTTGTCCAAGATGACGGTGCTCCTGCTCTGTCACTGATACCTGCTACCACTTGGATGAACCTTGAAAACGTTGTGCTACGTGAAAGAAGCCAGAATCAATGGGCCGCATTTTGTTCGATTCCATTTATATGAAATGTGCAGAATAGGCAAATTATAGCCCCCCAAAATTCATATGTTGACGTCCCAACACTTAGTACCTCAGAATGTGACTGTCTTTGAATATGGGGCCTTTAAGGAGGTAATTAAGGCAAAAAAGAGGTCCTCTGGGTGGGCCCTCACCCAGTAAGACTGGTGTCCTTCTAAGAAGAGAGAGATTAGGACACAGTTACACACAGAGGAAAGGTCATGTGAAGACAAAGGGAGAAGACAGCCTTCTGCAGGTCAAGGTGAGAGGCCTCAGGATAAACAGCGCATAATAGGTCTGGTAAGGTCTGAACAGAGGTCAGATTATATACTGTGTTATCAGCTAGGGTAAGGAGTTTTATTTAAGAGTAATTCAGAGCCACTGGAAGGTTTTAAGCAGGGTTCTACAGATCTGATTAATATCTGGGAGTTAGGGTTTCCCTGGAGATTCTAACAAGGAGGACTAAAGCATCCCTGACCTTAGACCCAGAGGTAATCTCTATCAACCGGGGTCCTGAATTAAACTTTCTTCATCCTGTTGATTGCCCTTGGTTTTCAGCAGAGTTTGCACAAAGAGAAATCAACACACCCAGGATAGCATGCCTTAGTACTCCAAACAGATTCTGAGAAGCATAAGGGTCAACCATAAACACACATTTTTGCAAACACTGTAATCTATTTATGCTACAAAAAATCTCCTAAACAGAGGAACCGAATCAACTGCAAATAGCTATTGTTGACTTTCTACGAGGACACTGGCAATCATGATGGCTCTGTGAGCCACAGGATTGTTGTAAAGAGAGATGTCTGCATGGTGGTGATTTTCTGTACTCATCAGTGGATTTTTGTTTTTTCATCAGGGCCAAGATCTCCAACCATAAACAAAGGAGAAATTTTGACTTGAGAAATATCTACTTTGTTAATAAGCAAAACTGAAACTGGAAAAAAATAATTTTGTTTTGTAAACACAGGCTTGCTGTTCATTTAGTGCAAAGTATAACTCTTGCAAAATGCTAAGGGTACATGGTCCCCATGGTGCTAGAGTTTAAAATGGTTTTGGAGGAATCAAAACAGCAGCTCTGTTTGTTGCACAAATGTAGCAAATATGAAAGCCAAATCATATAAATTATTTTAAACAACTGAATGCCACTTACCAGCTGTGAGCTACCTGCTTCAACAAAACTCTTTCAAGCCTAAATAAAGGGGGAAAATTTCTCTCTTCTCTCCATGTATTTAAAGACAGCATCCGAATTAACATCTGAGTCATAAATAGTCCATGAAACAGATGACTCCTCATCCTATGACTAGATGTTTTTTTTTTACCAGATAAAATTCTAAGTGAATCTCTTTTCTCTTTTGCACTTTTAAAAGCTATTTCCCTTCTCTGGTTTGGTCTTCTGGTTAATGTGCTGAGGCAGGCTCTTGGCAGCCAGATGGAATATCATCTATATTTAGGGCTTCCATTAACTCTTGTGTTTGAATCTGCTGCCATTTCCTAATTTCAACACAAATATTCTACAAGAGTGGATTGCCATTTATGTTATTGCTGTATAATAAAGTCATCATGCTAATATGCCTTATTTTTCATGGAGATTCTTTTTGCTAATCAAGCACATTCCCTTTTTATTGGTCACATACCGATACATGAGAAGTTGTTACCTTGATAACATTTACCAGCATTCAGGCTGGTCAGCCTTGGTTCTGGCTTTTCTCGCTGTCCTTTCCAGGCTGGTTTGGATACCATTCAGTGTTTTCTTTTTGGTTCATGGGAGTTCAGCAACCCAATAACCTTGAGAAAAGAGAAATGAGAAATGGAACCAGTTCATCTTAGGCTAAAAGATTCATTTTGACAGAGTAATTTTTTTTCCCTAGGATAAGAAATTACTGTGTCATTCCAAATGCATAGATACTACTGTGCCAAAGTGCTGCAGAGAGTTTCATGCTGAACTTTTTTAAGAAAATTAATTGGATGTTAATGAAAGTTTGGGGCTGGTAGAATTCAAGGGAGAAGTACTCTGTTTTTTATCACCACTTCCCAAAATTATATAGTTGAAGGCTCTTATAATGATTACAAAAATAGTAACCCCCACTTGCTTGTGCTAGACAGAATATAAAGCAGTTTCACAACATTTCTGCGTTGAATTAGAGTAATCCTCCTGGTATCTGAAGACCTCCTCTGAGCCCAGTGTATGCTGGCATTGCCACCAGAATCTTAGGAGTGAGGCCTTTGGCCAGGCTTGGGGGTTCTAATAAATTTAGCATATGGGCCAGGCGCGGTGGCTCACACCTGTAATCCCAGCACTTTAGGAGGCCAAGGTGGACAGGTCACTTGAGGTCAGGAGTTCGAGACCAGCCTGGGCAGCATGGTAAAACCCCATCTCTACTAAAAATACAAAAATTAGCCGGGTGTGGTGGTGTGTGCCTGTAATCCCAGCTACTCAGGAGGCTGAGGCAGGAGAATCGCTTGAACCCAGGAGGCAGAGGTTGCAGCGAGCTGAGATTGTGCTACTGCACTCCAGCCCGGGTGACAGAGCGAGACTCTGTCTCAAAAAAATAAAAATAATAAATAATAAATTTAAAAAAGCATAGCATATGGAACACTCTTCTGGAATCAGTGTCTGTAACAGAAAAAAAGAAAAGAAAAATTTGAAGTTGCAATTACTCAGATGGGTTTGTGGACACTGGAAAGGAGATGAGGAACCTACACATCACCTTATTTCCAGGAGAAGGTGGGTGGCGGATTCATGCTTGTTCTCAATCGTAGCGGTTGTTTGGACTCAGTAGGAGTATTTGCTGTGAAGTCTGTCATATGAAGGAAAAAATCAGGGGTGCAACATTGCGGCCAGAAAAAATTGGATGGTGTCATTTCCAGTCACCAAGGTGGGCCGTCAGCACAGATAAGACGTGTGTGTCTGGAGTTTGCTCTTTTACATGTGCGCTGTGACAGGCTTCTTGCTTCTGTCACATGACTCCCAGCTGGAGAGGATGATGAGGGGAGAGCCCAAGCTACACCAATAACTCTCAGTGCCAGTTCCTGCTGTTTCGTCATTGTCTCCCCATCACAGCTGTACCAAGGCCACTTCTGGTTGCCTTCTTGCTTCTCCAACTGCTTTTCTCTGGTTTCTTCCTTGGCTTCTCTTTCTGAAATTGTCACTTAAATGTTGACATACCCAGACTGTGCCCTTTGGCACTTATCTATTCTCACTTTACCTACACTCCCTGGACAATCACCTCCATTCCCATGGCTTCAATTACCGTCTCTACTACTGGCAGCTCTCAAATGAAATCTACATCTCCAGCCCAGAACTTGTTCTGTGGTTCCCTAGATGTCTCAGAATCAGTGTGTTTGAACCTAGCTCATGATGCTCCCACCCCCACAAACTATGCCTGCTCCTGAGATCTTGTCTATGTAATAGTGGCCAAGATTTACTGTGCTTGTGATATTCCAGGCTCCGTTCCAAGCATTTGACATACTTTACCTCATTTAACCTTTTCCAGAGCCCTGTACAGAAGATACAATTATTATCCCTCTCTTATACTCTGAGGCACCCAGTGAATCGGTGCCTTGCCCCAGGTTCAACAGCTAGCTGTGGACAGAGCCAGACTTTGAATGCAGGCTGTTGAAACTGTAGCCCATGCTTCTAATCACTCGGCTGGGCTGCTTGCTGTTGTACATTTACCCAAGTCAAAAACTGGAGCATCATTTTTGATGTCATCTTCTCCCCTGGCTCCCACATCCAATCCAATGCCAATCCAGTTCCTTTTACCTCCTGAATAACTTGAGCCTTTCTTTCTTTTTCTTTTTTTTTTTTGCTCCTGGGTCACTACTATAGTCCAAGCTATTATCTCTTGCCTGGGCACTCACGATGGCTTCCTAACAGCTCTTCCTGCTGTTCTCTCATCTCTCCTTTCCACCCCATCTATTTTCCATACTGCAGCCAAAGAAACCTCTCTAAAACATAAATTCAAATGTGTCACTTCAGTAAAATGCTCCAATGGTTCCCCATTGTCAGGGCAAAGTCTGGACTCCAATATGCCTAAAAAGGTATGCTCTGGGCTCTGTTTTCTCCAGCCTCATCCTTCTCCCTGACTCCATCCCCTCCCCTTGCTCTGTTAGCATGCCCCGTCTTCCTGTGTTTCTTCCCTTTCCTGGCTCCCGGAAGGCCCCCTTCTCTCTCTTACCTCTTGGCCACTTAGTTGTCTGATCCCTTTGCCTATGATACAGTTTGGATACTTGTCTCCTTCAAATCACATGTTGAAATTTGATCCCCAGTGTTGAAGGTGGGGTCTCGTGGGGGGTGTTTTGTCATGAGGGCAGATGGCTCATGAATGGCACGGTGCCATTCTTGTGGTAATCAGTGAGTTCTTACTCTTAGGTCCCACAAGATTTGGTTGTTAAAAAGAGTCTGGCTCCTCCTTCTCTTCTGCTTGCTCCCTTCCTCTCTCACCAAGTGATCTCTGCACACACCAGCTCCCCTTCATGTTCCACCATGAGTGGAAGCAGCCTAAAGACCTCACCAGAAACAGATGCTGGCGCCATGCTTCTTGTACAGCCTGCAGAATCATGAGCCAAAGAAATCTCTTTTCTTTGTAAATCACCCAGCCTCAGGTCTTTCTTGATAGCAACACAAAGGGACTAAGACAGCTCGAATGTCCTTCCATCTTCTCTGCACCTGCTTGAGTCTTATTCATTCTCAAAGGCTTTGGGGATCTCCTCTCTGGGGTCTAGAAAGGGACTTTGGTGCCTTGGCTGTGTGTTACAGTATGGCTGTCACTCTGTGTGCCATGGTTTGTCCCAAGCACGTTAAATATATTAACTCATTTAATTTTGCAAAAACCATATGAGGTAGACACAATTATTATTTCCACTTAGCAGATGAGACTGTTGGAGCACGGTGCATCTGCCACTCTAGTAGTTCACCAGAGGAAGTCTGACATGGGGCTCTGACTATAAGTCTGTTGCAAGAACACAAAAAACAAATGGAGGATGCAAGACAATCCAAAGATGAGAAACAGTAGGAAGCTGCTGCTCCAGGTTGGAGGGACAGAAGGAAGTGGGGATGTCACCAGAGGTGAGGCACTGGGACTGCCCAGCGGGAACTGGAGCTCTAGAGGAGGTGCAGCCACTGTCAGAGCAGCCACCCCAAACTGAGAGGGGCTTAAGTACCCTGACATTCCCTCATCCTACTGCTAAGCTCCACCACTGCTTCCTGTCGGCTGAGCTAACCAGACACTCATGGGCAGGAGCCTGGGAAAATGTAGTCTGCAGAGGTCGCGGTAAAGATGGGGAACAAACTGAGAGAAATAGGTAGAAGATAGGCCCAGAGAAGTTCATTACTTTTTCCAAGCTCTGACAACTTCTAAGTTGCAAAGTCTAGGTAGTTTGGTCCCAGAGTGTGTCCCCTTAACCACTGATGTACACTGCCACTCTGAGAACCTGGGGCCAGGCACTGAATCACATGTCTCAGATGTGTAAAATGAAAATAATAGTGATATCCTCTGTATGGGGCTATGATAAAGGGAAAATGAGTTGACACACTTCAAATATTTTGAATAGTGCCTGGAATATCACACGCACAGTAAATTTTGGTCATTCTTACAGAGATAAGGATCCCAGGAGAAGGCAGTGGTCTGGGCATGGGAACTGTGTCCAGCACTGTTCTAGGCTCTTTCTCTAGAAGGTAGTTGCTATCTCCATTTTACAGACGATAAAACTGAAGCCCCAAGAGTTTGACTTACTCACATAGCAAAAGTGGAAGTAGGACTCAAGAGTTTGATTCCAGAGTCAATGTGTGTATGCCATATTAAAATTCCTGTGTGATGGACTCTCTTACAGCTAAGCTACAGTTTCTATGGGGACACACCTGTGCCTTTTTTGCCTTTGATTCCCTAGCACAGGCTCAGCACCTGGTGTCTTGGAAGGCACTCAGTACGTATTTGCTTGGTGAATTATTAAATGGCCTGGTGATTTGCTGGTGCCGTGGAAGTGGAAGTTGCACAGACGTGTTTCTGGACTTCTTGGTCAGCAGTGAGGTGCTGGAGGCCCAGACTCTTTTCAGAAACTCATTCCAGGCCATCTCCATAGTGCATGCCCGAGTGTTCCAGCTCTGCTATTTCATCCATCTCTGTGATGGCTTCCCCTGGACCTCCGCCTTGTAGAGGCCATCTATTTTCTACATCCTTGAGTGCTCAGTGGTGACCAAGGCAAGAGGATAAGAGTCAGGGTGAGGAAAATTGCATCAGGGGGATGGAAGAGAAAATGAAATGGAGTCAAAGGTCACCATTACACCTTAAGGAGTCCTCAAGAGCACTTCATAATCATCATGTAATCTGCAAATGCACATCTGGAGGTAATTATATCCAGCTAGGACAAATTATTTCTACTTTTATCTTAGCAATTGACCTAGTATATGAAGTGGAAGCAATTCACTGTTCTCTGCCTCTGTTTCCCCACTTAAACAAGAGGGAAGAGATCATTTTCACGGAGTGTTGGAAAAGTACTTTTTCATCATTAGAGAAAGTCTGTAAAAAATTAGTTACTGAATCTGGCTCTGGCATGAGGACATGGGCTAAAACTGAGTTTTTGATCTGTTGCAACTGGTATGTTGTTGGGGACGCTGCCATTTCTTGAAGTTTCTCTCATCTTTCCAGCAGAAAGAGTTGGGCTTCTTATAAGAAGTTGATGTATATTTATTAACAGCTAATATGAGTTATGTATCTAATAATGGTTTCCTCTTCCCTTTGGCTGCTTACAAAGGGCAGAGCCAAATAGGCCAGCACTTGGAAGAATGTGGGATTTCACAGAACGCCTTTTATGTCCTAACCACAGCCCTGCTACTCATTTTTCTATCCTATCTTTTTCCCCCATTACTTTTATTTAACTGATGGTATCTTGCTGAATTTTGTGCATCTTGGTAAGCCATCCTCAAGCCTTCCCAGGACAACACAAATAAGTAAATAAATAGTTATTGACTCAGATGTTTTTAATCATAGACTTGATTCCTGGCTGTGCTTTAGGGAAGCACTTTGTTACTGGCACACAAGTTACTCAAAGTATCAATGTTCCATCACTTTCTAGAATGAACTAATACAGCAGAGATCAATTTATGACAAAAAGCTATAGTATATTAAACTCCAGAGTTCCCAGCTGGAAGAAATTGTAATTTTAGAGTTGGTTGATCCAGAAATAGATGTTGACAATTGACTCAATTTTGGTAATGTTTTAAATGAGTCTGTATTTTATTAATACATATACAAATGATAAATTTATAATTTTTTATTGTATTTTATTAGTCACAACCAATCTACACACATTTGAAAATGGTGGCATATACATATGGTGAAAATATCATTTTCACTGGGTGTCAAATTATGTTGGTGAGCTTATAAACTAGAAGATCCATTGCAAGAAGGCCATAGATTCCCTAGAGGTGAAGCTTTGCAGGCTGGAAATCTTGGCATTCTTCCTTTACTCATTTGTTAAGGCATATTGAGTTAGGTGCTAGTGTTCCTAGGCATGCTTTTGTATTACAGTGCTTCGCTTTCATGAAAATTGGAAAACAATTGGCTCAAACTCAACCTTTAGTAACAAAATTTCCCTTCTGACTTTCTAGACATGTGTCAAAATTACTTCATTAAATTTCAACAGTGTTTAAGCATGCGTTTGTACTGTGATTTTCACTTATTAAGCGCTCTGATGTAATATCTTGTTTTCAATTATATGTAATTTATCAATTATATATTCCTATTAAAGAACAGATTCAAGAAGAGAGGGATCTGATTTTGTGAAAAAGAAATTGTAGGGAAGAAAATCACTGGACTGAGGTCATGCTGCAAGTTAGAGGCCAACCCTAGACAGGAACTTTGTTTTCTAATTTTCTAAAGAGATGGGGTCTTGCTACTTTGCCCAGGTTGGCCTCAAACTCCTGGGCTCCAGCAATCCTCCTGCTTCAGCCTGCCCAATATCTGGACTACAGACACAAGCCACCACACCCAGCTAGAGCTTTTTCTTTCTTTTCTTCTTTTCTTTCCTTTTCCCTCCTTCCTTTCCCTCCCTCCCTCCCCTTCCTTTCTTCCCTCCCTCCCTCCTTCCTTCCTTCCTCTCTTTCTCTCTCCTTCCTTCCTCCCCTCTCTCCCTCCCTCCTTCCTTTCTTTCTCTCTTTCTCTCCTTCCTTCCTTCCTTCCTTCCTTCCTTCCTTCCTTCCTTCCAGGTCTCTCTCTACCCTGCTCAAGCCATCCCCCGCCTCAGCCTCCCCCACTCCCTCAGAGTATCTGGTACTACAGGTGCATGCCACCACATTCAGCTAGCTTTTGTATCTTTGTAGAGACGGGGTTTCACCATGCTGCCCAGGCTGGTCTCATACTCCTGGGCTCAAGTGATCCTTCCGCCTTGGCCTCCCAAAGTGCTGGGATTACAGGTGTTTACCACCACACTGGCAGAATTTTATTTCTTAAAATGATTTTTGCTGTTTTTTCCTTTATCTTATATTGCCTAAGGGCTTTCTTTTTTTTTTTTTTTTAATATTTTTAAGTAAACAGGGTCTCAAGCCTTCAGCCACCCCTTCATCTCTTATATTTCCCTCCAGTGAAATCATAGTACTATGCACAGGCCTGGGTCTCCTTGTCTTTCAACAACTTTGGCTTCCACTGGGGTCTTGAAATCCCTCCGCCATCAATATACAATAAGAAATCCAGCTTTTCCACTCCAGCTGGCAGCTTTTCTGCTACACAGATTAGCTTTTTCATGAACAAAAACTGGCACATCTGATCTATTGGAATTTTATGGCTGCTTAATGGAATTTATTGAAGGCAGCTCAGCAAAGTAGTGTTGCTATGTCTAGTCATGCCTCAGGAAGTGTCTGTACTTAAACCCCAATATGAAAAAGCATTCAAATCCCAGCACTTTGGGAGGCTGAGGCAGGAGGATCGTGGGGGTCGGGAGTTTGAGACCAGCCTGACCAACATGGAGAAACCCCGTCTCTATTAAAAATACAAAACTAGCCGGGCGTGGTGGTGCATGCCTGTAATTCCAGCTACTTGGGAGGCTGAGGCAGGAGAAGAACTTGAACCCGGGAGGCAGAGGTTGCAGTAAGCCGAGATCGCGCCATTGCACTCCAGTCTGGGCAACAAAAGTGAAACTCCATCTCAAAAATAAATAAATACATACATACATAAAATAAAAAAATAAAAAATAAATAAAAGGCCCCCTTGCTTGAACAACGTCCCCTGCAGATACTTTCTGGGCACAAGGGACGCCGTAAGGGCTCCACTTTGCTTATCTCCGCGCGAATCTTTTACTCATCCTGACACGGGCTAGTTCTAATTGATAATCCGTCTTGCTTCCTGGGAATCCCCGAGGAATTTTTAAGAGAAAAATGCAACTTGTTTTGTGAACGGAAAAACAAGTTTGGCTAAGAGTAAACAAATAATAATGAAAGAAAAGCTCATGAGAAAAATAAAAATGAAACAAAAGCACTCTTTCTTTCCTTTAGGGCAGTGCAGGGGACGGAAGGACAGTGGGAGAGGGTGGGAAACGCAGAGGAGGCGGCTGAGTTTATTTTTAACATCAAGTTAAAGACATACTCTGTGTTCTTTCCTTTTAAAAATAGGCTTTTAACGTCTTGAAGCATTTTGACTATTCTGCCTGTGAGGTAAAACCCCTTTTGTGGCTGGCAACTCCCACTGGGTCTTTTCCCATCATTAAAGGCTTACTGGCCAAGTAGTTAGAGCGTTGGAAAAACCCCAGCACTTTTCTTCAAAGGTTCCTCATTAGCATATGCACACAGCTTCTGTGCGCAGAGAGGCTTAGAAACCCTGGCTGCTTACCTGGAGCTTGAGCTTCCTTGCATTTTTCAGAACTGATGGTTAGGGGAAAATCCTCTTTTTAAAATAGTTTGGATTCATGAAATAGTGGAGACAGTCTTTTTTCAGTCCACTGCAAAATTTATTAGTTGAGTTTATGAATAACGCAACATACCGACACCTATAAAATTTGATATGGGTGAACAGATATGGTAATAGCTAATCTCTAACACTTTTTGAAGGCTTCCTATGGGCCAGATACTGTCTATATGCATTTAATGCTCTGAACAGTGCTCTCAGGGTACATAATATTATCATCCCATTTTACAGATGAAGAAACTTGAACTCAAGGCTATTAAATAACAAACTCAGTGAGTGAGTTTGGGGGAAGAGATTCAAACTCAGGCAAGACAGTCAGTTCAGGTCCACTGCTAGCCCATACCATAAGTACATAATTAGAAAAGAAGTCCCTACTTTAAGATATTTTTGCTTCCATCTTTTGGAAAGTTATCAAAAATACCAATTTTGTTAGAAGAAGACATTTTGCTGCCACTTACAAGACTGTTGTCACAATAAATATATAGATCTGCAATGTGTTGATGAGGTGAAGCATGCCCCCTTAGATGTGACAAACTTGTGCAGTGCACAGCCTGCACAAAGGTCCATGACAGCTGTTCGGTACACGTACACATGCAAACACACATGTACGCTTCCACAGAAGAAAAAAAAGGCTGTTTTAGTTTAGTCTTTTGGTCTTTTAGAGGTAACCAGGCTGATCTGACTTCAGGAACAGCTCTTCTATGTGGCTCAGTCTAGAATGAGTATAGATCATATAAAAGGGTCTGAAACTGGTTGTATTTGTACATAGTTCAAAAATATCCTACTCTTACTTCCTCTTTGCTTCTCCTCTGGGGAATAAACACTCAATAAACATTTTACACAGGAAGTTCCGTGTACATAGGTGTGTTAAAGGATGAGGATAAAATAAATAGAATAGTTCACAAAACTGGGGAGATTAAACTTTTATTACAGAAAATTTCAAACATATACTGAAGTAGAACAAAAAGTATAATGAACCCCACTTTCCTCCATGAACCTAACATCCAGCTGTAAAAATCATCGACTGATGGCCATTCCTGCTTCGTCTGGATTTCCACTCGCTCTCCTCCATATTGAAGCAATTCCTAGACACATCATTTTAGCCAAAAATATTTCAGTACATTTCTCTTCAAGATATGAAATCTTTTCAAAATATAACCACAATACCATTATTACATCTAAACAGAAATAATAAAAAGTCTTTAATATCATCATATAGCCAGTGTTCAAAATTTTAACTGTCTCTCAAATGTCCCAAATTTTCTTTTTTCATTTGTCTGTTTTTACCTTGTGTTTTTTGAAATGGGAACCAACTAAGTTCAAACATCCCATTGGTTGTTACGTTTCTTAAGTCTCTTTTAATGTACAAGTTCTCCCTTCATCTTCCTTCATCTCTCTCTCTCTCTTTTTTCTTTTTTTCCAGAGTCTGCATTTTGCTGATGGCATCCAAGTAATGTTTAACGTGGTTCTCTGCTGCAGAATCCTTTCTGTATCTGTATATTCTTTTAAGGTGCTTGGGTGAATTTGATCCATAGCCAGGCTTGGAAAATACTGGAGAAGTTGTGTTTCTGCTTCTGGATTTCTTAATGTCTTTTATCTTTTTTTTTAATTTCATTTTTCTATTTCTTTCTTTTTTTTTTTTTTTTTGAGATGGAGTCTCGCTCTGTCACTCAGGCTGGAGTGCAGTGGTGTGATCTTGGCTCACTGCAAGCTCCGCCTCCCAGGTTCATGCCATTTTTCTATTTCTTAAATCCTCTATAGGAAATAAGGATTTCTTAATGTCTGGGTTGAAAAAACAAAACTCAGAGGAACCTGAGTACAATCATAAAAGTACATGTCCACCACCTGTTGACAGACGATGAATGTTGGCTTGAATATAGAGGGCATCTAGAATCCCTGGGGCAACTAAGGGGGCTGCAGGGGAACAACTTCTCAGCCAGGCTTGAGATGGGCAACAGAGCTGAATTAGCAGTGCTGGAAAAAAAAAGAGGACCTTCCAGCTGGGGGATTTGGTCTCACTTGAGGCCCTGTGGGAACTAGTAACCAGCAGGTGAATTGTTAATTAGCAGGCAAAGCCTGGCCTGGAATAAGCTGGTGCTTGACTTCAGTGGAGTTTAAATAGCTGGGAAAACGATTGTTCTAAGGATACTTGACTGGAGGCATTTCCAGCACATGCTTGTGGCAGAAGGAGTGATGTGTTCTGTCCTAGGCACCTCTGCTGCTTCTGTCATCGACCTAGGTGATATGCTTTGGCTGTGTCCCCACCCAAATCCCATGTGTCATGGAAGGGACTCGGTGGGAGGTAATTGATTCATGGGGGCAGGCCTTTCCTGTGCTATTCTCATGATAGTGAATAAGTCCCATGAGATCTGACAGTTTTATAAAGGAGAGATCCTCCACACATGCTCTTTTGCCTTCTGCCATGTAACACGTGACTTTGCTCCTCCTTTGCCTTCTGCCATGATTGTGAGGCCTCCCCAGCCATGTGGAACTGTGAGTCCATTAAACCTCTTTCCATATAAATTACCCAGTCTCAGGTATGTCTTTATTAGCAGCGTGAGAACAGACTAATACACTGGGCTTGCTTTCTTCTGTGCATCTTCTTTTTGTTTTGTTTTGTTTTTGGAGACAGAGTCTCACTCTGTAGCCCAGGCTGGAGTGCAGTGGTGTGATCTTGGCTCACTGCAACCTCTGCCTCCTGGGTTCAAGCAATTCTCTGCCTCAGCCTCCCAAGTAGCTAAGATTACAGGTGCCAGCCACCATGCCTGGCTAAATTTTTGTATTTTAGCAGAGATGGGGTTTCACCATGTTGGCCAGGCTGGTCTCAAACTCCTGACCTCAAGTGATCCACCTGCCTTGGCCTCCCAAAGTGTTGGGATTACAGGCATGAGCCACCACGCCAGGCCTCTTCTGTGCATCTCAAAGGCTTGAGAAAAATTTTTTTTTTTTTAAATAAATAACAGAGCATTACATTTCCTTGGTGAGGGGTTTTGGGGCTTTTTTCCCCATGTCCACATTGATCTGTCAACACCTGCCCCAGGTCCCTGCTGTTCTCCTTGCCCCATACCTGCTGCCAAAAGAGGTGCTTGCTGTCAGAAAGCCGGGGTCAAAGTGTCTCTACCACTGGCTAGCTGGGCAACCTTGGGTAGGTCCCTCAGTTCTCTGAGCCCTGTAATCTTTATGTAAAATAAAGATTGTATCACCTGCTCCACCTACCATAAGAGGCTGTTGTGAGAATCAGCCTCTTATGGTAGGTGGAGCAGGTGATCCAAAAGAGTTAATGTAGGTGAAAGTCCTGTCCTTCATTAAACCACAAAGCATCATCCAATTGCTCTTGTTGCCTGCTGCCTCCTCTCTACTTGTAGTCATTCATTCCTGGCTGAGAGTGCAGAAGTTGAACAAGGCCCCATTACTTTTTAGTTGTATCATTTGGGGCGAGTCATGCTGTGAATTTCTGTTTCCTCATACATAAAATGGGAATAACTTTACCTAGCATTTATTTACATCCTTCTTTATTTACACTGCACCTTGACCCAATGATGTTATCAGCACGAAAGCCGAGATAAACACACATAAAGCACCTAACCTAGACTTGGCACCCAGTCGGTACTCAGTAAAAGGGAATTCTTTCCTTCCCTGTTTGTGGAAATTGGACTATGGTATAACCCAGCTGAGATGCCTTCCTTTATAAAGAAAGAACTCCTCCTCTAATTGCTGAGGATAGTACTGTCTGCTACTCCTTCACCCTCAACTTTTTATCTCAGTGCTTTGCTCAAGGCCCAAACATGCTTAAAATTCTCTTTTGAAGTCTGTAGACTAGGGAGTTATATAATGGAGTCTTCTTTTATTACTTGGGGATAAAGATTCCTCAACAGCACGTGTGAAAAAGACTCAAATATTTGGTTGACTGCAAAATTAACATGAGTCAACAGTGTGATGAACAAGCAAGAAATGTATTTTAGGAAGTATGAAGGGAATGGTCCAGTGAGAGGATAGCCTTAGACTCATTCTCCTCATGTTGGTCAGACTACGCTTGGACTAAAGGACTCAGTTCCAGATGCTGATGCCTGGGGATGGATCATCAGAAAGGAGTGCTAGCAAAGAGCTTGGGATGCAGGGTGTTTGAGTAACTTTCAGAAAAACTGAGGCTCCTTAAACTGCAAAAGATGTATTTCAGGAGAGATATGTATTGTCTCTTGTTTCTTGAACGGACTGAACAAAACACCACCACTTTGGATTTACTTAAGAGTAATAATTTCTAAGGAGTATGTAGAAGTACACATTTGAGGTTATGTGACTCCCAGGGGAAGAATTAGGGACAGTAGGTAGAAGTTATGGAGAAGTAGTTTTAGTGGTATTTCTGTTTCTATTCCTCTTTACAACTCTGGGTTTTCGGAAGAATTAGCTATTAAAACTATTTAAAACTTGGCTTTCTTACAGCCAGTTTCAGCATGATGTTACATACAAAAGATATTCAAAGCAATATTGAAATTGTGAATTAGAAAGGGACATAACTACAAATATACCAGAAATTAAAACAGGTAACAAGAGACAATCAGGTATGACTTTATGTCAATTAATTCGGAAGACATACAAAATGGTTAACTTCCAGAAAACAATAATCAATATAAACTTAAGAAGAAATAGCCTAAATTATATGATCTTGAAAGATATGACATCAATGATTATAGCTACCTATATTATGAAATAACATACAAATAATTTTTTCTTAAGACAGAGTCTCGGCTCACTGCAATTTCTGCCTCCTGGGTTCAAGCAATTCTCCTGGTTCAGCCTCCCAAGTAGCTGGTATTACAGGCACCCACCACCATGCCTGGTTAATTTTTGTGAGACAGGGTTTTGCCATGTTGGCCAGGCTGGTCTCGAACTCCTGACCTCAAGTGACCCTCCAGCCTCAGTCTCCCAAAGTGCTGGGATTACAGGCATGAGCCACCACACCTGGCCACAAATAATTTTTTACAGGTGAGTTTTACCAGATTTTCAAGGAATGTATAATCCCAATCTTATATAAACTATTCCAGAGACTATAACAAGATTACAAAAAGAAGGAGTACTCCAAAGCTCATTTTATTAGACTGACGTATGCTTGATTGACTCCAAAATAAGACATGGACAGTAAAGAAAATTGTAGGCCAGGCATGGTGGCTCACACCTGTAATTCCAGCACTTTGGGAGGCTGAGGTGGGTGGATCATCTGAGGTCGGGAGTTTGAGACCAGCCTGACCAACATGGAGAAACCCCGTCTCTACTAAAAATACAAAATTAGCTGGGCGTGGTGGCACATGCCTGTAATCCCAGCTACTTGGGAGGCTTAGGCAGGAGAATTGCTTGAACCCAGGAGGTGGAGGTTGCGGTGAGCCAATATTGCACTATTGCACTCCAGCCTGGACAACAAGAGTGAAACTCCATCTCAAAAATAAATAAATAAATAAATGAAAATTGTAAGCCAACCTCACTTCTAAATATAAAGCTATAAATTCTAATAATATTTAGCAAAATTGGTTACTTTAAAAACAAAAACACACTATATTTTGTATAAAACAAAACTATATTTTGTTTAAAAACAAAAATATGCTATACTATATACTATATTATAATACAGTATAACCAGGTTGAGTTCCCAGGAAAGCAAGGATGGTTTAGTGTTAGAAAAATCTATTAATATAATTTACCACATTAACAAATTGCAAGAGAAAAAGCACATGATTACTTCAATAGAGGCAGAAAAATTATTTGTTAAAATTTAACACTTTCATATTTAAAAAAATTAAGAAATACAAATAGAAGCAGATTTTCTTTACAGAGTAAAATATGTCTATCAGAAACTTGCAGCAAACATCATATTTAGTGGTAAATCTTTAGAATTATTTCCTTTAATATGAGGGACAAGACAAGATGCCTACAATTACTATTTGTAGCCAATCATTATTTGGGGGTTCTAGTTGAACAGTAAGGCAGTAAAAGGAAGACATACTAATTGTAAAAACAAAACAAAACAATCGCTATTTATAGAAATTGCCCTCATAGAGTCTAAGAGAAAATACAGGCAAGCAATTGGAACTAACATAAAAAATCAACAAGTTACTAAGCACAACATTAGTATAAAGATAATTTACACTCTATCAACATCAATAAATAATTTTTAAAATATTAAATATCATAAAAAGTTAGTTCTTCCTTAATTAATTAATGAATTCAAAACAATCCCAACTCAAAATCCCAACAGTTTTTTTTTTTTTTTGATACTTGACAAGATGATTTAAAAAGCCATGTGGAAGAGCAAAGGACCAAGAAGTTTGTAGAAGACCAAGATAGGAAGGCTCACTTTAACCTATCAAATATGTCAGTCAGGGTTCAATCAAGGAACTAGAGCCACAAAGAGTGTTATGACATGGGATTTATTCTAGAAAGCAGACTTTATCCAATTGTGGGAGGAGCTGGGGAGATGAAGATCTGGAAGGAGAAGCTGGGAGCTCAGAGAAGAGTCTAAACTATCTTTTGAAAGCACTGGCATAAGTGGACAACATCGAGTTTACAGAAAAAAATCTAAGAAGCCAAGTACACATCCAGCTACTGAATTTGTCCTGCCAAGGGAACTCATGGAGATGTCTGTGTGAAGCTGTTGCCTTTGTGAAGCCACCTTCTCTGTGGCTCTTAGCCAAGTATCTGGTAGTAGGTCTTGGGCTGCGGGACCAGAATTTGGGAAGAACAGCAGGATGCAAAGCAGAGGAGAACAAGGGCAAGTTGGAATCTGTTAGGTACTTCTGTGTCTGTCACCCCATCTAACTTTGAAGAGCTTCACAGAGTAAAGAACTGCCCTTCACTTCCACATCCCAAAGTCTCACACAAGGTCTTCTCTTGGCCAACTTGGACCTGGAACCAGACAGGAAAGGGAATTCCTAGCTCAACCAAAGTGGTAATGAAATAACCTAGCATGTCAAGATGAATGTTAAAGCTATTGTAATCAAGACAGTGGAAGCCTGGGCAACACAGGGAGACCCTGTCTCTACAAAAAAAAAAAAAAAAAAAAAAATTAGCAGGTGCGGTGGCATGCACCGGTGGTCCCATCTACTCGGGAAGCAGAGGCAGGAGGATCACTTCAGGTCAGGAGTTCCAGACCACCCTGGGCAACATAGTGAGATCCCATCTCTACAAAAAATAAAAAAATTAGCTGGACATGGTGAAGTGCACCTGTAGTCCCAGCTACACAGGAGGCTGAGGCAGAAGGATTGCCTGAAGCCAAGAGTTTGAGGTTGCACTGAGCTATGATCAAGCCACTGCAGTCCAGTCTGGGCAATAGAATGAGACCCTGTCTCAAAACAAACAAACAAAAAAAAAAAAAAAAGAAAAAAAGAAATGTTTGTTGTAGGCAAAAAAAAAAAAAACAAAAGACAAAAACCCCCCCAAATAGAGTAATAGAACAGAAAGCCTAAAACCAGACCTATTCATATATAGAAATAACATGACAAAAATGACATTACAAATTCATTAATGATATCACAATATTTGGTTTCTCATATGGAGAAGTGATTGAAAAAACTCCTTACCTCACACTAGTCACAAAATTAAATTCAACATGGATTAAATCATAAAATCCTAAATGTGAAGAACAAACTTTAAAAACTTTTACAAATAAAATA
This sequence comes from Homo sapiens, assembly GCF_000001405.40. Taxonomy (NCBI): domain Eukaryota; kingdom Metazoa; phylum Chordata; class Mammalia; order Primates; family Hominidae; genus Homo; species Homo sapiens. The sequence continues at coordinate 93,160,127 of NC_000012.12, read as the reverse complement.
TAGGAGAATATTTGTATGACCGCACCAAAGAGAAGGATTGATTAAACAAGAGAAAAAAGAGTACAAAGAACGATATATTGACTAGATTCCAATTTAAAACTTCTTAACAAAAAATGTCATAAAAACAAAAAAGACAAGCCACAGACTAAAAGAAGATATTTCCAGCATATAACCACAAATGAATGATTATGTTCAGAATAGTTAAGTTAAAATGATAAGTCCTAGGGTAAGGAAAGGAATAGAAAATTCACAGGAGACAAGACTTGAATGGCCAATTCAAAATGTTAAAACAAGGCTCACACTTATTGAGCACTCACCGTGTATTATTCTAAAGGCTTTACTGAGTATTAACAATATATATATTATTCCAACTGCTTTGCATATGTTAACACACATATTCCTGGCAATGAGTGTGTGAGGTAGGTATTACGACCTTTTTTTTCTTCCAGAGAGGGAAAGTAGGGCTGAAATCATACAACTAGTAAACAGTAAAGCCAGCATTTGAATACTAGTGGTTTGGCTCTAAAATCTGAGTTCTTAACTACCTTCTATTTTATCAACTTGTTAAATTTAAACATTTGACAATACTCACTGTTGTTAAGGATGTGGCAGAATGGGAACAAGTGAACCCTGTTTGTTGGGGTGTAAATTGATATAACCACTTAGTTGGAGAGAAATTTGCCTTTACAAATTGAGGCTGTTAGGTCCATAGCCTAAAGTCATACCCATATAAACAAGGAAAATGTACAAGAATGTTTATTGCTGCACTGTTTGTAATGGTACAAAAATACAGTGTAAAATATTTATACTATGAAGTATTAATATGAAATAATCTAAGTAAAACCCTATAACATAATGTTGATTTAAAGAAGCAAGTTGGAAATGGATATATACAGAGTGTGATGTCACTCATATAAAATGTAAAAGTATGCAAAACATGACATGGTTCATATACGTTGTAAATTTATAAAACATGAAAAAATAAATTTAAAATTCAGGAAAATGGTTGCCATTATGAAGGGGAATGAAAGAATGAGATGAGGGATTTTGCAGGAAGGATCAATTGTATCTGTAATACCATATTTCTTTGAAAAATGAGTAAATAGGGCAAGATATTAAGACACAGCACAACTAGGTGGTGAATATATTCTATTCTTCTTTGTATTTTTAAGTTTAATGGCCTGACCCACATTTTTTATCTCACTTGTCATTCTTCCCCTCTTTCATATCGCTGCCTCATGGGGCCTCCTACCTTTCATTGAACAAGCTGTGCTTCCTCACACCACACTTTCCCTCACTTGGGAATGTCTTCTGTTTAGAAAAACCCTGTTCACCTTTCACGGCTTAGAATACTTCATTTAGAAAAGCACCTGAAAGTACACCCATGTTCATAGCACCATTGTTCACAATAGCTAAAGCATTGAAGCAATCCAAGTGTCCATCAACTAATAAATGAATAAATGAAATGTGGTATATCCATACAAGGGAATATTATTCAGCTGTAAAAAAGAAGGAAATTCTGACAAATGCTACAACATAGATGAAACTTGAAGACATTATGCTGAGTGAAATAAGCCAGTCACAAAAGTACAAATACTGTATGAGTCCAGTTATGTGAAGTACCTAGAGTAGTCAAATTCATAGAAGCAGAAACTAGAATGATAATTGCCAGGGGCTGGGAGAAGTAGGTGATACAGTTTGGCTGTGTCCCTACCCAAATCTCATCTTGAATTGTAGCTCCCATAATCCCCACATATTGTGGAAGGGACCCAGTGGGAGGTAACTGAATCATGGGGGTGAGTTTTTCCCATGCTGTTCTTATGATAGTGAATAAGCTTCATGAGATCTGATGGTTTTATAAAGGGCAATTCCCCTACACACACTCTCTTGCCTGCCGCCATGTAAGACATGCCTTTGCTCCTCCTTCGCCTTCTGCCATGATTGTGAGGCCTCCTCAGCCATGTGTAACTGCGAATCCATTAAACCTCTTTTTCTTTATAAATTAGCCAGTCTCAGGTATTTCTTCATAGCAGTATGAAAATGAACTAATATAGTAGGGAATGGGGAGTTATTAATGAGGACAGAGTTTCAGTTTGTGGAGATGAAAAAGTTCTGGAGATGAACGATCATGCCGGTTGTACAACATTGTGAACATACTTAATGCCACTCAACTGTACACTAAAAAATTGGCTAAAAAGATGAATTTTACATTACATATACATTTTACTATATTAAAAGAAGAAAGCAACAAAAGCAAGCTGAAAGGCAACTTATAATATTATTAGAAATCTCTCAAAGAGGAGGCAGAGGGAGACTGCCTCCCAGGTAGACGCCATCCAGCTTCAGCCCCTGTGGGCTTCTCTGTCTCCTCTCAACTTGTGGATGGATGTGTTCTGTTTTTCCAGTGGTATCTTTGCTTCTTCCTGTAAGGCAAACTCAAATTGCCACTTCTCCACTTCTGCTCCCTACCCATCACCCCAGTGATGACAGTAAACCCTGGGGTGCTTTCTCTCCTGTATTAGTCTGTTCTTACACTGCTATAATAAATACCCAAGACTGGTATAAAGGAAAAGAGATTTAATGGACTTACAGTTTCACATGGCTGGGGAAGCTTCACAATCATGGTGAAGTTGAAGGAGGAGCAAATGCATGTCTTACATGGCAGCAGGCAAGAGAGCATGTGCAGGGGAACTGTCCTTTATAAAATCATCAGATCTCATGAAACTTATTCACTATCACAAGAACAGCATGGGAAAAAACTGCTCCCGTGATTTAATTACCTCCCCCTGGGTCCCTCCCAAGACAGGTGGGGATAATGGGAACTACAATTCAAGATGAGATTTGGATGGGGACACAGCCAAACCATATCACCTCCCCTTCCAACTAGACCCAGCACTCTGAGCCCCTTGCCTTTCAGAGTGTATTTCTACCTTCTCCATTGATTTCCCTCCCCTGCCCAGACTTTGAGTATCTGTTTTCAGAGTTGTAACCTCACCTCATGTTCTGATTGCTTCCTGGGCCTGGCAATTTGATTCTGGCTTCTTGACTCGATTGTGAGTTGTAAGCAGGATTCACCCAGTGACTCTGCTTTGTAGGAAGGGCCAAGCCCTTTGCTGACTGGAACTATGTGACTCCATTTTATGGTTTATCAAATGTGGACTTGCTTGTTATTATGAAATCACTTTAAAGCCTTTAGAGTGATTTATTTAAATGCATATATATATATATATGTATGTTTGTGTGTGTGTATATATATATATATATGTGTGTGTGTGTGTATATATCCATTTGCTTGTGGATGCATAGAAAATGCCAGAAACTGATAAAAGAGGTTTCTAGAGGGAGGGCAGTCTTTGGATCAGTGCTGGGGCTGAGTGAGAGCAGAAGAAAAATTCCCTGTGAACTTCCCAACTTTTCTTCACCTTGAATTGTTTATAATAAGCATATGTCATTTTTATAATAAAAGTATATATTCACAGTGAAACACTGTGTTCTAACTGGTATAATAAGCTCTTAGTATTTGATCCTGAGAGTCCCTCTTTCAGAGGCACCATCAGTCACATACGCTGCTAGGGCTAATGTCAGCTTCCAGGGGAAATCATCGTTGGGATGTGCAATTTCAGATCTAGCTGGAGAGAGGCAAGGGCGTGGCTGCAAACCCCTTTTCTGATCTGAACAGGATATTTGTAAGGTAGTCACCGTGTGGCTGTGGAGATGAGTGATGGGGCTGCCATTCTGGTCCCGCCACTGCTTCTTCCTCTAAAAGCAATTTAGAGGAGAGCCAAGAGGAACAGAGCCTACCCCTTTAATTAGCCTGCGGAGCCAGGCAAGGTAAATATTTGTGACTGAAACAGCGTGGATCCATGGAAGCTGGGATTTTAGCCTAGAAGCCTTGTGCTGCCAAGTTGCCATGAGACCAGAAAGCTGAAGCTATGTTTTGCCTCAGAAAGTGCTTCTGAGTTGAAGAGAAGTGGGAAGGAAATCAGCAGTAGAATTAAGGTCTGTGTGTTAGATGAGGATAATAAGGGTTTGTCTATACCTTAGGTTAAAGGCACACATTTTACCCGTTTTTATTTTGTCTTTATATTGATTTCTTATATTAAAAAAAATTCAGGCTGGGCGTGGTGTCTCATGCATATAATCCTAGTAGTTTGGGAGGCTGAGGTGGGAGGGTCGCTTGAGCCCAGGAGTTTGAGAGCAGCCTAGGCAACAAAACAAGACCCTGTCTCTATAAAAAATTAGCCAGGCATCGTAATGTGCACCTGTAGTCCCAGCTGCTTGGGAAGCTGAAGTGGGAGGATTGCTTGAGCCCAGGAGTTGGAGGCTGCGGGGAACTATGATGGTGCCCCTGCACTGCAGCCTGGGTGACAGAGCAAGACCCTGTCTCTAAAATAAAAATAAGAATTTTAAAAATGACTAAGTCGGGTGGGAGCAAATCACCCTGGTTAAAAGAACAGCCTCTGTAAAGAAAACCTTCAATTTCACCTGCTCTGAATTTGAAAACCTAAATCCAGTAAAGTGACAGGAACATCACATATGTAATACTTTTTAAGCTACCACGGTGACAGTAACATAGCCCAGGGAACTTTAAAAAACAACAGTTTTTTATACTTGAGTAAAACTTGGTTTTATTAAATATTTTTAGTTGAATTTTCCTGCAAAGAAGGTTGCAGGGAAAAAAATTGAGTCATTTGTACCGTCACTGCCCCGTGGGGCAATAGCAAATGATATTCTCTCAGCATCCCACACAAATAGCACATTAGGCAATCTTTAGTGCTCTATATTATTTCCCTGAATAACAGCCATAAAAGAAGCTAAAAGGAATGCAAATATAGGTCAATGATAAGAACTCTTTTGTAATATGCAGTCTCAGGGGTGTGGGTAATGATAGTGAAGATAAAAAGTCCACAATGCATCCTGCTGCAGAATGGCTATCACTTGCACGTGAAATTTAAGCTGTTATTTACTACCTGTTCATTTAGCTCACCGCCCCCATTTTTTTTTACCCTGTATCTTTCTTCACTGTACTCCTTATAGCTTAATATTACATATTTATTTGTTTACTTGTTTTTTCTGCTACCTCATTAAAATGTAGCAGGGATCCCGCCCGCTTTCTTCACTGGAGTAGCCTATGTCCAGCACTGTTGCAGGCACAAAGTGGGTGTCAAATCGCAAACACCCGCTGCAAGGTGGGCGGGGATTTTGGAGATGAACTAAAGGGATGTGGAGGGACTGAGTCACGAAGGCAATGAAGGGGACTTGACTGGAACCTGAGGCAGTGGGGAGGTCACAGAAGGATATTAAACTGAAGCTGGAGGACGGTGAGGGAAAAGATCAGACTTGGTGTTTTACATAAATAACTCTGGGTTTGTTGTGGAGGAAGGATTTGGGATGGCAAATAGCCTGGAGTTAGAGAGACCAGTGAGGAGGCTTTTGCAACATTCTAGGTAAGTGGAGATAAGAGCCCAAGCTCGAAAGTTGGTAATAATGAGATGATAACAATAATTATCAGTACAGCAAAGTCTGCTGTATAGACAGCTAGTCATTACAATCCATTGTCTAGCCTGCACTTCCCAGCCTCCTTTGCAGTTAGGTGTGGCCATGTGATTATGTTCCGGCCAATGGGATTTGAGCAGGAAGAATGACCTCCGTAGAATTCTCTGGTACATACTCCTTCATGTTCTTTCCCTTTTCTGGCCAATTGGGATGGAGAAACTATGTAGTGAAGAAAACTGTGCATCTATCAACCTAAGTCCTTGTAAAACCGTGTAGACAAATGAGGAAGAAATATCTATTATATAGTCAAGTCATTGAACAATTTTAGGTCTGTTTGTTATAGCAGCTAGTGTTACCCTAATGAATTTTAGCACATGTATTTTTGCTAAGCATCATTCTTAATGCTTTATATATGATAACTCATTTAGTCTTCCCAGTAGTTTATTTAGGATCATTTTGTTGTTATTATCCTCAATTTGTAGGTGAGGAAACGGAAACACAGAGGGGCTGTGTAACCTACTGAAGATTACACAGCCGGGAAATGATGGAGCCAGGTTTCAGAGTTCTGACTCCAATATTTTAAGCAATATCTGATTGTGGAGCTGGATAGGAATTAATACTTTAAAAATATATACAGATGTTCCTTCCTTTCAATTAAACACTTTGAATTAAAATGAAACCTTAAAAAAGTTGAAATGGTCAAGCATAAACATTAATTAAAAAGCAAGTCATTTTTATAAGATAATAATATTTCGAGTAAAATGTAAATAAAACCACCTCAGGTGGGGTTTCCTGGAATCAGGCCCTGTGCCTAAGATTCCTATGCAGAAGCTTTATAGGGAAGAATTCCTTGGAAGTAAGGGAAGCAGGACTGGACAGAAGGAGAAGGTAAGCTATAATATAGCCAACACAGAGCCCATGGCGCAGGATGAGTCCTCAAGCTGGGATCACCCTTCAGAGTTATCTGCCATCAAGGCAAGGGGTCTGGGCTTCTGTGCTCTGCCTCAACCAGTCACTGGATATGGGCTGCCAGTTTGGAGGGGATGTGAGCTTGAGTAAGGCAGCTTCTTTGGAAAGAGAGTTAGCTGTGAGTCAGCACTCCCCTGCAGCTGGAAGAATGAGCATCATGCTCTTGAAGGATCTGAGTGGCGCATCACAGTATCCACCACAGAAATCGTGAACTACTCTATTTACAAATGTTCAGTTGCTCCAGATTGTCCCACTGGGCTTCAGACTCATGTAGCCCACTGTCTACTAATTGTGCCTAAAGCATAAAATATATGCTGCAGGGGGATTGACTAGAAATAGGATTTCAGGCCGGGCATGGTGGCTCACACCTGTAATCCCAGCACTTTGGAAGGCCGAGGCTGGTGGATCATGAGGTCAGGAGTTCCAGACCAACCTGGCCTAGATGGTGAAACCCCATATCTATTGAAAAATACAAAGAAATTAGCCAGGCGTGGTGGTGGGCGCCTATAATCTCAGCTACTCGGGAGGCTGAGGCAGAGAATTGCTTGAACTCGGGAGATGAAGGTTGCAGTGAGCCGAGATCGCGCCACTGCACTCCAGTCTGGGCGATAGAGCAAAAAAAAAAAAAAAAAAAAAAAAGGATTTCGGAGGTAAGTTGAGTTGGGGTGAAAGCCTTAAATGGTATGCCAGGGAGTCTGGGTCAGAGGGAAGCCTGGTGGCTTCATGGAGATGGATTAGCACAAGGATAGAGCACTGGCAAGTATATCATTCAGGAGCTGTTATAACAGCTCATTGCAATGAGGAGCAGAGTCTGAATCAGTATCAATGGGATGGAGAAGAAGTGCTGAACTTGCAAAATGTTTTAAAGGTTGTATTCAATGGCTTTGATAACTGAATGTGGAAGACGAGTTAATGTTTGAAGTAAAGCCCATAACTCTATATTGAAAGGCTATCAAAGGTGATGCTTGAAGAAAGATCGTGGTCATGTTCACTCTGTGGAGACATGTGGGGCCAGGCATGGTGGCTCACACCTGTAATCACAACACTTTGGGAGGCCGAGGTGGGCGGATCACTTGAGGTCAGGAGTTCGAGACTAGCCTGGCCAATATGGTGAAACCTCATCTCTACTAAAAATACAAAAATTTGTTGGGCATGGTGGCACACGTCTGTAGTCCCAGCTATTCAGGAGGCTGATCACTTGAACCTGGGAGGCAGAGATTGCAGTGAGCCAAGACTGAGCCACTGTACTCCAACCTGGGCAACACAGTGAGACTCTGTCTCAAAAAAAAAAAAAAAAAAAAAGACGTGGCATGAAGCCCTTGACTTTTTTTTTTTTTTTTTTTTTGAGTTGAAGTCTCACTCTGTCGCCCAGGCTGGAGTGCAGTGGTGCAATCTTGGCTCACTGCAACCTCCGCCTCCCAGGTTCAACTGCCTCAGCCTCCCAAGTAGCTGGGAATACAGGCACCCACCACCACGCCCGTCTAATTTTTGTATCTTTAGTAGACACAGGGTTTCACCATGTTGGCCAGGCTGGTCTTGAACTTCTGACTTCAAATGATCCACCCACCTCTGCCTTGAAAAGTGCTGGGATTACAGGAGTGACCCACCGTGCCTGGCCCCTTGACTATCTTTTTAATTGGCATAATAAAAATAAGTAACTCTCCAATTGGCTGCTTCTTTCTTTATTTTTTCTTTCTTTTGGAGAAACTTTCTGTTGCTTTCTCCGGTAACTTAAAATGAGTTGTGCTTTCCATCTAGCATTGGTTTCTTCATCAGTCTGCTTTAACAAAAAACTTCTTTCTGATATGCCTTTCTCTTTTCAGTTGCAAATCTAAGTGTACCAGAACAAAACATATGCTTAAAATAACTAAACATAAAGTTTTAAAGCACGTGCATGAAATCCATTTTTTTCTTTATTTCTCAGCAGTTCTATCATGGTCCTTATTAGAAGTTCTAATAACGGTCCTAGATTGTGGGTGCATCGAGAGTTGACATGAAGTGTGCTGGGCTTGGGGACAATGTCCGGTTGTTAGCAGTGGGTTGTTCACAGTTTTGTAGATAAACAAGATTGCTCATTAGGGCTGAGTCTGAATGACAATATTAAATCGCTTTGCACACCTGGTGAGTGTAGCTGTTATACAGCTCTGGCCATTGTACTTTGCCCTTTGTGTTTTCTGGAATAAAAGTGATTTTTCTGACCTGATTTAGACAAGATTAAAATCTGGCTAGCCTTTTGCATGGTATATTTTTGCCAAGAAATTTGAAAAATTTCTAACAGTGTAGAAATTTATTTAAAAAATGGAAAAACAAAAAGTTAACCATTAAGTGGGATCAAATTTGTGTAGCAAACATCCATGTTGTGTTTACCTGGATTAAATCAATCATTCACTTAACAAACATTTATTATGTAACTTCTCTGTGCCAGGCACTCTTCTAAGTGTGCCAAGAATACAGAGGTAGGTGAGGGAGATGAAATCCTTCCTCTCGCAGAACTTACCTTCCAAAGTTGGGAGACAGAAAATAAGAAATAATAAGAAAGCTTACAATGTTTGTAAGTAGTAGGAAGAAAATAAAAGTTGAGATTTAATTTGCTCTTCTAGCTCTTCCCTCTCATCTTAAGAGGCTTCCCTGGTGAGTAACTGGGTCTTTTATGGTCCTACGAGCAGGATAATGTGAATTCATATCTATTATGTAGACAGGCAAGTTGACAGACTCTGGAAATTTATTTGGGTAGGGAGGATGGGATTTTAAAACTTTGAGTATGAATGGATACATATGATTTAAACTCCTACCTGGGACTGTCACCTGTCATTGTCCACAAATACACTGTTTAATATTAATAATTAACTAATTTAAAAAAAAAACTATGGTGGGCACTCTTTAAACCAACTTCTACTTAAGAGATTCATAGAGGGAACCAGCATCCATTCCCTCTGTAAGGCTTGGGCTGGTGCTCAAAACACACTGAACAGAGCTGTCCATCTGTCCTCACTGATCCCTTTCTTCTTTGAGGAGTTGAGTTTTGTGCTTTATGAGAATCAGAATTGTTTGTTCCCTGACATATTTGTGCTGGTTTTACTTGTTATTAAAATTATGCTATTTACTTTAATATTACTTTAATAACATGAGGGTGAAGAGAGAGAGAATTATTAAAATGACATTTAAATGGAATGCTTTGGAAAGACTAATGTTAAATTAGTTAACAGTAAGAGATTAGGAAAAATAATAAACTCTACAGTATTTTGCTCATGAGTGTCTTTAAGTTCTGACCCCCTACAAAGAAAGAAAAGTTGGAAATGAAAAATGAGATCTTATGGGTGTGGTTTAGGCCAGAAAAGGTGGTATTGGACCCTTGCCAGTGAATCTATAGTGAGGGAAAGAACCATGGCCTTCCACCAGTTTGGTAAATACATTTATATTTATTTAATTTAAAATATAATGTTTATGGGCCAGGTGCGGTGGCTCACTCCTGTAATTGCAGCACTTTGCTAGGCTGAGGTGGGTAGATCACCTGAGGTCAGGAGTTCAAGACCATCCCGGCCAACATGGTGAAACTCCACCTCTACTAAAAAATACAAAAAAAATTAGCCGGGTGTGATGACGCATGCCTGTGATACCAGCTACTTGGGAGGCTGAGGCAGGAGAATCACTTGAACCCAGGAGATGGAGGTCGCAGTGAGCTGAGATCACACCACTGCACTCCAGCCTGGGAAACAGAGCAAGACTCCATCTTAAAAAGATTAAAAAATAAAATAAAATACAATGTTTATGAAACCACCTTTGCAAAGATTACAACAGTGAGAAAAGTCTAGTATGGCTGACTCCATCTTGCTTCTAGCCTCACAGGCTGGCTGTCCTCATTCATTCCCAGGTGTAGGCCAAGCTGTCCATGGGAGGAATTTAGTGTATAGTTTAACTTTGAAACAAGGATCATAATAGTACCTACCTAAAACTGATCCTCTCCTTGTTCAGGGGCTGAAACTGCCTTTGCAAGACTAATGAAAAGCCACATGATTAGGATTATGGAAGGGGCCTGGATTCTGCTAAGGTATAGGCAGAGTTTCTATCATCTCTTACTGCTAAGGAGTCATGTGGCCAGAGGTCACAAGATTTATGACTTCCCCAATTGCTCCTATAGATAACATCATTATTGTAGAACCTAAGATTGGTCTTTTGAGATGTCTTTCAGGGTTTTGCATTCTGGCAATCTACTAACCCCACCTGGACTTGTGACTCATGACTCAACCTGTCCTGTGGCCCTCACGCAGAGGCAGACTTAGCACATGAAGATAATTTTTTCACATTCCTCTGATTGCATCCCCAACCAGTCAGGAACACCCATTCTCTAGTCCCTGGCCCACCAAACTATCCTTGAACAACCTTAGCCTCTGAGCCTTCTGGGAGACCAACTTGAGTGATAACGCCAGTCCTTCCACTGGGCAGCCCTGCATTAACTAAACTCATCCTTTATTCCGATACCATGGTGTCAGTGAATTGATTTCTTCTGTGCATCAGGCGGGAAGAACCTGTCGACTGATTACATTTACAACATAAATGTATCCCCTTTTTTTTTTCTTGACTGACATTACTGATGAGCTCATTAATGAGCAGTTCTGATTGTGTTGAGTAAGATTTTCAGTGTTTTGTAAGGTATGTGCTAAGCGCAGCAGGTACTCATGATGCCTCCATTCAAGGAGCTCAGGAGTATTATCCTAATATGATTAGATAAAGAATTTATGTGCCTGACAATACTTCTTTTACCTGATCCAAATCTCCTTTCTCTCACGTGCATAGTGGAAGCATAGAAAATATTTTCACTTTTTGGCAGCACCTTTCCTTTGAGAATATCAAAGCTCTTACAGGGACAAATTTCTAAATAAGCAATAATGCTCATATTGCCCTAGGGAGGTGGATAGAGGTATTTATGATCCTCTTACCGAGGATGTTAGACCAGTGTTGAGTAGCTAACAAATACCTCCATGCTGACTCTCAGGAGAATTATGTTTCTGCTAATCTCCCTGCTGCATTGCGTCCTGTTCCCTCTTCTGAATAATTCCCAGTATTACTGAGAACTCTGTGAGCATGAAAAGAGCACTTGTCTGTGAGGCAGAACACACAGGCTCAGACCCTGGCTGTGCTACTAACTGTGGCACTGTGGACACTGTTGTCAGCCCCTCTGTGTGTGCCTCAGTGCCTTTATCTGTAAAATGGGAAAGTCAGTGCTTATGATACCAGAGACCCGATTGTGGTAAAGGAGTGTTTGTCAAAACAAATATGGACGTGGTAGCCGCAGATAGGGAGAGCAACAGTGGTCTGTAGGTCTCCTTCTCTTTCCTTTATTCCCATTTCAGAATTCCTGCTTTCTGTTATGATATTTTTGATCATGAGTCGATTTGTAGGTTCTGGTTTACACATTCATTATTGAGACCAGAAATGAAAGTGTTGCCTCAAATTCTCTGATTCTAGTTTAGCCCACCTACCAAACTTGATTATTTTCCAATGATGGTCCTAGACTCACAATAAGAAATGCAAGGAAAGGGTTGGATTACAGTTGGGATAATGATCTGTTCTGCTCTGAACTGCAAGACCCCATTAAGTGGTGTTTTCTAAAGGTTTGAGTAACTCATTTTTATCTCTTCACTTATTCATGAAGATACTGCTGATAACAGTAAAAGAAAAAAGTAAAATGTACTAAATTTCCAACAATAGGGAATTGCTCAGGTAAATGATGTTATGATGGAAGGCTACTAATAAAAGATGTAGATGAATATTTATTGGCATAGAAAGATAATTGTGGTAATTAAATGAAATATTAACTTCAAAAGGGCAAATGTACAACATAATTCCACCATTATTAAATATATGCATTTGAATCAAACTATCTGGAGGAATGTTCAGTGGATATCTCTGGGTGGCAGGATTACAAACATTTAAATCTTCCTTCCTTACACTTACCTGTATTTTCTAATTTTTTTGTAGTGGATACATATTGTTTTTGGCAAAAGAAAAAAACTGATTTAGGTTGTATAAAATCCTATTCCAAAAGCTATTTGTAGGAATGAAGAAAAACATTTTGAAAATAAGTAAGTGCCAACTCTAAAAAATTAATTAAGCAGGGAAAAAATTTTAAATAGCAAAAATGGTGGGAAGGAATACAAATAGAAATAAACATAAATAGCAAAAATGAATTTCATTCTTTTTTAAAAGGATAGAGTCATTTAATGACAAATGTTTGAAATAAACCAAGTATCAATCGCCAACCTGTTTCTTCTTAGCTGAATTCTACCTGAAAGTGCTTCTAAAAGGGACTCAGAGCCTGGGAAGTAAACAGGATACTTTGAAATGTCCAAATTAAATAATCATAAGTTGCAACCTAATCTGATTTTTTTCTTTTTTGAGTTGCAAAAATATCTCTTTAAAATAAATCAAGTTCTTAGACAGAGGGCAAATATATTTATCTTTCCAACCATAATAAAAGCTGTCAGTTGTCAAATGCCTTTTATGCACCCATGTGTCAGATACTTACAAGTCTTTCCTCAAATTCATTAAATTTAATGGTTGGTTTATTTAATCCTCACTGTTTTAGGAGATAGGTATTATTGTGTTCATGTTATAGTTGCTGAAAACCAAAACTCATACAAATTAAGTTTCTTTTCTAACTCTTAAGTAGTAGAACCACATGGCCTTTTTTAAAAATCAGGTAACAAATATTTATTAAATCTACTTTGTATTAGCATTGTGTGTCGTGTGCTAAGAATAATACCAATGAAAAATATACTGTGGTCCCACCGCTTAAAGAAGCTTATATTCTAGTTGAATGACATGAAGCAAAACATTGCAAAAGTGATGAATCTCACAAAATAGGAAACCCAGGATGTGAAGGGGCAGGTAATCTGGTTTGTGACATCTGTCCTGTGGTCAAGACATTTAAACTGAATTCTGAAGCATGAGTAGGAATTAACTAGGCAAAGAGTGGTCGTGGAAGATGATTTCTGGTAGAGGGAAGGGAATGTGCTGAGGCACTGAGATGACATTTTGCTATAGCAGTGTGCTACAACCAACTATCCACAACTCTAGTTTGAAACAATAAGCATTTATTCCTTCCACATGGGTCTGTGAGCCAGCTGCAACTGGTGGGGCTTGGCTGGACTCCAGGGTTCAGGTCTCCCTTGTGTGTTACTCATTCTGTGTTGACCAATAGCTTCCAGGAACATGTTTCTTACATAGCACATGACAGGAGCACAAGAGCCCAAATGGAATCACACAAGCACATTTAAGGCCTCTTAACATGTTCAGGAACACTTCATTGGCTAAAGGAGGCCACATGGCCCAGCCCAAAATCAGTGGGATGGGGAAAATATTTTACCCATAGCGGATGGTATTTTGGAAGAATGTAGATGAATGTGGATACATTATCTAATATAGGAAAGATGTGAAAAATTGTGAACAATGATTCAGTCAACCACATCTAGGTTTTTCAAGGAATCCATTGCCAATATGGCTAAAGAATAGTGAGCCAGGGAGTGACAGTACTAGTTGATTTTATAATTGTCTGTCCTGGAGAATTTCTTCTTCTTCTTCTTTTTTTTTTTTTTTTTGAGACTGAGTCTCACTCTGTCACCCAGGCTGGAGTGCAGTGGTACCATCTTGGCTCACTGCAACCTCTGCCTCCCAGGTTCAAGCGATTCTCCTGCCTCAGCCTCCCGAGTAGTTGGGATTACAGGCGTGCACCACCACACCCGGCTAATTTTTGTATTTTTAATAGAGATGGGGTTTCACCATGTTGGTCAGGCTGGTCTTGAACTTCTGACCTCGTGATCCACACGCCTCGGCCTCCCAAAGTGCTGAGATTACAGGCGTGAGCCACTGCACCCAGCCGGGAACTTCTTATTATAGAGAATATTTTATATATGTATAATTTATATATATAATATATATTTTATATATATATAAAATAAGCATTATACATATATAAGAAGCACAAAAATATGCTTACTTCAAAAATATATATATGTGCTTACTCAAAAAATATATATATATGCTAACTGCAAAAGCTAATAACTTATCGAACTTCTACTTGAACTTTATTCCCAAAGAGATGAACACACTGAAATAACATGATTAACCCACAAAGCTGATATAGTGTCCATTGACTTAAATGTTCCTCCTTAGTTATGTGCCAAGCATTGGGTCTCTGTGTAACAGTAGCACATTTAGAAACTTTGCCTCAGAGGCAATTAAACCAGCTAAACCAGATTTGAACCCCTGAGCAAACAGCATTAAATTTGGTTGCTGCTCATTCTCCTGGAATGAAGGTCAGCTATTTCATACGCAGTGAATAAGCCAAACCAATCATAAAACGTGAGGAAACATCTCATTTGGCTATTTTACCTCGTGAAATGTGATCTTCTATTTGGTCAGATCATTTTTGATAGTGTTAAAAGAATAGTTCAGTTTATTTTTACCCATTGCTCTACGGATACATTCATTTGCTTTGTAAGTCCTTAGGGCTAATGCCTGAATGAACAGGTGCGGGGACAGGAGTTGGCCAGATATAAACTTGCACAGTTCATGTGCTTAACAAGCACTGATTTTTTTTAACAAAAAGAAAATTCACTTAATACAGACAGCCAGTGCATTATTAGCTATCGTGGTATATTCTGCCACAGAAAACTATATTAGTTTCAATTGAGGTGATTTTTTTTTCTCTTACAGATAAAAGATTAAATAGAAATCACTGCCTCCATGATGCCTCTGTTCTGGAGCCTTTTTTTTTCTTCATCTATTAAAACCTCAATTTTATAATCTTCAGGATTTAAAATAGAATCTATTCGTTTTTCTGACAATACTTATTTCCCATAAAAATGAGATTTTTTTGTTAGCTAGCTCACAGTAAATTTTATTGCATGTGCCATTTCAAAGGAAATCAGAGGTTCTAATAAGTACAATGGATTTGGAACAGTTCCTTGCCCCTCATTTTTTCAGTTATGTAAGCCTCCTGCTTAGTTACATTATTGTATTTTATTACTCAGCTCACAAAGCTGCATTTAAGAAAGATTACAATTTTCTGGTTTCCTCTTCTGAGATACTTTGATTCATCTTCTTTGAATACAGCTTTATTTGTGTTTTCCTGCTGTTTAAGCCTGGGACCCTTTCACAAGTCAGCATACTTTGTATATTCCAAGTAACAGCACCATTAAGAGAGGACGATCCGTTACACATTCCCTAAGAGAAGATGCAAGAAATGGAAGGAAAAATACCTTGACTGTTAGAGACAGATGCACTCCCTAATTGCTTCCTGATGGTTACTTTTAAAGGAGCTATGGGAATCCACAGATGTGTGTCTGTTGAGGTGTCTGTCATTCAGTGAGTTTAAGAGGCATTGATTTCCATGAGTGAATCATGGGGCTTGATTACAGAGAACTGGTAGACCAAGCTCAGGTTTAATTCATGAGTTCTGTTCACAGGTCTGTCACTTCCCCTTGGGCTATTTTTGCACACCCAAGAAATGGATTTACTTAGTTTTTTCTTCTTATAAAAATGAGGTAACAATATTATCTTTACAGCAGCTTTTAAATGTTTAAATATGCCCAACCAAATAACATTTTTAGTTGTATTGCAATGTTAGTAAAATTAATGTGATGAATATTTCTTACCCAATTTCCCTCCCTCCCACAAAACTGACCTGTTTACCTAAACTGACCAAATTAACTGACTGTTTTGCCATGGTATAGACCCAAATTCTTAGTAGAATTACAACCCTAATTGATATGGTCATCTGGCTCTTACACCTTGAAAATGTTTAGACGTTTAATATCAGCTGATACAGTTTTCTTTAAAAATGATAGGATGATATCAGATCATCTTTTTCAGGATGGAATGAGATTTAAATGAAAATTCAGTGTTACTGAATTGAATCACGTAGTTTTATATATTTTGTTTATATATAAATCAGCTTGTTATAGTGAGAGAACTTGAAGCTTTAAAGACCTGAATATGAATTTTGATCCTTTCTAGTTTTTGATCCTCCAAAACCCAACCATATTGAATGTTAATTATAAAATGAGCCAATACCTGTTCTCCCTACTAATATGTGTTTATGAAACACAAATGGTGTAATGGGTATGGAAGTTATTTGAAAGTTGTAAAGGGTCACACAATGGGATTTAAAAGAAAATTTAGACACAACCTGCTTTCATTGTTACTGTTTAGCAACAGTTAACTGTTAATTGTTTTGTATATTGCCATTTCTGTGCTGCTGTTACACAGAGGCACAATGCTTGGCACATAACTAAGGAGGAACATTTAAGTCAATGGACACTTTATCAGCTTTGTGGGTTAATCATGTTATTTCAATATGTTCATCTCTTTGGGAATAAAGTTCAAGTAGAAGTTCGATAAGTTATTAGCTTTTGGAGTTAGCATATATATATATTTTTTTGAGTAAGCACATTTATATATTTTTTGAAGTAAGCGTATTTTTGTGCTTCTTATATATATATATAACGCTTACCCAGTTTCTGGGCAAGACAGGAAGATAAGAAAAAAGGAAAAGGAGAGAAAAAAGAAATAAAAGGTTGTATCAGCATATTTAATCAATAGACTAAATAGAATAAGAGACTTCAGCAGAGATGATGAATACCTGATCACTTTTAAACAATTGTTATTGTTTTTCTGTTTGTTTGTTTTGCTTTTTTTTTTTTTTTGAGACAGAGTTGCCTAGGCTGGAATGAAGTGGTGAGATCACAGCACACTGCAACCTTGAACTTTTGGGCTAAAGCAATCCTCCCACTTCAGCCTCCTGGATAGCTGGGACTACAGGTACCCACTACCATGCCTGGATAATTTTTAATTTTTTTTGTAGAAACAGGGTCTTACTATGTTACCCAGGCTGGCCTCAAACTCCTGGCCTCAAGTGATCCTCCAACCTCAGTCTTCCAAAGTGCTGGGATTACAGGCATCAGCCACTGTGCCTGGCCTAAGAATTATTATTCTTTATCAAAACCATCTCAAAAATATTTTTTAAAAAATAAGATATGATTCCCAAACTCTAAAGTATGTAGGAAATAACCTATCAAAGAACTTACCAAGAAAAATTTAAAACTCAGTTGTTGCTTTGAAGAGATCTGAATACATAGAAATATACACCACATCTTCGAAATATAAATATGTTAATTTCCCTCACAATTAACCTATACATTCAATGTAATTTCAGACAAAATTATTACAAGTCTTTTTTTTAGGACTTCAACATACTTACTCTAAAATTCATATGAAGGAATAAATGTTCATGATGCCTAAGTCATTTTGAAAAAGAAGAGCAAAGAGAAGGAACTCACCCTTCCATATAAAATCAGTATGGAACAAGAACATAGTAAAATACATCTAGGGAAAGAGCAAAGAGTGAGAGCCAGACCTGAGTCTACATAGGAACCTGCTTTGGGATAAACATGGCACCATCAATCAGTGGGGAAGGGATGGATTGCCTAAAACCTACTACTTGGTAGTGGAGAAACAGCTCATTCGTTCACTATCTCAAGCATATGCCAAAGAGGAATTCAGTGCAAAAGTAAAATTACAAAGCTAAAATATCAGAGGTGTTAAAGAAGGTACTCATTACACAAACCATAAGTTGAAATTATTGTTATTATTATCTTTTGAGATGGAGTCTCACTCTGTTGACCAGGCTGGAGTGCAGTGATGCCATCTCATCTCACTGCAGCCTTTGCCTTCTGGGTTCAAGCCATTCTCTTGCCTCAGCCTCCCCAGTAGCTGGGATTACAGACTTGTGCCACAATGGCCAGGTAATTTTGAATTTTTAGTAGAGACAGGGTTTCACCTTGTTGGCCAGACTAGTCTCAAACTCCTAACCTTAAATGATCTGCCCACCTCGGCTTCCCAAATTGTTGGGATTACAGGCATGAGCCACCATGCCTGGCCATAAGTTGAAAATTTGATAGAGTTGACTATATTTTAAAAATTAAAAATTCTGTAAAGGGTAGATACAACAAGCAAAGTTAACAAAAAGGTGACAGAGTGAGAAAAGATTTATAATATCTAAACCTATAAAGAATTAATATCTAGAACACACCAAGAAGACTCAAGGGATTTTTTTTTTTGTAAAATGGAGATAATAATAATTGTAGAAAGTGACATGCTCAGCACAGAGCCTGCAGTACAGTTAGCACATTGTTTGCTATTACTAGTTTATCTATTCTTATACTCTGTGACAAAACACATTTTGTGTGGAGCCATTATGTATGGACCCCAAATTTCTGGTTTCTGCATGGTCTTATGTTGCCAGCTTATGGAGTTACAGAGAAATGTATGTATGAATATCCGGTCAGTCTCAATATCCACAAACCCTGTTGACAAATGTCCCTAGATACTCCAGTGGTTAAAAGTGAGGAGAGTAACAGTGGCCATTCCTGTGACACAGAGGTGAAGAAAACACTGTGTTTGCCACTGTAGCTATAAAACCAACTACGATGACACCTGCCAGGTGACGTTGGGAGAAGAATATGTTTTGTGGCTTGAGGTGTGAATCTTGTGACTGTCATATTCCATCCTGCCTGAGGCTGTGCCCCAAGGGGGCTGTGCCCGGAGATGGAGAGGCTGGGCAAAGCTGCTTCCCAGGCCTTAGATCTTTGTCCAGGTGTTGCGCGTGGCTGTGGTAGGTGGGAGGGCTGAGCGGGCCAGCCACTTTTTGCTGGATTTACTGGGGACTCACTCCCATACCCAAGGGCAGATTGGCTATAGAGAGGTGGTTTGCTCACTGCCAACCAAACCTGCTCTCTGAAAGCAGAGCTTTGTCTTTTTCTGCTTTATGACCTCAGCTTTGGAGAAGGCTTTGGCTCCCCAAGTGTGGCCCAAAAACTTGGATGATGATGCACGGGGTAGAAGGCAACAAACGAGCTGCCCTTGGTGGCAGTGACCTGAGCTGGGTCCACTCCTTGGGCTTGGGTGATGAATACAAAAAGTCAGCCAAGACCATCCTGCTGATAGGGAAAGAAGGACTCATGATAACCCTGTACCAGGTACTGCCACACAGACTTTCTCCTTCAATCCTCTGCAAACTTGTGAAACTCTTATCTGTTTTACAGATACAAAAACTGCAGCTCAGAAAGGGCAAATGGTCTGTCCAAAGGTACCCAGTTTAGAAGTGACCCACTGGAATTTGAACCCTAGGTCTGTTGAACTCTGAAATTTATGATGTTTTGTTTTGTCTTGTTGTTTTTTTTTTTTTTTTTCCCACTTCACCACTCTTTATATCTGCAGAGTGCAGTAGGGAGTAGGTGGAGGTGGGATGAATACCATGATAGGCCCCCGTGAACCCAAATCTGTGGCTTGATGGACTCCAGGGAAGAATGTATAGCTAGTCCCATCCTTGTCTGATCTTGGCAGATGCTTCAGTGAGGTTATAGAAAGCTAATTCCACTTCCCAGTGCTCCATTTGAACATGTGCTCCTATGCTCAGCTGGTTTTAGGTGTGGCTTTGGTTTCTGAGCAGAAACTCTCTTTCCATGAAATAATGACATCCTTAAGGTGTTGTGCTTTGCTTGTCGTTCAGAGAAGACAGCACTTCCAGGAAATGCACTATACAATATGGATGGATCCCCTGTCCAGAGAGGAAACCAGGCGCACCCTTCACTACAGGAAAGAACTTGCTCCCTGACCTGCCAGCCAGGTGGAATTTCATTTCTTTGTGCTCTCGGGATCTGGTGCTTTGAAGAACTGGCTTCATTAGCCACTAACAGAGATGCACTTGTCAAAACATCAGCAACTGACTTTTTTGTGTGTGCTTAAGAGATCACAGATATTTTTGTACTGGTGCTATCAGAGGTTGGAAGGATTGCTATAGCTACATGTTCTTGCCCCTCTCTCTAAGGTCTATGGCAATGAGTAGCAATGATAATAATTATGATAGTGATAATAGCAAACCATTCACTATATGTTTTGTGCTGGGCACTGTAGTAAGTTCATTTTATGTTCAAAACAACCTTCTGAAGTATGTGTCATTTAGGATTCATTTGACTGCAAGTGGCAGAAACCCAATTTCAATGGTTTAACCAATGGAGGGATTTATTTTTCTCATGTAATAGGAAGTCCAGCTGTAAGCACTTCAGAGTGAGTATGCAGGCCCCATGGTGCCATCAAGAACCCAGTCTCTTTTGCTGGAGGCTTGCTTCCTCATGTATGCAGCATAGCTGTTCTATTTTGTGCTTCACAACTAATTTTTAGGCAGGAAGTATTTGAAAGAAGGGAGAAGCTAAGTAGCACAAACTGACAAGGTGAATGCAAGCTGGATGTGTGCCCTCTAACAGGCTTTCTCAGAAACTCCAGCTGGTACCTCCACTTGCAGCTCCTTGTCCAGAACTGTGTTGCATGACCACATCTAGCTGCAAGGAAGTTGGGTAATCCAAGAGCATTTAAGTGAGCCCCTTGTTAGTAAGAAAGAAAGGAGAACTAGCTATTGGTTCCATAACCAGTCATGCCTAGCTTAAGTAGTTAATGTTTGTTCAAAATTTACAGACAAAGAAAGTGAAATTGGAGAAGTTAAGTATTTACCAAAGGCTATCTAGCTAGGGAGTGATGGAGCCCAGATCCGAATCCAGGTATGTCTGACTCCAAAGCTACATTCCTAAATGCTGTTTAGAATTTGTTCCTGATGGTTGGTGGTGTTTGGGCTGTACAACGGAGGACTTAAGGGGGCTCTCTTATGGGACAGGAGGGAGAATTGACTTTTCAGCTTCTTGAGAATAGTGCTAAGATCATTGTATAAAAGATATGGAAGGCAGATTTTGGTACAAGGTAAGGAAGTGATTATTCACAATTAGTAATTAACTGGTCTATGGGCTGTGTAGCTAACTCTATGACCAGGAGCATTTACATAGCTCAGAGGAGATTCCTTAACTGACTGGGAGTTTGGGCCTATTGTAAGTTCAAGATTCTAGGTCCATGAAACAAAAGTGGCTGAGATAGAATCATCATGATGAAAAGAGGGCTTTTGGTTTCTGCATAGGTGCTTCCTGATTTGTCAGTTAGAGTGACCATATAATTAATTTATGGTCCAAACTGGGGCATTTTTTTAGAGTAAAAAAAAGATTTATTAGTAATTATGCTGGGACAACAGGCAAACACCAGAATCATCATGGACCGAGTGGAAGCCACAGCTACCCCAGCCATGGGCTCCTGATGGATAATGGAATGGGGAGACCTGGGCTTCATAGGAACTGACAGCTGGGTAAACATCCAGAAAAGACAGACACCCCCAAGGCAGACCTTCCCAGTTCCATAGGCTAAACCTCCCAAGAGGCCCTGTCTGTGATGGGCTTCGGTGACAGACGTTAAAATCTGATGGGCAGGGACAATGAGTGACTACTGAAAACGTATGTCTGACACAGCCCCTCAGGCCCTGAGTCTCCCTTAGTGTGACTCATTTTCAGAGACACTGAGCTTAGGTAACGCCATGTGTCTTACTGAGTCATGAACCCAGCCCATTCTAGGCTGGGAAGGCAACTGGATTTTACATCCCCTGATATCCTTCTCAGCTTTTAAAAACTGCTCTTCTGATTTGCTCCATGACCTTGGGCAAGTCACAACCACTCTGTGGTTTGGCTTCTCCTTTAGTGGAAATAAAATGGAAATAATAGTTATGCAAGAGGAAAAAATTGATTCAAGAGCTTCCAATGAAAGTTGCCGCATACAGCCAAGTGATATTATTATTTTCATGACAGTTATTAGCAGAGCTGCTTCTTGTCCCATCCCCTCTCATTAGGCCACAGGGCATGGAATAAACACAGGTTTGGCCAGTGACTGGTATTTGATGATGTTGGCACCAGAGATGAAGGGGAGGAATTTCTCTCTGGCTTGTGTTTCACTATTAACCTCCTTTTGCCTGGATCTCAATGCCTGCTAGTATGGAAACTGGAAATCTGTGAGAATCTCAGCTATTTGTCTCATAGCAGAGGCAGCCTATTCAGAAAACCATTTAATAATGATGCCATTACAATATTGTCTTTTTTCTTTCCTTAATTCCTTTATTCAATAAATATTGATTGGGCATGTCTGTGTGCCAGGTTCTGTTTCCCAAGGATAGAGCAAGAGGCATAATGACAGCATTAAGCTTTTCAATGTTTGTTGAATCAAGGAATTTATAAGATGTGAAGTTTGGAGAGCTGATCTCCTGCTGCAAACTTGCATCTCTCTCGTCTATCCTGATCCCTGAGAGATATTTCTAAAAGCAAAATTGCTCTTGTTACCCATTTCCTAAAGGAGCAAAACTGAATTTCTTTTTTTTCTGTATTATTATACTTTAAGTTCTAGGGTACACGTGCACAACATGCAGGTTTGTTACATATGCATATATGTGCCATGTTGGTGTGCTGCACCCATTAACTCGTCATTTACATTAGGTATATCTCCTAATGCTATCCCTCCCCACTTCCCCCACCCCAGAACAGGCCCCGGTGTGTGATGTCCCCCTTCCTGTGTCGAAGTGTTCTCATTGTTCATTTCCCACCTATGAGTGAGAACATGCGATGGCAAAACTGAATTTCTTAATATGGCACAGAAGAACCTTCAGGGTTGGCCTCTGATCACCGTTTTGTCTCTTCTCTCACTGAGCCCCTTTTTGGACTACAAGTTTCAGCTATTACGACTTCCCTACAGGTTCCTGAATATTCAGCTCTTTCATATCTCTAGGCCAGAGGGCGGCAGACATTTACTTGTAAACGGCCAGATAGTTAATATTTTTGGTTTCCTGGGTCATGTGGTCTCTGTTGCAACTACTCAATGCTGCTATTGTAGTGTGAAAGCAGCCATGGAAAAAATATAAATGCATGAGCATGGCTCTGCCCAAATAAAACTTTATTTACAAAAACAGGCAGCAGATGGGATTTGGTCCACAGGCTGTAGTTTGTTGATCTCTGCTTTAGGCTTTTGCTCATTCTGTGGTCTTTTACTTGTCTACGTTAAACTCCTTTCATCTGACCAACGCCCATTCAATTGTCACCTCAAGTCTGAGATCTTGCCACACTACCCTGGGTAGAACTGGTCACGCATACCACTGTGTTCTGTACACACCACCCTGACAAGTAACAGAAAATTAAAGCTGTGTTTTCTCCCATAACCATATTATAAGCTTTATTTATTCATTCATTCACACATGCATATATTCACAGATCCATTCATTTAACAACATTTAACAACCACCCACTATGGGGCAGAGCTGATGACTTTTTAGTCTTTGCACAACACCCAGTGAAAGTATAACACATAAAACTTGCTTAATACATGCTTGTGAAGAAAAGGAGATAGAACTCAATAAAAAAAAGTCCACTGCCAAAGATACATCTGCATCTTTGTTGTAAGTGCTCAGAGGTGGGAAGTTGTCTTTATTGATTATGAAGCCTCTCCACTGTGTGGAGGGGTTTGGTCAGTTAATTGTATTTGGAACTTTTCTTTTAAGGTTTCTGTCATCCGGCCTGGAATAGTTTGGTGGCTCCCACCTGTTGTCCATTCTTATCCCTTTTCCTAGAACTCAGGGTCCTGTTTTCTGGTGACATCTTATGGCAGTACTAAGAGTAGTAGCACCAACTTCTAAACTCCCATCGGGGCAGGTAACTGACTTACGTGAGTTTGAGGTTTACCAATATAGTGCAGTGTGTTTCTTGTTTTTACTGTTATTTTTAAGTAGGAGATCTGTTTTTTCCATTGCTCCCTGAGAAAATAGGGCTATCTGAGCTAAAGAGCTTAACCAGCTCGCAGCATGGGGATAGTGAAATAGCTTCCTTGCAGACTCTGAATCTTTTGTTTGTTTGTTTTTAATGTCCAGTCTCTGGCTCTTTTAGAGCAATTTAAAGGTAAATGTAAATATGAAGCTTCTTGATTACTCATATTACAGAAATGATTTCATGGTTTTATGAGCCAAAAAATATTTTAAGTAGGGCTTAAATCATTTTCTTAAATTTACAACCCATTCTAAATGTAAACAGAATTATATTTAATTGGTTGTCACCAATGGAACCAAAATGACTTCATTTGGTTTCAACCTGGTCAGATATAGATTTTCAATGGTTACCAGGAAGGAAATGTGTTTATAATCAGAGGCAGAGAAAAGGAAATGGTTATAGCTGGTTACAAAACAAGCATAAAACCTCCACACTGTTTCTCATGTTACAAGAGCAAATAGGAAAGAAGCCACAAATGGGGATGGTAGCACAGAGTGTGTGTTGGGTAAACACTAGAGAAACGGGAGAATGTTCTGGGTCTCTGCTTTTTTCATTATAGAAAGGCAGCAAGGGAAGCCGCTGAACAGAGTACAAGGCTGTCTGCTTACTAACTCACCCTCACAGGTAATAGAAAATCAAATTCAAGTTCCATTGTGCCCAGGGGCTCTTCACTGATACATCAGTAATGTGCCTGCCCTGACACTTTAAGACTGGTTACTCTTATGAGGAAACTAAGGCAAGAAGAAACTAAGGCAGAGGAGGTGGGGAGTGGAGCAGGGTCACAAACTGACCTTTGGTTACAAAAGAAAAACAAGACAGTGTTACTAACTGACCAGGGCCATGAAAGGTAGTAAACACAGCCAGGGCAAAGTAGAGAGCGTGCAAGCTAACCCCATTGCGACAAATACTCACACAATTTGGTGATACGAAATTTCTAGCAAGTTCCTCATTGAGTAAGCTGTTGTCACAAGTATATTTTGAATGGGTTCATAACAATGTGTATGTGCTTTAGGTGGGCAAGACAGGGGCAAATGAGTTTCATGAATAAATGTGCTACTTGCTTGCCTGAGGTATTAAACTTTAAAATAAAATGCTATCTTCACTCTGTTTCTGGCACGAACAAATACTTTACTTTTGGCAGTTCTCATCAAAAGTTAAGTGTCACCATTTGGCAATGTCTATCAGAATGAAAACTCACATATCCTCTGATTCTGTAATTCCACTTTAAGGAATTGATTCTGTAGTCCTAGTCATACATATGTGCAAAAGTATGTTTGTGGAAGTAAAAAACTGAAAACCACCATTATGTCTATTCAGAAGAGGCTGGGTAAATTATGGGACACTCATATTATGAAATATAGTGCAGCTGTACAGATTTGCAGCAAACTTCACAATATCTGTTAAGTTTCACTGAAGAATGTTAGAGTATATGTAAGGAAGGGGAGGGGAATACACACACACAATACACACACACACACACACACACACACACGCGCACACACACACACACACACACACACTAGGGCAGGGGGCCCCAATCCCCAGGCAGCAGACTGGTACTGGTCCATGGCCTATTAAGAACCAGGCCGTACAGCAGAAGGTAATAGGTAAGCGAATGAGCTCTGCCTCCTGTCAGATTAGCGGGCATTAGATTCTTATGGGAGTGTGAACCCTGTTGGGAACTGCCCATGTGAGGGGTCCAGGTTGTGCACTCCTTATGAGAATCTAATTAATGCCTGATGATCTGAGGTGGAACAGTTTCATCCCAAAACTGCCCTCCACCCATGCTGGTCCGTGGAAAAATGGTGTTCCACGAAACTGGTCCCTGGTGACAAAAACGTTGGTGACTGCTGCATTAGGGGACTTCAAAAAGTTTATGGAAAAAATTAAAAGATAAAAATAAAAATATAAAATTATTTCTCAACATAAGCTCCATCAAGTTCAAGACACTTTTGTAAGCAGTGATGGCCATTTAGTGCATCCCTAAAGAACTGAGGGTCCTGGGAATTTAACCATATCAATGTAATCTTTTTTACCTTATTAACTGAAGAAAAATGGGTATTCTTTAAATATTTCTTAAGATTAGAAAACAAAAAGTCAGAAGGAGTCAAATCAGGATTGTACGTTGGATGTCTAAGGATTTCCCACTGAAACTCACAAAATCGTCCTCGTTTGATGAGACGAATGAACAGGAGTATTGTCACGGTGGAGAAGGACTCTCCGGTGAAGCTTTCCTTGGATTTTTTCTGCTAAAGTTTTGGCTTTCTCAAAACACCCTCATAAGAAGCAGATGTTATCATTCTTTGGCCTTCCAGAAAGTCAACAGCAAAATGCTTTGAGAATCTTCAAAAATTGTTACCATGACCTTTGCTCTTGACCAGTCTGCTTTTTCTTTGACTGAACCCTTTCCACCTCCTGGTAGCCATTGCTCTGATTGGGCTTCATCTTCAGGATCATACTGGTAATGCCGTGTTTCATCTCCTATTACAATCCTTAAATGAAATGCTTCAGGATCTCGATCCCACTTCTTTAAAAATTCCATTGAAAGCTCTGCTCTTGTCTGCAGCTGATCTGAGTGCAGTGGTTTTGTTACCTATCCAGTGAAAAGTTTGTTCAACTTTAATTTGTCATTCAGAATTGTGTAAGCTGAACCAATTGAGATGTCTATGGTGTTGGCTATAATTAGACTTATGCTTATTATGTTTATAATTAGGTTTATGTTCCTAACTGTCAGTCCTCTTTAATTGGGGCACAAACAATATTATTATTATTATTATTTTGAGACAGGGTCTTGTTCTGTTGCCCAGGTTGGAGAGCAGTAGCACAATAGTGGTTCTCTGCAGGCTGACCTCTGAGGCTCAGGTGATCCTCCCACCTCAGCCTCCCAAGTAACTGGGACTACGGGCCTGTGCCACCACACTCGGCTAATTTTTAAATTTTTTGTAGAGATGGGGGTCTCACTATGTTGCCCAGGTTGGTTTCAAACTCCTGGGCTCAAGTGATCCTCGCACCTTGGCCTCCCAAAGTGTTGGGATTATACGCATGAGCCAACAATACTAACTTTTTCCTCCAAAATGTATGCGAATGGTCTGCTGCTGTGGGCTTCATCTTAAACATCGTCTCATCTCTTCTTAAAAGGAATTAGCCATGTGTAAACTGTTGATTTCTTTGGGGCAGTGTCCCCACACACTTTTTGTACAGTTTCAATGATTTCACTGTTCTTCCATGCAAACTTCACCCTAGATTTGAAGTTTGTTCTTGCTTCAATTTTAGCAGAATTCATGTTGCTCTGACAGAGGCGCTTTTCAAACTGAAGTCTTATCCTTCTTACTGCCTCAACTAGATTCTGTTCAGACATGTTATAACAGGTTAGTATGAGTTTATTTTGGTGCAAGAAAAATGAAAATCCATGCATAGTTTTTTCATAATATGCATTTTCCATAAACTTTTTAAAGACCTCTTTTGTGTGTATGCACTTATATATACACAGAGTATTTCTAGGAGGATACCCCAGAAATTTAACACTGGATGTTTCTATGAAAAAGATTGGGAGACTGGGTTCCAGAGGTCGATGGAAGTTTACTTTCCACTCCATATTGTTTTGCCCTGTTTGAAATTTTTATCAGCCAGGTGCATAAATCATTTTTCAAAAAGAATTTTAATGGAAATGTCATTCTTCCCAATTAATTAGGGTTTTGCTGGTGATGGTATCAGTGCCCAATGAAATCGACTGAAATATATGGTTTGAAAAAAAATGGGTGCCCTTTAAAGATGGACTAAGATTCATGGGCTGAAAGTGGTTTAAAACATTTTGAAAGAAGGCATCTTTCAGCTATGCGTATATTTGGGAAAAGTATTTCGGTAACTAATGAATAATAGAGAACATTGATTTGGGCTGCTATTTTTATGCTAACAATTTGGAGTCCCAGAGAACTGTGTAGAAAGCCCAGCGCTTCTCCCCAGCAAGTGGTGGCTAAAGCCCTTTTATGTTGAAGGGTCACCCTGACTTAAAGCCTAAGAAATCATTAATTGAAAGCTTTCAGCTTCTCTTGTATATTCCAACTTCATAGCTCTAAAAAAGTCACCAGTGCCACTTCTCTCTTTGCCTGTGGATGGCAGAAGAATGCATGGAAGGATAAACACTCGCTGATTTATTTACATTAAATAATACCCTGCTCATTCCCAGGAGCCAGCAAGGTTGGTGGCCTTTAGAAATCACTGACATGGACCGGGTGCGGTGGCTCACACCTGTAATCCCAGCACTTTGGGAGGCCCAGGCGGGTGGATCACGAGGTCAGGAGTTCGAGACCAGCCTGGTCAACATGGTGAAACCCTGTCTCTACTGAAACTACAAAAATTAGCTGGGCATGGTGGCAATGCTTGTAATCCCAGCTACTGAGGAGGCTGAGGCAGGAGAGTTGCTTGAACTCAGGAGGCATAGGTTGCAGTGAGCCAAGATTGTGCCATTGCGCTCCATCCTGGGTGACAGAGCAAGACTCCGTCCCAAAAATAAATAAATAAATTAATTAATTAAATAAAAATCAGTCACATGACAACAACCTAGCAACTTCCTTCTAAAGTTGGACTCATGTGCAGAAAAATGAAAGTACAGAAGAGTGGCCAACACACATTCTTTTTTGAGACCTGCGGCTGAATCAACATTTGGTGTTTTGGGGGAAAGTAAATGACAGCACCCCTTTCATTTAACGTTTTTATTAGCCAGTGTTATCTCTTGTAATGTGGAGTTTATTGTTAATTAACCCATCGTTTATCTATGGCTTCTTTCTTCTCAAACAGACTGTAAGCTCCTTCAGTGCTGGAGCAGTGTCATTCATCCATTTGTTCATTTACGGATCAAATATTTAATGCATAACTACCACATGCATGATGCTTTGCTAAGCCCTTGGGGAGGCAAAGATGAAGACATATTCCTTGCTTTCAAGGTATTCAGTCTTTTAGTCTCTTCTAGTCTCATGGTCTAATAGATAGCCTTATTCAGATTTGTGTCTCCCAAGGTTATGGACAGAGAGGGCTCAAGCAGATGCTTAGTAAATGCTGGTTGGTTGTGAAATTCTCAGACCGTGAACCCACAATGGGGTCATGATACTGTGGGTGTGTATTCAATTTTTGCTGATGAATTTTAGGAAATCACCAGACAGTTTTTCAAGATCTCTTTAATAATAGCTTTTAGAAGTATACTTTCTTTTTTTCTTAGATTAGAAGTTTCTGCACCTGGCAATGGAACCTCTTTTAGGGCTGAAATTGAAGACAACAATTATTCTGACCCAAGAGCTTGGGCTATAAACTCCTTGGGAAGTCGGCCCACTTTTCACACAGACAAATGGCAACTCATGAACAAAGAGGCACAGGAAGAGGGAAAGGGGTCAGGGAAGGTAACATTTCCTGAGTGCCCACACAAGGCCTGGAACGCCACATGCTTCAGTTCATTTACAGACAGCCACTTGAGGAACACAGTGACACTGAGGTGGAGAGAAAGAAATGAGCATTTTGGCAGTGGATGGGGTCTGGGGGTGAGTAGGCGATGGATATATTTGTATGTATGTATGGTGTGCTTTTAATTTAACATTAAATACAGATTTATCAAGCACTCTTCTATTTGCTACGTGCCCAAAGAGGTTTAAGCCACAGTCTGAGCTCTCAAGGAGGCAAATGGTATAAAGAAACATACCCTAAGTTAAATAGCCACCTGAACATGGTATAACATTATAGATTTTACAGTTGCCTGGATCCAGAGGGAACATTTGATCCAGAGTTTCCAGAAATGTTGTCCTCATCTCATTGATAGGATGCAAGATGATTTGGGCATTATACAAACATTTAAAACTTTCATTAGGCATTTATTTTAACATGCATTAGAAAAATCGACAGTGTATCATGCCCTCTGTGGTGGCACACAACTGTAGTCCCAACTACTCGGGAGAATTGCTTGAGCCCAGGCAGGGATTCAAGGCCAGCCTGGACAACATAGCAAGACGCTATCACAATAAATAAATAAATAAAGGAAAAACAAAAATCTGTAGCATATCGGACTCTTGCATACGTGGATATTACTGCTTCCTGTGAGGCTACATATGAAAGTGAATTGATTTAAGGATTATCTAAAGGAAAACATCAAGTTAGTAGCTGAGTATAGGAAAGTGGACTGGAATATGGCAAAGATTCTCTAAGTGTTATTTGAATGACCTGAGTTTGGGAAATTCAGATCAAGTCCAATCTCCAGGATGCAGAGAGAGTAAGTGAGTTGTCCAAGGTCACGAAGCAAGTGGAGATCACAGACCAGAACGCAGCCTCCGCCCCCACATCTTTATTCAATCATTTCTTCCTACTTTGCAGATGTGGAAACTGCAGGCCAAATAACAAATTCTGTCTTTCGCATGCAGTAACTGCCATGAGAATCTGACTGCAAAGTAGAAAGCCTAGAGTTGCCTTCACGAAAAATCAAAGTTAATATTTATATAGAGAGTGCTTACTGTGCATCCCGGTGTTATAAAAATGTCATACATATTAATTTATGTTAATCCCTAAGCCACTCTGTGAGATGTGCTTAGGTATTTCTACCATCCCTCTTTTTGCATGAAGAAATTAAGGAACAAATAACAATAGCTTTCTTAGATTATAACCTTCAGAGCTGGGATTTGAATCCCCAGGTAGTCCAGCTCCAGAATTTGCCTCCTTAACCATTACACATACAGCTCACCAATAATAAATGGAGAGGTGAAAGGGGCAACTTGTCTACCTGGTGAAATTGTAGATTCTGCTCAGACAATGTATTCCTCCCCTGTTCCTTCCTGCTTCACATTTTTCAATTAATGCCTTGTTCATTCCATGGAAGACATTGTTTCTTCATGCCACCATTTTTGAAATAATTAATTAGCATTAATTAATTAATGTTTTAGAGATGGGGGGGTCTCTCTGTTACCCAGGCTGGTCTCGAACTCCTGGGCTCAAGTGATCCTCCTGCTTCAGCCTCCCAAGTAGCTGGGATTACAGGCACCACCTGCAGCGCCCAGCTCACATCATCACTTTTTAATCTGCAGAAACTCAGATTCCACAGAGAGAAATCTGTGACTACCAAGAACAATTCTTTTATAAAAATAAAATTTGTTGGATTTCTATGATAAAAACTGTAAAGAAATAGTCCCATCCCTAAGGTTGAAGAAAGGACAAGAGTCATAGGAAGTGAATGCAGGGAGGGATAATTTTGGGAAATGGTGGGGCCGAGAGTGACACTGGAGAGGAGGCCTGTGTTAGGACTGGTCCAGCGCACCACAGGGGGCCACCAGGTGTTGAGAAAGCCCTGCCTGGTGCCCAGCACTTGGCACAGCACCTGGCATAGAGCAGGTGCTCGAAAGCTTTGTTGAATGGATGGAAGTCTGGATGGAAACAGAAGCCAGGCACGGAGGCGGGCGCCAGCACAGTGACTGGAGGTGAGAAGGCATCAAACACTTGACCTACTGTGTAACTTTGCTCAGGTAAGCCCAAGAGGCAAGCACAGTGCCAAATCTCCCATCAGCAGACAAAGGAGCTGTGAGTAAACCATTCACTGTGCTGCTGCTCTGGCTAGAAAGTTTTGCTTTGGGGAAATCCTTTTCATGTTTGTTACCTATTGGTAGCAGCCCCCGTTCAATCCTCCGACCTACTCTTCCTTAGATGAACCGCCCTCACTCTCCTTCCCTATAGGGTGCCTCAGGGCGGGCCAAGCCCATCTGGGGAGCATCGCCAGCCTCCTGTGTACTGGTGCCAGAGAAAGATCAACCCGTGGCACTTTTCTGTATCTCACCAGCAGGTGCTGACAGCTGAGCCATTCCACGCACCTTCGGAGCAAAGAACTGCCGGAAACCAGGGCCAAGTTCAGAGCCTGAAATTTTTTTCAAAGGCTACAAGGAGAAACCTGGGGGGCCTGATCACACATTACATAAGCCGTATGTGAGCAGAGGATGCCACTGATGCTAGGAACCCAGTGCCTGTCGGAATTGCGCAAGGTTTACGCAGAAGCACTTAAGTGTTGCAACATGACCCCACATCTTTACCAAAAATGTGAAACATTCACGCAGCACACACTTTAAAAACACTAAAGCTTGTCTCCGCCAGGTGGCTAAGGCTGCTTGATGGGGCTGACAGGAGAGGAGCTTTGCAGGGGGGCCTGACTTACTGTAGCTCTTGGCCCAGGGAGCTGAACACGCAGTACTTTGTACCCCAATAGCCCTGGGCAGCCCAAGCCTCTGATAAAATGTACTTTTCTGTGTGTTTGTTTTTCCTGGCAGTCTCATTTTGGGTTATAAATGGCTCCTTATTTCCATCCCATAGATCCATTCTTGCCTCTGTTGCGTTCTCTTTCGGCTTTCCAAAATAACCGAAAGGTTGGTAAAATCAACGCTGGTGAACGGCTTGTTCTGACCTTGAGCAGAAGCCGAATTTCCACATTGCTCATGCCATCTACAGTTGCTCCCGTGTCCGAGAGGTTGGCTGGAAAGGCCTCCTGAAAGCAGGGGATATAATTATACTTACACTAAAGCACTTGTTGCCATTAAATGCCAGGAAGTGGCATGGACCTTCCCTTGCTCCTGCCCTGCAACCTTTTTGGAGGACTATTGGGCAATCATCAGAGGTTATAGAGTTGGAACAGCATTCCCCCCAGATAGGTCATTTTCCCTGCAGGACAGCTTGGAGGCAAATTTTATTAAGTATCAAGTAGCTGACCCAAAGCAGTATAAATAGCGAGAGAACATATGACAAACCCAGAAATGAATGTGTTTAAACCCCAGGCTGAAGATATATGATGTGTTTACTGTTATCAGCACCTGCATGAAGATATTTTTGCCCAGTAGCCATCCAGGAAAAGATGAAACATATAAGTGACGTTATTAAGGCTTAATCTTAGAAAAATAATTTTGACCCTACTTTTGGAAGTCAGTGGACCACAGAGTTAATTTGGGGAAGGGACCTGAGGATAGGTTGGATGTGATTGGCTGTCATAGGAAGTACAGACAGACACTTATAAAACATCCCAAGTTCAGCCAGTTAAGAGCCAGGGGGAAAAACATGGAACTGTAGTTTACATTGGGTAGGAACTGTAAGCAGTCACTATCAGGCAAAAGGGACTTCCAAGTTGGAATTTTTCGAGAGAGACATGGAGAACATTTTAATTCAGGCCTGTTTTCCTCCATTGTTCCCTACCTTTATTCTAGGACATACCACAGAGTACAAACCATGCTTTAGTGACATTGATCAGGCCACAGATGACTGAGTTATGAGAGGCCATGAGCTTTCCAACATCAGTTTCCTAAACCAGCTGCTTCTCATCAGTCTGGTCCCCACTGGCCAGAGCTATTGACATCCTGGAAGATAATCCTATATTCCTACAAAGGTAGGAGAAGGTTCTGGGGAGAAATAGTGTAAGTTTTTATTTTTAATTTTTGATTATTATGGGTACATAATACATGTATGTATTCATGGCAGGGGTACATGTGATGTTCTGATATAGGCATGTGGTGTATAATGATCACATCATGCTAATTGGGGTGTCCATCACCTCAAGCACTTATTATGTCTTTTTGTTAGGAACATTCCAGTTCTACTCTTTTAGTTTCATTTTTGTTTGTTTTTGAGAGGCAGGGTCTCGCTCTGTTGCCCAGGCTGGAGGGCAGTGGCAAGATCACTGCTCACCGCAGCCTTGACTTCCTGGGCTCAAGTGATTCTCTGGCCTCAGCCTCCCATGCAGTTCTATTAATAGAACTAAGACAAAAAGGGTCATAGGCTTTCAGAGGCCACAGTGACCACAAGAGGCTGATGCACCACCATGCCTGGCTAATTTTTGAGTCTTTCCAAGAGAAGAGGTCTCCCTATGGTGCCCAAACTGGTCTCGAACTCCTGGGCTCAAGTGATCCTCCTACCTCGGCCTTCCGAAGTGCTGGGATTACAAGCGTGAGCCACATATACAGTCTAGCAATTTTAAAATATACAGTAAATTATTGCTGACTGTTGTTGCCCTGTTGTGCTGTCAAATACTAGATCTTATTTAACTATATTTTTGCACTCATTAACCATTCCCATTTTTCCCCTTGCTCCCTGCTACGCTTCCCAGCCTCTGGTAACCATCATTCTACTCTCTATCTCCATGAGTTCAGTTGTTATAATTTTTGGCTTCCCCATATGAGTGAGGACATTTGAAATTGGTCTTTCTACGAGGAATGGCATGAGTTTGACATAGAATGCAATTTGTTGAAGCACTCAGAGTTAGCAAATTTCCAACGCATCCCTGGCCCTGCCTACAGCCTGCAGCTTCCCGTATGCCTTGTAAAGGGAGACTTCTGCTTCTACCAGCTCTAAGTTCTAAAAGTGTTTTTAAGAGTGGCAATATTGTGTGTTTAACCCTTTGAAGAAGACAGTAGCCACCTGAATACATCAGTTCTTACATGTTAATTAAAAATCAGTAATCTTTACTTTGTATCTATTAATAGAACTAAGACAAAAAGGGCCATAGGCTTTCAGAGGTCACAGTGACCACAAGAGGCTGATGCAGTCAAGAAATTCTTCACAGAGGGCATGGGGCATGGATGTAGCTCTGTCACTTTTTCCCAGAACCACCCTCACTCCTGCAAAGACTGTTGGCTCCTTACCCAGTATTCACTCTCCATGTCTTCCTTGGTAGAATAAGCAGCGTGGGAAAGTGCCTGGCTAAAAGGCTACATTTTCCATCTTCCTTCACAGTAGGGGTGACTAATGAAATCCCAGGAGATGTTGGGTGGTCAGGGTTGCCAGATCAAATAAGGAACACTTAGTTAAATTAGAATTTCAGTCAATAATGAACATTTTATTGTTGTTGTCGTTGTTGTTGAGATAGAGTCTCATTGTGTCACCCAGACTGGAGTGCACTGGTGCCATCTTGGCTCACTGCAAGCTCCGCCTCCTGGGTTCAAGCAATTCTCCTGCCTTGACCTCCTGAGTAGCAGGGATTACAGGTGTGCACCACCACACCTGGCTAATTTTTGTATTTTTAGTAGAGACAGGGTTTTGCCATTGTTGGCCAGGCTGGTCTCAAACTCCTGGCCTCAAATGATCCACCCACATTGGCCTCCCAAAGTGCTGGGATTACAGGCATGAGCCACCTTGCCTGGCCTACCCCTTTTGTCCTTTTTCCCATTTTCTTTTCTGGGATATGGATGTGATGCCTAGGGCTCCAGCCTCCTTCTTGGGTCATGAGGTTAAGGATGGCAGATACAAAAGACAGAGGACTGCATACCTTCAGACTTTCTTATGTGTGATAGTAACCATTGATTTTCTTTAGCTGCTTGAGGTATCTCTGTGATTTGCATCCAATTGCTCTTCCTAACTGGTATAGCCATAATAAAGGGTGCATTGTGGTGGCAGCAGCTGAAATTGATGAAGAACCAGTCAGTAAAGCACAACAGAGTTGGAGTGAAAAGAAGGCACAGAAGGCTATGTCCAAACTGGGTCTTTGACAGGTTATAGGGGTTACTAGAGTCACTATCTGGAAATCTAAGAATATCCTCTTTGTCATCGCGAAACCAGATGTCTACAAGAGCCCTGCTTCGGATACCTATATCGTTTTGGCAGAAGCCAAGATTGAAGATTTATCTCAGCAAGCACAAGTAGCAACTGCTGCGAAATTCAAAGTTCAGGGTGAAGCTGTCTTAAATGTTCAAGAAAACACACAGACTCCAACTGTACAAAAGGAGAGTGAAGAGGATGAGGTTGATGAAACAGGTGTAGAAGTTAAGGACATAGAATTGGTCATGTCACAAGGGAATGTGTCCAGAGCAAAGGCAGTTGGAGCCTGGAAGAACAAAGTAATAATATTGTAAATGCTATTATGGAATTAACAGTGTAACCATCTGAAAGCAACTTTTATTGGTGTCTCAAATGAGTGACTGCAGCTTGGTTTGAAATTTGTACTGCTTCTATCATAAATAAAGTTATGGCTTCTTGTTGGATGAAAAAAAGAAAAGAGTGCATTGTTATTTTTGATATTTTGGTTCAGTCTGTATACCATGTGTCATTTTGCCTTTGCCTCTTATGTGTAATAAACCATTCTACTTTTTTTTTTATTTATTTTTTTTTGAGATGGAGTCTTGCTCTGTTGCCCAGGCTGGAGTGCAGTGGTGTGATCTTGGCTCACTGCAACCTCCACCTCCCAGCTTCAAGCAATTCTGCCTCAGCCTCCCGAGTAGCTGGGATTACAGGTGTGTACCACCATGCCTGGCTAATTTTTTTGTATTTTTGGTGGAGACAGGGTTTCACCATGTTAGCCTGGCTGGTCTCGAATTCCTGACCTCAAGTGATCCGCCCGCCTCGGCCTCCCAAAGTGCTGGGATTACAGGCATGAGCCACTGCACCCAGCCCTAATTTTTGTATTTTTAATAGAGGTGGGGTTTCACCATGTTGGCCAGGCTGGTCTCAAACTCCTGACCTCAAATAAGGCCGCCCGCCTCGGCCTCCCAAAGTGCCTGGATTGCAGGCATGAACCACCATGCCCGGCCTTTATTTTCACTTACTATATTTTTCTAAGGACTCTGAGAAAAGTGGATAGTGTTCCCTACATTCATTGAAATGGTAGCTCTTAACATGAACTTCTACATGGTGTTATTACCTGACTACTTTGCAAATTGCATTTAGGTATTTTGAGTAATTGCTTCAGATAATTAATAATAATAATACTTATTAAGCAGAATAGTTCCTATCTCTGCACAGAGATTTGTTCTGAAAACTCAAGTCCCGTGAAACGGTACTCTGAAACCCCAGAATCATATTTCAAAACAGTTTTGACAACTGTCTTATATGTTGTAAAGATTAGCTAAGGAGAGTCATGTGCACAGGAAAAGCTAATTTGCAAAGCACATCAATAATTCAGGAATGATGTAAAACCTAACTCCTTTAGCCTTGTTAGCAAGTCGACTGCTTTGAGTGTCCACTGTGAGGCATTCTGGGAAACGAAAGGGGTCACAGAATTGGCCTCCTTGCAAATGAGCTCAAGCTAACTGGACTAGCAGGTCTAGGAAAGAGAAGTTACCTGGGCTAGGAACTGTATGAATACCGGCCCTCCCTTTCTACAGTGGAATCTTTTGAAGGTTAAGCAACAGTAAATAATCAACTAAGAATTTCTCAGAGTTGCTGCATTTACCTTCCTCTGCTTTTTTTTTTTTCTTTGCCCATGAAGATGAAGCAACTTTGGAATGAGAGCAATATTTCCTTTTAGGACTCCCTGCTTCAGACACGCAGAGAACAAGCTCAGGCCTGGCCTGGCTGGCAGAGACTGCCTGCGGGAGAGAGCTGGGCTTCAGGTATGGGTGAGGGATGGTGAGTTAGAATTTAACAGAAGGGGAGGAGAAGAAAACTCATTTGATTTTGTAAGTTTCCACACAGGCCTTTCAGCAACATCTATCAGCAAAAGAGAGGCAACAGAATCTTGCACCTTGAAAGTCACTGGGGGCAAAGAGGGTCCAGGAGTCAGCTCCTGGAATATCAGCTATAGTACAAAAAGGAAATAAGTAATGCAAAGGAAAAAGCAATACACATATGTAGAGAGACTGATCTAGAAGATCTGGCCTTGGTATCTGGGGATTGGTAATGATGTCATGGTGGTTAGCTCAGACGAGATGATGGATGATGAGTCCACTTGTATGCATCTGTATTACAAACGCAAATAAAACTTGGAATGATGTGAGTTGGCAGAAAAAACAAAGTCAATCTGTTCATTAGTGTTCTCTCCACAATGTGAAGGGGGAAAAGAGCTATTTTTTTGTGTCCAGGGAATATTGAGTTATATATAATATTCATTCAGCAAACATTTATTGAGTAATGACTGTTTGCCAGGCACTATGCTAGATGCTGAGAATGCAAGAATTGTACAAAGCCCCTCCATTGCCCACTCTCGATAAGAGGACAGCCAGAGCCAGTCACCTTTTTTGTACTATGTTTCTCTTAAGGTAAGGACAATCACGGCTCAGAACAAAAGTGCTTATCACATGTTGGTAGGCAAGTTTGCAATAATTCTTTTTCTTTGTAATGGTTTTATTACAAGCCCTGTAGTAAAACTTGGAAGATCTTTTTATGTTAGAAATCTCTCCTCTGCTACTGAATACTAAAGACTTTAGTCAAGTCTTTTAATTTCTCTGGGACTAAGTTTAAACATTTATAAAATCAGGTAATGGAAAGTAAAACTAGACTGATTTAATGAATCCTGGCTTAGGACAAGCAATAAGAGGAGGTTGAGGGCAGACAGCCACTTACTAGACACTTACAAACAGTAGGACTTCAGACTCCTTAGCTCTCAAAGTCTCTTAAAGTCTTGGTTTCTTCATTTGAGAAATGGGGATAATGCAATTCTTGTTGGGAGGGTGAAATAGATTAAGATAATGAACTTGGTTCAATCCAGGGCACAATAAGAATCCCCCTGTGAATGTCGCTGTTTTTATCCTACCCTGAAACTATTTGAATCTTTTCAAATCAATTCTTTGTTTGTATGAATGGATACTGCGTGTATATACGCCTCTCTTACATCACTGACCTCTCAGGAAGCAGTTAATTGGGAAATTGCAACATACTGGGGGCATAAACATGGAATGGGTTCACTTCTTGGTCCCTAAAATCAGCACTTTTTTTTTTTTTTGTGAGATGGAGTCTGGCTCTGTCGCTCAGGCTGGAGTGCACTGGCGTGATCTTGGTTCACTGCAACCTCCACCTCCCGGGTTCAAGCGATTCTCCTGCCTCAGCCTCCCGAGTAGTTGGGACTACAGGCACCCACTACCACGCCTGGCTAAATTTTGTATTTTTAGTAGAGATGGGGTTTCGCCATGTTGGTCAGGCTGATCTCAAACTCCTGACCTCAAGATATCCACCCTCCTTGGCCTCCCAGAGTGCTGGGATTACAGACGTGAGCCGCCGTGCCTGGCCCCTAATCAGCACTTTCAATGGTGCTATGTCTAATCCCTTTTTCTGTCCAACAACATCTAGGGCAGATTGTAGAAATTTGCCGTTTTAAAAAAGTAGGTCTGCATAGTTTAAATCTCATTCTGGTTCACAGCTTCTCTCTTCCACTCCACCCTTTCTTACGCTCTTTCAGTGTGTCAAGTAGGGAGGAGGGGAAGAAGAAGGGATCAGTGTCTCTCAGCTGCCTGCTCACATCTGCAGTCCTTTCACGATGTTGATGCTGTGCCACAGCCTTACTCTGTTGGCTTGTGGGTGCTCCCATGTAGCAGGTACCCAAAGGCTGGCGGCATGCTGTGGGTCTTTGGAAGGCCCCGGGGGGCTTCCTGGCTCTACACTTCCGTAACCTGGAAGATTCGGCTCTCTGGATGGGCTTCCTTTACCCCCTCAGCTCCTGCCATAGCTGCTACCCTCACAACCTGTTTTAATATGGCTCTGTCTCTTTAGTATCTACTGACTTGTCTCTAGGCTTGTGTGTAGTTTTCTTGGCATTTTGAGATGTGTTACAAGAAGGCATATATCTCAAAAGTGATACGTGCTTTTCTTTCGAGCAGTAATTGTCACTATCTTAGAATCATTGTACAAGTTTGCCCTTAGATACTTATAATGTAAGCAAATCATTCCCATGATATTTCCTTCCTTTTCCATTTCTGGGCCACCCTCACACTGGTCATCATTCACATACTTTTCTGGGTTCCCTCACTTGGCATGAAGCCTTGTCCACAGTGGGCCCCTGCTGGAGTGCATTTTTTGTCTTCTCAACTGCATCATGAATGCCTCCAGACAAGGACTGGGCCATCTACCGCTCTACTTCCATACAGGATAGCACCCATTGCACCCCATCACTGTCTGTAGGTCACAGGATCCATTCCACAAACCCAACAAAGACTGTGAGTGCCTCCCTGCCTGTGCAAGGCACTGGTGGTGGCACTCAAGAAATTGCCACTCCCCTAGATGTGGTGGGCAGAGAGAACTGAGGGGAGATGGTGACACCTTCCGCTCTTGCACTAAGGGATCCCGTCTTCCATGATTCCTCTTTCCCCAGTCTGATGTTAGGAGGGAAAGAGGATAAGAACAGAAGCTAGTACAGTAAAAGTCAAGACCTGAGAGGATAGCATCCTAGCATTTATTTGACAAGGGTTTCCTTCTTACTCTGAGGTGTTCAAGCAGCGCCGCCAACTCTGGCTGTGTGGTGACTTCTATGGCATGCACTTTTTTGTTTTACTTCACTGTTGAATTTCTTACCCCACTGTTGGTTGATTATCTCAGTTGGTTATCTGCCGCTAATAAGACCAAGGCTTTCCTTCCCATTTCCATAGAGATCAAGCCAAAGTCCTCCCTTCGTGTCAATGTCCCGCCTCCTGAGTTGGCTCTGATGACTGGCCGGCCCCACCACCTCTGCCTCACTCCTGGCCACGATTAGTTTTTCTGATATAAATATCCAATCTTTTATTTTCTCTGTTGACATATTTTTAAAAGTATGCAAGAGATTAAAAATGTGATGTTCCCTTTTTATCAGATTCTTAAAGAATCTGTCATTCATACTATGAAACTTTTAGTTTCATAAAAGTTTCAGGGCATAGTGGCTCACACCTGTAATCCTAGCACTTTGGGAGGCTGAGATGGAAGGATAGCTTGAGCTGTAGTTTAAAACCAATATAGTCAACATAGTGTGACTCCTGTCTCTACAAAAGATAAAAATTAGCTGGGCATGGTATCTGTATTTCCAGCTACTTGGGAGGCTGCAGAGGAGCTCATGGCTTGAGCTCAGGTGTTTGAGGCTGCAGTGAGTTATAATTGCAACACTGCACTCCAGCCTGGTTGATAGGGTGAGACTCTGCATCTACAAAAAAAAATTTTTTTTTTAATTAGCTGGGTGTGGTGGTGGGTACATGTAGTCCCACCTATGCAGGAGGCTGAGATGGGAGGATCACTTGAGTCCAGGAATTTGAGGTTGCAGTGAGCGATCATTGCACCAATGAACTCCAACCAAGGTGACAGACTCTGTCTCAACTAAAAACAAAAGAAAAGAAAAACAAGGATGGTTTAGTATACGTAAACACTTTGTTTTGAATATATATATTCAATAAGGGCATTTTCATTTAAAACTTATTAAAGAGTTCCTACTCTGATAGAAATAAGAACCCATTTGTTCATCCCATTGTGGATGTATGTTAAATGCATTTTAGAACAATAATGTGTCCTTTCATTTTAGGGAGTATTTAGTACATCCATACAATTTTTAACTTAAAAAGAATTACAAGCCTGGTGCAGTGGCTCACGCCTGTGATACCAACATTTTGGGAGACTGACACAAGAGGGTTGCTTAAGCCCAGGAGTTTGAGACCCTGTCTCTACAAAAAATAACCACGTGGTGCATTCCTGTAGTCCCAGCAACTCAGGAGGCTGAAGCAGGAGGATTACTTGAGCACAGAAGTGTAAGGCTGCAGGGAGCTATGATGGTGCCACTGCACTCCTGCCTGGGTAACAGAGCAAGACCTTATCTCTTGAAAAAAATAAATTGGCAATTACAGCATAGCTTACATAAAGCACACAAATTTTAAGTGTTTAGCTTAATGAATTTTTACATATGCATCCATCTATATGCTAGTAAGTATGCATATTTAAAGTATGTTTTCTTTGAACATACAACCGTCTGTTTATTATGTCTGTTTTCATTTCTACTTTATAACTCTTTTTTAAAAAGTTCTTATTTCTATCAGAACAACGGGTGAGAATAAGGAGAAGAGAATGAATACTGACTGAGTGCTACTCTGTGTCAGATACCTATTATGCTTCTCAGAGAGACTATCTGATTTAGTATTTAGACAAACATCATGGGGGCCACTCATGTTATCTGTGTACTAAAGATAAGGAAATTGGGTTTTAAGATGGCTAAATAATTTGTTTTCAGTCATACTGTTAGAATTCGACATGAGGTCTCTTTGGTACCAAAATTTTATTCTTTCTGTTAGACAATTACAAAGAAGCCATGATATACTCTCTTGTCTTGGGTGGCTCTGAAAGCAGAGCCTGAGATATTTTATTTGAAAAGTGATCTCAGAGGCTGGGGGTGGTGGCTCACGCCTGTAATCCCAGTGCTTTGGGAGGCCAAAGCAGGCAGATCACTGGAGGTCAGGAGTTTGGGACCAGCCTGATCAACATGGTGAAACCTTGTCTCTACTAAAAACACAAAACATTTGCCGGACATGGTGGTGGGTACCTGTAATCCCAGCTACTCAGGAGGCTGAGGCAGGAGAACTGCTTGAATCCAGGAGGTGAAGGTTTCAGTGAGCTGAGATCGGGCCACTGCACTCCAGCCTAGGCAACAGAGCGAGACTCTGTCTCAAAAAAAAAAAAAAAAAAAAAAAAAAAATCAGTGATTCCAGAGAAGAGGAGTGGGGATCAAGGGATGTGAGACAGGGAAGGAGGAAAAGCCCAAAAGAGGATGAGTTACTGGTTTGGCCACAGCTACAGACAACTCCTCTTCTATCTCACTGGAACCTTCTGAGCAGCCTTATGAATTGTGTCTCAAAAATGCATGCCTGGGCCTGGCGTGGTGGCTCACGCCTGTAATCCCAGCACTTTGGGAGACCGAGGTGGGTGGATCACGAGGTCAGGGGTTGGAGACCAGCCTGACCAACATGGTGAAACTCCGTCTATACTAAAAATACAAAAATTAGCTGGGCGTGGTGGTGGGCGCCTGTAATCCCAGCTACTCAGGAGGCTGAGGCAGGAGAATTGCTTGAACCCAGGAGGCGAAGGTTACAGTGAGCCGAGATCACGCCATTGCACTCCAGCCTGGGAGAGAGAGCGAGACTCCATCTCAAAAAAAAAAAAAAAAAAAAAAAAAAAAAAAGCATGCCTGGAAGACAAAAGGAGGAACGGAGGAACTACCTAGCCATTAACTCCTGTCATCTATTGGCCCAAGATGGTCCCAACAGCCTTAGCCACGCTCTTACTTCTGGATTATAACGTTTGGGTGCCAAGCAGGTTCCCCTAGATATACTGCACCTTGGCATGAGAGAAGACCTGGTACAGGAAGCAAGAGGTATGTGGTGGGGACCCAGACAAGATGAGATTACACTCATGTGAAGCTGGACAAAGACTACATGGAGCGCAATACTGCAGCAGTGGCTGCACTTGGAGGTGGGGCTGAGAGGATGTGAAGTGGTACATGAGAGGTATCCCGTACACATACCAAGAATGCTTTAGTAATATAGACCCAGATTGGGAAACAGTTTTCTAGTAACACAACTCTTCTTATTGCAGAGATTTCAACCTGAACCTATTCTTCTGCTGGTGTTTCTCTTTAGGCATCAGGCATGTTTGGCAAATTAATGGGGCAGACTTGAGAAAATCTATTTGTGTGTATCCATATGCATGAGTTCTTTGCTCTTTTCCTGAAGGAAGGGAAAACTGAGTTTTATATACAAAAGCCTAGAAAGAGCTATGGGAGAAATGGAAGGGCCAGAGGGCAGCTATCCCATGACAAAGTCTGAACTCTATGGAAGAAAAGGCTCAGGCAGAAAGAGTAGGATCTGTTTTATGAAGGTTCTAACACACTGCCATTCAGCAGTACAAACTGTTTTTTTTTTTTGAGACGGAGTTTCACTCTGTCACCCAGGCTGGAGTTTAGTGGTGTGATCTCGGCTCACTGCAAGCTCAGCCTCCTGGGTTCACGCCATTCTCCTGCCTTAGCGTCCCGAGTAGCTGGGACTACGGGCGCCCACCACCATGCCCGGCTAATTTTTTGTATTTTTAGTAGAGATGGGGTTTCACCATATTAGCCAGGGTGGTCTCAATCTCCTGATCTTGTGATCTACCTGCCTTGCCCTCCCAAAGTGCTGGGATTACAGGAGTGAGCCACTGCACCTGGCCAGTGGTACAAACTCTTTCAGGGCCCAGGTGGCAAAGTGTGCTAAAGAAGTAGGGGAACTGGGCATTCTTCCCACTTCTTCATGGTTCTGCAGAGAAGATCAAATGTTTATAACGCAATAAACACAGTTTGGGTGCTTCCATGAATTCTGTTCCATGTGGTCTGATTACCCTCTATATTTAGAGACTAAGGAAGTTTTTATAAGAACGTTAGCAGCTGTCATAATTGGAGATTGGCCAGTGCGGGGTGGAGTGGGACTCAGAGACTGAACCAGCCTTCAGAGATGGTGCAGGGGTGGTCCAACCAGTAGAGATAGGAAGAAGTCTCGGCAAGTGGGTAGAGCTCAGGATCCAGTTGCAGATAGCTCTAGTACAGACAGCTGCCATTCAAAGAAAGAGTGGAGACCCAGCCATAGGATCTTGGTAAGGGGATTATATCAGGAGAGAAGAAAATAATATTCTAGGCCTGGAAGAAATAGCATACAGAGTTGGAATCCAATATGTAGCTCAGGAAGGCACGGAGGGGGGAGCCAAATATAATCTAAAACAGATGTAATTATAAGGCAACTAGGGCAGAATCCAGTTACTAAAAATAACCAGCCTTGAGACTGACTGGCCTAAGTCTCCATTCAGTTCCTCTGCTGGGGATACGTCTGAAAGGTAGAGAATGGCTTCTAGCTAAACAGGC
This sequence comes from Homo sapiens, assembly GCF_000001405.40. Classification (NCBI taxonomy): domain Eukaryota; kingdom Metazoa; phylum Chordata; class Mammalia; order Primates; family Hominidae; genus Homo; species Homo sapiens. The sequence goes on along the minus strand of NC_000012.12, from coordinate 93,115,397 downwards.
AAGCACGCAGCAGCAGCAGGGGTGCGAGTCAAACACGTCTCCACAGGTGCTTATCAATAAGCTCCATGCGTCTGGATCCACTGACAAGGAAGCAGGACCCAAATGATTAAACCCTGTTTGCAACAGTCCTTCTAAGAGAAGACTTCTGGTTTTTTTGTTTTGTTTTGTTTTGTTTTCTGTCTAGAATGCCTTCTTCTCTTCTTCTGCTAATGGAACTACTTTTTTATGGGGAATCCCCCACTTTCCAGAGAAGTTAGCATGTGATCTAAGTTCAGTCAATCAGATAAATCTATTCCTTTGGAATGGGAAGAGGCAGAAAACCCTAGAAAAGCCAATCAGATTCTTCCTTGAGATTTGATGTTTAAATGCGGAGAGAGAGAGAGAAAGGCTCTTTTTTCAGTATTGGATCACAAGATTGTAAAGATGATATAGACCAGAGTTGCTTTCTGTCACCTTTCCTGGATACCTGGGGAAAGCCATCCATAGTGAGAGACAATGAATCTAACATTAAGAGAGAATCAAAAATGAAGAGAGATGAGAGATGGATGGAAAGAGACAGAGTCCTGAGGACATTACTTGGACCCCGAATCCAGCCATGGCTGAAGCCAAAGCTATCCTGCTCTTTCATGAGCCAATACATTCTGCTTTACTTAAGCTGGTCTCGACCCAACTTCAAGTGGGTTTTGCAACTTGCAATGTAAGGAAATTGGACAAACGCATTTGCTTATTTACTGCCTCCATCCACAGCTAATCTGAAATTTAGAGTTGGTACTGACAATACTCACCTCAATCCTGGCCTCCATTGCTCTTCACAAAGACACACTGGCCACTGCGGTGAGCAGACGGCCACTGCTCTCTGCCTGGCAGAAGCCTCAGTGATATTAGATTTGAGTCTTTGCCCACCACTACTTTTGACATACGCTTGTTCTTTGGAGCTCACCCCTTCCTCTTTCATATGGTCTTTTCAGACTGTGGATGAAATCTTCAGCCTTTTCCACTTTGTATCAAACTTACAATTGAAGTCCTGACCAGCCAGGTGCGGTGGCTCACGCCTGTAATCCTAGCAATTTGGGAGGCCAAGGGGGGCGGATCATGAGGTCAGGAGATCGAGACCATCCTGGCTAACACAGTGAAACCCTGTCTCTACTAAAAATACAAAAAAAAAAAAAAATTAACCTGGCATGGTAGCGGGCACCTGTAGTCTTCGCTACTCGGGAGGCTGAGGCAGGAGAATGGCGTGAACCTGGGAGGCAGAGCTTGCAGTGAGCTGAGATTGCACCACTGCACTCCAACCTGGGTGACAGAGCGAGACTCCATCTCAAACAAAAAAAAAAGAAAAAAAAGAAAAAAAAGAAAAAGAAATCCTGACCTTTCTTCTGAAAGTAGATGCCTGTTTTAAATTTCTATTTGAGAATTCCATGATCACCTCACACTCAACAAGTCTGAAACAGAACTCAGCAGTGTTCTGGTGCTGACGATGGCACCAGCATTGTGCCTGTCATCTGTTCTAAAGGAGCTCAGGACATGCCACCCCAAAATAGGCCACTTTGGCAGATTGATGACTTTGAGCTGAAGGCACTTGAGAAACAGCAGATGCAGGAAGGGCTTTCTGACCACCCCTCCCCTCCACATTTTTTTTTAACCTAAACAGGCCATAAAATTTCCCATGAGAAAGGTGTCTACCCTGAACCAGCAAGAGAAGAACATTCCTTACAGAATCATGGTGTGGAGAAGAAAAGAGAGAAAGAGACAGAGAGAGAGAGGAACATTCTTATCACCAGGCACTGGGAATCAATGCTGAAATGGATCTGGACAAACAAAGTTACCAAAATAACCCTTATTTTCCTCTGGTTCTTTCTACTATGTATCTTAGTCACTTCCTCACAATTTGCTGTCCCTGGCCAACACCCTTTTGTCTTGTTATTTCTTCACAAATTAATAGTTTCTTTGTCTAAAAGGCACAAAAACACTAGGCACGGTGGCTCACAGCTGTTATCCCAGCACCTTGGGAAGCTGAGATGGGAGGTTTGCTTGAGACCATGAGATTGGGGCTGCAGTGAGCTGTGTTCACACCACTGCACTCCAGGCTGGGCAAACAGAGCAAGAATCTTTCTGTCTGGTCAATTTTTCAGACCTTCATTCTCTTGTGAAGGTCCCTGCTTATGTGTAAAAATTGTAATTAAACTTGTATGCTTTTCTCCGGTCAATCTGTCATATATCAGTTTAATTCTTAGGCCCAGTTGGAAGAGGGCCTAAATGGGAAGAGGAGACTTTTTCTTTCCTCCTCAACAGCTCCTTCAGTCCCCCAATTGTTTGTGCCACCTTTCTTTTCCTCATCCTCCTCATGCTAAATCATGAAGCTCACTCAATTTCCTTCATGTCTGCATGATCCTGGAGCTGCATGTGGTTCTAAAGGTGGGTAGAAAACTGGACAGGGCATGACCCCTGACTTGAAGAGTTTGCATTCTAGTAGAGGAACTATGAAATCAGAATGTGCTTTGTGCTACAGCAGGGGCAGCAGCAGAAGGACCAAGGGGCCTAACACAAGATAGGGGTCATGCCAGCTACGGGAGATCAGAGAAGAGTCATGGAAGAATTTCAACAGTCCATGAAGGCAAGAGGACATTATGAAAATAAAAAAGGGAGCCAAGAGAACAATTGATTGAAGTGCACTTGGAATGAGGATGATATGGTTTGGCTGTGTCCCCACCCAAATCTTATTTTGAATTGTAGCTCCCATAATTCCACGTGTCATGGGAGGGACCCAATGGGAGGTAATTTAATCATAGGGGTGGGTCTTTCCCATGCTGTTCTCATGATAATGAATAAGTCTTATGAGATCTGATGGTTTTATAAAGGGGAGTTCCCCTGCACACGCTCTTTTGCCTGCCATCATGTAACATGTGCCATTTGCCTTCCGCCATGATTGTGAGGCCTCCCCAGCCACATGGAACTGTGAGTCCATTAAACCTCTTTTTCTTTATAAATTAACCAGTTTCAGGTATGTTTTTATCAGCAGTGTGAAAATGGACTAATGCAGAGGACTTCTGTTTGCTGGTGCATAGGAGTGGCTGGGGAAAGTGCTGGGAGACGGTGCTGGGCGGGTTGGGATCGACACTGTGGATTGATTATGTAAAAGTCATTCACAGCCCCCTTTTTTTCTTGTTTGCCCATATTACAGAGTTTCAGAAAACTGAAACATTAGCTTCTCCAGCTTTCCCTGCAGCTACGCATGACTGAGTTCTAGCCAAAGAGAGTAAGGAGGGTACAATGGGTGGAAATCATGGGAAAGTAGTTCAGTGGACAGGATGTGCTAGCATGCTCACCTCCTCCTTCTTCCTATTTGAGAATGCACAAGAATACTCATGAATACAGCTGCCATCCTGGCATTATGAAACCCCCAGGAATCGGGGTATGTTTGTAGAATGGCAGAGGAGAAAGACAGAAAGAACCTGGTTCCTTGATGACATCATCTGGCTATTGTGAAGTCCTGAACTTCTTTTTCCCACACTTGTTGTGCATGACAAACAAAAATCCCTATATGAGAAGTCACTGTTAATCAGGTTTTCTATTGCCTGCAGCACTGAATGCCATTCTAAAGAAAAGGAAGTTTATACTATAAGCCCTTACATGAAGGTGAGAGGATGCCATTATCAGAAAACTCTCCCCTTTTGCTATTCACTGCCTAGACCCTTCAAAGCCCAGTTCATTGGAGAATCTCTTTATGGAAGCTTCTGTCTCTTGTCCTGGCCCCCTTAATTCTTACTGCTTGTTGGGCAATTACCAAGTTTGGGTTAGAGACACGTATTTTTACTGATTCCTCAGGGACTTATCTATCCCCAGTAGGACTATAAGTGCCTTACGGGCAGTGACCATGTCCTGTACTTTCTCTCATGAAGTGCGCAGGCTGGAGAGAATCACATAGTGGGTCAGTGCTCAGACACTGGAATCTTAAGTTTGAACCCTGAGGCCATCACCAAATATTCATAGATCTTAGACAAGTTTTGTAACCTCCCTAGGCCTCAATTTCCTCATTTGGGGAGCAGAGATTGGTAATAGAATTTGCCTCCAGGGATTATTGTGAGACTCAAATGAAATATTTCCATGAATTCCTTAGTGTCATTTTAGTCATCATTATATATGTAGTAGATGGTCTGCATCAATGACCTCTCATACCCTGTGTTTTCAATGTGACTTTGCAACTCTGTCCATTGTGAGGTCAACTCCATTTCCCCACCCTTGAACCTGGGCTAGTCTCATGACATTCTTTGGCTAACAGAGTGTGGCAGAAGTGATACTGTATGAGCTCCCAATCTAGGCCTCAAGAGGCTTTGTACATTTCCAGCCCCTCTGTTGGGACCCCTGCCTTTTCTATAAGAATAAGCTTAGGAGAGCCGCTGAAAGATGAGAGACCTTGTGGAGTAGAGATGAGTTTTCCTAGTAGAGACCCTCTTAGACCAGCTAATCTGCCAGGTGGCAACAGATACATGAGTGAGTCCCATCAAGATCAGAAAAACCGCTTGGAAAACCCATACACTTATGAACAATAATTAGTGTTAATTGTTTTGTGCCAGTAGGTTTTGGGGAGGTTTGTTAGGCAGCGATAGTTACCTGATATAATCTATCCAAGAGACAAGAGAAATTTTGCCTGTTCACTGCTGTATCTCCAATGCCTAGAACTGTCTATTGATAAGCAGGTGCTCAATATATACGTCGAATAAATTCCTGAATGTAATTATGATTACTATCATCTCAAAGACTCATGGTGAGGAGTGAATGAGATAATGAAGGGAAAACATTTCACATTGTTCCTGTCACACAATGACTTCTCAATAAATATTAGTTATTAACCAGGTGATCGACAATGACTGGTTAATTGATTAACATATTTTTATTAATATAAAACTAGCTAATGAGTAACACTATCCTAAGCCCAGTTAATTAAGCAATTCTCTGTCTTTCAGAAAACCTAATATTAACCACAGTTGGGTTCTTGGCTTGCAGAAAGTCAATCAATCAATCAATCATAGACAACTTCTCCAGAAATCCTAGGGGACAAAATTCTGCAAGAACCGTCCTGGGAAACGTGGAGCTTGGAGCTGAGGACATCATCTTCGTACAAACCACCATTTTTTTTTTCTGGTTTTCTTTCTTCTACTACTTTCCCAGCATCAGGCTACTGTGTAATGAGTTCCCAAGTCCTCTTGGAATGCTTCTTCTTCCCTAGATGAGCATTTCAGTACTCCATGCTTGGGAGCCCCCCGCCTTTGAGGCATTGCCAGTAACCAAGGGGGAAGGGGGTGTGTGTGGGGGTGGCCGATGAGGCATGAAGCCTGGTGTCACTCCTTCATTACTCATATGGGGCTGATCTCACGTGCTAGCTCTGCTTTGCTACTGTGAAAAGAGGCCTTTTCATCCTCACCCAGCAGAAGTTCACACTTTGTAATTTCTCAGTGACCTCGTTAGTTCCCAAATTACTTTTGGCTAGCAAGAAAGATGAACACATTGTACCTTCTCTAAGGGACTCATTATTTCCATTCTGGAGACTGTCATTTATGAAATTCTGACTTTCTTTCATCATGTATTTACACTAGGCAAAGCTAGGAATATTGTAATTGTCTGTGATGTTTTGAAAACACTTGTCACAAACTGAAGCCAAATGCTGATTAATGTTAAGTGTTTTGAAGAACCAAGCTTTTGGCTCATTAACTGGACTAGAATGGCATTACCCATCAGCTTCAAGTTCTGATAATTGCTCATCACAGATTGGCACTAATTTAGTAGTAATGGTGCTGACAGATTTGTATGTTTTCCCTATATTGAACATTATGCACATATAAAGACTGGTGTGAATGCCAGACCTGGAATCAGGAGACCTGGTCCCAGATGTGCCACAGTGTGACCATGGGCAAACAAACTTATCTTTCTGTGTCTCTGTTTCCTTACCTATAAAATAAGGGGCTTATATAGGATGATCTTCAATATCCTTTTTTACTGAAATTCTATGGTGTCACCAGTATGCAGTTTGGTCTTGAGTTGCATAATAAGCACAGATTCATTTTAGAAAAGGCATAAACGTTGGTATACATGGAACATGGGCAAGATCGTCAGTTTATTTCCCTTCTTCTCTACATTTTTTCTATATTAAGAGGGAAAGAAATGTTCCCTGTCGGGCTTGCAGGATAAGCCCTTAATCAAATGTTACATACCATCTGTTTGAGACAGTATTTGGTAAGTCAAACTTAAGTAGCTATAATCACTGTGGAATCCAAAACTGTTTCCTGTTATCCTGTCTGTTTTCTGCAGACAGGAGATAGTCTAGCTTCTTAAGCCAGTACAAAACAGTAATATTGCAAGGAAGAAAGACATTTATTTTGAGGCTCATGCTTTGAAACTGCTTATTGAATTTGTCTTTCCTTTTCTCCCTAGATATTCTCCCACTTATTTACGCTGCTTCTCTGCCTCACTCTTCTCTATCCAAGTCCTCTACCCCCTCAACATGTCTCACTGTCTTCCTCTCTGTTCCATTCCTTGGCATAATCCTTGGGGATTTCAACATATATGTTGATAATTCTTACCCTGGCATTAGAAGAGGACAGGCCCAAAGGTTAATGATTGGTTCAAGGTCACACAGCTATCTCATGCCAGAGCAGGATCAATTATCGGGAGGATTAATCAGACAATGTATGATGTAATTAGTCTGTGGACCCATGGATTCATAGAGTGTGGACCCATGAATTCCCCTGCCCCCAACAGATTAGAATAAAGTGAATACAGAGCTCCGTCAGGCTGCCTGTCCTGCTGTCTGCAGCCGTCGGCGCTGGTCATTTATTTCTCTTTGAAGACTATGAAAATAGCTTTAAAAGCTGCCTTATGTTTCCTTCCAACATTAACCACAGTTTCTTAAAGTCCACCTTTCTATACGACTGGCTGGATGACATCTAACACACTCCCTTTTCTATTTGAGAGGCTGGGGTCATCCTCTAGAACCATCGGCCATTTCTTGCATCTGTGGAAGTGGTGACAGCTGAGCAAATGATGAAGATTCTCTAGTGTTCAACACTGTCTGAGCCCATGGGGTTGGGTTACCAGGGTATGGGTATCCCCATACATCCATGCTTCTCAGGATGGTAAGTATCATGTAAGCACAGCTCCTCAACTGCTGCCCCGTGAGTCTGTTGTCATTTGTCAGAGGCCAATGCCACGGACTGTTTACTTGATGTGGAGACAAGGCACCACATCTTTCTTGACCTTTTCAAGTTCTTAAGTTCTAATCTTGAACAGTAGTGATGTTGCAATATCTGGAACTAGCAAAGGATACTGATGAGAAAACGTGGAATCATGTGGGATGTGACCTCCTAGGACTCACCTTGCACAGCTGGGTGCAGCAGGGATAGGTAAGGATTTGGGGTTTAGAGGTACAATTGCCTTTTTATGGTTAGAGAAAGGTCCTGGGGCTGGAGGGAGCCTGACGATCTGCTCTGTGTGCAAGGGGAGAGTTAACTCTGCACGCAAGAGCCTGCTTAAAGGGCTGTGTCAGTTCTATTGTAAACACCAACTTAAAGTGGTGGATGCTGGGCAGACATTGTTATTGCCATTCCAAAAAGAAAACAAAAAAAAAAGATGAAATTGTGGGTCTGAGTCAAGGTCACCCTGCAAGGAGCTCTTGCCTGTTGAAAATGAGAGCTAAGTTTTGGGTCAGGTTACATCTTTCTATTCTTTAACTTAACCCTCCCACTGATGGCTCAGAGCAGCTCCTTACTCTGACCTACTGGGTTTGTTTTTTTTTTTTTTTTTCTGGACTGGAGGGAGTTACCACACCTCCAGGTTCTGATCTTTGATGGGGTTGGGTAGGACCTAATGGCAACATTTGGATCATATTTGACTAAGGTGACTGCTCTATCCAGCAGAATAGGTCTTTCACAAGCATTTTCAGTAACGGAGGTGATTTAGACATGACCTCATAACACAGGGGAGGCAGCAAGAGACTAGCATCCAGACTCTGAGGTCAGAGTATTCCAGGCTCAAATCCCAACTCTTCACTGTGTGATTCTCGGCTGTGTGACCTCACTGTAGCTCAATTTCTTGGTCTGTAAAATGGGTCAAAAAAAAAAAAAGAAAAAAGAAAATCCTTAGGATGAGTGATATGGTTTGGCTTTGTCCCCACAAATCTCATCTTGAATTGTAGTTCCCATAATCTTCACCTATTGTGGGAGGGACCCGGTGGGAGGTAATTGAATCATGGGGGATTTACCCTCATGCTGTTCTCATGATAGTGAGTGAGCTCTCACAAGATCCTGTGGTTTTTTAAGGGGCTTTTCTCCCTTTCCTTTTGCTTGGCACTTTTCCTTGCTGCTGCCATGTGAAGAAGGATGTGCTTGCTTCCCCTTCCACTGTCATTGTAACTGTCCTGAGGCCTCCCCAGCCACGTGGAACTCAGTCAAGTAACCCTCTTTCCTTTATAAATTACTCAGTCTCAGGTATGTCTTTATTAGCAGCATGAGAACAGACTAATACAATAAGATAATCTTTGGAAAGTCCTTGCCTCATAAAGGTATTCAGGAAATTCTTTTTTTTTTTTTTTTTGAGATGGAGCTTGCTCTGTTGCCTGGGCTGGAGTACAGTGATGTGATTTTGGCTTACCGCAGCCTCTTCCTCCCGGGTTCAAGTGATTCTCCTCCCTCAGCCTCCTGAGTAGCTAGGATTACAGGCATGTGCCACCATGCTCAGCTAATTTTTGTATTTTTAGTAGAGATGGGGTTTTGCCATGTTGGCCAGGCTAGTCTCGAACTCCTGACCTCAGGTGATCTGCCTGCCTCGGCCTCCCAAAGTGCTGGGATTACAGGCATGAGCCACTGTGCCGAGCTAGAAAATTATTTTTTCACTGTCCTTCACCCCAGGCACATGCTGAATACAGCAGCAATATGCTAAATCACATTAAAAAATAATAATAATAAATGTGACTGGGCGTGGTGGCTCATACCTGTAATCCCAGCACTTTGGGAGGCCAAGGAGGGCAGACCGCTTGAGCCCAGAAGTTGGAGACCAGCTTGGGCAGCATGGTGAAACCTCATCTCTACAAAACAAAACAAAACAAAACAAAACAAAACAAAAATAAGCTGGGTGTGGTGGCGCACACCTGTGGTCCTAGCTCCTCAGGGGCTGAGGTGGGAGGATAGCTCGAGCCTGGGAGGTCGAGGCTCTGGTGAGCCTAGATTGCGCCACTGCACTCCAGCCTGGGTGACAGAGCAAGACCCTGTATCAAAAAAGAAAAAAAAAGATAAAATAAATGTTATGCTTAGGTAAGCTAAGTGACTCAAGAGCTAGCAAAAATTAGGTTTTTAGGGTTAGCTATGTCACATGCCAAGTATGGATTTTCTGTTACTGGGCTTTAAATATGTTAATGAGAGAATGTTCATGCTCCTTGGGTGGAAGCACCATACAATATTTTATGCCACTGGTACCCATAAGGAAGTACTGAGACAAATGGAACCCCATAAGTTTTGCACTGTGAGTGAATTGGGCCCTCGTTCTTCTTGCGCTACCAGGGCATGGGATCCACAAGGAGGGGAAGACTGTCTACGTGAAAACTGCAATTGTTTGCCATACCTTGCAATTCTAATTATTGAAGATTTAGGTTGAAGCACAGCTTTTTATATAGGAGGCTTTTTGGTTTTATTTTTTGTTTTTGAGACAGGGTCTCACTCTGTTGCCCAGGCTGGAGTGCAGTGGCATGATCACAGCTTACTGCACCCTTGATCTCCCAGGCTCAAGAAATCCTCCAGCCTCAGCCTCCCAAGTAGCTAGGACTACAGGTGCATGCCACCGCTCCTGACTAATTTTTTTTTTTTTTTTTTTAGTAAAGATAAGGTCTTGCTATGTTACCCAGGTTGGTCACAAACTCCTGGCCTAAAGCAATCCTCCTGCCTCAGCCTCCCAAAGTGCTGAGATTACAGGTTTGAGCCACTATGCCTGGACTATATGGGAGTTTTATGATCAAGAATTAAGAAATAAAAAAAATAGCTCACAGAATTGACTCTTACTTTTAGATGTAATCAGTTTGAAACAATGACTTCAATACTTAAAGTTTGAGATCATTATATTCTGCTATAATTCCCTTTTATTTTCCCCCATCACCCGACAAACCAAAAAGCAGGTCTTCTCTACCCACGTTACAGTCCATGAGATAAGTTTAATTAAAATCTCTCTATCTGTAACACACTTAGATTGGCAGTGAGCAAGGGGGGCAGGTACAAAGCTATGTCACATAACCTTGCCTTCAAGTTATATAGTAGGAAAAAGTAGCTTACAGTTCAAAATAATCATTACACATATATTTCAGGTAGAAAACATAGTTGCTTTTCATTTCTATATCTACTAGGAAAGTAGAGCTGTTCTTCTAGGCTATGTCATTCCAAGTTCTCATTTGCATGTAACTGGTGGTATAATGGCCTTCTAGCTCCGGATGTAGAAGGTGACAGTGTGCCCATCAATTATGTTGATGGATATATTAAACATCATCTGGGTAAAGGCATTCCTTCCTGACATACTACTCAGCTTACATTAATACAGTATTTCATAAGAAGAAGAGGATGCTCCCAATGTGCTGAGTAGGACATAAACTTCAAGTTGTATTTATTTCATTCATCTACTTATTCATTCATTCATTCATTCATTCATTCACTCAATCATTCTACCAAGATGTATGCAATGCCTGCTACGTTTCAGGCCCCATACTAAATGCTGAGCTTCAGAGATGGCTATGATACCATAGCTATCTGAGATGAACTAATAGTTTAAACAAGATTTCTTGCCCTGTGGCCCATGGGTCCCTAGTGAATCTGAAGTCAGGTTTAGGGGATCTAGAAGTCTCTTGAAATTAAATGCAGTCATTGGTCTGAATGTGCATATACACATTTTTCTGAGACAAGGACCCATATCTTTCATCAGATGATGAAAGTGATTGGGATCCAAAAAGATTAAAGAGCAACTGGTCTTGAAGGGAAGAAAACCCAACCTCGGTTCCAGCAGACAGCCATCAGCTCTGTAACCCTGGCTGGAACCCAGGGGGGAAGCTTCCCTGAGTTTCCTCCCCTGGGGGTCTACCGTCAATGTGTCTTCATCTCTGATTCTCTCTCTTCTCACTCCTAAGTTACTCTTTTCTATTATATTCACTCTGTTTTTTTAAAGTCTTTTAATTTTTAAATTTCTCTATTACTTCTCCTCAAATTCCTTTTTTTTTTTTTTTGGTCTATATTCTTTTTTATTTCCTTAACTTTTTTTTAACTTTTAAGTTCAGGGGTATAAATGCAGGTTTGTTACACAGGTAAACATGTGTCATGGGGGTTTGTTGTACATCATTTCATCACCCTGGTGAATTCCTTTCTACCATACACCTTCACTTTGAATTTATGATAAGGAACATTTCATGGGCCCAGTAAATCACTGTTTCCATTGGGAAGTATCATTCTGCCAGGACATCTCAAAGATTTTTGGATGCTCATCCATAGCCTTTGAACCAAGCACCAGCTCTGCTCTAATTAGCTATACCAGGCTGGGGGTACAGGGAGAATCACTGGGAATAGAGTGTGGCTACCAATCTACAAGGCCCTGCCTCAGAATCCTCCTGGGAGAGACTACAGGCAAGGATGTTTCCTGAGAAGTTAGTTGTGAGAGTGACAGTCCCTGATTTCAAGCATGGACGATGGATTAGGGGAGTACATTGGACCAATCTATCCATTAACCTGCCAGGTCCCTTTTGGGATAGGTTAGCAAGATTGTGTGGCCATGGAATACCAGAAAACTCACTGTCCCATGCATATTTAAAACCTGAAACTTTGGCCTTCTTAGTGTTAGCCTAACCCTCGTAACTGGTAACAGTGACTGAAAAGCATAGACACTAGAACAAAGTGTTTTTATTTCTGGTCCACCATAAACTCTGACTTGTCCCAAGTCAGGTGCCAGGGATCCAAAGACAAATAGGACTTGCAACCTTTCCTTGCAGAGATCACATAAGAATAGAAGTTATATTGTTTGATATAAATAGCTGACTTGAAATGGCAATGGGCTGGAAACCAGAGAGCTGGAATTCTGGCGCTGACTCTGTTGCTTACTGCATGTGTAAGCCTGGCTCTGTTATTTAAATGCTCTGAACCATAGTTTCCTTATTTTAAAATGGGGATAATAAAACCAACTCTGCTTGGCGCTATGGTTGACAGAAGGATGAAATAAGATAATATATGGGAAAGTATATTACTGTAAATTTCTAAAGCAAAACAAGGCTTACAAAAAAATCATTGCCTTAGTTTTGGGTATTATTGGCAGAACAGAACCATTCATTACTGGCGCCATGCTAGTTGGTATCATTAAATACATTCTTTGTCCTCTCAAGGTCTTTGTGAATAGGTCTTTTTAAAAAAATCTGGTCACGTTGGAAATGTGTGTGTTTTAATGGTATGCTTTGGTTTCAAAGGACATCTGATAAAAGCTTTAAAAGTTTAAAAGTACAAACTGAATAGTAAAAGCACCAGTTAAAAGTTAATGAAGCAGGACCCATGAGGGAGGAGGCTATTGGCTGAGGGTGAGACAGTGCCTCTGTCTTTTGTAAGAAGGAAGTTTCCAACTCCTGAGTTATGCTAAAAATTTCCAAAGGAATTGATTGATACAAAGCCTACAGTTTTATTAAATTCTCTATAGGACTTTTTGCCCATAGCCACCCAAAGTTCCAGAACAATTATGATTTTAAGTGATTTATTCATGCTGAGTTGAATAGATGAACAAGAGTTTCTTTTCTGATTTTACTCTGGTAGTTGCTCTTGCACATAGCAAAGTAGCCAAGGCTTTCTTTTGAACTCTTTTGATTCTCTCCATGTCTATGGTACTTTAATTCCACTGAGGAATTAAATTGCTTATACTTTGAAGTATAACTGACCTCTTTGTTTCCAGTCTCTCCAGTAGAAAGGCAACATTCTTGGGGACAGGAACTGGGTTATATTCCTAGTAACACTTACAATACTATAATGGATAGCACATAAAATGGCATGAGCCATATCGAGGCAGAATTCTGAACAGGAAATAACTATCTATTTTTGCCCTTTCTAAGTTCTGGGATCATTTAAATACTAGGCATGGTTTGCTGGATCAGGTGCCTGTATATAACAGCACTTGAAATGGTTTCTCAACTTTGGATTTTATGAAGCCAACAAAAGGATTTGTTGAAAACGACTAAGTCAGCCGGGCGCGGTGGCTCATGCCTGTAATCTCAGCACTTTGGGAGGCCAAGGTGGGCGGCTCACAAGGTCAGGAGATCAAGACCATCCTGGCCAACATGGTGAAACCCTGTCTCTACTAAAATACAAAAAAAAAAAATTAGCCAGGCAGGCATGGTGGCATGCCGCCTGTAGTTCCAGCTACTTGGGAGGCTGAGGCAGGGGAATCGCTTGAACCTGGGAGGCAGAGGTTACAGTGACCCAAGATCGCACTACTGCACTCCAGCCTGGCGACAGAGCGAGACTCTGTCTCAAAAAAAAAAAAAAAAGACTAAGTCCACCCATTGCAATGAGGATCATACATAGTTTACTGATCATATTTAGAAGCAAGAAACTAAAAATCCCCTGATGGTGGTATTCACCATCAGTGTTTCTTACCTAAGGAACTAGTGGTGATGCTCAACTAGGACTGTAGTTAGAGAATTTTGGCCCTGCAGTCTAGCCGACTTGAATTTGAACTTCAGCTCCACCACTAACCAGCTGTGACCTCGGTCAACTTGCTTAAGTCCTCTGAGCCTCTGTTTTGTCATCAGTAAAATGGGAACAATAGTAGTACCTACTAGATAGAGGATGTTGTGAATATTAAGAGAGGTGAGATATGTTTTTGTTTCGTATTGTTTTGTTTTTGAGATAAGGTCTTGCTCTGTCATCCAGGCCAGAGTGCAGTGGTGCGATCTCAGCTTACTGCAGCCTCAACCTCCTAGGCTCAAGCAATCCTCCCACTTCAGCCTCTTAAGTAGGTAGGCACCATGATGCCCTGCTAATTTTTGTTTTTTATTTTTTGTGGAGATGGGTTCTCACTATGTTACCCAGGCTTGTCTCAAATTCCTGGGCTCAAGTGATCCTCCTGCCTCAGCCTCCCAAAGTGCAGGGATTACAGGCATGAGCCACCACACCCACCCTAGGTAGCATGTGTTAAAGTGCTTAGCAGAGTGCCTGGCAGAGAAGATGCTATCCATGCCAGGTAGCGATTATGATCAGCCAATGGACTAGTGTTTGAGAAGGTCCAGTTTGCAGCCTTTTTACTGTGCCCCAAATTGTCCTCATCTCAAGGGCTCTGTGCTGGGCCTTCCTTCCCTTCTTCTTGCTTTCTTAGCCATTACAGATTATCATTTTCTTTGTTTTTAAACCCCGGAAATGGCTGCCTAATGAAGGTCCCTGTCTCTTTCCTGAGTTAGGATTGGGTTGTCTGTAGCTACTAACTATATGCAGGATCAGTGTGATTCTGTATGCCCTAGTGATTAGTGGAGGAGGATTTAAATCCCTCTGGGCCAGGAGTCCTTTTTTGCTGGGAATGCAAACTGAAAACAGATTTGCAGCCATCTCGGAGCTCATGATGCATAACACCGTTAAATAGCCAGCAACAGAGGCTCCAGATATTATAGTTTAATCATTTCATACCCAAAGCCATATGGCAGAAGGCAACTTACTGCAGCATACTGAAGCGGCTCCATTAAATAAATGCCTTTTGATTTACTAATCATTAGCATTACACAGATGCTGACTTTAAGCATGGGCTTGAGGGAGAGGTAAAATCCAGAATGCATTTTTGGGAATGCTTTTTTCTGCTCTGTACTTTGGAGGTAGGCTTCTGTCTGAATTTACACCTCTTGAGCTACCCAAAGCGAGTGTGCTTTTTGGCATTAAACATCATTTACTTCATAAAAACAAAACAAAACAAAACAAAACATTGGTTTCTTATTGCAGTAGGTCAGAGCAACTAGGTGACTATGATTCTCACTGTGGGCTCTGAGGTTTATGCTAGGCCTGGATAGTTTGGCCAGGTAGAACGTTAAGGAAGGGAGTGTGAATTATTCCAGGTAAACCTGTAAAGGGCTGATACAGCTTTGCTGCCAGAAAATTCTAATTCCCAGTTGCACAAAGTCTTACCCTAGAACCGCTGAACTAGAGGAAAGCAGATCTGTCTTTCTATGAATTTATCTGTTCTTTGCTGAAGTTCCAGACTTCTACCAGTCTTCCCTCAGCTTTCTCTCCCAGCACTGTTTTTGTACTAAAGGCCTCTAAATTCAGGTCAAGGAATCATAGTTACATCTTGTTCACTAGATCAGTGTTGCAAATGTGTCAGCTAATCAGAATCTCTAGCTTGGAGGAGTGATGACAGTCTCTGATAACTTGAATATAGCTTGAAAATGTAATATAGTTTGTAACATTGCCAGGTGGTTTCTAACCAGTCAAGTTCTCACTGAACTGCAAGTTCCTTGAGAGTGTGGACTGCTTTCTGTGTTCGTATTCATAACATCTGGCCAATAGTAGACCCACAAGACATGTTTGTTGAATGAATGAATAAACATAGCATCTATAATGGGCTAATGAAGGTACTGTAGTATACATTTGATGGAAGAGGCAGTGTGGAAGAGACTGACATGGCTTGTCAGAAGGACAATGAGTACCAACAAAGTAACATGGAAATGTTACGGGAAGGCAACGAGAACACAGAGAAGCCACAATTAAAATAATAGTTCGGTAAAACAGAAAGTCACAACTAAAGACTGAGAGACCGAGTTTCTTTGTGAACAAACAGTGAAGCCTCTTCTTCTTGTTAAGGAAATCCTCCATCATCACTGACGTTTCTTTCTTGAGTTAAAATGTTTTCGTCTCTGTTTCAAAATAGTCCCTTTATTTCTATGCTATATTTTGAGCATATTTTTATCTTTCCGGGAAGACAGTGGGTGAGAAAAATGTTCTTTCTAGAGAAAACTACTCACCTTTTCTCATTTGTTCATTAAAAGCAGGATTTTTAAAGTGATATATCCAGGCCATCCCATAATAGATTTCCCTGGAAGCAAGTATGCAAATGAAAGTTTGAGGTGAAGTCAGTTCTTGAGTCCCACAAGCTCTAATGTTCTTATAAATATTTCACTACACTCTAATAAAATCTCTCTGTTTTCCTAGGATGGATGATAACATAAGTTCCTCACCACTTGCAGCAACTTCTCTGAGATCATGAAAGAAATTAAGCCTTGATACATTGACGGCTGCTATTAAAGAGCTAGCTTCAAAACCATCAATTACCCTCAGCCCCACCTTAGAAGTATTAAGTGAAAGCCATCAGGCAGATTTATAATTAGAGATTGAAAATGCTGACCAGGGAGCTCACAGGGCCTTTCAAAATGCTGTCGGGAACTTGCTCAATTTTACAAGGCTATTGGAAGAACATAATTAAAGTCAACAAGGGGGCAAGAAACTTTAAGAATTTCAAGGTGGGAGAAGGGTAGCAGCTAGAAATCATTTTGATGAGAGGATTGTCCCCAAAGTTCTCCTGTGAGAACTTCAAGGAAAACTGCTAGAACGTCAGGTTAAATGACAATAGAGTTTCCTTTTGTATCAAACCTTATAGATGCGGAGTTAAGAAGCTTAATTCCACTGTGTAGAAGAGCAGAACACTAGTGCCCATGTGGGAGTTATTTCCTGGTTTGAAGAATTAGAAAGCAGGGTCCAAGCACATGCTTATGAAGTTGTGGAAAATTTGCTACGACTTAATAAGGTGGTGTGGTTTCCATTTCTGTCACCTTGAATAAGAGGCTTGTGATTTTTCAGCACATGAGGTTTGTAACACACAACTGTGTATGGAAGACCTACTCTGTGCCAGGCACCATAATGGTATGGGAAGACAAAGACCAGCTTTGCCCTCATGGAGCTCTGGTTCTAATGAAAGAAGGAAAACAAGTCCATGGGAAAGTGATTGAGATGAATGAAGGGTGTTTGGGATCAGAGGAGAAGGGCAAGTATAGCAAGAGATGTTTCTGTTTGTGTGGAGAGTGCTATGTCCGTGGTACACCAGAGGCTGTGCAGACTGGTTGAGGACTTCCTCTTCTGGATGGTAAGGCTGAGCAGAGGCAACAGAAAGGCACTAAGGAGAAAAATGGCTTCCCTTTAGTTTTACCTCCTTTCCTTTTCAGTGGCGCCCTCTAGTGGAAGTGGCAAAGAGCCAAGGGAAGCTTAAATATGTAACTGACTTCTTTTTATTTTATTTTTTTTTTTTTTAATTATTATTATTATACTTTAAGTTTTAGGGTACATGTGCACAATGTGCAGGTTAGTTACATATGTATACATGTGCCATGCTGGTGTGCTGCACCCATAGTAACTGACTTCTAAAACATACATTCACTGACAAAATGATGGTGAACAATTCGTTCTGTGTAAGTAAGACGTAGGCATCTCCATATTGTAACACTGGAGAGGAGAAAAACCAAAGCCAACATAGAGCCCTTGATATCCCCTCGGTAGTCAGGACCTAGGGGTTTACAGTAAGGAGCAGCAGGCAACAACATTAACCTTCTAACAGCAAGCTATCAAAATGAACTTGAAATAATGCACTTAGTTCCATGTAGTCCTTAACCTCCCTGTGAGAAACCTGCACATGCCTTGCTTCCTAATTCTTCTTCTGGAGCTCAGGGCCAGGATTGGTAGTGCTGCATATAGAGCTGTGTTGGGAAGAACTGTAAGACTCAATGAAGGAAGAGTGTAGTGATCAATTAGTGATGTCTGCCAAGAGTATGGGAAGGGATGGGGACAGCACATGTGCTATGTATTTGCCAACCCTGAACTGGGGCATATTTTCAGTAAGCTGTCTCTGCCATGGAACTGTAGTGTACAAAGCTAACTAGTATTAATGAATACTAGTTACTAGTACTAGTATTCACTTGTAACTTCTCCAGCATGAGATAATAGTGCCTTTGCTGACCTTCAGTGAAAATTTTCACAGACTTTACCAGTAATTTTCATAGATGACAGACACACTTTGGTAGATATTAATAGTCTGGGGATTAGATACTAGGCTGGTGCAAAAGTAATTGCTGTTTTTGCCATTGCTTTTAATGGCAAAAACTGCAATTACTTTTGCACCAAATAGATACACTCCACTGTGGAAGAGAGATAGTTCGTTTGGATTTTTCATATCTAGAGGATATATGCTTCAAGACCTTTAAATTCTCCATGTTGATACACAACAAATATCCTTCTCATTGCTAATCTGATTCCTTGTTTCTGGGAAGGAAGAATCCTGGTTAATGAATACCAATATCATTGTTACTGGGAAGATATTCCATCAGTAGGATAATGATAGTATCTCCTTGATAATAAGTTGACATTTTGGGTTACATGCCAATTCTTGGTAACCGTAAATTATAAAGAGACTGATCATTCTTGCAAGTTTGGTTAGCTAAGTTTCTCAGTTTGTTTACCCACCACGGGGCTCCCTCCTCCAAGAATACTCTCTCTTTTAGAGCGCTCACTTCAGCAGTCATAGGAGTTGGCTTGCTTGCTTGTTGGGGTTGAAAGTTAATCAATGTTCCTAACAGCATTGATAACAAAGCTGGTCACCGCTGCTCTTAATGGTAGGCAATCTTATAGCTGGTAGCAGAAATGATTCAATTACACTGTCAGTAATACATCTTTTTTTTTTTTTTTCATTTATTTTTAGTAGAGACAGGGTTTTGCCATGTTGCCTAGGCTGGTCACAAACTCCTAGGCTCAAGCAATCCACTAGCCTCGGCCTCCCAAAGTGCTGGGATTAGAGGGGTGAGCCACCTCACTCAGCCAATATATCTTTTTTGATAAATTTTTTTAGTGCATAAACTTTCTAGGTTAAAGATATGATTCAGGAAGGGTCAGATTTGGGGCCCAGTCTAAATTTTGTTATTGGTGAATTTTAGTGGCCTCTCAAAAACATTTACAATGAGTAAACGTTATTAATGTTAGAAGTTAATTACCAGCTGGGCTCAGTGGCTCACGCCTGTAATCCCAACACTTTGGGAGGCCGAGGCAGGTGGATCACCTGAGGTCAGGAGTTCAAGACCAGCTTGGCCAACATGGTGAAACCCCATCTCTATTAAAACTACAAAAATTAGCCAGGCATGGTGGCACGTACCTGTAATCCCAGCTACTAGTGGGGCTGAGGCAGGAGGATCTCTTGAACCTGGGAGGCGGAAGTTGCAGTGAGCCGAGATGGTGCCACTGCACTCCAGCCTG
Organism: Homo sapiens; assembly: GCF_000001405.40. Lineage (NCBI taxonomy): Eukaryota > Metazoa > Chordata > Mammalia > Primates > Hominidae > Homo > Homo sapiens. Next base: position 93,096,135 of record NC_000012.12, on the reverse strand, counting down.
GGCGACAGAGTGAGACTCCATCTCAAAAAAAAAAAAAAAAAAAGAAGTTAATTACCTATTTGTGTTTAGCAGCATGGTAAATAAAAAGAAGTATTTAAGACAAATAACTTCATAATCTGAAGTATATAATTTAGTTGGGGACATAAAAGATTTAAAATAATAATACAAGATAGCATATACTTTATTACTTTTGTGGGCTGGAGCTGCTCCTACTGGCTTGCAAAAGCCAATTGCTAAGTTTTCCAGTTTTGTGAGCTGGTTATTAAACACAGCCATTATTAGAAATTAAATTATATAAAGTTATAATTAAATAAAGTATACTAATAACAAAGATAATAAATAGTCAAAACTCATTACTAATTGTTTTATTACCTTTCAGTATTATCTCTGATCTTGAAGTTATTTATGTGTATTATATCTGTGTGGTAGAAATACTACATAACAATATGCCACTCTGCGTCTCTTCCTGACTGTGGTCAGTGACATCATACTGGTGGCTTGAAATAGCCATGGTGGGAGTGTTTACACCACAGAAATTGAATCTATAAACCCGCCGAACCCAGACTCCTACCTCTCCACCCCCAGAGCCAGGTGCTAAACATTTACCAGCACGCCATTGCGTATAAATATCAAATAGGAAGTACAGACTCTAAGAACCATCACTGGCCAGAGGACAGTGCGATCACCTGAGGTTTGGGGATCAGAGAGGTAGGCTTTGAAGCTGGCTCTGAAGCAGACTTGTTTTTATGTGGGTCAGGACCACCCTCAGGGATATTTAGAACCAGGACAAATCACAGAATGCCCACATGTCCCTGGACATTTTTATACAGGTGAAATCAGGTTAGCATGAGCATTAACAGTCTCTTCCAAGGTGAAGCAAAGTAAATAAAAAGGCAACAGTAAGCCTGAAAGGTGTGTGTGTGTTTGTGTGTGTGTGTGTGTTTGTGTGTGTGTGTGCATGTAAAGGATGTGGTGGGGTGATCTCACCCCCTCTGGCCGAGTGGTCATGGGATGATTGGATAACCTTAGTGATATCCACTGGAAAGAGTTAAAGACATTTCTATGCTTCTCTTCCAGCCAGTAGCTAAAGCCCCAGGGACAAGGTGTTCCCTTTGATCTTGCTGTACATCTGTAATAGAATTTTAAAAGATTGGAAAGAAAAAAAAAAGGTAGGCTAATAGAAAAGGTAGGTTTAGAAGGCTTCCTGGAAGCCAAGGAGAGGCAGTCTTTGAACTAGCACATTGGATCACTGTTTTTTCAACCCTAACTCATTGCAGACCTCTGAAAGCCTCTTGGGGAAAAATTATAGCAATGTATCATGGTGTTTATAACATGCACGGAAGTAAAGTATATGACAACAATAGCAGAAAAATTAAAAAATATTTTGTTGTAATAAAAATGATTAAATGGTAAACTTCATGTTATGTACATGGTACTAAAATTATAAAGATATTAAAATGATAACATTTTTTCATTCTCTCCTCCTGGGTGAGAATAAGGGCAGTTACTGTTTTTCAATTGATGATGGAAGATTCTCTTGGTTTTTTTTTTTTTTTTTTTTTTCAGATGGAGTCTCACTTTGTTGCTCAGGCTGGAGTGCAGTGGCGTAATCTCGGCTCACTGCAACTTCCGTCTCCCAGGTTGAAGCAATTCTCCTGTGTCAGCCTCCCAAGTAGCTGGGATTACAGGCATATGCCACCATGCACGGCTGATTTTTGTATTTTTAGTAGAGACGAGGTTTCATCACGTTGGCCAGGCTGGTATTCAACTCCTGACCTCAGATGATCCTGAGTACTGTGACTCCCAAAGTACTGGGATTATAGGCGTGAGCCACCATGCCCAGCCTTGAGATTTTTTTTTTTTTTTTGGACAGGGTCTCGCTCTGTTGCCCAGGCTGGAGTACAGTGGCACGATCTTGGTTCACTGCAACCTCTGCTGCCCAGGTTCAAGCAATTCTCCTGCCTCAGCCATGTGAGTAGCTGGGATTACAGGCGTGTGCCACCACCTCTAGGTAATTTTTGTATTTTTAGTAGAGACAGGGTTTTGCCATGTTGGCCAGGCTGGTCTTGAACTCAGGACCTCCAGTGAGCCACCTGCCTCGGCCTCCCAAATTGCTGGGATTATCTGCACGAGCCACTGTACCCAGCCTTCTTGTTTAAAAACAAAAGAAACTTAAATAAATAAAGAAATAAGTCAAGGGCAATAATAGTAGAAACAAAGTGGCAATTGCAATTGTTGAGGAGTTTTGGAAAAAATAAAAATTAAAATAAAAAAAGGCTTGCGCCTTAACAGCTAACTGGTTACTGAGTAGCCCAGTGAGGGAAGTGGGAAACAAAGGAAGAGAAGACTCCTAGGACAAACAGGATCAGAGTCATTACTGGGGACTAGAGCCAGTGTCAGGTGAGGAGAGGCTGCTGGATCATGAGAAGCTCATGTGACGCAGGCGGGTACCATATTTCATCAGTGCTAAGGTACCCGTTGTGTCACAGTTGAACAACTTGAATCAGGATGCATGTTACACTTGATGATATCAGTCACCATTGTCAGGGTGGCAGTCATTGCTGGGCATGCAGAAACTTGGGCATAGATGTTCATATTGTGGCCCCGTGTTGTTTAAATAAATATGTATTTATGTAAATTTAGCATAACAAAAAAATGAACATTTCTAATCAGGAAGCATGATGTCACCGTTTAATTGAGTTTTTCACTTCTTCATGACAGATTAAATGATGGCATGTCTTATGATTGGTGGCACATTAGTGACATACAGGTTAATTTGCCATATATGATTATAAATTAACTGTTTATAAATCTGTGTCCCATTTACACACCGTTTTGGGTCTTCTCATCTAATAACTTTGTTGAACCAGAAATGTGTGAGTTAGATTGATCAAAATGCTCACTCAGAGGTGGCTATTCTGCGTTCAGAACTGGCCAACCATTTACTAAATTTTGTTGTTAATTTCTAATAATGTATGTCCAAACAGGAACTATTTTGGCTTGGTACTGATGGATACTAAAGTTTGTGATTACATATAGATAAGTGAGGTTCTGTGTTTTTTCCTTAGCATCAAAGAGCTGAGCTGCTTTCTCATCTGTCCTCTTTGCAGTAGTGAACTGTCAATCAGAGCATCAGACCAGTGCCCTCCTATGTGCATGCTTGGGAGAAATCTCCTTCTTTAGATATCCACTCTAAAATGCCTCTGCAAGCAGAGTGAATGCCACGTGTAAAGGAGCAGTGACCAGACAGTGAAGACTGTGTTTGGGAGATTGTGGGTAGATCATTTGCCTGCAGTGGATTGGGTGTGTATGGGAGAGAGCCATAGGTAAGGTGGTACGTTAGACTGGTACTGTGTTCATTTGGGGACAGGTCACAGTCAGTGCATACTGTGCACACTGTGAGTCACATACAAGTCAGTGCATGGCGAATCTTTCGTTAAGTGGGATATGCAGGCTAACGAGGGAACAGGAAGCTGCCAGGCTGCGATACATAATTCTCAGCAAACTTCATGAAGAATGATGGCTTCTATTCCAGGTACATAGTTGTAGAGCATAATCCATTTCACAGCTGGAGGCCTGTTTTATTTTTCAAGTGAAATTGGAGAGAGTGGGGTGGGAAACTTGTCCTCTGATGGCTTAGCGGAGGCAAGGGTGGAAGATGGGGATCCACTTCATTTGTTTTCCTGTCATTAGGCCCCTGAAAAAATATAGACTAAGGATATAATTGCATGGTTTGCTTCTACCTCGGAAAAAGCTGGATTAGTAATTGCATTAACTTGTTACTATGCTTTGCTCTCAGGGATAATATAATTTTAGCTATTGCTTCCTAATTATAGGGTTCTTATTGTTCTAAAAATCCCATTCAGCATGTGTTTCATTTTCACTTTTATGAAGGGCATTGTGAATAAGAGCCCACATCTTGGAAAGAGCTAAGCTGAGCTGAAGCTGTGACTTGCCCAAAGCCATTCCCCACTGTGACAAGCTGGGTGCTACTGTGAATTTTATCCTCCATTGATGAATAATGCTATTGGCAAAGACCATATGCTCTGTTGCTTGCTGGAGTCCAGAGGCACTGCACAACCGAGGGATAATCACATCAAGCTGATGATGGTTTTTATTGGGTGGTAGTAATGGCAGAAGTAATGACAGTCATTAAAATCATGCTTCGAATCGCTTTGGGCCTTCAGAGCACAGCTAACTCAATGTGTCAAGGACGGGTCACTCCCAGAAGCTGTCTGGAAGGATTGCCCAACGACCCTTGTTCTTTGAGAACTGCAGGGCTGGCAGGAGGCAGCAGTGAAGGCCTCAGGTCTTCACCATCTCTTGCATCTACACTGGTGCTTTTGGTGTTTCTACATGATCTTATTTAGGTGAGAATCAAAGTGGACTCATGCAAAACTGAGCTTATTCATAGAAAGGCAATAGAAAAATATCCTTGAGATGTTCCACTCCAATTCAACAAATACAAAATTTGTGATACCTGGGTATGTACTCAGTGCTAAAAGCTCTAAAGGATTTGGAGAATAAGATAGTTACTCTTCTGTGGGACCTACTCTCTGGGAAGGGAGGTATCTATTCACAAGCAACTATAGTGCAAGGCAACATGTGGTATTATATATGTGTTACAGGAGAACCTGATGGGTAAGGGGAGCATAAATTGGTTCAGACGAGGATGATTTGAAAAGATATACCTGGGGTACTACAGGGGAAAAATATACATAAGTTAAACTTCCTGCAAATTCCTCAAAGGTGACCTTGAACAAGTCATTTAATTCTTCCTCTGTCAGATTCACCATCTGCAAAAAAAGGAATATTGGCCTTAAAGATTTTTCACTGGGCAAAGAACCACTCAATCCATCTCACTGAAAGTTTGAGATTATAACAAAACCCTGAATTCTAGGTATAATTGAACAGTTAGAAATCAGAGGAACAGGAATTCCAGGTGGAGGGACCAGCACTAATAGGGGCCTAGTGGCAAGAAGGTGTTTTTCTGGCTGGAGCATAGGGTTTTGTTGATTTTGTGTGTGTGTGTGTGAGTGTGTGTGTGTGTGTGTGTGTACAGGTTATATGCACAGGCTCTTTCTTGATGAAGATAATCTCCCATTACCCTATTCCTCTACAACAGTCTCTTTAAAATATTAAGAAACCCAAGATAGAGGCAAGTTATTTATTGGTTATATCTAGAGATATTTATACAAAGAAAAGAAAGGGGATAAATAGATAATTTCTATATTTCTTAGATTTCTTGACTCATACAGAATCATGACTCAGATAATGACTCAGGGGCAAACTGAACATTTATAGCTGTTACCTTAACTAAGGGAAAACATTCTTCATAGCAGATAGTCTGAGTGACAAAAAAAAAAAAAAACACACAGATTTTTATAGTCTGGTTTCAACCCACAGAATTCTACCTGCAGAAGAACAAATACTTGGAAAAGATTATAGGAAAATAAAAAGATTTAGCAGAAATATTAAACTAAATGAGATTTTATTAATAGTTTTACCTTATATTTATTTAGTGCTTTATAGTTGACTTTTTCATTATTTAATTTTATGCTCACCACATTCCTGGGAGTGAAGCATTTTTGATACTATTCTGCCCCTTCTTCCAGATGTGGAAACTGGGGTTCCAAGAGGTTCTATGACTTGCTGTGAATTTTACACTCAACGAGTTCTAGAATTAGAATTTGAACTTTGAACTCTTGCTGTAAGACTCATTCTAGCACAGTGTGTTGTCTTGAGATCACGCAGGCAGCCTACTCTGCTTATTTTTCTTGAGGAAACAGGTTCAGAGAGGTGAAGTGACTCACCCAAGATCATATAGTTGATGGCTGTTCTAGACCTCAAAGCAAGATGTCCTAACTTCCTGTTCTGTGCTCTTTTCATAATGCAAGGCTATACAGGATATAAATTTGAAATAAAATGTGTTAATCCATTCACTGCTATAAAAAAATACCTAAGACTGGGTAATTTATAAAGAAAAGAGGTTTAATTGGCTCATGGCTCTGCAGGTTGTACATGAAGCATAGCAGCTTTTGCTTCTGGGGAGGCCTCAGGAATCTTCCAATCATGGTGGAAGGCAAAGGGGAAGTGAGGCATTTCACATGGCGGAAGCAGGAGCAGGAGTTGGGGGAGTGCCACACACTTTTAAACAATGAGATCTCACAGGACCTCACTCACTGTGGTGAGGACAGTACCAAGGGGGAAAGACTCCCCATGATCCAATCACCTCCCACGAGGCCCCACCTTCAACACTGGAGATTACATTTCCACATGAGATTTGGAGGAGGACAGCATCCAAACTATATCAAAAACCACGGTAGAATCCTCCCACGTAGTATTATTCCCATAGAGCAATGCCACTGTAAATTGTAAGTGGTAAAATTCCTACAGTTAACTTCAAGAAAAATAAACAAGAACTAACATACTATGCATTTGGTTCTTTAATCACTTTATAAGAACTAACACATTCAATCCTCCTAACTACCCTATGAGGTGACCATGATTATTATTTTTATTTTATCATTGAGGAAACTAAGTTACAGAGAGGTGAAGTAATCTAAGAAAACATAGCCAGAAAATGGTAGGCCTGTATACAAACCCAAGTAGCAAGGCCCTGAAACCTCTTAGTCACTCAGTTATCAAGCCAGAATATAAAAAATATTTGGGATTCAAAATAGGTACTGAAATAAAGCCACATTTTCTTAGGAAACTCTTTTAACAAATTGAACAAATTAATAACGCCAATAAGAGTGTAGGGTAAATGTTCAGATTAATTAAGCATATAAGTAACTAATGTCTGTTATACATCATCATTTTATCTAGTCACTAGCCAAGTTTTATACTGCTTAGTTCCCAAGACTATAGCAGGTCCGGAAATTATATACTGTTGCATTTTTAAAAACACAATCTATGCATTGTATAGACATTCAGATCAGCATTTTTCTTATTAGTTTGACCTACTACAGTTTCTTTTACTTCATACGCTTGCCTTTATTATCACATAGTAATGATATCTTGGGATTATGAAGAATTGGCTACACAATACTAGACACCCTTTAAAAAGAAAGAAATTCTGTCATTTGCAACATCATAGATAAGCCTGGAGGACATTATGTTTAGTGAAATAAACCAAGCACAGAAAGACAAATACTCCATGATTTCACTTACCTGTGGAATCTAAAAAAGTGGAACTTACAGAAGTAGAGAATAGAATGATGATTACTCAAGGATGGGGGTACGGGGTGGGACAGGGAAAGAGGAGATGTTGGTCAAAGGGTACAAAGTTTGAGTTAGACAGGAGGAATAAATGTTAGTGCGCAGCATGGTGACCATAGTTAATAATAACTTACTACATATTTCAAAATTGCTAAGAGTAGATTTTAAATATTCTCACTAGGAAAAAAAAGGTAAGTAGGTGAGGTGCTGGATATGTTAATTAGCTTGATTTAATCATCCCTTGGTGTATCAAAATGTTACATTGTACCCCATAAATATGTATAATTATTATTTGTCAGTAAAACAATTTTCTTCTACATCGTTTGGATTATTTTATTTGTTTTAATGACGCATCAAAACATTAAGAGTGCTGCACTTTTTGTCTCTCTTTTAGAGATGGGAAAGTTGAGTGAAGCAGGTTCAGACTCCCTGGAGTGAAGGGGGCAAAACCAGGGCAGTCCCTCCTGCAGTCTTTAGAATGCTGCTGCGAGGTTCAGTGGAGAAAGCTGGGGTGGGGGCATTGAATGAGCACTGCCCTTGGAGTCAAACAGGCATCTGACCATGTTGCTTTCTGTTCCTGAGGATAAGACTCAACCACCGTCTAGAGATTCTGAAGTCAAACACTCAAATATACAAACACTCAAGAAGTTCCTCTGGGCTTTGTATGTTCAGAGACTGAAGAGATGTAGCATTCTCTTATAAGAAAATTTTACTAATTCAATTGAGAATATGCAGAGGGAATGAATAAAGACTCCTAGTCTCCAGAAATTATTGCATTTCCATATGACACACCATTTCATGAAACCTCTCTGCATTTATAAAAGTTGTTTTCTTCCTGAAGATGTGCAGCTTATGCAGAGCTAATTACTCCCAAGTCCTTGGGGAATGCAAATATGCCGACAACTAGCATCATGGCAAAGAAAAAGAGCTCTCAATGTTTTTTTTCCTTTTGTCCCCTTTTTTTTTCTTTCAGTAAGTGCAAATTCTACTATAACCTTAGTAACTTAGTAGTTCCTAAACTCCAGGAAAGCCGCAAGCCATTTACTTTGCTTATTATTTATGAAAAGCAATAAAAATTTGAGAGATATAAAAATTTCCTATTACATCTGTTTGGTCTTTCAAAATAAATTAAAATGGATAATAATAATATCTTATTTAGTCCCTGCTGTGTGGCAGATACTATAGAACCATGATGTCATTTACTCCTGACAACAGCCACAGAAAGTAGATATCATTCTCTTGAGAACTGTGACAACTGCCATCAACATGACATTGCTATTTGGACTTAGAACTCAGACCACCTGTGTCAATATAACTTAAGTTACTTGTTCTGAAAACTTTTCATAGAATAGATAAGACTGTAAGCCAACAAATAACTTCTCTGTTTGCATTAGGAAATTCCTGCTGATCAGCTTATCTGAGATAACAATCTGCTCCCTTGGGCAAATTGCTCACTCTCATCAAGCCATAGTTTACTCATCAACACTTGCTTTAAGATCCTCCCTTCGTCCACCTTGGGCTAAGGTTACATCATGATCTTAGCCCAATTCCAGTCAGTTCCCTTTTATTTATTTATTTTTTTTGAGATAGAATTTCGCTCTTGTTGCCCAGGCTGGAGTACAACGGCGCGATCTCGGCTCACTGCAACCTCTGCCTCCCAGGTTCAAGCAATTCTCCTGCCTCAGCCTCCCGAGTAGCTGGGATTACAGGCATGCACCACCACACCGGGCTAATTTTGTATTTTTAGTAGTGATGGGGTTTCTCTATGTTGGTCAGGTTGGTCTCGAACTTCCGACCTCAGTTGATTTGCCTGCCTTGGCCTCCCAAAGTGCTGGGATTACAGGCATGCACCATCACGCCCAGCTAACTTTGTATTTTTAGTAGTGATGGGGTTTCTCTATGTTGGTTAGGCTGGTCTTGAACTTCCGACCTCAGTTGATCTGCCTGCCTTGGCCTCCCAAAGTGCTGGGATTACAGGCATGAACCACCACGCCTGACCTTCAGTTCCCTTCTTTAAAGACTCTTGAGGTTACTTGAACCAAGATCTCAAAACTGTATAAATATCCATCCCTGACTTCTTTTTTCTGAGGTACCACTAAGACTTTGTCAAGATGGTGTTTTCCTTATTAAATTGTCTGACAGCATTTGAGGGAGTTTAACAATTCTTGTTTTACAAATGAGCAAAGAGAGGCCCAGAGTTTCAGGTATTTGTCCAAGTTCACTCCCTCAGTTAAGGGTTGGAGCCGGGATTCCAATCCAGAACTACCTGACCCCATCCCATGTTCCTGATCGCTCTGCTACTGTGGTCGTTCAGTTGGAATGAAAATCCAGTTTCTTTGGTTTCAACCATGGACATATTTGGCTTTTGAGGAGTAAAAGAAAATCCAAGCAATAGTTGTCTTAGTCTGTTCTTGCTGCTATAACAAAACATCTTAGATTGAATAATATATTAAGAACAGACTTTCTTTCTTACTGTTCTAGAGGCTGGGAAGTCCAAGAGCAATAAACCAGCAGCTGAGTCTGGTGAAGGCCTATTCCTCATGGGGGGTTTCTTGTGGTGTCCTCACATGGTGGAAGGGCAAAAAGGGCCAAATGAACTCTGTTAAGCCCTTTTATTTATTTTATTTCGTTTTCAAACAGGGTATTACTTTGTCACTCAGGCTGCAGTGCAGTGGCATGATCACATTTCACTGCAGCCTCAACCTCCCAGGCACAAGTGATCCTCCTAATTCAGCCTCCAGAGTAGCTGGGACTATAGGTGTGCACCACCATGCCTGGCTAATTTTTAAATATTTTGTAGAGATGGGGTCCCCCTATATTGCACAGGCTCTCAAGCCCTTGTATAAGAGCATTAATTCCATTCATGAGGGCAGAGCCTTCATAACCTAATTACCTCCTAAAAGTCCTGCCTCTTAATAAACCTGCACTGGGGATTGAATCCCAATGTGAACTTTGTAGGGAACACAAACATTCTAACCATAGCAATGGCCCAGTTGACAGTCCTGTGTAAAGCAGCTGCCATGTGACCTCGTATGTTTGTCTGTGGGAATCCAATACTACTGCTTCAGAATAAACTCTTACCAACATTCTCTAAGTGAAAGACATAGGTCAGGCAAGGGCCAGGAAAACCAAATCTATAATTGGTGTGACCTTTAAACTATCAGTATATTATTCAGCTGGTATATTAGTTTCCTAGAGCTGCTGTTAACAAATTACCTCAAAGTTGGTGGCTTAACACAACAGAAATTTATTCTCTCTAAGTTCTGAAGGCCACAAATTCAAAATCAAGGTCTTGCCAGGGCCACGTTCCCGCTGAAGGTTCTGAGGGAGAATCCATCCCATGCCTCTCTCCTGGATTCTGGTGGCTCCCAGCAATCCTTGGCATTCTGTGGTTTGGGACTTTATAACTCCAGCCTCTGCCCTGGTCTTCACATGGCTTTCTCTTTTTGTCTCTGTGTCTTCTTTTCTCTTTCTTGGAAGGACATTTCTCACTGGATTAAAGTCCCAGCTCAATCCAGGATGATCTCATCTTGAGACCCTTATCTTAATTACATCTACAAAGACTTGTATTCAAATAAGATCACATTCTGAGGTTTCAGGTGGACATAACTTTTGGGAGCCACAGTTCAACTCACTACAGCTAGTAAAGTTTGTTACTGACGCGGTATTAGCATCAACATTATTACATCTAAATAAAAATGCCAATGAAAAATAATATAAAGAATAACAATAATAGCTCATTTTTTTAAAATGTAGTCTTTCAAAATTTTTTTCTTTTTTTTTTTT